>NC_000015.10:96873773-97512200 GCF_000001405.40 Homo sapiens | reverse complement strand
TAATAGAAAAATCATAGATAGATGTATATAATAGGTATTTCAATATTCTATTAATGGGGATTGTGGTGTTGCGAAAAATATGTTAGCAGACTCTTCAAAATCACATTTTGCAGGGAGTGTAGAAGATGATGTTGATTCCCCTGACACTAAGGGCTGGTAGTTTTCTCAGTAGGGCTTAACATCATGCTTTTGAGTGGGGCTCTCTGTTTTCTGGAGTTCCACAGACCCACACTTCCATTCGTCACAGTAGAGCGAAAGGACCTTTTCAATTAGAGGTTCCTATTAAAGAGTAGCTTAATTAGATATATTAATTTGGAAGTTCCTAGCATGCACATGTCCAAAATAAAGGATTAATCTGCTAAGAAAAGGACAAGTTTCCCAGGATTATTTTATGTAAAGCCTGATATTTCACTCAGTGTGGTCAGATTGCCTGGAGTCAATGTGTAGCTCTGCCATATCAGAGCTAGGGGACTTTGGTCAAGCTTCTTAACATCTTCCCCCTTTGTAATGTGAGGAAGACCATTCAGTAATATTCACTGCCTCATAAGATGATGGTGAGAGTTGAATGGATTAGTTAGATTTGAATGACAGAGCTCAGAACCATGCCTAACACAGAGTATATGCTTGCTTGCTAATGGGGAGCTATTGTTGTCATTACCATTATCATTGTTATTATCATTATGGCAAAATTATTCTGAAGTCTGTCCTGGTTATTTCATTTTTTCAAATTTATGAACATGGACTTTCTAAATCAAAATGGAATTGTCCTTTGTCACTTGCAGTCTCCATTAGGCAAATAAACATTTCTATCAACAGAAACCATAGAAAATGGTCCACTGTCAGGTACTGACACAACCGATTTATTTATCATCCGTTCACTTAACAGATATTTATCAACTTCACGTAACGCCTTTGGTAATCAGATATTTACCAACTTGCATTATATGCAAGACAGCTTATAAAAATGAAGGTGTCCCAGGTATGGGGTTGATAGTGTAGCTGGAGAGAAGATAAGAGACATGATTGCACACATGCATGCATATTCATGTGTGTATTTTTTTATAGAGGAATTAGAGAAAATTTTTGAGAATTTTGAAAAAAAAAAACATGGAACATTAAAAAAATTAATTTGTGGAACACATTTATCAAGCACCTAGGTGATTCCAGTAATGGAGCCTAGTCCTGTGAGGTAAAATATATGTCTTGGATGATAGTTAACACCCCATAATTCTAGAGGGGCTAAAGAAGAGGCTAATGACTGATGTATGTACTCAAGAGGGAATAATGCCTGTAATTCAAAGAATTATTATATAGTGTTAAACCTAATTTACAAAATGTATGTTAAGGTATGTGATTAAATTATATTGTAGAGAAAGTCTTGCAAGTCAAGGAGTTTCACATTTCTTTTGGTTCTAGCAGTGCCAAAGGCCCCTTTCATATAACGGCTGCTATTAAAGGGGTAGTTCAAATGCACAACAGCTCTTAAAAGCTCCTATCAGTCCCTATGTCTAAAATGAGGCAGCGCTGGTTCATCCCTGATGCTGTCCCCAAAAGGCAGCCCTTTTTCTTGTCATTTACCATGTTAGTTCTTTCAGAGGTCATGGCTATATATTTAAATTATATTTTTAGTGACTATTTATTGATAGGCTGTATTTGGGCCTTATTTATTTATTCATTACCTGTTATATTTTCCCTATTTACTATCTTCTTGACTCCCTAATTTGTAACTCATACCTTTCCCTTGCCATGCCCCTTCACCTCTGAGAATCTATGCTCTTATTTTTACTTTAACATTGCCAAGGTTGATAAGCTTTCCATTCTCCATGGCATCCAATTAACCATAGGTAAATTATGTTTTTCTCATTATCCCTTGTGTTCTTAAATCTCACAATTAATATCTTAGGTGTGGTCTTGTCCTATTTATTTTTCTAAGAATTTGTTGGTCCTTTCAATTATTTTTCTGAGAATTCGTGGACCCTTTCAAGTATAAGTTTCATGTAAGGAAATAACTTCTCCATCATTAGTTCCTTTATTAATCCGACTGATATTCATGGAGTTCTACTATGTAACAGACCCTATTTTAGGCACTTGAAATTTGTCACAGAATGAAAAGAGAAAGAATCCTTGCCCTGGGGGAGTTTACATTCTATTTGGGTGAAGACAAACAATAAATAATAAATATAATAAATATACACATTTATATAGTAACTGTGAGTAGGATGCCTGGGAAGGAAGGAGAAGTTGCAATATTTAATCAGTTGGTCGAAATAGCTTTGTTAAGAAGATAATATTTGAGGTAAGACTTGAAGAAAGCAAAAGAATTAACACAACAACAACAATTTGAAGGAGAAGCATTTCAGGAGGAGGAAACAGAAAATTATCCAAAGAGAGGACATGGCTGGTATGTGGTTGGTGAGGCTGCAAGGGCTTGAGACCTGAGGGGAGGAGAAGGAAAATACATGGTCAGGGAGGTAAGAGACAGTGCAGAGATCTATTTTAAGGTCCAAGAATTTTACTCTGAGTGAAATAAGGGGATATTTGAGGGTTTTGGAAAGAGGAGTAATATGAACTGGTTTGTATTTTTAAAGAATCATTTTGAATGTATATTGATAATGGGCTGCAGAGGAGAGCAAAGGTACAAACATGGAGGTTGTACCTTAGGATGTTGTTGTGGTAACCCAAGTGAGCAGTCATCATGGTTGAGGTCGATGAATGTGGTGAGAATGTGGTGAGAGGTCGATGTGGTGAGAATCATCATGGTTGAGGCAGAAGTGGTGAGAATGTACATCCACATATACTTTCTGGATATCTTTATACACAAAACACCCAGAACTTGCTGAGGAATTGGATGTGGAATATGAGAAAAAAGATCTAAAGGAAACTTTTGACCTGAGCAATAGGATGAATGGTGTTGCAATACTCTGATACCAGGTCTGGGTGTTAGACATTATAGTTAGACATTATAGTGGGGCGGCAAGTAGGGTAGGGATAACAACACAAGGTGTAACAACACAAGTCATCGACATACAAGGGAGTATTAAAACATTGAACCAGAACGAGACAACCAAGGGAGTGAGAATGAACAGAAAAGCATATCAAAAAAATAATAATGCAAATTGGGCCTCCAAGTAGATGAAGTCTGAGAAATGTCTACTGAATCTAGCAGTATGACGGTCATTGGTGAACTTGGTGAGAGCAGTTCTTCTGGAGATGTGCAGTGAAAAGCCTGGTTGGAGAGTCTTCAAAGAGAGTAGCAAGAGATTGATGGAAGGCGATGCATATAGACAACTCTTCTAAGCACTTTTACTGTGAAGAGAAGCAAATAAATGAAGCCAATATTGGAGGAAGAAGTGAAGACAAGGACATAAGCGTATGTTTGTGTGTGTGTGATCTTTCAAATGAGAGAAATAACAGATTCTATATGATGTGAAAAAATCCAATAGAGAGCAAAAATTTGGAGTAGGACAGAGGGGAGAATTGCTGGGGGGACGTTCTTGAGTAGGCAAGAGGGGATGGTATCTAGAGTGCTAGTGCAGGGATTGTCTTGGGTGAGAGTAACAAGCCAAGTGTGAGAGCACGGAGGCTGACACTGATAAATGGTGCATGTCATAGTGGAAGACGGAAATTATCTTCTGTCGTTTCAGTTTTCCTGGTGAAACACGAAGCAAGGTACTAAAGAGTGAATAGGGAGGGAGAAAAGGTATTTGGGTGAGAAAAAAGAGAAGGTCCAAAATTGGCCTTTTTTAAATTTTTTATTATTATACTTTAAGTTTTAGGGTACATGTGCACAACGTGCAGGTTAGTTATGTATGTATACATGTGCCATGTTGGTGTGCTGCACCCATTAACTCGTCATTTAGCATTAGGTATATCTCCTGATGCTATCCCTCCCCCATCCCCCTACCCCACAACAGGCCCCAGTTTGTGATGTTCCCCTTCCTGTGTCCATGTGTTCTCATTGTTCAATTCCCACCTATAAGTGAGAACATGAGGTGTTTGGTTTTTTGTCCTTGCCATAGTTTGCTGAGAATGATGGTTTCCAGCTTCATCCATGTCCCTACAAAGGACATGAACTCATCGTTTTTTATGGCCTCATAGTATTCCATGGTGTATATGTGCCACATTATCTTAATCCGGTCTATCATTGTTGGACATTTGGGTTTGTTCCAAGTCTTTGCTATTGTGAATAGTGCCGAGAACAGTGCTGCTCCAAGTGTGTGCAAACTGGACTCCAGGTCAACAGTCTCTGATTAAATAAGTAGTAGCCAATGAAAATAATTATTCATAAAGTTTTACAGTAAGTTCATATTGCCTCAATGTCCAAGCTCATGATTCATATCAGTAAATGTGGTTACATGCCTATTTTGTATATGAGTATATTCATTTGATGGCACAGCTGCAATGCAAGGTAAATATTATTTTTTATTTTTTGAGGCAGGGTCTCGCTCTGTTGCCCAGGCTGAAGTGCAATGGCACCATCTCGGCTCACTCCAGCCTCCACCCACTGGGTTCAAACGATTCTCGTGCCTCAGCCTCTCTAGTAGCTGGCACTATAGGCATGCGCCACCACGCACAGCTAAGTTTTATATTTTTAGTAGAAATGTGGTTTCATCATGTTGGCCAGGCTCGTCTCGAACTCTGACCTCAAGTGATCCACCCTCCTTGGCCTCCCAAAGTGCTGGGATTACAGGCATGAGCCACCACGCCCAGGTGGAAAACATTATTAAGGTGTTACCTAGATTAAGGTACTTGAACCAGAAAATAAATCAATAAACTGCTTCCTTCACTGAGAATGTTTTGATATGAAAAACGATGTCAGCTGAACTAAACAGTGACTTAGTAACTTGGTAAAAATTGTGAATTACACAAAGCCTAGTGTATTGCATTTCAAAGTGTTTTCATTTTATGGGATAATATGGAAACTGATCATGAACAATGATTTTTTTGCTGAGGTACAGATTTTGAAGAGAAAAATCTTTGTTTCAAAAGTCTAAACTGGAAGATTAATTATTAGTGTTTCTGTAAGAGAAGTCACCAGTTTGGACCCAACTTTTTAAAAGATGCTAATTGGACAACCAGACCTGCTTGTTTCTGTCATATCTTTGGTATTTTAAATTAATAGTAATGTTCCCACGCAAATAGAAGGTAAAATTGAAGGGCAAAAGCAAATATTAGAACCTTGTAAGAACAGAGTTTCTACAGATTGTTTTAACATATTTCATAATTTAACAATGATTTTTAATAAAAAGTTGATGGTCTTGATCTTGCACATTTATAAAAGGTCATAATAGTACAAACTACAAGTTGGTGGACAGTTTAAAATTTTTACTTTCTATCAAAAGTTGAATGACACATAGGAAATTTAGGGATACAAGCTTCATCTTTTCAATCAAAACTCAGATTTATGTAGGACATTAGAAGATTGGAACTTGCTACCAATGAAGAATTAAAAATAAAATTTTATAATATACCATTATTTGCTTCAGTATGAATAAAAGAAAATAAAAGAATTTTCTGAGCTTGCTTTAAAATCTCCTCTTCTAGTCTCATAACATACTGTAAGATTGCTTTCTCTCCTTTGAGTATTGTTAGAAAAAAAACTTGGAAACAATTCAGGTATACATTATCAACCACAGGTAGGGCTGCCACAATTCAATATAGATTACATGAGTTAACAAGCAAAAGCAAGCAAATTTTTCACAATTATGATTTACACATGGACATATATGAGTATTGGTTCAAAATATACTTATAAGCATTCAATATGGGGATTAGCTATTTTCTTTAGTTTTTTTTTAATTTTTGATTACAGAACAACAGAAAATTATGAGTACAATAAAGATTTTCTCTGTATATTGTCTGTACTTATATTTTCAGTGACTAAAGCCATTCAAATTCTTTTGTTTTCCATTATTTTATCCTGAGTATAGTAATTAAAGTATAATTTTATATCTGCCAAATCTAACAATAAACTTGAACTCCATTTGTAGCTCCCATTTTTCATTTATTTTTAATTATGTTTTACACAAATATCAATCTGAGGTAAATTGGGGGAGAAGCTACTACTTTACTATAAAATATTTAAGAAGCAGTGCCTTCAGTAGTGAGTAATTTAAGGTTCTCAAGCCAAGGAGTCACATGGTTAGAAATATACTCGAACAGTACACAAGAAGATGGATTGATGGGTGTCCATAAAATCATGTAATAGCAACAGAATGAGTTAGTAGTAAAGGCCAGCTGGCCTAGAATTATAAGTCAGAAATAATACTAAGGAAATGTTTGCAATGACGTTGTGGTAAAGGGAAGGGAATCTAAGGTCTTGGGTGCTAAGAAGACTTCAAGGCAATTACAGGAGGAGAGACTATCACGAGATTTTGAATATTTTCAGCTGGAAGTTTTGTTGTTGCAATGAATGACTAGAGGAGGATTAGATTAGTAAAGAGAAAAAGACTCCATCATACAATATTCACTCAACAAATATTTGAGTGCCTATGGAGTACTAGACACAGTTCTAGAAACCAGGGGGAGAACAGTGCACCAAAAACTTCAAAGTCCTTGCCCTCATAGAGCTTATATTCTAGCTGCAGAAAGATAGACAATAAATAGTAATTAAATAAGTTGCTAAATGTAGAATACGGCAGATAGTGATCAGTGCAAAGTTAAAAAGCCAAGCATAGTAAGAGAGATTCGCAGTGTTGACATAGGGACTGGAGTGATTATTAGTGTTTTAGAGGGTGATCAAGGAAGCCCTCACTAAGCTTTTTCTTGGGCAGAGACTGGGGGAAAGTGAGAGAATGGGTAGTGAAGCTATTCGAGGGAAGAATGCAAAATACCTGAGGCAGAAGTTAGTTGGGAGGGAGGAGGGATAGCATTAGGAGATATACCTAATGTAAATGGCGAGTTAATGGGTGCAGCACACCAACATGGCACATGTATACATATGTAACAAACCTGCACGTTGTGCACATGTACCCTAGAACTTAAAGTATAATTTAAAAAATGTAAAAAAAAAAAAAGAGAAAAATAGCCAGGAATCTAGTTTCAGGGTATTGAGCAGAGGCAAGAGATGTAGGTAGGAGATGATGTCAGAGTCATGGGTCAGGCCACCCGGGCCCCTGGAGAATAATATAAGAATTTTGATGTTTGTTCTATGTGACAGGGGGTACACTTGGAATATATCAAGAGGAAAAATGACATGAATTAGACGGTGATGTTTTAAAAGGATCACAGTGACGTTATACTTATAAACTGTGGAAGCAGGGCAAGACTGAAAGAAGGCAATCCAGTTTTGAAATTATTGCAATAATCCAAGCAAGAAATGATAAGAAGTTTGTTGCTAAATGACAGTAGAGAGAAGAAGAAGTATTTGAATTCAGTATATATTCTGAAAATGGAGACATTGGATAGAGTGATGAGAGAAGTTTTCCCTGGCAAGGTGACATTAACCTGAGAATGAAATACAAGAAGAAAAAAAAAGGGGGTGGAAGAAGGCGGGAGAGCATTCCTGTCAGAGGAAGGATTCAGCACACAGTCCATGGGATAGAAACAAGCTTGGTTTATTTCCGACCAGAGAGAAGGCCATGAGCTAGAATGCAGTGTGCTGTAGGGAGAATAATATGTGAAGTCAGAGAAGGCAGGACCCCATAGGGTAGAGTATGTTTGGATGTGGAAGACTTTGGGATGTGTTCCTAGATTGTAAGCAGATGAATGACCTAAATTTAGCTTTATTTTTAAATGAACTTTCTGAACACTATGAAGAACTAACCATAGAGGTGGAAGACAAAGTAGAGGTGGATTTAGTTTTCTGACGTATTGAAATTTAAGCAGATTGAGACTTCTAGTCATGTGCAGATGTTTCAAATGTGGGGGCCAGTCAAGCTAAAACCAGTTTGAAGCACGGGATACCAACAGCTATGAGTCACTGTCATTTCCCATCTATATCATGAGGCTATGACTCACCAGTGTCACAATTTCTTTTCTCTAGAATATATTTCTTCCGTAATTAGATTTTATATATGTCTGGCCTGTTTCTGATAAGAACGCCTTTCAATGATGCTTTAGGGATAGTGTTTGCTTTGGCAGGAAACAGAGTCTTTGCTAGTTAAGGACTTTTTTTGTTTTTTGTTGACTTTTACATCCATTACATGGAATTTCAGCAGCTCATAATATTCCTAATAGAAAGAAAAATCATGGCCAATTTTGAAAGCCAAAAACTTAACCTGTTTGTTGCCTCTAGGTCAAATCATTTAATTGAACAAGTAAAAGAGAATGCACTTCTGCCTGTTGGAGACACAAACTTTTATATTATTTTCCAGCACCCTACTCAGAGCAATGGAGGCTAACAGCACCGGGAGAACGATAACAGAATGAACAAGGGCCAACTTCCAACTCACATCTACATTTTTCATGTTTCAGTTTGGTTTCTGACTTAAATGTTAAGGAAGACAAAGATTTTGTTTTGAGCGATGACTACACTGGTTTTAAAAGTGGAACACTAGGATGGCCCATAAATATCCTTGAGATCAGACCATGTGGATGGTCATTTGCCTCTTCTACTTACTAATTGGAATTTTAGTAAATTAAATTTTCTTCGGAAATTTATTCTTTCTGGTCATAGTGTTAGCTAAAATACAGATAATACAACTGTTGTTAAAATGTTACTGAAAAATTAAATGTACTGATGTAGGTAAATTGGAAAGTGCTTCATTAACAGAACACTCTATAGGAAGAAAATATAATTGCTATTCATGTCAGTATTTATATCCAGATATAAGAATTTCAAAATTCATATTTTGGATTTTGTCTCTAAGTAAATAGAAATATAATATAATCAATAGTATCTTTAACAATACCATCACAGAAAATATACAGCAACATTTACAAGGCTAATCTTTATAAAAGTCTTCAACTTTAGATAGAATCTTAAAAAGAAAAACTTTAAGTAGAAATCCAATCAATGGCCTGCCATAGCCTATAAGCACAACCTTATCACAACCCTTTGTACTCTCAGAGGTATATTGGGTAAAATGCATTACTAGACTGAATGATACTTAGGAGGGAATATACTATGCTTTTGAAAAACATTTCTTGTAAACTTTACAAGAACAAGTAAAGAATAATAATTTCTATGCCTTTCAATATTTGTGATATGTTTCCCAGGAACTCATTGTGATTAAAAGGAGAATCAATTTCATAGCCTTGATCCCAAAGATCTCTTTTTTACTCTCATTCCATAATCCAGGTGATCCACGGACATGCTCAATCATATGTTCATGAATTAACAGCTAATTGACTTGATACTGGTTAGTTAAAGGAATGGTCTTCTTTTTTTTAATTTTATTATTATTATACTTTAAGTTTTAGGGTACATGTGCACAATGTGCAGGTTTGTTACATATGTATACATGTGCCATGTTGGTGTGCTGCACCCATTAACTCGTCATTTAGCAATGCTATCCCTCCCCGCTCCCTCCACCCCACAACGGTCCCCAAAGTGTGATGTTCCCCTTCCTGTGTCCATGTGTTCTCATTGTTCAATTCCCATCTCTATGAGTGAGAACATGCGGTGTTTGGTTTTTTGTAAAGGAATGGTCTTCTAACCTGTGCATACTTTCAGGGGGATAGTGCCCTTTCCAGAATTAAGGTATGTAAAACAATGATTACTGACAAGTGAGCACTCTTCTTTGCCATTTGCAGAGCCAGGCTACCCAGCACTGATTTTTGTGTGTGCATGTGTGCAATTCTTTGTCCATTTCTAAGTCTTGTAGATCAGATCTTTCACATCTTACATGAGAATTCTAAAGAGAAAAATGCAGATTTTTCAAGATCTCTGATGGGTTTACTTTAGAGCGGGGAAAATGGCAGCTTATGTGTACATGCCAAAGTTCCCAGAGTCCTGATTGTTACTGAGGGCCTAGTATGAGTCACGTCCTGTACCAGGCCCTGGAAATTAAAACAAAACAAAGCTAGGTGAATAAGCCATAAATCCTCTGAGGACAGTGCCTGTCTATGGACACACATGGACAACTTTAATTTATTTTCTAAGTGCTCAGGTAACTGTTGTAGGAGTGAGTTTAATTCTTGCACTGGGTATTTTGCAGTCTGAATGATAATAATGGAAATAATGACAAACATTTATTAAGTGGTAACTATGGGTAAATGGCCAGTATATTATTTCTAATCCCTAGAATAGTTCTAAAGAGCAGGTGTTGTTATCCAATTTCCATTATCCTCCCTTTAAAAAGCAGAGGATCAGAGAGGTGTAGCAACTTGCTCAAGGATATATGACTAGTAAGTTTCTGAGTCAACATTCATACCCAGATCTAGCTTCAAAGGCTATCTATCTATTTTCTTTGCTGGTTCTCTAAATACCATACAATCTATTATTATAAAATATCGTCTAGGAATTAGGTAGTCTGGGTGGGTCTTGCATGGTATAGTAGTTAATACAAGGCAATTAATGTAGAAGAAAAATATTTTCCTTTATATGCTTAAATAAGTTTGCATTAAAACATCATCTTATTTTTTACACATCATGGAACAGAACCATCATACTGTTCCTATTGTACAGAAGCAGAAAGGGCTAAAAAGATGAAATGCCCTGCGTAAGGACATACAACTAGAAATTTGCAGACCTGTGGCTGAGATCTGCTCTGCACATCCCAGTGTCACTTCCCCTGTGTGGTTCTGAGCTAGCACAATAGGGATCAAAGAGGAACTTGCTGAGCTGCAGAAGCAGAAGTCAAGTGGTGGCTGTTGTTCTCAGATGGTTGTCTCAATCAACCTGGAGATGAAGAGAGAAAAGTCACCCACTGGGTATGAATCCAGCTTTCCTCTCTCTCCTCCACTTCATATCCAACTCATCTTCTTGACTACTGGCTTTGTGGCCCAACTGCAACCATAGGCCCACCAGTAGATGTTTTACCATAAGCCTGCAGAGGCAGTAGCTACACAGAGACCACAACTTCTATGTAACCCTTTTGTGAACTCCCTCTTCATGGTTCCAGTTGGATACTAGACATGCTTGAAGTCTCATATTTCTCTTTAAGCTTTAATCTTTCATTCATGCCAGCAATTCAGGAAAATTTGTTAGTGACTCTCTGGTCTTTGACTATCCCTTCTAGAGCTTCATTTTTCTATGTCTGCATTTGTGTAAGGTCTAGTTTCTATAACACATCTCTTATTCTCCTAAAACTCATAGTGGCTCTACTATCTTGAGGGGACCATGACTAATGCAGTAATTGTTCCAAGAAGAACCTTAAAGTTGGAGTTGGTTCTCTGATCTGACTAGACGTAGGAGCATTGAAGACCTGATGTCACTGATAAACAGGACACTGGTAGTCCCTGGCATGCATTGGCAAAACATTCTTTAGATTATCATCTATAGTCAGCTGGAGGCAAGTGTTCTTTGAAGGCAAAGCTTTGGGCAAGTAACTAATAACAAATAATGTTTTAATGATGATAGAGAATATAATGTCTCTTGGTCTTGGTTGCACAGGATAACTTGAATAAAGAAAATGAAAAGTTCAGGCTTTAATTCTCAGCTTCTTTTCTAGATCAAGGGCTAAGAAGCTTTTCTGGCTGCCCTAACATAAACTCTTATCCCCGTAGCCACAATGGTAAGATTTCTGAAAAACAAACCTCAAAGCTAATCCTGATGGTGGCTAAATAACAATGCAAATTAAATTCACAACTTTTAAGAATCTCAACTTAAAGCTGGGGCATTCATTGGGAAGAGGGAGAACCTATAAATTTAGGATGGAAACATGTGGGGAAATTCCAGTGAAGCTGAAGACATTACACTTTAAATTCTGGCAAGCCTCCTTTGCCAGTAGAAGCAGCCATATTGTCTCCATCCAAGGAGGTGACGATTTTTCCTGAATAACCTGTAATAACCTTTACTTAGGTCACCGTCTTCAGGGTACTGATGATCTTCAGGATTTACCCACTGTCTCTCATTGCTTTTGGACCTGAAACCATAATCCAGTCCCTGAGGACCTAGAGGTATAAGTACATGCACCAACAGACTTGTAAGTTGTTGCCAATTTAGATTAACAGAAACCTGTAGACAAGTTATGATATTGGCCCATAAAAGTGTTGGATCAAGTTAGAAGGGATATAATATTGAATCAGAAAAAAATTGTATTTTATTTTATTTTAATTTGAGACAGGGTCTCACTCTGTTGTCCAGTCTGGAGTGCAGTGGTGCTATCATAGCTCACTGCAGCCTTGAATTCCTGGGCTTATGAGATCCTCCTCCCTCAGCACCCTGAGTAGTTGAGGACCACCATGTCCAGCTAAATTTTCTTTAATTTTTTTTTTTTTTTTTTTTTTTTTTTTTTAGAGACAGGGTCTTACCGTGTTGCCCAGACTGGTCTCAAGCTCCTAGGCTCAAGTGATCCTCCTTCCTCAGCCTCTCGAAGTGTTGGGATTACAGATATGAGCCATCTCACTTGGCCAGGAGAATATTTACTAACAGAGATGTAATAAGTAGAGAGTTTGGATTCAATGCAGTAGAGCAAGAGGTGGGACCGACTCTATTCAATTGTGCAATTGCTTGACTAGAGGCTGAACTAAATAGTAGCCAACACTATTAGGCTACTAGTAGGTAGGTAAGAATCCTGAGCCTCCTTTACATACTGAAGAGAAGGCTCCTCAAGGCTTAGGATGATAGGGGTGTCTTTGTGTACTCTATGTAATCGTTCCTCGCTTAACTCTAGCTAGATTGCTATGCTACCCTGGAAAGTTCAGAGAACACTGCCTCTACAAATTTCTCAGTGCGTTGAGAGAGACACTGCTAAGAGAAGCATTGTCTTCAAGAGTTCTGTGGTGGCTGTTCTGTTTAGGTCAAGATTATGAGCGGGAAATGCTGCTATAGAACTGGACCCTTGAAGATGGGTTGCTCGGGAGACAGGGGCCAAGGGAAGACAACTACCAGAGACAGTTCAAGTGGTGATTCTAAATAGGCAACAGAGCAAGAGTAGTAATCAGAATGGTTTGACCTTCAGAGATCTTTCTGTTAGGCCAATTGACTGCAGTGTCTTTAAAACTGAAATAAATGAGGAGTCTTCAAAAACCTTCCATATTTGTGTAATCAGCAAAGTTTTAGGTTTGTTAACAGAAGTTTCACTCAAATCACCACATTTTGAAAGTCTTGGTTCCTCAGCTAGCATCCTTTAAGTGGATACAAAGTCCAATCCTCATGAGAGATAAACCTGCAAGTCTGCCAGCAATTTATATAATATTCTTCCTTGTATTCCCATAAGGGACGTCTAGCCCTTAAATAGGGTAACTATGCTTTGGGAAAGGGGACTTATTCAGACTTTTCATGGATTACTGGGTACTGGCTCTGTCATAAATTCTTTCTGGAGTTCTCAGATATTGCTGTTGTCCACCCATCATATTAGGGATTTATAGAGACCAGGCAATTAATTAACAGAATTTTGATTCAGGCCAAGTGGGTCCTTCAACTTGGCCTTTTGTTATTTGCTCAGTTCCAAAATGAATAACATAAACAGGCATATTTAATAACTCACCAAATCTTTATATTATTTCAGTGAGCTTTCTAGTAAGGACTATTACGGAAGCCCATAGTACAGCTTCTACCTACCAAAACAGTAATCCAAGAGCAATATTGCTTTTATTTTATTATTTTATTTATAGAGGAATTCCAGAGATTCAGTACTGCTATGAAGCACTTGAAGAATGTAGAGGTGAATTGCTATTGTATTCCCTTTCGATTTGCCTATTTGACCATGCATACAAAATATGGATTTTAGAGAAGCTAGGAAATTATCATAGACTTAATCTAATGATAATTTAAATTGCAGTTATTCTTGATTTACTGGAGCAAATCAATGTATCTTCTTGTACCTAGTATGTGGTTACTGATTTGTAAAATGTGTTTTTTCCCTCTGTATCTGTTAATGAAGACTACTAGAAGCAGTTTGCTTCCATCTGGAAGGAACAACAATGCACTTATACACCGTCTTATTTTAATTACCTAGCCCTCTGTAATATTATCCAGCAACTAGAGAACTAGCTAGTAAATATTTTACACTTGCAGTCCCCATATAGTCTCTGTTCCATATTATTATTTGTGTTTTAAAAAACCCTTCAAAATGTAAAAACCATTTTTAACTCATAAGCCTTATAAAAACAAGTCACAGGCCAGGTTTGGTTTATGGTTTATAGTTTTCTAACCCCTGATCCAATCCACAGGACCTCAATCATATCTGTATTACATAAGACCCCATATTAGCCCACTACATTGATAACATTATGTTGACTGGACCTTGTAAGCAGAAAGTTGTAATTATACTGGAAATCTTAGGAAGGCACAAGTGTGCTAGAGCATGGAAAATACATCCCACAAAAATTTAGTCCTAATTCCTTGGTGAAATTTCTAGGAATCTAATGGTCTCAGCATATAAACATATATCTTCCAAGGTAAGGGAAAATTGCTGCATTTGGGTCCTCTTAGCACAATGGAAAAAAAAATGAGTTTCTTTGGATTTTGGAGGCAACATATACCAAATTTGGGCATGTTAATCCAACCCATTTACCAAGTAATCCATAAGACTACCAGTTTGAGTGGGGCCCAGGGTAACAGATAATCCTCTAACAAGTTCAGGTTGCCAGGTGAAATGTTCTGGGATTTTGGCCCATATGACAAAGCAGTTCTATTGGTGCTTTGAAGGGTCACTGGCAGAAGGGATGTCGTACAGAGCCATTGACAGCTTTTGTAGGTGAACGCCCTCAATTCACTATGCAACATAAATCATCAGAATTTTGAAACAAAACTTTGCCATCTTCTGTGTGTATTTACTCTTCTTTTGAGGAACAGCTCCTGTTTATTACTAGGTCCTAGCAGAGATAAAACACTTGACTATGAATGACAGTATTACCAAGCCAGGTGACCTAGGCTACTGATTTAAAACTGCATATTTTCTGATCCACACAGTCATAAAATTGGCCATGCACAGCAGTACTCCATCATTAAACAGAAGTGATATATATAGGATTCAACATTGGTATGTCCTGAAGCTTCCACTCCTGCTATATTCCCTTCTCTCTCTACCTCTCTTATGACATTATGGGGGGTTTCTGGTGAGTAAGTATGAACAATATTCAGATCTCATTACAGAGAGTCTGCGTAAAATGCTGGAACCAGCCAAAAACAATGACAACTGCAGCACTGTAACCTTACTCAGGGGAGGTGCTGAAGGGCAGTGGTAAAGGAATATTTTAGCAGTGGGCGACATTGAGCAGTACACCTCTTTGTTTATTTTTCTCTGCAAAGAGAAGTGACCAGAGATACAGATCTACACTGATTCATTTCAAGTAGCTAAAGGTCTGGCTGTGTGGTCAGGGCGTTAAAAGGAAATGATTGGAAAATAGGTAACAATGAAGCCTAGGAAGTGTTTCTTCTTCAGGGCACAATATGTAAAGATACTTATGTTCCATTTGAATTATGATGAAAAGTCATCCACTTCAGAGGAGCTTGTCTTAAATAGATGGTCTCTTCTGTATATGTCAGTCAGGTCCTTCCCCCAGCCACTGCTGTCCTTGTCTGATGGACTTGTGACTAGGGTAGAAGAACAGTGATTTTGCATAGGTTTATCTATGTGGGCTTCCACTTGCCAAGTTCAATCTAGTTGTAGTTACCTGCTTTTCAACAGGAAGCAGCAACAAATATCTGTTATGGCATCATAACAGCGGATGCTGGCATCATAATAGGGGATGATCACAGGGGAGTAATCAGCCTCCTCTGCTTTCTAACTTAACCTAAAACACCTTGTTTTCACAATACATCCTTCCAGTGTTAATGACTGGAAAATATTAATTTGCATTTTTAGCAATTCAACAGCTTGGGAAAATAGCCTATCTAAAATAATCTTACTTACTTTGAACTCATTTAAATTGATTTTTTTTTTTTTGGTGAAGGAGTGATAGATTCTAATTCTTATCCAAGACTTCATATAAATACAACAAATAGTTCTCCTACATAGCCATGTGGATATTGCCATCAAGTCATTTAGCTATGCTCCATCATAACTTCATGATTTTTGCTAACGTTCTATAGAGAAGAGAAAATAAGCAAGACTAGCTGATTTAAAGCTTTCTACTGTCTAGAGAGTGTCTTGCAAACCCTCAGGTATAATATTTATTCCCCTTCCCCATCATGATTTACTCTACAATTTATAGTCACACTTGAACTGCCAGTTCTAAATCAAAGAGCATTTTTGAGATGGTAACACAATTCTGTAGAGGACTACTAAATCTCTCCCTACAGCATACTTGAACTTTCCAGGACTCCTTGGGGAAGACTCATAAGATGCAACACCGTGGTATTCAATTCACTCGTGTGAAAATATTACAATTTTTGCTAATTGGACCATTAAAGCACAGGTTTCAATAAAATCTGAACTATTCCTTGAATAAACTTAAGTATGATAACTTGAAATAAATACTTTTTCATACCGTACCCTGCAAAACTGAACCTATCATTTCATTCAGCCAGGCAATAGACAGATGCTAGACATGAATGACTAACACAAACCAATATTGGCTATCTTGTGCCCACTCACTGGACTGACCACCAAAATTAAGCATTTTTACTATTGAAGTTTCTAGACTAAGACTGAGGCATTGGTGAGTAAAAAAGAAATTAGAAATCTGTTTCTCAGATGAAGCCTCAAGGTTGGATGGTAGAGAGGTGTGTAAAATCAGGGAGAGGAAGGAACTGAGGATGACATCATTGTCTGTCTCATTCTCTATGAACCTATAGCACCTTTGCTATGCTTCTATGGTGAACTTTCTTTCCCCTCAACCTTGTGGTCAGAATTTATGCTACTATAATTTGTGGAAGAAGAAGGGACATCTGCAAACCTCTCCTTATTCTTTTCAACATTACTTTCCTTTTGAAACTTAGGAAACCCATGATCAGAGTTGAAAAGCAAAGGTGCTGACAACTACATCTAAATTGAAAATAATTGGATGCTTGTGTGTCAAAGCACCAAGGCATAAAGCCAAGTATCTGAACATCAATGGAAAGGCAAGTGGGTCAGAAGATAACCTGTATATCCTGTATCCCTCTGTATCACTATCTTCTGAAGGCTCCTTTTGGAATACATCGTGTTCTCTTGTAACCCAATGAAGTCAAAGCCTCTTATTATAGTATGTTAATAGTGCTGGACAATTCAGACGAGACCTCTCGAATGGAAAGGAGTCATCTTTAAAGGCTTGAGAGAAAGTAAGGACCTAAAATAAACCTTGGCAAATCCCTACACTATAAAGTAAAATATTTGAAATATTCCTAAACCAAGTCTCTGAACATAAGCATCTTTTCTAAGCTAAAAAGAAGGTAAAGGCAATGATCTGACAATCACAAATCAGTCACTTTGATGCAGTAATTAGATGACAAATTCTTACATGTAATTCGTACAGAAGAAATTTCCAAATTTCACTCGATTTATTCCCCAAAAGATATTGAAATAAAAGACGTTTATTAATATAGAAATTAGTATTTTTAATTAACATGGTATACATTTTTATTGGTGTGTAAAATAAATTTCTCAAGGAGTAAAAATATTTTATAATAAGAAGCTTCACTTCTTTTTAGGCTTTTGATGACACTAAACACTGGTATAATACATTTTGGACTCTGGGCGCTGTGAAATGATTCTGCCCTCCACCTTGGTAAAAACCAACTTTTAATAGAGTTCCAGTAGGCAATGCTATCCCATCTAGATGAGATAGATAATGGTTTGGAGTTAGTGAACTTGGTCAAAACTAAACTCGGTCATGTCCTAGTTATATAAATTCAGAAAAGGCATTTAACCTTTCTGAATGTTAGTTTCTTCCTTCTTAATATGGTAATCATAGTATCATATTGTTTGCTGTGATCATTAATTCCAATAACCCACTTAAAGCAATAGTAAATGTTCACTATACATTCATGTATTTTTCTCTCCTGACCTTCTTCTCTTTTTCTTTCATAAAAGAGTTAGTACTACATTAAACTGCAAGTAGCTGAACACCTAAAGTAACAATAGCTTAGACCATATAGAAATTTATATTTTTATCTTCTGAAAATATAGGCAGTCCAGGGCTACTAAGATGGTTCTGTGATCACCAACTCATGTCCTAATATAGCTCTCCAGGCCTCTCTATCACAGTTATATTTGAAGGGAAAGAGTTGGGGGATGACCATATACCCTTGCTCCAGGGACACTCCTTAGAATCCAGACTCAATGTGTCCACTTGTATCTCACTGGGCAAGTCTTACTAACAAGACTTCTGTGATGGTTAATTTTATGCATTAACTTGACTGGATCATGGAGTGCCCACATATTGGGTTAAACATTATTTCTGGGTGTGTATGTGATGGTGTTTCAGGAAGCAACTGGCACTTGAACTGGCAGATTGAGTAAAGCAGATGACCCTCTCCAATGGGAGGGGCAGCATCCAACCACTGAGGCCCTGAACAGAACAAAAATGCGGAGGAAAGGAGAATTCACTCTCTCTGCCTGGGTACACGAGCTGGGATGCTGGTCTTCTCCTGCCGTCAAACTGGGACTTACATCATTGGCTTTCTGGTTTTCAGGCTTTTGGTCTTGGACTAGAATTTATACTCAGTTCTCCTGTTTCTCAGGCCTTTGACCCAAGACTGGATCTATAACACCAGCTTTTCTAGATCTTCTGCTTGCAGATGGTAGATCATCAGGCATTTCAGTTTCCATAATCCTGTGAGCCAATTCCTTATAATAAATCTCTCTCTCCATATGTAGATAGGTAGATATAAATATATATCCTATAGGTATGTATGTGTATTTGTGTACAGGTATATGTATATACACATATATACACATGTATGTATGTGTGTGTATATATGTGTGTATGTACCTATATATGTGTATATGTGTATATATTTGTGTGTGTGTGTGTACGTGTGTGTGTGTGTGTGTGTGTGTGTATGCTCTAGGTTCTGTTTCTCTGGGGAACTCAATATGGCTTCAAAGAAAGCTTGGAAATGTAGTCTTTATTCAGAGAGTCATATTTCCAATTAGAAACAGCTTGTTTTGTTTTTTTATAACAGATACGTAAAAGAAAAATACAGAAAAATGGAGAATGGATAAGATTAAAAACTCTCAGCCTCTAATATACCTCCCCCTTCTATTCTTCCCATACCACCCAAAGGGAGTCAAGAATTCCGATGGAATTACACCAAGTAGTAATTTTAAAGATTACAGTTGTATCTCTATAAAATCAAATTATTCTTTGATTCAATGGACAAATTTTAGTGAAAGATTGACTGGATCAGTTGCTTTGACATTATATAGAAGGAGTCCAAAATGGAATTACATCTTTTTTAGTAATCCAAATAGCAGATGACTTTACTTGAGTCTATATTTACACTGTCAACTGAGAAATTTAGAAAATATTGAAGAGAAATGATTATAAAAGGCTTTATTTTTAGGAGAATGAGTTATTTTAATAAAACAATCACATCACTTTTTCACATATTTCTACCAAATGAAAAATAAAAAGCAAAAAATAAAAAATAAAAAGTAAGATGTGGCTTTGCAAGTAAGAATCCAATTAACAGATGAAAACCACCAGCTAAAGCAGTTTTCTGCTTTCATATGGAAGAGAATTGGCTGGATAATCAATTTAATTGTACATAAATGGGCCTGTTGGGAAGTAAAAATAAATTTGGCAGAAATATATTTCACTCAGGGGTTTGGGTATGTGAGTTAGAGAAACAATGTTGGTTTGAAATGAAATTACACACACTTAAGTCTATAGATGTAACAGGTTTTCAACACTTCTGTTTCTTTCTGTCTCTCTGTCTCTCTCTGTCTCTCTCTCTCTCTCTCCAGACATTTAGCTGGAAACTTTGAACTTTTATCCTCTGCATCCATACAATACGCAGCCTTTGACTCTCGGGAGTGAGCCTGATCAGGCCTGGAGTTAGGAGAGCTGGGCTCTAGACTGGATCTTCTCCAGGAAATCTGGCCTTGGGGTCTTCCCTGTGAGATCATGAAAGAGTAGATGATTTCAAGATGATTGTTTCTAGAAAAATCTTTCTAGCTCTAGGATTCTTCACCTCTGTGCCTGCATGACTTGAATTTACTGACAATTTACCCAATGTTTGGTGTAGGAAAAGTGCATTTTGTCCAAGGTGACCCAAGAGTGCTATGGCATCTTTACTTGGTAAGATGCCTTCTCACGTTTGAAAATCTTTTCCTGTCATGAATGCAGTGTTGCTTTGAATGTGCACGATTTCCCACTGCTGCTGTTTAAATGATAACAGCAGGTTCAAGTGATTTGCAAACTGTCAGGAAAATGACCTCAGACACCCCAGTTATTTTCAGTGACTGTAGATACACCCTTAGGCTAAAGCCACAACAGAATTTTAAATAAAGCAGGATAAACCCAAACTGACTACCTTCCCCACTTCTGACACTTTGAATGGTTAAGGACCCTTCAGCCTGGCTCCAGTTCCTGTTCTGTTAGAAACACCACATTACCTGCAGAGGGGTGCCCAAGAACTGACATATTCTAAGGAGAAAAATGTATTATAACATTTGCTTTAAATCTCAATTATTAATCTCCTCTCCTAACTATCTGAAGGGCCTCTCTCCTCCCTCACCCCCAGTTTATTCCAGATATTTTCAACACACTTAAACACAATTTGGAATTATTTTGTTTCTTTGTTTTATTTTTTATTTTACTTTAAGTTTTGGGATACATGTGCAGAACATGCAGGTTTGTTACATAGGTATACATGTGCCATGGTGGTTTTCCTGCACCTATCAAACCTGTCATCTAGATTTTAAGCCCCGCATGCATTAGGTATCTGTCCTAATGCTCTCCCTCCCCTTGTCCCCCACTTCCCGAGAGGCCCCGGTGTGTGATGTTCCCCTCTCTGTGTCCATGTGTTAAAATCTGACCCCTTTACCAGAATTTCCCATATTAAAGGGAAGGGACCAAGCCTATTGCATTTGTCATTATTTTCCCTGATGCCCGATACTGTGTCTGGCTCATAGTGGGTGCTTAATAACTATTTGCTAAATGAAAGAATCAATAAATAGATGAATCCAAACTCAGAAGATAAGTCTATGCAAAGTAAAGCAAGTAGCATGGTTGGGGTTAATAATTAATCTATTTAATCAATGCTAGTGCATTATTCTGACATAGCCGTGACCTTATACCAGGCTGGGCAAATTTCTGCCCACCAGTAAGTTCTCTTGTTAAATTTTGTTTCAAAGCATATCATTTTTCTTTCTGTGCTAATGTACTTTTTACCGTTATAGATTTTCTAAATGTATTCAAACTGTACCCAAGATGGCTCATTTTGTTATCAATTCCTCAAGTGCTGGCTCCCTAATCATTAACTAATTGTCTCTGTGCTCTATTGACAACTTGGCCACCTTCTTGCTAATTTTTGCTGACATGATGGAGGCCCCCAAGAACTGGGCTAACCTTTGGCTGTTCACACAAGAGCCACAGGTGGTAAAACAGTCGATCAGACGGGCCCGTATGTTCAGGAAAACCTCATCAGCATTCCAAGTGATTTGTCTAATGAGGCATCATTAATTGACAATGGGCGGGTAGATGAAGAAGTTCCTTTACTGAGATTACAATGTTGCTAAAATAGACCAGAGGCTTAGGGAAACAAAACCATGAGTAAAGGCAGAACTAGTGGTGGAGGTAAAGACTATGCTTTAGGCTAAGATAAGAAACAAAAACTACTGATCACTTCATCAAACTTCCGGTCTTGTAAACGTTGTAAAAGATGGATGTGCTATAAATCAGCCACCACTAGTATTTCACAGTTATAACTTGTGAGATGATTGCACAAGATTAGAGATATTGGTATTTACTTATTTAAAGAATAGCTGGGGCATGCTAGTGATATCGCTGTGAAGGAAATGGCAAGAGCTGGTATTGAACTTTAAATATGATATGGCCATTTAGCCTGTGCAGCCCAGGTATGCTTACACTTATATATCAGCCAGTGGTAACACTCATTCACCCAACCTATATGTGCTGAGTACTGATAGAATGCAGGGATGTTCTGATGTATGTGGATAACTGGGATGTGATGTACACATGGGTAAACATCAGTTAACAATGGAAATACAAGAATATCTGCCCACTAGGAGTGTACCTTCTAAAGATGAGAGAGAGATGATAAACAGGAAAGTTAATACATGAATAAACTATATAATGTTACAAGGTTATAAATGTTCTATATTGACAAAAGAGAAAAGAGTGGAGTGAAAGGTATCAGAGTTGGGTGGGTGGAGGAGTATGGCAAATTTTTTAATTTTTAAAAAGGAGTTAAGGCAGTTAGGACAAGCCTCGTGGAATCTTGAAGAAGTTGAGGAAATTACCCAAGATGGAAAAAGAGCCAGCCTAACAGGCAGGCAGAGACTTTCTGTGGGAGCCAACCTGGCACATTGAAGTAACCTGTTGTGGAGGTGTAGCTGGAGTGGAGTGAGCAAGGAGGAAGGAGATGAGCTTAGAGAGGTAGGGGTGACCAATATGAATGAGAGAAGCACATCACAGTCTTTTGAACTATTGAAAGAACTCTGGATTTCAGGTGTAGCGTAACTACAAATCATGGTAGAGAATTTTAACAGAGTCAATAAACTGATCTAAGCTGTGTATGAAGAATTCTCGTTGCTGTATTGAGAATAGAGACTATGCGCATCACTGTATGCTTTAATAATTTAAAAAACATTGAGTTGGACATGCACCTGCATAATGATTCATTTGCACTAATTTGGAGTTCTTGGTATTCCTCTACTTGCTTGTTTTCTGGGAAGTTGTTGTGGAAAGGCTTTGACTGGCTTTAATAAATGAGCTTATTGTCTTTCACAAGTGCACCTGTCAAGGGAACACTAAGGGAGAGAAACCTGCACTGACAAATTACGCCACTTAAATAACTAAATGTTGGGGATCTGGTGTGAAAATGCCATGAATCTGCAGGACCATGGGAAAAGGAGCACCCATTTTGGCTGAGCTGATCCTGTTACTAGTTTCCAAAACCAAATAAATAATCTGGCATCTAATATCCAAAAAGGAATAAACTTAGTGGACAATTCAGTTTCATGAAAGTTTCTCTGTCCTTGGCTACCCAGCCCACCTTGGGACTGAAGTGCAGCATCAGGGCTATCATATGCTATTGGGACACCACATAGCTATTTCTCGTTGCGCATACCCTTGGGAAAAAATTAGGAAGAATATAAAAACTACCATTATTTTTGCTACCCAGAAAAGAATATTGCTTACATGTCTTTATGCCTCCTTCCAGATTTTAAAAACAATTGAGTTCATTGTGTATTATTCTGAACTAGTTTATAAATACATTACACTTAATATGTATGCATTAATAATTATTCAGTGAACACTGGTTCAATGTGTATGCCATGCATTATTTTATATCTCACTGCCCCATCATGCTATTTTCAGGTTGTTAAAAGCAATTTAGAAATATAATTTTGATTAGTTACACTTACTGGTCCATTACATGGAGGCAGTACAGTGCAATGGTAAGCATGCAGGCTCTGGAATAAGATGTGTCTGGTTTGAATCCTGAACCAGCCAGGATTTGCTAGGCTTGTTAGGAAAGTCACGTAATTTTTCTGAACTTCCATTTCCTCATCTTCAAAATGAGGAATATCATAGTATCTACTTCCTAGGGTTTTTTAGGAGGTTTGAGGTCATGTAAGTAAACCCTTTGGCAAATTTCCAGACAACTAACAATCATTTAGTAAATAAATGATAGTTTTATTATTATTTTATTTACCTGTAAAACATTAACTATTGTCTGGAATTTGTGTTTTTTTTTCTAGTTGTTTACTATTAAAATAATTCCACAATGAATATTGCATTAGTCTGTTCTCATGCTGCTAATAAAGACATATCTAAGACTGGGTAATTTAATTTATAAAGGAAAGAGGTTTAATGGACTCATAATTCCACATGGCTGAGGAGGCCTCACTATCATGGTGGAAGACAAAGGAGGAGCAAAAAGATGTTTTACGTGGCAGCAGGCAAGAGCGAGCTAGTGCAGAGGGACTCTCCGTTATATCCACTATCACGAGAACAGCATAGGAAAGACGCACCCCCGTGATTCAATTACCTCTCACTGGTTCCCTCCATGACATGTGGGAATTATGGGAGCTACAATTTGAGATAGGACTTGGGTAGGGACACAGACACACCATATCAAATATATTTGTGGTAAAGTTTGTTCTCATTTATAATTCTTTCTATGAGGGTTAATCCTTAGAATTAGTAGATAAGATTATCTATCTATATATATATATATATATAAAATATAAGAAATTTTAATCATTGGCATTGAGTATCATAGTCTTTATTTGCAATGTTAGAGAAAACAAATAAAAAACCTCAAACTATTATCTTGTTATTGCTTTAGTTCACATCTATTTCCTACATTAATAGTACAAAACCAACTTTTGTTTTTCTTAGCCATTTTTGTAGATTGCCTGTCCATGTTCTCTGCACTTTATTCTATGGTGGGATGGGGTGGGAAGAATTGTTGTTATTTTTTCCTACAGATATAAGTGGATTTTGAAATTATTTCTGAAAAGATCATTTCAAAATATGAAATTTATATTTAAATATTTTACAGCAGATGATTTTACTTTCTATGATTGTTAAATGAAGTTGAATTACTTTTTATTTTTTTTCCTCTCTTTGGAAACTTCACTTGTAAAAAAAGTTCTAAAGGTTAGCTCTAACACTTTTTAAAATAGTATTTATTATACCATACATTGATGCAATTAATATAGATACAGAATTACACACCAGGTCTAAGTGCCACTAATATTCATTGCTAGTAACACAGAACATCAAGTACTGTAACACATCAATAGTGTAATGGAAAAAATAATCAGAGAGAAGGAATTAAATCTATGCACATCTTGGCCTTGTGGTGTCTGTACTAGAAAGGGTGACCTCTTGAGAATACCTCCATATTCTTGGAAATTATTATTTTGTTGTTGTTTTCTTATGTATTCTGCACTATTCATTTCATTCAAATTTTTTAAAATAATAACACTGCAATCAAATTTCAATGAAATGACAAAATATGATGATGTGGAATTTAGTAAGTTTTTATTGCATTTGAGAGAAAAAAAGCGACTAGAGGCTAGATTCAATACATAAATAATTTTTATTTCTGTTCCAGTCTATCCCTGTCCCAAACGAACCTACACTCGTGCTATCATCACATTATGATTCCCACGCATTTGGCTAACTATCAGTCTGTAAGGGCCAATCAACATCTTGTGCCTGCCCCCAGTAAGGTAAAAGACTTAGTGTTGTCAAAATTTTCCGTCCCTACTTTATTTCTTCTATGGTTTTGTTCCAACTTTTATTTTAAGTTCAGGGGTACATGTGCAGGGTGTGCAGGTTTGTTACATAGGTAAACGTGTGCCACAGTGGTTTACCGCACAGATCATGCCATCACCCAGGTATTAAGCCCAGAATCTATTGGCTATTCTTCCTGATGCTCTCCCTACCCCTAGCCCCCTACAGGTGCCCAGTATGTGTTTTTCCCCCGATGTGTCCATGTTTTCTCACCAATCAGCTCCCACTCATAGGTGAGAATATGTGGTGTTTGGTTTTCTGTTCCTGCATTAGATTGTTGAAGATAATGGCTTCCAACTCCATCCATGTCCCCGCAAAGGACATAACCTTGTTCCTTTTTTATGACTGCATAGTATTTCATGGTGTATATGTCCCATATTTTCTCTATCCAGTCTATCATTGATGTAACCCCCACTTTAAACAGAAAAGTCAGCCTTATCACCACTTCTTTTTTTTTTTTTTTTTTGAGACGGAGTCTCGCTCTGTCACCCAGGCTGGAGTGCAGTGGCGCAATCTCAGCTCACTGCAAGCTCTGCCTCCCGGGTTCACACCATCCTTATCACCACTTCTGTGTGGTGTCATAAGAAGACAAGAGCTTGTGCTGGAAGATCTACATGACTCATCAGTGGCACCGAAATATGGGAGAAGTGGGTCAACCTGGGATACTGCTGCTCATCAACAAAAACTCAGATTCAGATAATCCACAAGACATTATTCTATTCTGTTGTTTGCATTTGAATTATTTATTGTTTTTATCTTGGCCAAATTTTTCAGTATCTTCACTTATAACACAGAGAATAATATTAGTAACTTCCCTTAAGTGGTTTTGTGAAGAGTAAATGAGTTAATATGTGCAAAGCACTATGAAGAGTAACTAGTGCATTATAAGCATTTGGTTAGTTCCATTGTCAGAGTATTATTATTGTTTACTATTGTTGTTATCTTGACTTTGGCTTTGTGTTAAATGTAACTTCATTTTTTTCTCACTAATTCATTATTCCCAGTTATTCAACTATTTGAATTCAATTAATCTAGACAATCAATCAATAAAAAAGCAATTAGAAAATTCACAGTTTTTATTGAACTGTGTTATCTTTTTGGTAGCCTCAGCATAGATTTATTAAAAGATACAATCCTATTGTAATTTAGGTTACTTACTTAACACTCAATTAAATCCCTAAATTTGTAATATAATTAATTTATGCCTTAGAAAGAATGTTTTGTTACACACAACAATGTCAATAGCACCACTGAGACTGGATAGCTACTCTAGATATTGTGAAGTTTTAAATAATCCCTTCTGGGGGTAAACATCTTAAATAATTGGACTTCAGATCAATAATTTGGCTATTGCCCAGTAAATACTAGGTATATTTAATTAAGAAGAGAAAATACAACTGAATGGATTCATAAAATAATGAAATATTCTGAAACTCAAGGTTAACAAAATTAGCAAAATTAGCAAACATAATTGGCCTAAATATTATTGCTGATTGCTTTAAGTGGACATCAGGTCTAAGCCTTAAGTAGCATCTTTTGCACAGACTGTTCATTGAGTTTGACAAGGGGTCATATTAATTTTTATTATTAATTTACTTCTAGGAGTCAAATTAAGTTTCTGGTCTTTTACTCAAATCCCATATAAGTTATATTTTCTTTCCTGTCCTTGATATTTCTCATTTTACCAAAAGGATAATTTACCTCTTCTCTGACAACTTATTTTCTAATCACCTGATCACTCTGAGTCACAGTCATGATAATTTGGTTAAAAATGTTTACAATGCAATATCTTGACCAAACCACTGACAAGAAGCTTCCTCTGCAGTCCCCTTTGTTGCTATTCTGAGATGACATCTATTTATTTCTATCCCTGGGTTTCCATGGAAATAATTTATAATTGTTGTCAAAGATGGACAGTCCACACACATTTTAAATAAGAAGAATATAGCAACTTTTCATTGAAAAGACTAGTTCTGTCATTGCCTCTGAGAACCTAGTTCTAAGCAGCAGTCCATGACATTGCAGTTCAATAGTGGGTACCATTAGCATTAAACTTCCATGAATGTTTTCAAGAATATTTAAAAATGTAATCCATCGTTTTGAAACTCTCTGGTTTTCTATCACTTCTCTAACAAATCTAATATTGCACAAACTGGGAAACGATTGCATATATTTATATTTTATTTTCATTATGCACTATAAATCAGACCATAACTAAACACACATGTTTATATTGGGTAATCAGTTGCTTTCTCTTTTGAATAACATCCTCTTGGTAGAATATACTGGACAGAATATAATCAGTTACCTTCATATAGACCAACAAATACCTATATTCAAAATTATATAAGATTTCCCCAACAGTAGGTGTGTGTGTATCCATGTGTGGTCACCAAATTTTTTAGGTGCACTTGGTAACTTTAATTTCCTTTTTATGTAATATTTTGGGAGCCCTGTGAAATGAACTCATATTTGGAGATGCCATTCTAATTTTTTCAGTTGTGCGGAATCTCCATGTGTAGACAATTGTGGCAAACCTTAAAATCACATGGTAATGACGAATTTCTTGGCTTGGCCATTTTTCCTGAGCACTTGGTGATAACAAAATATTGCACAGGTACTCACCAGAAAATGTTGTGCTCACTCAAAAAGTTGTTCTCTCCTGCAGTAAAGGAAGACAAATTAGATTTCCTTAGAATTTCCTACTCACAACATTTCAGTCTCTCTCCCACAATGTGCTATCATTCATGTAAATTGAATTTTAAGGCATTGCTCTTTTAGGAAGCTGATAACATAGAAGAGTAACCAACTCAACCTGCCTTGCTCAAGACTGTACTGTTTTTAGAATGGAGAATTCCATACTATCCCAGAAAACCCCAAATCCAGGCAAACCAAGGTGATTGGTCATCCTATAGTATACTTAGAAGTTCTATTATCTGTCTCTTTATCTCTCTCTCTATCTCCCTATCATGTTTTTACAATGCGTGTGTGTGTGTGTGTGTGTATATACACGTATATGTATGTGTATATATACATATATGTATATATACACGTATATGTACGTATATATATACGTATATGTACATATATACACATATATGTACGTATATATATACATGTATATGTATGCATATATGTACGTATATATACACATGTATATGTATGTATATATATACACATATACATACACACGCACATATACACGTATACATACACACACATATACACGCATACACACGCACATATACACGCATACACACGCACATATACACGCATACATACACACGCACATATACACGCATATATACGCGTATATGTAGGTATATATACGTATATGTACGTATATATATACACGTATATATGTAGGTATATACATACACGTATATATATACACGTATATATGTACGTATATACATACACGTATATATATACACATAATATGTATATGTATATATACACGTGTATATATATACGTATATATATATATACACGTGTATGATTGCCTTAATACTTATGGCTTATTTTTTATTTTAAAGGATAGCAAGTGTGAGAACACTACAGTTCATGCTGTTCTTCTAACCTGAATACTTTTTCGTAAAGAGTCTCCTTTAAAAGGAGACTCTGGGCCGGGCGCGGTGGCTCACGCCTGTAATCCCAACACTTGGGGAGGCCGAGGCGGGCGGATCACGAGGTCAGGAGATCGAGGCCATCCTGGCTAACACGGTGAAACCCTGTCTCTCCTAAAAATATTAAAAAATTAGCCGGGTGTGGTGGCAGGCGCCTGTAGTCCCAGCTACTCGGGAGGCTGAGGCAGGAGAATGGTGTGAACCTACCTGGAAGTTGGAGGTTGCAGTGAGCCGAGATTGCGCCACTGCACTCTAGCCTGGGCGACAGAGCAAGACTCCATCTCAAAAAATATAATAATAATAATAATAATAATAATAATAATAATAATAAAAAGGAGGCTCTGAATTCATTTAACCTCAGAAGCACACCATGCAGGACAAGACCTGAAGCTGGCCTGACATTCTCCTGCCCCTGGCACCCTGTAGGTGGAGCCCTCTGCTAATTCCTAGGGTCTCCCACACAGATTGACTTTTTTAGGGTTGATGATGATTGATTATGGTGGTTTCTTCATTACTTTAAACCTAATCAGTGCTCGGAGTAATTTGGGTAATGATTGCTCATTATTGGCAATTGTGAAGTTTAAGTCTTTCTTTATTTTGCATCACAAGGCAGCCAGTCGGGAAATACTGGGAAACATCCCAGTTTGCACACATCTTCAAGGAGAGAGTGGGACTAAATGATTCACAAAGCTCAGTGATGGACAGGAAGTCGTGGAGGTTTTGCAGAAGTTATATTACATATTTTCTTGGCAGGAAACAATGACATTTCCCACTAGATCAAAGTGATAATCAAAGAGACAGTTCTTACTGGATTTGAAAGCCATTCAGCCTTTTACTGAAATTCCCAAGTTCAATAAATCATGCTATTTCATATCATATTGTTATATCACTCTGTCTTATAAATGAAGATCTATGATTCTCCAACCAATTTGCTATTGTTGAAACAAGATAATTAATGATACTAACATATAAACCAATGCTGGTTTACATTACAACTGATTAGATACTGAGTTTTTAAGGTGTTTCCCAATCTCTCTTCAGTTAAATCAAGTTTAAAAGTAAGTTTGCTTGTATTGGTTGATTGATTTACAGCCTGAAAATTGGCTACACAAAAGGGAAACATTTTAGGCTGTTCAGCAACTAAATAATTTACAAAGTCATTGGATACCTAAGGCTATTACATACACATAGTGGGTTTATTAAATTATGTTCCAATAATGTTTGAAGACCCATGTAATCACAAGAGAAAAAAAAATTTAGAGACTGCATTCACAATGTAAAATTACAGATAATGCTGCTTGTTTGTTTTGTGTGTATATGGATGATGGGGCTAACATTCTAATAGTTGTAATGGCTTTTACAATTTTAGACCACCATAAACAGAGCTATTATACCTTAGAAAAGTTCTCAATTTGATCTTTTCATTTAAAGTATGTCTGTTTTTATGTCTAAAGTGTATATTGGGAAAATTTTCAAAAATTCCTTTAAAGATATAAAAGCACATTTGAATGCCTGTTTTTGGATAGGATATTCAGAAAGATGTCATTTCTTCCAAGGTAAAGTTAGGAATTTAAGCCAATCTCAATTCAAAATCATAATTTTATTCTAGTGATATATTTGTTGTAAATTTTGTGTTAAAGAATAGGAAAGCAAAAAGATAAAAATGGAAAGGAAGCCAAGTCTTCACAGTCATCAAAACATACTATAAAGCGAGGTTTACAATTAAAGCAGTATGGAAATGCTATACTAATAAATATACAACCAAAGAAAGAGAATAGAAAATTGAGACAGAAACTTAATTACATATAGAAATTTATTGCAAAATAAAATGTGGCATCAAAATTAAGTAGAGAAAGATGGACATTTTCACAAAATGTCTTAGGGTATCTAGAAAGCTTTTTGGATTAGATCAATATCTCAAAATTTACGCTAGGGTGAATTTTATGTGAATAGTGTACTAAAGGAAAACATGGTTGAATTTCTTTATAACATGAAAGGGGGATAAATTTTTATAACTGCAACTTTAAATCCAAAAGCAATGAGGAAAGATTGATAAATTTGGTTACTATAAACACACACACACACGGCAAAGTGAAAAGTGAATACCAAACATGACACATTTACAATTTATACCCCAGACAGAGTTCACCTCACTAATACATAAATTATATGTGTGTAGTGTCTGTGTGTGTGTATATATGTGTTCGTATGTTATATATATGAATTATATTAAATGTATATGATTTATAAATATATAAATGGAACTATAAATGACCAATTACCCTAAGAATGGGCTAGTAATATGAATAAAAAGTTCACAGAATAAGAAATGCAAATAGCCCTAAACCATATAAAAATATGTTCATACTAAATGAATATTAAAACTAAATTGAGATATTCTTGACTCATCAGATTAGCAAAAATCAAAAAGTTTGAATACGCTCTGCTGAAGGGGCTGAGAGTAAATAGTCACTCTCATACCCTGACTGTGAAAATGTAAAATACTCAGCTTGTGTGAAGAAACATTGGCAACATCTAGCAAAATTCCACGAGCATTTACCTTTTGACCCAGTAATTCCAATTCTCAGAATCTATGCATCAGCCATAACAAAACAAAACAAAACACAAACCAAACACTCACAAGGCTATTCAATTTAGCATTATGTAGTACTATTTGTGTGGTTGTGTGTGTGTGTGTATTTGTGTGGTTGTGAATATGCAGAAACATGTTTATACTGAGAAGGACACAGCTCTCCCATCAGGTGACACCTAGTTAAAAAAAATCAACTCTGATTTAAGCATGAATGCAACAACATTGTGGAGATACTTCCACTGGTTTAAAAATCATTTATTTCAATTCTTATTTTAGGTTTAGGGGGTAAATGTGCGAGACTATTACGTAAGTAAGCTATATCTCACTGCGGTTTGGTGTACAATTGCTTTCTTCACCCAGGTAGTGAGCATAGTAACTGACAGGAAGTTTCTCTACCCTCTACTTCCTTCTACCCTCCCCACTCAAGTAGGCCCCAGTGCCTGTTATTCTCATCTTTGTGTCCATGAGTACCCAATGTTTAGTTCCCACTTTTAAGTGAGAACATGCAATATTTGGTTTTTCTGTTCCTGCATTAATTGACTTAGGATCATGGCCTCTAGCTGCATCCATGTTGCTGCAAAAGACATGACTTCTTTTTCAGGGTGGTGTAGTATTCCATGGTCTATATGTACCACGTTTTCTATATCCAGTCCACTGTGGATGGCTACCTAGGTAGATTCTATGTTTTTGCTATTGAGAATAGTACTGCAGTGAAAATACACGTACAAGCGTTCTTAACCCAATTTATATTCCTTTGGGCATATACCCAGTAATGGGATTGCTGGGTCCAGCGGTAGTTCTAAGTTCTTTGAGAAAATCTCTGCACAGCTTTCGATAGTGGCTGAACTAATTTAAGTTCCCATCAGCAGTGTATAATCATTCCCTTTTCTCTACAACCTTGCCAACATCTGTTATTTCTTGACTTTTTAATAATAGCCATTCTGACTGGTTTGAGGTGGTATCTCATTGTTGTTTTTATTTGCATTTCTCTAATGATTAGTGATGTTGAGCATTTTTTCCTATGCTTGTTGATCATGTGTAAGTTTTCTTTGGAGAAGTGTCTGTTCATGTCCTTTGCACATTTTTAAATGGGGTTGTTTGTTTTTTCGCTAACATCATAACAAATGGGCAAAAGTTGGAAGCATTCCCCTTGAGAAATGGAACAAGACAAGGATGCCCATTCTCACCATTCTTATTCAACATAGTACTGGACATCCTAGCCAGAGCAATCAGGCAAGAGAAAGAAATATAAGATATCCAAATAGGGAGGGAGGAAGTCAAACTATCTTTCTTCATGGAAGATATGATTCTATGCCTAGAAAACATCATAGTCTCTGCCCAAAGTCTCAAAGAACTGATAAACAACTTCAGTAAAATTTCAGGATACAAAATGAATGTACAAAAATCTATAGCATTTTTATACACCAACAATGTCCAAGATGAGAGCCAAATCAAGAATGCGATCCCATTCACATTAGCCAGACAAAAAATAAAATGCCTAGGAATACACTTAACCAGGAAGTGAAATATTTTTATAATGAGAATTACAAAACATTGCTGCAAGAAATCAGAGATGACACAAATGGAAAAACATTCCATGCTCATGGACATGAAGAGTTAGTATTGTTAAGATGGCCAAACTACCCAAATAAATGTATATATTCAATGCTATTCCTATCAAAATACCAATGTCACTTTCTGCAATTAAAAAAAACTATTCTAAAATCCATGTAAAACCAAAAAAGTGCCTGAATGGCTTAAGCAATCCTAGGGAAAAAGAATAAAAGCAGAGGCATCATGCTACCCATCTTTAAACTATACTACAAGACTATAGTAACCAACACAGCATGGTACTGATACAAAAACAGGCACACAGACCAATGGAACAGAATAGAAAACCCAGAAATAAAGCTGTATACCTGCAGCCATCTGATGTTCAACAAAGTTGACAATAACCAGCAATGGTAAAAGGACTCCCTATTGAATAAATGATGCTGAGAAAAACTGGCTAGCCATATGCAGAAGATTGAAACTGGACCCCTGTTTTTCACCATATAAAAAAAAATCAACTCAAGATGGATTAAAAACTTAAATGGAAAACATAAAACTATAAAAATCCTATAAGAAAACCTAAGAAATACCATTGTGGACATAGGCCTTGGCAAAGATTTCAAAGGAGTCTCCAAAAGCAATTGCAACAAAAATGAAGATAGTCAAGTGAGACCTAATTAAACTAAAAAGCTTCTGCACAGCAAAAGAAACTATCAAGAAAGTAAATACATAAACCAGAGAAAAACTATGCATCCAACAAAGGTCTAATATTCAGAATCTATAAAGAACCTAAGGAAATCAACAGGTAAAAGTACTTTTGCTTGTATTATTCAATTTAACTTAATGTTATTTATTTATTTTTAATTTCTTTTGAATGAGGCAAAATTCACATACATAAAATTTACCATTTTAAAGTATGCAATTTAGTGTCAATCACTACATTTAAAATGTTAGGCAACTCTCACCTGTGTTTAGTTCCAAAACCTTTTAGCACCCCCAAAATAAATACCTTACCCATTAATCAGCCACTCCCTACTGAGATTTTTAAAAAATAAAGAAAACTGAGCTGGGAAGAGATTGTTGCTGGAGATCATTCAGTTCCTATGTGCTGACTCCTTATAAGTAAAGAGCAAATGTTTGTGTAAAGAAATAATAGCTGAAAATAAATGTCCTGAAATTTGATGGAAGACACGAATACAGTAATCCACCCATTTGTGGTTTCACTTTCCATAGTTTCAGATACCTGCACTCAATCATAAACCAAAAATAGGTGAGTACAAACGATAAGATATTTTGAGAAAGAGAATGTTCATATAATTTTATTACAGTACATTGTAATAATTGTAGTTTCTTACAGTATATTGTTATAATTGTCCTAGTTTATTATTAGTTATTATTGTTTATCTCTTACTGTGCCTAATTTGTAGATTAAATTTTTGTAGGTATGTATGTATAGAAAAAAGCACAGCATAGTATATATAGGGTTCAGTAGTATCCATGGTTTCAGGCATTTACTGGGGCCCTTTGAATGTATCCTCCAAGAATAAGAGGGGACTATTTTATCAACATCCAGGAAGTTCAATGGGCAATAAGTAGGATGAACACAAACTGAGACATATCATAATCAAACTGTTAAAAACAAAGGACAGAGAACAAATCTTCCAAGCAGCCAGAGTGAAGTGAATCTTTACATGTAAATGATCCTCAAGAATATCAGCAGATTTCTCATTGGAAACTTTGAAAGTTAGAGTCGATGAGCCAATATATTCAAAGTTCTGAAAGAAAAAAAAGGACTATCAACCAAGAATCCAATATAAAGCAAAACTGTCTTTCAAAAGTGAGAGAAATTAGGATATTCTCAGACAAATAGAAACTGAAGAAGTTTGTTCCCACTAAACCTACCCTGCAAAAAACACTCGAGGGAGTCCTGCAGGATGAAATGACAAACACACAACACAGTAACTCTAAGCCATATAATAAATACATAGACAATTATAAAAACTAGTATTTTTGCAAAAATGGTTTTTAATTGTACTTTTTGTTGTTTACATGATTTAGAAACTTGTACATTACAAATATTAGTCTAAAAACTAGTTTTTATGTTTAATTTGGTTTGAAACTCTACATTTTGGGTATTATATAATTTATGAGAAGAATATTATATATGTCAAATATTGTTAGTTTATGTTTGGGGACACAGAATTTAAAAAAATGTAATTTGTGACACCAACAACCAAAAGGGGTTGAGAAGAAGCAATAAAGAAGCTGAAATTTCCTACATTATTGACATTAAGCTGATATAAATTTAAATCAGAGTATTTTAATTTTAGGATATTAGATGTCATTCTTATGGTAATGAAAAAGAAAACAGCTATAGCATTTATACAAAAGGAAATAAGAAAGAAAATTGAAAGTTTCACTAAAAATATCAACTAAACAAAAGAAGACTAATTCAGGAAATAAGGGTCAAAGAAACCATAAGACTCACAGGAAACAAATAGGAAAATGACAGAAGTAAATCACTCTATATCAATACTTACTTTTAATGTAAATAGATTAAAAATTTTAATTAAAAGATTGACAGAACTGTTCTAAAAAATGTGGTTCAAGTATATTCTGCTTACAACAGACTCATTTTAGATCCGAAAGACACAAATAGATTTAAAGTAAAAGGGTGAAAAAATATTGCATGGTAATTATAGCCAAAAGGGACCATGGGTGGCTATGCTAATATCATACAAAATGGACATTAAATCAAAAATAGATTACAAGAGAGAAAGCACTTATATACAGTATTAATAAAGTTTCAGTACAAGAAACTATAAGAGTTACTGATGTTTACACAAATAATGACAGACCACCAAAATACACTACGCAAAAACTGACAGAACTGAGGAGAAAAATGGGAAGTTCTACAATAATAATTGCAAACTTTCATACTCCATTATTAATAATGGATATTATATCCAGACAGAGAACAAGTAATGAATAGAGCAGCAGTCCCCAACCTTTTTGGAATAAGGGACTGGTTTCATGAAAGACAATATTTCCATAGACTTATGGGCAGTGGGGATGGTTTTGGCATGATTCAAGTGCATTATATTTATTGTGCACTTTATTTCTATTATCATTACATAGTGATATATAATGAAATAATTATACAACTCATCATAATGTAGAATCAGTGGCAACCCTGAGCTTGTTTTTCTGCAACTAGGTGGTCCCATCTAGGAGTGATGGGAAACAATGATAGATCATCAGGCATTAAATTTTCATAAGGAGCATACAGCCTAGACCCCTTGCATGCACAGTTCAAAATAGAGTTTGCACTCCTATGAGAATCTCATGCTACCACTGATCTGACAGGAGGCAGAGCTCAGGCAAGTGATAAGGAATGGCTGTAAATACAGATGAAGCTTCACTTGCTTGCTGGCTGCTCATCTCCTGCTATGCAGCCCAGTTCCTAACAGGCCAGGGACCAGTACTAGTTCATGGCCTAGGGGGTGGAGACTTATGGAGTACAATATACCAATTAGATTTAACAAATATATACAGAACATTCTACTTACTACCAAGTGTACACACCTTCTTCTCAAGGACACACAGGGCACTCTCCAGGATAGACCATATGTTTGGTTACAAATTAAGTCTCAACAGAATTAAAAGACAAATATATACTAAATATCTTCTCCAACCACAATGGGATAAAGTTTAAAATTAATAACATAAAGTTAAAAGTAAAGTTGGAAGGTTCACAAAATTGTGGAAATTGAATAGCATACTCTTAAGCAATGGATCAAAAAAGAAATAATAAGGAAATTAGAAAATACTGGTGGATTAATGAAAATGAAAACAGAATACACCAAAACTTATGGGATATAGCGAAAACAGTGTAAGAGGGACATTTATAGCTATAAAGGTTTACATAAAATACAAAGAAAGGTCTTTTGAAAAGTATCTGTGCCTTTTGCTCACTTTTTAATGGTTTTTTTTTTCTTGCAAATTTGTTTAAGTTCCTTATAGATACTGGATATTAGGCCTTTGTCAGATGCATAGTTTGTAAACATTTTCTCCCATTCTGTAGGTTGCCTGTTTACTCTGTTGATAGTTTCTTTTGCTGTGCAGTAGCTCTTCATTTTAATTAGAACCTGTTTGTCCATTTTTACTTTTGTCGCAATTGCTTTTGGCATCTTGGTCATGAAATCTTTGCCTTTTCCTATGTCCTGAATGGTATTGCCTAGGTTGTTTTCCAAGGTTTTTATAGTTTGGGATTTTAGATTTAAGTCTTTAATCCATCTTGAGTTGATTTTTGTATATAGTATAAGGAAGGGGTCCAGTTATAGTCTTCTTCATATGGCTAGCTAGTTTTCCCATCACCATTTATTGAATAAGGGGTCTTTCCCCATGGCTTGCTTTTGTCAACTTTGTTGAAGATCAGGTAGTTGTAGGTGTATGGCCTTATGTCTGGGCTCTCTGTTCTGTTCCAGTGGTCTATGTGTCTGGTTTCGTTGTTTTTTTTTTTGTTTTGTTTTTGTTGTTGTTTGTTTTTTACTAGTACCATACTGTTTTGGTTACTGTAGCCCTGTAGTATAGTCTGAAGTCAGGGAGCATGATGCCTCCAGCTTTATTCTTTTTGCTTAGGATTGCCTTAGCTACTCAGGCTCTTTTTTGATTTCATATGAATTTTTAATTTTTTTTTTTTAGTTCTGTGAAGAATGTCATCGGTAGTTTGATAGAAATAGCATTGAATCTGAATTGCTTTGGACAGTATGGGCATTTTAACAATATCGATTCATCCTATCCATAGGCATGTAATGTTTTTCCATTTTTGTTTCATCTCTTATTTCTTTGAGCAGTGTTTTTTAGTTCTCCTTGTAGAGATCTTTTGCCTTCATGGTTAGCTGTATTCCTAGGTATTTTATTCTGTTCATGGCAATTATAAATGGGATTGCATTCCTGATTTGGCTCTCAGCTTGACCACTGTTGGTATATAGAAATGCTAGCAATTTTTGTACATTGATTTTTGTACCCTGAGACTTTGCTGAAGTTGTTTATCAGCTGAAAGAGCTTTTTGGCCGAGACTGTGGGATTTTCTAGATATAGGATCATGTTATCTACAGACAGGCATAACAAAGGTGACAGGGAAGAGCAGAGGTAAACATAGATGGACTGGGAATATCAAAGGTTAAGAGAAGGCAGGCACTCCCAGGGTATTTATGAGCAATTCATAGCAGTAGAAGCATATGACATCAGCTAGAACAGAGGGGAGGTAGAACTACAGGCAGTGGCACACATGTATTCCTCCCCTTTCTTGGAAATTTCTTTAGAAACTAGTGAAAGAATAAGGTCCTGCCACTCAATGGCTGGAAGGTATTAATCCAATGGATTTAGGGGCCAATTATGAAATTGTTTACCTTAATACCTCAGACCAGTGGGGCTGAGTGAACCTCTAGATCTTACCATTTTAAGTATACATAAATTAATTCATCTATTAAGTTTCATTTGTTGCATCAATCAATATATGTCATACAGCTACTATTTGCCAAGCAATCTTCTAAGGCATGGTAATGGCATGATAGTAGACATAGAGATCAATGGGAAATAAAGGAATTTAGAAACAGGTTCAAATATGTGACCAATTTTTTTTTATCAAAGAAACCAAGAGTAATTCAATGGGGGAAAGCATAGTCTTTTTAAACAAATGGTGCTAGAACTACTGGATAGCCATATGAAAGAAAATTTAACTTTGATCCTCTCCTTACATCATTTAAAAAATGACTGCTAAATGAATCTTGGATCTAAAGGCAAATGCTAAAATATAAAATTTTTTTAAAAACTTAGGAAAAATATTTAAGATCTTGGGATAGGCAAATGATTCTTAAGACATGAATAAATATAAACTATTAAAAAAGATATTACACTTCTTTCAAATTAAAAATACCTGCTCTATGAAATATATAATTAAAGAAATAAAAACATGAACCATAGACTGGAAGAAAAAAATATATATATATGAGATACATGTTTTCAGAATATGTAACACTTACAACTAAATAATACAAATACAGACAATTCAATAAAAATTAGCAAAACATTGAACAGACACTTTATAAAAGAAGATGTATTAACTGCTAATAAAGACATGGAAAGATGCTCATTATTGTTAAACACCAGAGTAATGCAAAGTAAAACCATAATGAGATACCATTACATACATACTAAAATAGCTAAAATTAAAAAGACTGACATTATCAAGCGTTGGTGAGGATGTGGAGCAGCTGAAACTCTTATGCATTTCTCTTGGATATGTAAAATGCTAAACCCACTTTAGCAAACAATTTGGCAGTGTTTTTCTAAAGTTCAACATAAATGTATTACATGGTACAGCAATTTCACTCCTTGCTATTTATGCAAGAGAAAGAAAATGTGCAACTACATGAAGACTTGAACATCAATATTCACAGCAGCCTTATTCATAGTACTGCAGTACTGAAAGCAACCAAAGTGTCCATCAATGGGGGAATACAGGTACATTCATAAAATAGAGTATTATTTAGTAATAAAAAGAAATAAATATTAATATATACAACATCATGGGGGAAACTCAAATATATTATACTGAGAAAAAAAAAGCCTGGATGCAAAAGAGTGCCATATTAGTCATGATTCTCCAGATAAATGAAACCAATAGGAGATATATATTATATGAATAATTTTATAATAAGCATTTGGTTCATGTTATTAGGGAGGTTAAGAAGTATCATGATCTACAGCCTAATCACCCTGAAAGCAACAGATCTTGTCTGATTTTGGAAGCTAAGCAGGGTCTGGCCTGGTTAGTACTTGGATACAAGTGCCATTATTTTCAGTCGGCAATCTGGTGACCCAGAAATGCCAGTCATGTAATTCTAGTCTGAATCCAAAGTCCTGAGGACCACAGGTGCCCATTGTGTAAAATCTTGGTCCAAGGAATTGTAGAAGAGTTATGTCCTAACTCAAACAGGCAGGCAGACAGCAAAACTAGTGCTTTCTTCCTTCCTATGACTTTTTGTCCTATTCAGGTGCTCAAACACTTGAAGGATGCCCACCTACCCAAGAGAAAGCAATCTACTTTATTGAGTCCACTGATTCAAATACTGATGTGATCCAGAAACAACCTCATGGACTCAGCCCTTAATAATATTTAATCTGGGCACCGCTTGACACACTTTAGTGGACATATGACAAGTACAGACTATAATTACAATTACGTGATACTGCAGTGAAAAGAAAATCTAATTCATAGAGTCAGGCACCAGATCAGTGTTAGCTGGGCTTCAGTATGTTGGGGAAAAGAGAAAGTTTCAGGATAATGGAAACATATATCTTGATTGCATGGTAACTATACAAAAGTATATATTCATCAAAAATTGAATTGCATGTTCAGAATGGGTATATCTTACTATATGCAAATTATACTTCCAATAAGTTTATAAAACAAAACATTCTTACACTTTAGCAATGCTGATAATATTCATGAGTAAAATTCTCCCACCCAGTGATCTCACTTTTGTATACACAGCTGAGTTCACTTTGATCACAATAAAGTAAGTTTTTGAATTTTGGTACTTTCTAAGTTATTGGCTTCTCTTGCTAAACTCTCATCCTTATAAACCATCCATATAAACCATTATTTGATAGATGAATTGTCTGTCAAATAACTATATTTTCCCATTGGTTGGAGGCTATTATCCTGTTTTAAAAAATCAACTTAAAATGCAAGTTTTAGAAATGCTTATCAATCAAATATTAAAATAGAAAATAATTATTGTGATGGTTCTTAAATTGATTTTTATTACCCATTGTTTTATGAAAATAATATAAGATTATGGATTAAAATAGTTCACAGAGCTTTTACACATTAACCTGTGAAAATAAACTCAATTAAAATTTCTGTATATTTTATATTAAACCTATATTTGTTATCAAATGTCCACCAAAAATGTTTCCATGAATTCTTTAATACACTTATCTTTTAAAAATAATAACTATTACAACTATGTTGTCACACAAATGTTTATGATGTAACACTAAGATAGGAGAAAACGAATATATAAATAGTATGGGCAGTATAATTATATAAACTTACATGTACATTAATAAAGACTTAGGGCTTACACAAAGGTAAAAACAGTCTTTCTACTGTTTGATGAGTTGTTGATACTTTGTTTTCTTTCTCTAAACTTTACTTAGCATTACATAATTTTTATCCTAAAAATGATACTGGAAGCAAAATTGTTGGTATATAGTGAAGCTTAAATTGCTTCCTTTCCACTTTCAAAGCTTGGAAATATAAACCCAAGTCTGATGTCAATCAAGACTAGGTTTGACTTCTTCTTGAGCAGTTTAATGACTCTGTGGTTTTGGAGTATGTTATCTAAACTCCTTAATTGTCAGTTTCCTGCACTGTGGAAGGAGCCTAGTAATTGCATCTACTACTGAATGCTATTGTGAAGATTAAATGAGGTACAGTGCTTAGAAAGGTGCATAGCACTCAGTGAGTGTTTAATAATGTTTCCTAAGAGCAATAATATTAATAGCAATGGTAATAATGAGTATGAGAAAGATTTTAAAAATGTACCACTCTGCTGGAAATTAAATAGGGGTGAAGGATATTGTAATCACAATTTCCTTCAAAGTTTAACTTTAATATTTAATTGCTGTTTATGAAGAATCACCTGGTGGCTTCGGTTCAAATGTATTTGATTAGAAATGGGCATAACAATAAGCCTGAATGCTGAATGAAATTCAACAACCTCCCTGTAAATTATTCGACTGAGAAAGTTATAATAGGCTACCATTGACAAAAGAGCTCATGTAATTGCTCCCTTAATGGCATGATTTTTATTTGCATTAGATGCTTAATTCTGGTCAATTATTTAGGTGTAAATTTGTTTCTTGGGCAAAGTAGTTTGACTTCTGGGTCTTGGCCACAATGATGTAAATTTCCAAATGGTAAGTGCTATGATTTTTTAATTTATTTTTTATTTTCCAAACTTAGATTCTCTTTGTTGAAATGAGGTCTCTACTGCCAGCCAATGATCAATATGTCCCATCTGCCTTTTTGGTCTTTAAAAATTTCCTCTCATCTTGACCAAATTTGGTGCTTGTACACAATAATAAAACCCTAACAGAAGAAAAGATCTAAGTGATCCAATAGTATCGCCCTCCCATTATTCAGAGACGTTTCGTAATAGTTCCCAATCATACAGGTGGCTCTGGCTTATGACTTCTGTCCTGGCATTCTTCCCATCACACCAAGTTGTGCTGTGCTCTAGAAAGGCAACATAAACTTACATCGTGATTGAGTCCTTTCTCATGAATCCAGAAAGACCAGCAGCAAGCCAGGGTTCCCAGTGGAAATAATGTTTTGTCATTTGTAATGAATTTCAACGGAGTTTTGTAGAAACTTAATGACTTAAATGTTTCATATTGAAAAGTGGCTACCTATAATTTTTTTTAAAAAAAGCTTTATATTTAAGATTAGTATATGTGGTCTGAGTGTCACTCAAAGTGGTTTCATAAATTTTTATGGCACTTGGTGCAAGTGCACTTACATATTTACTGTGTTATATGTTTCATCCTCCACTACAGCTCTGGCCAGGCTATTTCATCCCCATTTGTGATTCAAAAAACTAACGCACATGAGGTTGAATTTCAGAGTCCAGAGCCCTCAGTTGTTGGAAGGCTCAGTGTTCTCCTGCTTTTACAGGCAGAGAAAAAACTATTTAAAACTTAAAACTACTTAAAAATGATTAACTGTTCTTTATCATCATCATTATCCGTTTATTATGACTACTTTTGAAAGAAGATGAGGAACAAATGCTGCCATAAATACAAGATCCCTCCTGCCAACGAGTATCTTGATGTGACAACTAAAATTTAAAAACCAGTTAATTGAGATGATTGTGGCTCTTGGTCTTATTGAATGCTATCAGCAATAAGGAAGAGTCAACTGAGAGAAGACATGTCTTACTCACGAGCAGAATTTATATCTGTTTTTTCTTTCCAACTCCAAAAGAAGTCTTCTCTAAACATTACTTAGATACGAATATTTTGGTACTGTAAAGTTATCCTAAATATGGGAAGCTTTTTGGAGTGGGTGGCCATGTTGACTTATCCAGGAAGGGATGTGAAAATTCAGACTTTCCTAAGGAAGTCAGTGAGAGACAGGAGACGTCCGCTAGGTTTTGGTTATGCTGTGTTCTGAATCAACCCTTATTACTCTTGGAGTGGGGGTGCCTAGGTAATTGCCAGTTAGTGTTGAGTTTTCTAATATTTGTAAGAAGATAATTCTAACAAACAGAAACATGCATAGGAAATACACTGTTAAGAAGTATACCGGCATGATACCAATGATTACATTTGAATTTTTTTATTGTTTGTTAGCTAATACTCACATTTCTTACTATATTCAGTAATATTTCATTATCAACATGTTTAATTTAAAATGTATTAAAATTATTAATTATCAATATAATGATATTAATAAGCTTTCATTTATCGGCAACATAGACTCTGTGTTTGTGTGAGTGTGTGTGTGTGTGTGTGTAATGTTCAACAGTTTTGTTCCTGAAATTCTATGTTCAGGGCCTCAGAGTTATCTGAAGGACCATTCTGCAGTTTTCACATCTCATCTGCATAAGCAGAGGTTATAAAGACAATGTCACTGGGGAGAGAACAAACTTGTATGCAAACTAAAGTTAGTTTTAATCAAACATGTTTTTTCTTTAAAACTAGCATTTTCTCTTCGCTTATAACTACTCCCTTTTTTCTTTGTTTCAATAAAACAAAGAAAATATGGAAAATATTACACAAGCCAAAGTTAACAGATAGTTACCCATATTCAATCACTTAGAAATTTAGTTTAATTAATGCTAAATAAATAAATGTGCTGCACACAACATGGCATAAGCAGAATATTTCCATTGCCAGCATGCATATCCAGGGAATTTACATATCTTCTCTACCCCTTTCCTGCCCATCCCCCTCCTGCAGATACATAAATGAATAAATAAATAACCTGCATAGAATATATCAAGTTTTGACTCTCGCTTTAAAGAAATTAAACCTTCAAACTGTTTGACATTTGTCTGTCTCCCATCTTGATGAGAATAAGCTGTGGGGAGCAAACTTCCTACCTCAGGTGTATTCAAGGACATTGACTCAAGCCATTTTTGCATCATCATTATCAGCTTTAGCCAAAATGAGCTATTAGTGCTTGCTATGAAGTCAAAGAAATCAGCCTCTGAGAATGACAGAATACTGCACAATATGTCACAAGATTCCATACTAGGACTAGTGTGCTGCTAATAACAAATGGCAACAAAACTCTTCAACATTCAAAAATTGTTTGGATTATCAAAACTGTTTTCTAGTCTTCTTTCTTAATTCCTAGTTGATTGATGCAGAGCTCAAGTTTAAGCCTTGATGCACTCAGAAACCACAAGGCACACAGGCTGCCTCCTCAAGAGAATTGAGGCATTTTTTTTTTGGCAAACTATTTCCAAATGGTGCACCTCAGTTAACCCTGCTCAAAATGCAACCCATCTTAGCAGGTGGAAGTAGTTTAGTAAGGCACCTCCTCTGTCAAGTGTCAGAAAAATGATTTTGAATAACAAATGCCACAAAGCACAATCAATGTCAACAATTGCAGATTAAAATATCACATTCAACAGATGTTTGAGTGTTTTCCTGACAAGGGTCTAGAATTTTACCTGAGATGAAACTTCAATTTAATCTCATCACAAACCGGTGACAATTGTCCGCCCCCTCCCAGAGGGAGACTTTGGGTTCTGTGGATTTTTATCCTTTTTCTAGAGGTACTGCTTACTCCATCTTTGCCAGATTATAAGATTTGCCTGGAACACCTGTTAATAAACATATTCTCTCTGGACTACTCATATGAAAATCACTGGGGGATCAGTCTGGGAATAGGTATCTTTACCAAGAGCTTCAGGAGACATATCTCAAAACATCATTGTCAAGGATCTCTCCCTTTCTTTTTCTTTCTTTCTTTCTTTCTTTCTTTCTTTCTTTCTTTCTTTCTTTCTTTCTCTCTCTCTCTTTCCTTTCTTTCTTTCACTCTTTCTCTCTTTCTTTCTTTTCTTCCTTCCTTTCTTTCTTTCTTTCTCTCTCTCTTTCTTTCTTTCTTTCTCTTTCTCTCTCCCTCTCTCTCTTTCTTTCTTCTCCCCCCCTCTCCTCCCCTGCCCTCCTCTTCCCTTCCCTTCCCTTCCTTTCCTTTCTTTCTTTGACAGAGTTTCACTCTTGTTGCCCAGACTGGAGTGCAATGGCGCGATCTCAGTCCACTGCAACCTCCGTCTCCTGTGTTCAAGTGATTCTTCTGTCTCAGCCTCCCAAGTAGCTGGGATTATAGGTGCCTGCCAACATGCCGGCTGATTTTTGTATATTTAGTAGAGACAGTGTTGAAATATGTTGGTCAGGCTGGTCTGCAACTCCTGACCTCAGGTGATCCACCTGTCTCGGCCTCCCAAAGTGCTGGGATTACAGGCGTGAGCCATGGTGCCTGGCCCTGTCAAAGGACTTCTAATTCAAAAATGGGAAAAGACTGTTCGTATCCAATCCCAATAAGAATAAAAGACTTTAAATTGCAGCAAGAAAAATGACAGTTACAGATGAGGAAGAACATCTTTAACATTATTTTTGAAAAGTGAAAACGTGGAATCTATTTAGTGGATAGGATAATCATTCAAATGTGGATATTTTACATACCAGGTCTTAGTTCTTGAAACTATACGATCATCAAACAGTGATAGAGTTATCATAGAACCAGAATCATTAATTTGCAATGAAATAGTGCAGCAAGGTCTGCGCTGCTTACACACCACCTTCAAAAACGGGGAAAAAAGAATAAAACAGAAGATCAAAGATTTGTTTTGTTTTATTTTGTTTTAAATCACAAATGCAGGAAAGAGAAGGAGATTGACAACTGGTAGAACTGGCAATAAAAGAGCAGAGTTGTCGAAAGCAGAGGAAATAACTCTTAGAGTACTAATGCATCAAGACATATGAGATGATATTGGTACCTATAAAAGCACAACAATAGGCTGGGTGCGGTGGCTCACGCCTGTAATCCCAGCACTTTGGGAGGCTAAGGTGAGTGGATCACCTGAGGTCGGGAGTTCAAAACCAGCCTGCCAACATGGAGAAACCCCGTCTCTACTAAAAATACAAAATTAGCCAGGTGTGGTGGGGCGTGCCTGTAATCCCAGCTACTTGGGAGGCTGAGGCAAGAGAATCACTTAAACCCAAGAGGCAGAGGTTGCAGTGAGCCAAGATGGTGCCATTGCATTCCAGCCTGGACAAAAAGAACGAAACTCCATCTCACAAAAAAAAAAAAAAAAAAAAAAGGAAAGCACAACAATAGATTTTAGAGATTAAAATGTAAACATTGATATAAAGGGCAATTAATTTCAGGGTTAATGTATAGTTACAAGATGGAGCTAAAGTAATTCTAAGAAGCAGCAAGCAAAACTTTTAAAAAGATGCAAAATACAAAATACAAGAGTTATGGGGGACAGTTCCTATTTCTGACATCTATCTCATAGGAATTGGAGAAAGGGAATCTAGAGAAAATTAAAGTAAGGGAATGGTAAAATAATGATAGAAAAGTTGATCCAGAACAGAAATAATACATGAATCCCAAGTTTGAGAACAGACATCTAGTATCAAGCAGAACGAAAAAACAATTTGATTCTAAACAAACAAAAATGTTCATGGACCTGAATACATTTAGATGCAATTTTAGAACACTAATCAAGAAGGAGGAGAAGATAAATTAAAAAAAATTCAGAAAAACAACATGCAAAGGTAATCAAAGTGTCTTAAAGTGAACAAGAATTCTCTCGACATTAGACTTTAATCAGCAATTAAATCACTAAATGCAAGAAAAGAATGGATAAATATTATCAGAGTCCTTAATAAACCTAACTTGGAACTTATTATTCTATGTCCTGCCAAGATATTTATCAAATATGAGTGCATAGTAAAATAAAATAATACCAGGGATATGGACATTCATAAGCAATATATCTATAGACCCTGTCTGAAAGAAGTACTGGAAGATATAATCAATAAGATGTTAAATGGAACTCAGAAGAAGATATGATTTTTGAAGCATTGAATATTGAAGAACTCTAAGTATAAATAAATGTTGATTTTGGGGAAAGAGGTAATAATCTAGCATGAAAAGACAGAGAGCAGCAATAGGGTAGAGTGAGTAGAAGTACGAATTCAGTATATATAATTGGGCGGACAGTCTTGATTGATGGAAAAAATTTGTCTAGATTAACTATAAAATTTGTGAAAAATATATTTGTTTCTTAACTTTCTGAGTGGCTGCTAAAATAGAAATAAAATATTTCCTAATTAGTGTTTTTTAATTGAGAGAATGAGCTAAATTCACCTGTGTAGAAACAGAAATTGAGTAATAAAATCCAGCTATACACCAAACAACTATTCTTTATACATCTAAACAATGTAAGGCAAAAGAAAACACATACAAAAAAAGCAAAATAGCATAAAACGACTAATGATATTTGCCTCTGAAAAAATTAAAATTCAAGATATCTAAAGGGTACAGTAGTAATATTTTGAATGGATGAAAGGAACAATCCACCAATAAAAATTAGATATCTATTGACAAAAAGAAAAAAAGATGATCTAGAATGAATACTTAAAAAATTCAATTCTAAATAATTAATGGATTAAAGACACCACTTAAACATAATTTAGAATTGATTTAGAAAAAAAAAAATGAGAACATTACCTGACACAGGCTAGTGGAAAGGGACCAAAGTAGTACTTAAGAAAAGTTATAGGATTTTGTATGTCTTTTTTACAAAAACAGAAAGATCAAAGTTAGATGAATACTGTACAGAAATGATAAAAGGAGTTATTGAAAACTATGCATATCAGTGACTCTCATGAACAAAATGTTGAGCAGAAAAAAAGACAGACACATAAGATTACATATGGTATGATTCCATGTACACAAAGAACAAAGCCATCAAAGTCATCTAAGCTGTTAGAAAGTCAATATACTGGTTGCCCTTTGGTGTGTGCGTGTGATGGGGTGGGGAGTGGATGGTTGTTAGTGATTGAAATAGGAAATCAGGTGGAATTTTGGCAAGAGTCCAGTTTTTCATCTGCTTGTTGGTTACGCAGGTGCGTTTAGTTTGTGAACGGTAATCAAGTTGTCCACTTAGAATGTGCATGCTTTTTTGATATGTATGTGTTATATATAATATTAGTAATATATATCACTAACATCCAATTAAAATAAATTTAATTAGCATTCAACTCATGAGGCTTGGAAAAGTACAACAAAGTTTACATTGGTGTTACAATCTAGGCAGACAAAAGGCAAAAACTTTCAAAATTAAGGAAAAAGTACCCAGTCTCTTCTTCCTAGCCATTCAGTTCCTCTCTATATACTATACAGTACACTCATTCATCTGCATAAGGAGTAGGTTCTCTAGATAAAGAATGGAGTGCCAATTAAATGTAGATTTCAGATAAATAATAATTTTGTATTATAAATAAGTCCTATACAATATTTTATTTGCTAAATTGACAGCCTTAAAGATGATGTCCATGAGCATTCCTTGCAGCATTATTGGTAATAATGAGAAGAACTTATATCAAGGTCAATGTTTATCAGTAGCAGTAGGTTATATGGCATAGACGGCATGTTCATACCATTAAATGTTATGAAGAAGGAGGCTGCACCATAGGTACTATCACAGACAAAATCACCAAGTCATTTTTAAGCTAAAAAAAATTAAAGATAAAACCCACACACAAAACAATAATACATATTTGTTTCAGTTCATTTCTATGATTACATACCAATAGCAAAAGGCTTGAAGGATACACAGACTGCATTGGTGACAGTGGTTTCTTCTCTTGAGGGAACAGTGGTGATTGGTGGTTGAGGAGAGGTGGATCGGGGGTGATACAAAGGATACTTTAGCATTATTCTTAGAAAAATGGATTGCATCTTGTGATTAACAGAAACACAAATCAAAGCAATAGATTTATTAAAAATGCATCTTTAAAAGGCAGCCAAGTAACATGTAACCTCATAATGATAAAATGGTGCTTCAAATAGTGCACTCCTTTAAAGCAGCAGCATTGACTCCTGAAGAATAAAACGATGATAATATTCCTTCCCAGTGTTTCACTTTTTGCAATTCACATTTCAGTGTGAGAAACTAGGATATGGCTAGTGAAAGTAATGTGCTACTTTGAATGTGACCTGGGAAACTCATCAGGGATAGTTCAGTCTACTAAAGTACCTTGTGTCTTTTTCCACATATGTGGGTAGCTGTAAAACATTAGAAGAATCAGAAGGCTGATGAGAATGAATTATCACCACTCAAAAGTAAAACATCCAATGAGGAGAAGATTTACACAGTTGGTCAACTGTAGACAAATAAGATAAATGCAAATTATTTATTGATAAACCATCTTGAATCAGTGCCAATGTTGTAAATAAGCAGGGAAGAAAAGCTTCAAGATTTGAAGGAGCAAACTCGATGGCTCAGAGGACTGTCCTTTCCACACTGAGCTTTGAACATGTACAGTATTCAGTCTCCCATCCTTTCTTTCAGAACAGTTTATTGACTGTTCACCGTTAAGTGCTGAGGACTCTGTCTGTGTTGTGGATTCAGCAGCAGAGTCAGGATGAGCACGTCCTCTACTTCCTGAAACTGCTAGTGATGATGTCTTTCTAGTAAATATTACATATGTTAATAACAATTTTTAAAGACTCACAAGTCAAGCTAATCTGCTTCCACAAAAGGAAAAACTAAACTCCAAATTGAGAATACTAGTCATGTTTGAATTGTCAGAATTAAAGGGGAGTGCCAGAATATCAGAGCAGTTAAGGAGACAGATCTTTTTAATCCAAACCTCTGTTCACATGGGCATAGCTTAGCACTATGGTATTTTAAGAAAGCAGTAATTTTAAAGCCAAAAGACTACATCTGACCTGACACAAGTATCTGTCCATTTACTGCTGTAGGTTTATTATCTGGGAACAAAAATGTAAATATTCAGTGCTCTTAATGTATCAGGAATGGGATGAATTCAGAAGAATCCACCTTCCATTTAATAAATGTATTAGTTGTGTAAAGACTGAGATTCAAATGTACTCTCTGTGTAACTTCCCAGCACATCCTTTGCAAAGCCTAAACTTCTTGTGGAAACTCCCGACTTGAAGGTTTATTGTGAAAACTGGCTTGTGATAATGCATACGAAATTACTCTGAAACATATAAAGAAGTATACAGAAGCACTGAATTGTTTTGAATCTGTGAGCTCTCTTCCTAAGTCATGTTCCTGTCTAAATCTGAAACTTTTAACTAGTCTATGGGTTGTACACAGAAATGTATCTACTAGCAGAAAGATTTATAAAAGTAAGTAGTTAATTTTTTAAACTTACAAGTTATGGCAAAACCCTCTTAAGATGTGGTATCTGTTGAACTCCAGCTGTGCACTTATATTTAAAAGGAATCTGCCCTGAGGATTGTGGTTACATAAGACATCTCGTGTTTAATGTTTATTTATAGGTTCTTGGCAAATTCTCATGGAAACTTTTCAATGCCAACTCTACATTGCTGAACCAAAGATTCATAAGATGCTTTTATTTAGATAAATTGTGTAATTCACTGGTAGGTACAAGAAATTTCCTTTCCAAATTAAGTTTTTTTAGCATGAAGTATATATGGTCAAACCTCTAAGGCACTCAGCTGATTTTATAAATAACATTGATACTTCCTCTCACAAAAACATTACCACACATATCATCCACCTATTTAGGGTCCTAAAATTCTATTTAAGCATAAGTGCCTAGACAAGAACAATTACTAGATGGTGGAGGTATTCAATAGGCTCCATTTGATCACTGTGAGCCAAGTCTTCCCCCTCCTCCCTCTCCCCAGGAATGTATATGGATTGTGAGTTAAAAGAGGTATGTTTTCCTTCTGGGTGACAGAACAGGTGTTTCCCTGCTGAGCTAGGTTACCACGCTATATTCTCAGGTTTTGTAATAGCAAGTCCAGAATCGTAACATCCCGCCCTCCTCTTTTTTTTTGCAATACACTGGCTGTTCTTGAAAATTACTTTTCCACAAGAAGCTGAGGCTTTGCAAAAGATGAACTGAAATATTACATTGAAGGTACATTTGAATCTCAGTCTTTACACAATTAATACAATTATTAAATGTAAGATGGGTTCTTCCTGAACTCATCCTGTGCCTGATCCATTAAGGGTACTGAATATTTACTATGTAAAAAAATGAATTTAGTTACTTGTAGTTTTATTTAATGCATTTTATGTGCCTACTAATTGCCATGGGGAGGTCCTGAGGGATTTAAAGATGAATAGAAATGAATACAAATATGAAATAATGTGCCTAAACAAGGGTATCATTGTATTTCCAGAAACTCAGGAGGCTGAGGCAGGTGGATCATTAGAGCCCAGGAGTAGAAGCCCAGCCTGGACAGCATAGCAAGGTGCTGTCTCACAAAATAAAAATGAATAAACATCAAATGTGACACTGGAATGTAACACTTTGAATTTGATTTGATTATGATGTGGAATGACATTTGAGTGTTTTTGTGATTTTTTTTTTTTTTTTTTTTTTTTTTGCTTTTAATAGGGTCCTACCTGAGCAAAATGCCTTAAGGGTTGAAGGAGATTTTCAGGTCTGTGTACAGGTGCACGGACTCAGAAAAGAGGAGGCATGATCTTTGTGCTTCTGAAAGGCACAGCAGACCTGTAAATTAAATTCAGAAGACACACTTGTTGTCTTCCTACCATTACACAAGCAAAACCTAATTTGTGGAAACCTTCCATTAGTATTTGTCTTGATGAGTAGTTGACATACTATTACTTAAACTAACTCCCCTGCCAGGTCTTTGGGAGAATTCTACTCAGTGCCAAACAGTCTGTTAAAATCTTGCTTCCTAAGCCTGTGCATTCCAAACTGGAGAGTGTGAGCAGCTGCTTCCCATGGCTGAGGAGAAGGGACTGCCTTCTGCGTCCTGGCTGCAATTTCATGTTGTTTGCATGGACCCAAAGCCCTCTCATCAGACCAATCTCCTAGCAATTTTCATAAGCCCTAACATATCTGTAGAATGTGAATAGTTCCTCATCACTTTCACATACATTATTTCATTGGAGACACTCCAATGGCCCAAGGAAGGTAAGCAAAGCAGATATTTTTATCTTCACTTTACAGCTGAAAAAACTGAGGCTGGTGGACATTGAGAGTCTTGCCTATTAAAGCTGATCTAAAACTCAAACCCAAAATCTAATTTGGGATTAGAATCAAGGGCCATTCCATTATATCACACTGCCTCTGCTTTTAAATTTGAATTAGTTTGTATATTATACCTTGAGACCTGAGGTAGAGGACAAAGACAATAGAAGATTTTAGAGTGTAATCTGAATCTTTGTAATATCACAAAAAATTCCAGATATAATTTTATGTTATGGGGATACACACACACACACACACACACACACACACACACACACACACACACGTCTTGTTGCTCTATTTCTATTTTATCTACTTCCAGTTTGCCTCTTGAGTCTGGTAGTGGTTTTGACAAAACAAAACAAAAAGTCTTCTAGTAGCCCTGAAATGGAGAGAAATTACCTTAAAGTCATCATTTCTCTGAAAGAGTCACCTTTCTATGAGTTAGGCAGATCAAATTCAATTGAAACTTTAAAAACAGCATTTGATCTTGTTGCAGATTTGTTGCTTCATGAGTCATGTCTTATCAGACGTTTGCTTTTCACTATTGAAAATCACATTTATAAATTTCCACAATTTTAATTAAATCTTTAGACCCTCCTTGTTCCAACATGTTGTTGAGTCTTGAGTTTCTCATCTGTAAAAGGAAAAGTTCAAGTGATGACCTCTAAGGTCTCTCTCGTCTTTACATATCTGCAACTTTTCCCTGTCACTCTTCTACCATAGAGTAGCCATGGCCAAATATTTTACAGACAAAGTTAGTGTACATAATGTCAAGTATTACTCATTCAGAGAATCTTGTTTAAGAGACATCATCTAACAGCTATGTAATAAAAAGAACATAGCTATATGTGTTACCACAAATAATTTTTCAATAAATTTGAATATGCATATATGCCATACAGACCTATGGATGTTTTATACAGCCATTATCATCGTAGGCAATTTAGCTTGTGACAAGTTAAACAGCTCTTTATTAACTAAGTAACCTCTGATTTTTTTTTTAAAAATTGATCCAGTGTTAGATATAGCCTTTCTGTTGAAACATTTATGATATATAGATTTAATGTATATAAATCTCTTCTATTATTCATATACTTTGTGCTGCTCATAGATTTTTAATTTTTTTTATTTTGCTCTCTGGAGAACTCTTCAGTTGACTTCTAAGCTTTTAAACCTTCTAAAGAATCAGTCACATTTTCTTTGGTTATTTTTCTACATTATGCTATGATTGAGTCCAGTCCAATAAGGGAAACACATTCTTTATGCCATTGTACAAGGAATAAATTCAGACATGAAAAATAATCCCATAGCCAATATCTTAAGTAAATAATGTTATAATGTTATCTCATCACCAACAAAAATATCCTAGCATAATCTAATAATTTAGGTCACAAAAATCCATAGATAGATAGATAGATATCAGGGTGTAGAGTCATTTGGGTTTTCTTTTCTCTTTTGTTTGTTTTTAGATAAAAGAATGTATCCTGTAATAAAAGTTAAAAGCATATTACCTATAAAAATGACTTCCCAGGTAGTATCTATTAATGGAAAGCTATGGCTAATACAGGAGAATGCTAAGTAGAGATAAATGTTATTGTATAATTATTATAAGTCCTGAATAATGAAGTTACATATGAAAGGAACCATTTAACACTCATCACAGGTAAAAAGACACATCAAGAAAATATGCTGCTTCATTATGAAAAGTAGTTGCGCAAATATACCAAAATCTGGACCAATATCAGGTTCTAATTCCAAGTCTTATTTCCAGGTAAGCATGACTTGCAATCATTGGCCAAGGCTACTGATCAGGACTTGAAATGTGAAAGATGGCTTAAACATGAACTAGCAAAGAATGATCTGAACAGTTCACATATCTCTTTTTGGAGGTAGAATTGGAAATGTCTGATGTGTTGTATTTACAGCACCAGGCTTCTCTCTAATATTGTTAGCAATTCAAGATAGCATTTTTTTTTCCTACTTCACCACATTTATAAACCATAGTGCATTTTGGTGCCAGGTGCAAGGGAATTCCAACTCTGAGATCCAAGTTAGAGGGTTTTTTTGGTTGCCTTTTATTTATTTATTTATTTATTTATTTATTTATTTTTTTCCTGGCCAGGCCAAGAAACTAAATAAAGCTAATCATTTAGGAAGAGGATCTTTTGGATCTGTTTCCTTTAAGAGTGCGGTATATATGATAATGACTTCATTGTCATCAAATAGAATACAATTAATTTTATTTTTTAGTATGTTATCAGCAAGCAAACCACCAGTATTAGCTCGATACCATCTGGGAGTGACAGTTTCCTTATTACAAAATATGTAAAAATATGGATTCCCTTAAGGAATCTGTTGCATTGCATCTGCTCAGATTTTTGTTATATGCTAATGGTTTTAACCCAGCATATGAAGCATGCAAAAAAAATAACTGAAATTTTTCAGCTAAATTACTCGTTTCACATTTAAAGTGTTCAAAGATGGGGAAAGCTACATATGCGGCTTTAGCTACAGGGGATTGAGCAGAAACAAAGAAGGAAGGAGCGAGCATGTCTCCTCTTACCTGATGTTTAGTCATCCCCATCTTTGTCTCCAGAGAGAGTCTGACTGCCCACATAATTAAGGCCACTTGATATGTGAGGGAGGTGTGGGGAATGGAGCTATCTGATGCTAAATCCCAAATGAGCACTGGTTGTAACAAAGAGATGGTGACTGATAAGACAATTATTTTCTGTATAGCTCTGTGTTCATAATATATTAAACAATCACAGTGATTAAAGCGAGCGATTATAATTATGAAACTATTCTCTGGGATAGCGTTTCTTTTCTTTCAATCCTTGGCCTTTTTGTATTTTCTCACCTTTATTTTACTTGGATGTGGAAAATTCATTGGAATGAATTCTGCCTATTGATGAAAGAGTGTGCTTGGGTGTGAGCCAAAAGCATGTAGCAGATTTCAAATGCTGGCCTCTGAGTATCAACCATTTAGGGGAAAGACCTGTTTGTGAACGAGACCATAGTGACAAGCTGAATTTGGTTTACAGAGTAATTCCAGGCCAGAAGTTTTATGTTGGGGTGTTGTTTCTTCTGTCTGATTGTGAAGCTATTGCTTTCAGCTAGCAGAATTTTCACACGTGTGAAACAATTTGGTATGAGTTGCTTTCCCATGTCTATAAGTCCTCAGGCTCCAGAATGTGAAATATGCTAGGTATTACTTTGTTAACAGCATCATCACAAGATATATCTATGTATTAAGTCTTAAAATTATTATCAATGATTTATAATTTACATGTATTTATCACAATTGATATTTTCTTTTTCTGATAATAACAATGGCCCAATATCTCTTTGTAAGAAACATAATGGACATAAACCACTATAGTCCATAATAACTCTTTAATTTCTTGATAATATAAGCAGTGTTGGTTCCCCATATAAAATATTATCCAAAAAGCTGGAGTACATGAGAAGCACATTGATACTCCTAAACAAAGTGATGATTCAGTAAGAAAGTACCATATATTGTTACATCCATCTTTTTCAGTACTTCCAGGCTCCATGGAGTGAATGTTTTTTTGGGATTGTACTGATGAAAAAGTCTGAAGCACATTGAGCAAGTATATATTAACACCTCCAGCCTGAAAAGACTCCCATAAGGTCTATTGATTATACATTTTTCAAAAAGACAGCATAAAATAAACTAGCATAAAATAAATAGACTAGCATAAAATAAAACATCAATCCATTTCTTTTTTAGCTGCCCATCTTGAAACTACTTTTTTCTTTTCCCTTATTCACTATAGCTCCTTATCCTGTTGCCTGCTGTTTTCAGTATTGTTTATGTGGGTTACATAGATTGACTTAGGGTAATCAATACTTTTACACACACAAGTGCCGTCACAGGAAATAATGTTTTATAGTGTAATTTGTAGACTAGTTACTGCCAATATGCTCCTCCCAATAGGAAAGTTGCTCCAGTTTCCCTGCAGAGTAAAAATAGCTACTAAAATGATAAGAGATGGTATATAGTTGTGATCAAAATTAAAATTTTGCAGGCCTTAAGATAAAATAATCCTTGAATATCCAGAAGGGGAAATGAAAGAAACAGAGACATTAATAAAGAAGAAATATTACATTGGCTGTGTTTGAGTCAGCACGTACCAAGAGACAAGAATCTCTTTCTCCCAAGAAGTCATTTAGTAAGCTACACATCTCCTAAGGAAGAAATGTCACCTGCAAACATTTTATATATAACAATCTTGGAACCTATTTCCAGTCTTAAATTTCTCTTTTTTTTCTTTTATTTTACTTTAAGTTCTGGGATACATGTGCTGATTGCGCAGGTTTATTACATAGGTATACGTGTGCCATGGTGGTTTGCTTCACCTATCAATCTGTCATCTAGATTTTAAGCCCCACATGCATTAGGTATTTGTCCTAATGCTCTCCCTTCCCTTGCCCCCAACCCCCTGACAGGCCCTGGTGTGTGATGTCCCCCTCCCTGTGTCCATGTGTTCTCATATTCAACTCCCACTTATGAGTGAGAACATGTGGTGTTTGGTTTTCTGTTCCTGTGTTAGCTTGCTGAGGATGATGGTTTCCAGCTTCATCCATGTCCCTGCAAAGGACATGAACTCATTCTTTTTTATGGCTGCATAGTATCCCATGGTGTATGTGTACCACCTTTTCTTTATCCAGTCTATCATTGATGGACATTTGAATTGGTTCCAAGTCCTTGCCTTTGTAAATAGTGCTGTAATAAACATATGTGTGCATGTGTCTTTATGGTAGAACCATTTCTAATCCTTTGGGTAGTTTTCTCATTTCTTTAATGTCACTTTGATTTAGTGAGAGCTTGAGAAACATCAGGGTCTGTGCTGTATGTTTTAATTATATTTTCTCATTCAATGCTTGCAATCACCCTTCAGGCTAGGCATTATTTTAATCCCATTTTGCTGATCAGAAAAGTGAGAGTTAGAGAGCTGAACAAAGTTCCCTGATTCAACTGGAATTTAAGACTAGGCATATACATAAACATAGCTCAAGCTCCTAACCACAGCATGGGACAGGGAACTTATTTGAGTCTTTGGTTACAACTTCTGCTGGAAAGAATTGAGTGTATTAGAATGCTTGTTAAAAGTGGGGAACCTACTTAGGATCTGTTAATGAACATTAAATATTCCATATAGAGTTTTTCTTGTAGTATTTCTTCTTTACCATATCTAGAGGAGTTACCACTTTGGCACTTAAATCTTTGCTAAAACTGACCTCTTATCAAATATCAGTCCTCCAATATTAATAGCATTTCATAGCAGCATTCTGTCCTAGAAGTCCCCTTGAAGTTCCTTGAAGCTTGCTTTCTACTTTCATACCAAAGATTTTTTAAAATCTTACAGCTAGGCACCTGTGTGGAGGTGCTGCCAAAGGGGAGTTTGTAATGGATCCCAATGAGGTCAGAGTTAGAGGATTCTTCCAGTATATTCCTGATGAGGTATTCAATAACAGATTTAAGTGGTACTTAATGTTTCCCCACTGCATGCTGTCAGTAGACTTTAAACAAAATCGACCTGGAGTGTAGCTTTGAACTTGGTAAGCCAGGGGAGCTTAGTAGAACTTTACTGATGAGCTTGCAAAAGATAGGTTGAGTTCATAAAGATATAATTAAAAACATGGCAGCATGAAACTTGATAAAATCCACCTTTTAAATAATTCAGGAGATGAAACATTACTCTTTCTTCTGCCCCTTGATGGTATGTTTCTATAGCTACCAAGGCCATTGTATTTAACATTTATTACTATACTTGAAAAGAAAATTTAGTCCTATGCTGTTATAATTTTATTTAAAAAAAAAAACTATACAGGAAGGATGTGCAGAATGAGTTACTAAGAAAGTTAAAAGGTTCATAAAGTAATTTGTTTGGAATGGTGTGTAATAGCCATTTGAAAATTCAGAAAAGTCATTTATTTGATGGGCAATGTTGGGTAAGAGCACTTCATATTTTGCTCCTTATCAGTCCAATTTCAGACCTGGAGGTGAGGGACAGGTTCTGGTCTTGCTGGTCTTGCTACTCAGCTGACCTGGATTTTAGGGTTTGATTCTGTCCTGGCCACGTGGTGATTAGGGCTAGAGACGCTTTATCATTGGTCCAATTAAAGTTAATCATTAGATTTCTGAGTAAACAATTGGCAAGGGGCAAAAAACGGGCTCCCTTTCCATAACCTTACTGATTTGATAATATGTCAGATTGATGCTGTTGGTTTTGCCCAATGGGAGGGTCCCTGGACCAAGAATGAAGCCAGCATGAAAGAAGGCAGAATCTAGTGACAGAGATGGAATCTTAGCTTTCTTGGTGACTTGACAATAGCCATTCCTGGAACATGTTCCTTAGAACTCTTTAGTAATGTAATTAAAGCAAATCTATTTGTTGACTAAGCCAGGTTGGTTTTTGTTACTTGAAACGAAATTAATACTAACTGCCAAAGTGAGCCATCTCACTTTCTGTCCTTCTAGCTCTAACATCAGTATAAAATTCAATGCACTCTCCCTGTTGGTGTGGCTCTACCAACCACTTCTCTGTTTTGCCCAGCCCCTTCTCATTCAACAAAGACCCTTGAAGATTACACACCTCATTTAGCTATTGCTCATGAGTATCTCCTTATCTGATATTCTGTCCACGGCAGGGTCATCCTTCAATGGATCCCTGGAAAAATTCACCTCCTTTCGAACGCCTTCTCTGTGACTCTTCTTTACTCCTTCTTTTGCTTCTCTAAGTGTTTTACACTGATCATAGCACATAATTGGCACTTCATTATCTACTGTCATTCTGTAAGTCAATGTTTATTATTATTCACTTTATAGATAATGTTCCTCTTTCACTGAAGAGGTAAATAGGCACTTTGGTCATACCTGGGTCTCAGGTCATCACATTCATCAGGACGTCTCCTCTTATATTAATACTATATTTGAAAGTCATGCATAAATGCCACTTGAATAAAAAGATGAGAGGTTTGCTGGTAACATATAAGTAGAAAATCTGTAGTTCCAATTTCCTTACATGAGGATACTTATCTTTTCAACTCCATTGTGTGGTTCTTTTGTACAGTTTCTGTATTCTAACATCTTTGTGACTTAAAGACCCTAGTAGAGCTTAGACACATAGCAGGTACTCAGTGCTAATTTTCCTTTCTTTTTCTTATTGTCCCTTATTAACATGATTTCAAGATGAAAGTTTTAGTCCTTAAAATGGCCCACAAAGCCTCAGTCTTCCTCTCATTACTTTTCTGCCTTCATCTCCTACCATTCTCTCTACATCCATCCACTGAACTGCTCTGACCTTCTTGTTATAATGGAAATGTGGCAGCTGTGCTCCTGCCTCAGGGCCTTTGCACATTCTATTATTTCCTCAGCCTAATGTACTCTATATGTGACTCTGTCCTCCACCTTTTCAAATCTGTGCTCCAATGTTGCTTTCTGTCCTACTTAAAATGTCATGCTATGTCCCTACCTAAAAGCTCTCCTCATCTCCCCTATCCTGCTGTTCTCTGTAGCACTTTTCACTTTTTTCAGACCATGTGATTTAGTTATATTTACTGCCCCACTACAATATAGAGAATAGGGGCTCTGTTTCCCTCTCTCTCTCCCTGTCTTTATTCATTGCTGTACCACCATTCCTACAAAAGTGCCTGGCATATTTGAGATACTCAATAACTTTCTAATGAATATATTTTAAAATTATGTTTATTTCTTAAAGTTTATATACTTACCCCACTCACCTGTCAAGCAAACCTGGCTCTCTCCTAGTTTTCTGTGTCCTGAGTGACCTGCTTCCACACTACCACTCACAAAAACTCATGCCTCTTGTTTGCGAAGTCCTCCTGCCCATCTTTACTTAATTGTTTTAAAACTTTGTAATTGACCACTCTCTGAAGGTATTCCCTTTCTCTCATTTCCCATGATATTTATGATTTGTACCACTCCTCTGAAGATATGTGTAGCCTTGTTTTTCATATAAATTTTGTGTGTTATCTTGTTTCCTCTCAATGTTTATGTTTCATTCTTGAGCATAAGAAAGAACAATTTGTACAATCACTCCTTTATAATTATGTTCTGGTCATTTAATCATTAACGATTTAATTAGGAATATAATTAGTGAGTGCATGATGTAAGACAATACTGGGCTAGGATTTGGGGAATACAAGCTCCCTGCTCCCTGTCCTTAGTGAGTTTATAGACTGGTGGTAAAGAGAGTCAGAAAAACAGGTAACTACAAAATATGATGTAAGAAGAGGGAAAATAAATGTAGCAATGTGAGAAGGGCTATACCGTGACTAGAAGAATTCTTAAGGAAGGGATGCATCAGTAATGTCTTCTGGGGAGAGAAATGACTTAAGAATTAAGAGCGAAGAGAATGAGAAAAATGTAGCAGGCAGAAGAACCAACTCAAAGTTTGGCCAACTCAAATTCTTTTCAAAGGCGAAGAGAAGAAACAGCATAGTTTCGTGTGTGTATGTGAGATGACAAGCGATGGTAAATGGGAGAGTGAGAGAAGGGAAAATGAGTTAGGAAAGCAAACAGAAAGTCTTATCTGTTTGCTTTCTGGCATATATATATATACACATATACACACACACATATACACACACATACATATACATGTATAAATGCATTTATGTTATTATATACATTTTATTGCATATTTATTATACATATTTTAGCCATATGTATGCTATAAATAGATAATTAAAATATATAATTTATATATTATATATATATAAGCTAGGACTGATTTGGGTTGCAAGTAGTAGAATATTTGTGACAGCAATAATAACACTCCGAGACCTCACATAGGGCTGACCACATGTCCCACTGTGCCATGTTTGTATTTGTGCTATTTCTGATAGTACCCACTTCCATTCTGAAAAGGATCCTGGTTTGGGTGATAACTCAATCAATCCCTAACATAGCCAGAAGTCTGGCCTTAGAAACTGATCTGTAGCTCAGCCGTATGGTCAGGATCCAGGCTTCCTCCTGGCCTTCGCTCTGCCCTCCTCCATGTCTTCTTATCCTCAGGCTTGTCTCTTTAAGGTCACAAGATGATTGATGCAGCTCCAAACGTCACATTCTCCCACGTTCAAGGAAGCTAGATGTCAATATCTTTGCCAGCACCTTCGTTTATTAGGAAGCAGAATCCTTCCCCAAAGCAACTTCTCTGTTCCTGAAATCCTGTTGGCCAGAACTCTGTCACATGCCCGTCCTTAAATCAATCACAGTAAAGAGAAATGGGGTTACCATGCTTAGACCAACAGGATTTTAAGTTCTCATAGAAGATAAGAAGTAGCTACTAAATAGGCAACAAATTGCCTGCCACAAATATATTCTTGGTTTCCCATGGAATAGCCATTAACTTTCTACAGGGCCCTGAGAAGAGTTTAGATGGCAAGAACAAAGAGCTTAATAGTCACATTTCTTGCTTTTCCCTAGCAGAATCTCTTCAGATAAACAAATTTATGTCATCCTCATCTCCCTATGAAGAAGGGGTTATGGGGTCTGAGAAGAGTGATAATGGGGTACCATAGATCCAGATTTAAGTTGCAGCTCACTAACCATATGATATTAGGCTAGTTACTCATTCTCCTTGAAAGTTATTTGTCTCATTTCTAATAGATGATGATAACTCTATTTCAGATTAGTTTCAAAAAGTAATAGCAATGACTGGGAAACACTTTGCAGGGTACCTGGTATAGGTGCTTAATAATTAGAATACATTATTATTGGTCAAAGGATTTGGGACTTAACCTGAGTTTTAACAGTGATAAAAACATAATCTGCAAAACATGAGCAATGCTCTACTTCAAAGACCTAGGCAGGGTAAGGTTGGTTTGTGGACTTATGAGCACCAAATTTTCAACCAGCAGAGCTGTCTATCTGGTCAGATAAAAGCTACGAAATTACAGTCTCATGGTAATGCTTCCCACACTCTCTTCTGCACGGCCAAATATTGTTAATCTGCTTCAGGTTGTTTGTTTTTAAGTATGCTTATCTTGTATCTACTTTGCTTAAAGCCATGAGGGCCAGCAGTATGCACCTACCTTCACGTATCTTCATTGCAATGCAAAACCTCTAAAATGCTGAGCATATTTTTAACTTTCAATTTCTGCAAGTAGTCAAAAATAGTTAGTGAAATCTACATGTTTTTCATCTATTTCTAAAGTAAAACAACTCATGTACCCTTTTGATAGGGCTCGGTGTTCATATTCCTACTGAAGCAGGAAAATTTCCCTGACCCCTTGGCAGGTGGGAACTGGAGTGCACAGGTGCTAGAAGTAGCCAGCCACTTGGATGCCGGCAGAAGACTCCACTCACTCTGTCCCATTGCGTTCAACCCCTTGCAGGAGGGGGGAGCATGGGTGAGTGGGTGCAGGAGCCAGGGCAAGTGCTTTTGGGCACTGGCAGGAGCAAAACTCTGTGCGGCTAGGGGGAGCACCTGCGAGCCCGGAAGCCCCAGAGGGCGTGTGTGACAGTGCTCTTTTAGCTTTGCCATCCATGGACAGCTTAAGTGTAAAACACCTCAGTGGGCCCTCTGCCTTTTTGCATGAGGCGGTTGCTCTCCACCAGCGAGGGCAGAGAATCAGTGTGACAGCCTTTAGTATCTGCACCCGTGGCACCTGAGCTCTTGTTCAGCGTCCAAGAAAAATCAGGTTGCACGAATGAATTGAAGGGTGGTGACACAGATGATTTTATTGCTGATGAAAGGGGAGCTGGAAAGGGGATAGAGTGGGAAGATAATCTTCCCCCAGAGTCTGGCTGGGAACGGCCAGACTCCTCTATGAAGCAACGCTGTCAAGCTGTCCCTCTGGAGTCAAGCTGCTTCTCTCCAAGGTCCATCCATAGTCTCTGAGGTCCCGCCGCTTCTCCTCTTCTCTGCAGGCGAAGCCTGGAGTTTTTATATGCGCAGAATTGGGGGCAAGGTGGGCCATGGGTGGTTTTGGAAAACGCAACATTCTAGCAGTGAAACAGGCAATGCTAAATGTTCTCACTTTAGGCTGCGGTTCCAGGTTTGAGGGTGGAGCCTTTGCCGGGGACCTGCCCTCTTCCGCCCAGAATTTCCCTGCCTCCTGTCCCTATCACTACTCTCTAGCTACCGCCACCCTCAGCCACCTGGACCTTCCACTGAGCACTAAGTGTGGAAGGAGATCCTGATAGGGAAGACGTGAGGAGGCAACCTGGAGAAAGAGGGTGACTTCCTTATGTGTCAGTGTAATAAATCACTCCAAAGATTAAAAAAAAAAAAAAAAAAAAAAGATGTCACTTAGTAGATCAAAGGCACTCATTAGAAAGTGTGGGGTTTCCTGCAAGTTAGTTGGCTTGAGATTTCTAAAACTCCCAAATCAAGTCAGAAATAACCCTTTTCCTCATCCTCATAGTACATTTCTGGCTTTGGTTTGCAGAAATCAGATTTGTTTTTCTTGATCTTCATTTATTATCAGAATGTGAGAGACATACTTTTCTGAAGAGCAAGGTTATTCAGTGTGATATTTCTACCTTTAACTTTGATTAAACAAAAGACTTTACATCCTAACTTTATTTATGTGTTTAGAATTCAATAGCAAAGAATTCTTACTATTAATTCAAGGCTTTTCCATGCAGTCTGCATGATGGAAGAGAATCATCCAATGTCTGATTTAGAAATAGGAGCAGATATTAGTTACTTCTTAAAAGAAAAGGGGGAAAAGTCCTGATCTCAGATATTTGTTTAAAATTTGTACTAGCATAAATATGCTATAAAATTCAGATTGATAATGTAACTGACATAACATGTAAAATAAGGTATCAATCAAGTAGCAGAACATTAGTATTTAAACAGAGTTAATGTAGCAGGCATTTGACTTTGTATGTACGTATAGAATCCTTATTAGTTATTATGTTTTTAAAGAGTCAAAATTTGATTCCTAAAGTTTTAAGTGACCTTTCCCAGATGAACCAAAATGATTAAAATTTTTAAGTTCTGTGCACAGCATATCAACATATATTTACTGAGAACCATATATTTTCTTGTAACCCTAACACCGATTATGTTATATGAGCTTCATAAATTCATAAGTTAATCAGCTAATAATTACCTTAATGAAACAGTCATAGTAGATGAATGGAAACACACACATTATAGGAAATATGGAACACTGCAAATGATGACATAAATAAATTCAGAAGATGGGACTTCATAATTGCCTATTTGCTCGTGAACACATTTATTAAAATGTTTGTGTCACAAGTAAACTCACCTGTTCACTATGTCTCTGCCATCCCTAATCAAATTGGCTTTACTTCAAATTCAAGTTCAAAAGTCGGTCAACATTGCATGGCAATTCTGTGATTTCCTGGTAAGCTTATTTTTCCACTTTGGTGTGATTATTTCATAGTTTATTCTCTATTCCCAAATCTTCATATCCCTACCCACTTTGTACCATGTACTGAGTAAAAAGAAACTGTCATCACCATCATTCAATCTTACAATCAGTCCTCCCTGCACATGTATCCATCTTCTTTCCTGTGACACAGTACAGGATGTGTTCCACTTGGTCTAACTTCTTCCTATGATCTTCTCAAATGCTGAGCAGCTGTGTCCTTTGCCTGTCACTCTGGATGATTAGACAGTCTCTCCCCCTGTCCTTAAAAACCTCATCAAAAGTAGAACATGGTCTATCCTTTCCCTTTTCCATGTTGAAAGTAGCTTTTCTTGACCACATATGAAGTTTCTGTTTTCCCTTTGGGCTACACACTTGAATGTGTATCCACACATGTGCCATATCATTTGAATGTGTCAGAAACCTCATCATTAATATGTATACAAACAGAAACCTCATCATTAATATGTATACAAACAGAACTCTCATCATCCATCCCACCACTCAATCACTCCTGTCCCCTCATCTTCACTATATGTGCCATAAGCACCACCATCCAAGCATTCATTCAAGCCAGAAGTCTAATCATTCTTAATTCCTCCCTTTCTCATCTTCTTGACTTTCAATCCAAAAAGTACTGTTGATTTCCATTACCAAAATATATATTCTATCTTTCCATTTTTCTCCTTCTCTGTTGCTACTGCTTTAATTCAAATTATTATTTTCTATGAGCTACTAAAATATTTTTCTAACAGAAGAAGAAGGTATTATATCCAGGATGCTAATTTAAAGTCATGTGGCAAAAGGAGGTCTAAATTTGGCTTAGTGTTAGAGTTGAAAGTGCTATAATATCTTTCCAATGAGCAAAAATAAGGTCACGTTTTTCTGTGAGCATGGCTCCTTAGCCTGCTGCTTTCCTTATCTGAAGGATCCCAAGGGGGCGTGGCCTATGAGGCCACTGGGGATGATGAGAAAAGCTGGTGATGAGAGAACTCACAGGCCTGTGGAGAAGGAAGATTTCTGAAAGCTCTGTTTTCTAGCTCATATAGTCAACTCTTCAAAAGAGCATATTTGACAGTCAAACAATTAATACACATTTATCTAGCAAGGCACCGCAGTCTAATAGGATTGGGCATTTTTCAACACAAGAGTATTTTGAAAACATATATTTAACCCAAAACACCTTGTTTTATCTTGAAACAGCTTTTAACTTCAGGCTATTTTCAGTAAGGCTGCAGTATTTCTCAAATACTCCTTGTCAAACTCGAAAAAAAAAAACATGAAATAAATCAGAAAATTTGTGATTTAATTATTTGTAATTTTCTGTCTATTTATTGGGAAAAATACCCTAATTTAATAGCACTTTTAAAGCTTATTTTGTATTTAAGATTTTTTTGGACAGATATTGGATCAAATCAAATCAATTTATGTCTCTACAAGTTGCCCTTCAAAGATATTATTGGCTGCAACAGAAGATAAGGATTAAGTATCATACATACAAAAATGGTTTTCAATCAAGAACTTCTTTAAAAATGATGTATGTAATTATTTGAAAGTATATTATACTTTATGAATTTTGTGTAGGACCAGGTTCAATATAGTAATGGTTGTCTCCACAGGGGCGTGTGGTAATTGTTGACTGCATATTTGCTTTTATTTATTCAATACTTACCTTTTTGTTTTCTTGTTTTCTGGGGGATTTGGGGCATTAAACTGACTTATTTCTAGAGTAATCTACCAAGTGACATTTGGGGTGGCAAAATGATTTTAGGAAAAAGTAGAGCACACATAACTAACACTGTTAGACTTCAGAGATTAAAGATTTCACAAACTCTGGTATTACTGTATTAATCTCCTAGTACAAAAACTGTAATTGTTTAGATTATTTGACACCAAGCTTATCTTCAGCTACTTTTGAACTTTGTTTCTTTAAATTTGGAATGTAATCTCCCATAAGTACCTGGTCCATTTTCCTTTGGGAAGAGCATACACTTGGTCCATGTCAGCCTCCAAGTTCGGTCAATTACCCCCAGGAATCATCTCTGATGAACCTTTCCAGCATCAGTGATTACAATGATATTCTTACTGTTTGGGGATTTTAAATAACAGCACAATCAGGACATGTTCCTTTTCATCTTTGCCTCCCATAATTTTCTTTGGTAGAGGTCTTATCAAACATGCTTGATTTTTTCCCCTAATTATAACTCTTCAAAGGAGAGAAAATGAGACTTGGAGCCCGGGTTTTCTAGCAAATGCTTCTAGGCCCACAGCTGCTCCAGCTTTTGAAGTTCCCTCTGCTCACCTCTTGATGCTGCAACCCTCTTAATAGCAGCATTAGCTATTTCAGCTCCATTTTTCTGACAGTCTTGGTGGAGAGAGTGAGGGAAAGCCTTTCATGTAGGACTTTGTTGCCCTGATATGACGCTTGAAAAATAAAAATAATTCTGATTTATCTAGTCCTGGCACATACATGTAGCTGTAGTCTCCTTGCTTAGTAAGCAGGAATGGCTTTCACTAAGTCTTTATTTGCCATTAATAATGGAGATTAGAACCCTATACAATCAATTTAAAAGACAATGACTCAAGGATACACCTATTCAATACAATGGAGACATAAGATCCAAATTAAACTACCAACACTCCAAATAACAAACTCTGTTTCCAGTCAGAAATGGCTAGTGAATAAGAAAAAATGTTACTAAAATCCTTTCTTCTCGTAGCTAGAGAGGAAAAAGTAAAACATATATTGATGTTACAAATTAAAAGAAGAAGAACAATGTGCAATACAATCAATCCTGTCCTTTAGTGGAAGGCGATTGTAACATTTGTAAGTTTAGTTGCATAATGCAGTCAAACCATACATGAAGTCATTTTGCTCCAACACCTGACAATGCCACAGCTCTGGATACCTATTTTGCTTTCCAGATACGGCAGAATACAGTCATAGGGAGGTTCTGCCCCTTGTTGAAAAAATTGTTGAAGTTGTTGATAGCATTTGCATTCATCAATTTCAACGTGGATGTTGAGAAAGAACCACATGTAAGCACGTGCCTTGGCATATACTGAACACTAACTTATTCCATGGAACTATTAAACCCTTTTAACTCTTCACAAGCTTTTTTTTTTTTTTTTTTTTTAACTTTTTTGGATCTTATATGAAAGTATATTTGAATATACTTTGATTCTTGGGGGAGAGGGGACAGAAAAAACTGTGTAAATTTGAGGCTGGATTAAAACGGTTGTGCTTGTCCTTTTTGTTATGTATGAGAAAAACAAGTATAGCCCAAAGAATATCTGAAGTCAGAGTAAATTGGAATACTTGTGCTTTGAAGGAAAGTGAAGTTTTTTGTACAGTCAAGTTAATTGGGCACATCTTTTAACAGACCTAGGTTTCTGCAAATCATTTCTGTTGCAAGTACAGTTTCAAAGTATGCTTTTCAATCATATTTCGTACTTGTTCTTTGAGAGTTAATTAATATGTATATTTCCGGAGTTGCACGATTGTTGGAATCGTGTAGCTGGAGCTTCAGAGCAAGGTGCTATAGGAATATAGACAGAAAACAAAATGGGTTGGTAACTGGTACATGGTGATCTGCTCTTCTTATTGGAGTTCTGTTGGTGTTATTTGACAGTGTATATCCTAGAAACCTTACTATGGGGCTACCATGGGCAAGATTCCATTTTTCGGTAGATAGATTTATTCCTGAAGGTTGTGAGAAAACTCAGTGTTTATCTATTGGGACTTGATGCATGAATAGTTAGGTTTAAGGAAAATATTTACTCCTGTTTCTGCGAATTGGGAATTCAGGGCTGTTTTCTGAGGCACTGAGATTCTTGAAGCTCTCCTGCTGGTGGTGAATGACTACCTTTGCCTCATATGACAGCTGGAATTGCTCTGGCATTTCCTGTAGAATAGTTTTAGTTTATCTTCCATCTTTTGATGGCCTTGTTCTACCCTAGAAAGAAGTTTAGAGAACAGAGTTCTCTTACAGCATCATAACTGCATACCTCTACCTTCATACCACATTAGTGACCACAGCAGAAAAGTGTAGAGAGCTCTGGCCAGTGGAGCAACATCTTGGGAATCTCACTAGCTGCTACAGCTTAGCATGGTAAGAGTCCAGGCAGAGGGGCTCTGGGGAGCTTGTACCTGACAGTCCTCTAGGGGACTCAGAAACAGATGGGAGACATTTGAAGAGAAGGAGAGTTGCCAAATAAACATGGAAAGTCCTGAGTAAACATTGCAGAGCAAAATCAATTCCCTAAATCTCTGTCTGAATACCACAAAATAATAAAACAAATAAGCAAAAAGTTGGCCAGCAAAAACTAAGTAAAAAACAAGATTTATCCCTCCTGTCATATGCTTCTAAAAGATACAACCAAGAGAAATTTAAAAAAAAAATTAGTGAAGTTCTTAATTGCATCTCCCTTCCTAAGATGTGGCACCAGACATTAATGAGTCACCAAACTTCTGAGAGCTCTTATTCATATCCCACAATCTTGGGACCATCAAATTAAGGATGTTCAATTGAATCTAGAGAAAAGCAAGGAATGATTCCAGCTATGGTGGAAGAAATGTTGATGGAAGCTGAAGGAATTCACTGTGTTCCTAGAATCTGTGGTGAATTAGGGCATTGAACTGAATTCTTCAGGCATTCCTTCCATTAAATATGTAACAGGCGCAACAGGTTGGAGAGTACCCTGATAGAAAGACATTAAACCATCTCTTGGATACCAGGGGCTGCCAAACTTTGGGCTGTGGGCTGACTACTGATCTTGTGAATAAAGTTTTGTTGGAACACAGCTATGCCCACTTGTTTATGTATCGTCTATGGTTACTTTTATGCTAAAACAGCAGAGTTGAGTAGTTGCAATAGAGACCACAGTGGCACAAAGTTCACATATTACTGTGTATCTTTTTATGGAAAAAGTTTGCCCATTCTTGTCATAGAAGAAAGTGGGGAGTTTAGGTTTGCCAAAACACAATATCACAATCAGATAAGATCAATAGTGAAAAAGACATTTTACTAATTGCATTACAGAATATACAGAAAGGCTAAATAGAGCTATCTACATTAAATATATTAAGTTACAAATAAGAAAGAGAAAAATGGCATGGTGTTTGTGTCAGCAAGCCACACACACACACACACACACACACACACACACACACAACATGCATGCACAGAAAAGAAACAACCATAAAATCTACTTTGAGATAATACGTAACTTAAGGAAAAATGGAAATAGTGCTTTCTACCATGAAAATTACTAGAGTATAACTTAAGGAAACATTTCAAAGACAAGTTGATAAACCAACATAAATTGATGAACATAAATATAGAGCTCAGTAAATAATTGGATATTTACAAAGCAATATACAACAAAGCAACCCTCATCTTCATGTGACTACTAAATAAATTAGAAAGAACTGGAAACAAAAGAGATAGGGCTAAAAAGTCAAATCATGGAAATGGACAAAAGCCTTGAACATAAATATAAATTCAGAAAAAAGGGAAATGATTTAAAAACTAATGAAAAGCTGGAAATAGGCAAATATGTCCTGACAATGATATCTGCTGTTCCTATAGTAGATAACATGAAGCAGGGTAGATACATTTTCGTGAATTAAAGGAAGAAATAATGTTCGAATGGAATGAATCCACCATATTCCAGGAAAATCTGACACAGAGCAAAAGGGCTCTTTTTAAAGTTGTCTTTTAAAGTGTCTGGGTATTCATCAAGAAAAGCAAGTCATTTATAATGGGGAAAACAAAATCGGGCTGGTCTTCGCCATGACAACTTTCAATGGCAGAAGGTAACGAGATAATAACCAATAGTTGCTGAGGGAGATGAAATGTAACTCAAGAATATAATAGTTGTTCTTCACATATGAAGGCAACAGATAAATAGGCTAATTCAGAGAAGAATTTATAGACTAAAAGACCTACAAAATCTTCTGAGAACTTACTGCCCCAATGCAAACTCAAACAAAACTTCATGGAGCTTAATCATTCAAAAGAGGAATGAAGGAACCCTACTAAAAAGATGAGTGCAGCATTAAATGTCAGAAGAGAGCATGGTGGTGTTTGCAGTGCACTGAGGAACAAGCTAACACAGGCATATTTTATACACAGGTTATCTTGCTAGCTGAAAGGCACCACACATTCTCACACATGCCAGAATGTATGAATGAAGGAACCTTCCGTCCAGAAAACTGATACAAGTAGATAAGTACTTAGATCATTAAAGAAAGAAAAAGTAATGATACCAACAGAGGCATTTAGTCAGTCAAGATCCAACAGAGATGTAAATAAATACCACAAACTCAGAAGTAGCCTCGCCATAATAATAACTAGTGATATCATTCATGGCAATTATTGAAACAAACAGAATAGAGTTGTAGGACATAATTTAAAAAATCATCAACCTTGAAACAGAAAAAGAGATGCTGAGTCAAGGGAACTAGATGTGGAAGAAAATATGTTAATTTTATAAATTTTTATGGTTTGGGGTCACTACAATTGAGAACCATTTTTTCAGAAAAACAGAATTATTCCTATGCATTCAATTTTTATGGTTATCTGTTTCTATAATCTTTAATATCTCTTAGGAACAAATAGTTCACATGGGGATAAAATAGTTCCCTAAAATTGAGTGATTCTATTAGTTTTATCACAATTTTAATTTATCCTATAAAATACAAATAATATTAAATGCTCTCAAACTTAAAATTGCACAGATGCATTTTATCTTATTTATATGTATCCATTCATCCACACACATTTATCCATTGTTCCATCCATTAGTCTCCTTGTTTCTCTCTTTATCTGTTGTTTTATAATCACATTTATCTTTGTCGTTATATTTATATGTATATGTATATACATGGATTAAAATGTGTAAAGTAACATTTCCCTAATGTTGGCAGTGGCTATTTCTGTGCAGTCATGTTTTTCAAAATTATTTTTCTTTCTTTGTTATGTTTATTGCTTGTGTTAAAATAATAGACATGTAAATTCATTATTTAAACAAAAAATGATTTAGCTCATTATTCATAAGCCCTAAGAACATTTGGATTATATACGTGAAATAAAAAACTCCTGAAAGATTTAATGTATCATTTACAAACAGCATTGTGAACTTCAGAAAGCAAAATAATTTTTTTTCAATGCAGTGGACCTATCTGGCTTATGAAAAATCATAAAGTGGACAAAGCCCACTTGTCCTGGATGCGTTCTTTCTCCTATGTGATGACTCTCAACCTGTGAATGGTATCGATTTTTTGAAAATCTATTAGCATAGGAATCCCATTGAGGGCACTATGCAGAGTATGCTTAACTTTGTGGTTTCCCACACTTTCTCTAAGATAACTTTTTTTTTTTTTTTTGAGAGGGCGTCTCGCTCTGTCGCCCAGGCTGGAGTGCAGTGACACCATCTCGGCTCACTGCAAGCTCCACCTCCCGGGTTCACGCCATTCTCCTGCCTCAGCCTCCCAAGTAGCTGGGACTACAGGCGCCCGCCACCACGCCCAGCTCATTTTTTGTACTTTTAGTAGAGGCGGGGTTTCACCGTGTTAGCCAGGATGGTTTCAATCTCCTGACCTCGTGATCCACCCACCTTGGCCTCCCAAAGTGCTGGCATTACAGGCGTGAGCCACCACGCCCAGCCGATAACATTTTTTTTTTTTTTTTTGCTGTTTCCTGTAGCCGTTTAGTAAGATATGGTTGCCAAGACATTGCTATCTGACCTGTTATCCTATTATGTAATACTTTCTACACCACACTTGTGAACAACTCCATCCAAAGAAGTGAATAAGGCCACACAGCAAATGAGAAAGGCGTTTATGAATACAGATACATCGGGATGCTCCTCAAATCCCATATCCCTTTTGCTGACAAAAAGGAAAGGGATTGAACCACTAGTTAAATATCCAGCATTACAATCTTCCCATTTTTTTCCCATAAGATTAAAGAAAGCTTGACTCATATGTTATTTAGAAAGTCAAATGAGTAAAAGTGAGACTGCAAGGAGCTTAGAAAGTATCCAATGAATTAGTATGCCTAAAGAAACTGAAGATCAGAAATAAAATCCATTGTTTTGGTCTTTGAAAAATATGATTGATTTTAATGATTAGCCACATCCCTAGAAATTGGATTCACATCTATTCCCTTTGGAATATTGCCACATTTCCTAAGGATAATCCAAGCAGATAATCATAAACAGCAACAATGATAATGCAAGAGCCTGAAGGTACCTGGAGGTGGGACGGTGAGTGGAACACGGTTTGGGTCCCAGCTTGTTTAACTTTTTTTTTTTCCCATAGTATTTACATTGTATTATGTATTATGAGTAAACTGTTTAATAGAGGTGATTTGAAGTAGACAAGGGCATGTGTGTAGGTTATATGCAAATACTGTGCCATTTTTTAAAATTATTATATTATTATTTAAGTTTTAGGGTACATGTGCACAATGTGCAGGTTAGTTACATATGTATACATGTGCCATGCTAGTGTGCTGCACCCATTAACTCATCATTTACCATTAGGTATATCTCCTAATGCTATCTCTTCCCCCTACCCCCACCCCACAACAGGCCCCAGAGTGTGATGTTCCCCTTCCTGTGTCCATGTGTTCTCATTGTTCAATTGCCACCTATGAGTGAGAACATGCGGTGTTTGGTTTTTTGTCCTTGCGATAGTTTACTGAGAATGATGATTTCCAATTTCATCCATGTCCCTACAAAGGACATGAACTCATCATTTTTTATGGCTGCATAGTATTCCATGGTGTATATGTGCCACATTTTCTTAATCCAGTCTATCATTGGACATTTGCATTGGTTCCAAGTCTTTGCTATTGTGAATAGTGCTGCAATAAACATACGTGTGCATGTGTATTTATAGCAGCATGATTTATAGTCCTTTGGGTATATACCCAGTAATGGGATGGCTGGGTCAAATGGTATTTCTAGTTCTAGATCCCTGAGGAATCGCCACACTGACTTCCACAATGGTTGAACTAGTTTACAGTCCCACCAACAGTGTAAAAGTGTTCCTATTTCTCCACATCCTCTCCAGCACCTGTTGTTTCCTCACTTTTTAATGATTGCCATTCTAACTGGTGTGAGATGGTATCTCATTGTGGTTTTGATTTGCATTTCTCTGATGGCCAGTGATGGTGAGCATTTTTTCATGTGTTTTTTGGCTGCATAAATGTCTTCTTTTGAGAAGTGTCTGTTCATGTCCTTCGCCCACTTTTTGATGGGGTTGTTTGCTTTTTTCTTGTAAATTTGTTTGAGTTCATTGTAGATTCTGGATATTAGCCCTCTGTCAGATGAGTAGGTTGTGAAAATTTTCTCCCATGTTGTAGGTTGCCTGTTCACTCTGATGGTAGTTTCTTTTGCTGTGCAGAAGCTCTTTAGTTTAATTAGATCCCATTGGTCAATTTTGGCTTTTGTTGCCATTGCTTTTTGTGTTTTAGACATGAAGTCCTTGCCCATGTCTATGTCCTGAATGGTAATGCCTAGGTTTTCTTCTAGGATTTTTATGGTTTTAGGTCTAACGTTTAAGTCTTTAATCCATCTTGAATTAATTTTTGTATAAGGTGTAAGGAAGGGATCCAGTTTCAGCTTTCTACATATGGCTAGCCAGTTTTCCCAGCACCATTTATTAAATAGGGAATCCTTTCCCCATTGCTTGTTTTTGTCAGGTTTGTCAAAGATCAGATAGTTGTAGATATGCGGCGTTATTTCTGAGGCCTCTGTTCTGTTCCATTGATCTATATCTCTGTTTTGGTACCAGTACCATGCTGTTTTGGTTACTGTAGCCTTGTAGTATAGTTTGAAGCCAGGTAGCGTGATGCCTCCAGCTTTGTTCTTTTGGCTTAGGATTTACTTGGTGATGCGGGCTCTTTTTTGGTTCCATATGAACTTTACAGTAGTTTTTTCCAATTCTGTGAAGAAAGTCATTGGTAGCTTGATGGGGATGGCATTGAATCTATAAATTACCTTGGGCAGTATGGCCATTTTCACGATATTGATTCTTCCTACCCATGAGCATGGAATGTTCTTCCATTTGTTTGTATCCTCTTTTATTTCATTGAGCAGTGGTTTGTAGTTCTCCTTGAAGAGGTCCTTCACATCCCTTGTAAGTTGGATTCCTAGGTATTTTATTCTCTTTGAAGCAATTGTGAATGGGAGTTCACTCATGATTTGGCTCTCTGTTTGTCTGTTATTGGTGTATAAGAATGCTTGTGATTTTTGTACATTGATTTTGTATCCTGAGACTTTGCTGAAGTTGCTTATCAGCTTAAGGAGATTTTGGGCGGAGACAATAGGGTTTTCTAGATATAGAAGCATGTCATCTGCAACCAGGGACAATTTGACTTCCTCTTTTCCTAATTGAATACCCTTTATTTCCTTCTCCTGCCTAATTGCCCTGGCCAGAACTTCCAACACTACGTTGAATAAGAGTGGTGAGAGAGGGCATCCCTGTCTTGTGCCAGTTTTCAAAGGGAATGCTTCCAGTTTTTGCCTGTTCAGTATGATATTGGCGGTGGGTTTGTCATAGATAGCTCTTATTATTTTGAGATATGCCCCATCAATACCTAATTTATTGAGAGTTTTTAGCATGAAGGGTTGTTGAATTTTGTCAAAGGCCTTTTCTGCATCTATTGAGATAATCATGTGGTTTTTGTCTTTGGTTCTGTTTATGTGATGGATTATATTTATTGATTTGCGTATATTGAATCCACCTTGCATCCCAGGAATGAAGCCCACTTGACCATGGTGGATAAGCTTTTTGATGTGCTGCTGGATTCGGTTTGCCAGTATTTTATTGAGGATTTTTGCATCAATGTTCATCAAGGATATTGGACTACATTTCTCTTTTTTGGCTGTCTCTCTGCCAGGCTTTGGTATCAGGATGAGGCTGGCCTCATAAAATGAGTTAGGGAGGATTCCCTCTTTTTCTGTGGATTGGAATAGTTTCAGAAGGAATGGTACCAGTTCCTCCTTGTACCTCTGGTAGAATTCGACTGTGAATCCAACTGGTCCTGGACTCTTTTTGGTTGGTAAGCTATTGATTATTGCCTCAATTTCAGAGCCTGTTATTGGTCTATTCAGAGATTCAACTTCTTCCTGGTTTAGTCTTGGGAGAGTGTATGTGTCGAGGAATTTATCCATTTCTTCTAGATTTTCTAGTTTATTTGCGTAGAGGTGTTTGTAGTATTCTCTGATGGTAGTTTGTATTTCTGTGGGATCAGTGGTGATGTCCCCTTTACCATTTTTTATTGCGTCTACTTGATTCTTCTCTCTTTTATTCTGTATTAGTCTTGCTAGTGGTCTATCAATTTTGTTGATCCTTTCAAAAAACCAGCTCCTGGATTCATTAATTTTTTGAAGGGTTTTTTGTGTCTCTATTTCCTTCAGTTCTGCTCTGATTTTAGTTATTTCTTGCCTTCTGCTAGCTTTTGAATGTGTTTGCTCTTGCTTTTCTAGTTCTTTTAATTGTGATGTTAGGGTGTCCATTTTGGATCTTTCCTGCTTTCTCTTGTGGGCATTTAGTGCTATAAATTTCCCTCTACACACTGCTTTGAATGTGTCCCAGAGATTCTGGTATGTTGTGTCTTTGTTCTCGTTGGTTTCAAAGAACATCTTTATTTCTGCCTTCATTTCGTTATGTACCCAGTAGTCATTCAGAAGTAGGTTGTTCAGTTTCCATGTAGTTGAGCAGTTTTGAGTGAGTTTCTTAATCCTGAGTTCTAGTTTGATTGCACTGTGGTCTGAGAGACAGTTTGTTATAATGTCTGATGTTTTACATTTGCTGAGGAGAGCTTTAGTTCCAACTATGTGGTCAGTTTTGGAATAGGTGTGGTGTGGTGCTGAAGAAAATGTATATTCTGTTGATGTGGGGTGGAGAGTTCTGTAGATGTCTGTTAGGTCCGCTTGGTGCAGAGCTGAGTTCAAGTCCTGGGTATCTTGTTAACTTTCTGTCTTGTTGATCTGTCTAATGTTGACAGTGGGGTGTTAATGCCTCCCATTATTATTGTGTGGGAGTCTAAGTCTCTTTGTAGGTCACTCAGGACTTGCTTTATGAATCTGGGTGCTCCTGTATTGGGTGCATATATATTTAGGATAGTTAGCTCTTCTTGTTGAATTGATCCTTTTACCATTATGTAATGGCCTTCTTTGTCTCTTTTGATCTTTCTGGTTTAAAGTCTGTTTCATCAGAGACAAGGATTGCAACCCCTGCCTTTTTTTTGTTTTCCATTTGCTTGGTAGATCTTCCTCCATCCTTATTTTGAGCCAATGTGTGTCTCTGCATGTGAGATGGGTTTCCTGAATACAGCACACTGATGGGTCTTGACTCTTTTTATCCAATTTGCCAGTCTGTGTCTTTTAATTGGAGCATTTAGTCCATTTATATTTAAAGTTAATATTGTTATGTGTGAATTTGATCCTGTCATTATGATGTTAGCTGGTTATTTTCCTCGTTAGTTGATGCAGTTTCTTCCTAGTCTCGATGGTCTTTACATGTTGGCATGATTTTTCAGTGGCTGGTACCGGTTGTTCCTTTCCATGTTTAGTGCTTCCTTCAGGAGCTCTTTTATGGCAAGCCTGGTGGTGACAGAATCTCTCAGCATTTGCTTGTCTGTAAAGTATTTTATTTCTCCTTCACTTATGAAGCTTAGTTTGGCTGGATATGAAATTCTGGGTTGAAAATTCGTTTCTTTAAGAATGTTGAATATCGGCCCCCACTCTCTTCTGACTTGTAGAATTTCTGCCGAGAGATCTGCTGTTAGTCTGACCGGCTTTCCTTTGTGGGTAACCCGACCTTTCTCTCTGGCTGCCCTTAACATTTTTTCCTTCATTTCAACTTTGGTGAATCTGACAATTATGTTTCTTGGAGTTGCTCTTCTCAAGGAGTATCTTTGTGGCATTCTCTGTATTTCCTGAATCTGAATGTTGGCCTGCCTTGCTAGATTGGGGAAGTTCTCCTGCATAATATCCTGCAGAGTGTTTTCCAACTTGGTTCCATTCTCCCCGTCACTTTCTGGTACACCAATCAGATGTAGATTTGGTCTTTTCACATAGTCCCACATTTCTTGGAGGCTTTGTTCGTTTCCTTTTATTCTTTTTTCTCTAAACTTCCCTTCTGACTTCATTTCATTCATTTCATCTTCCATCACTGATAGCCTTTCTTCCAGTTGATGGCATCAGCTCCTGAGGCTTCTGCATTCTTCACATAGTTCTTCGAACCTTGGCTTTCAGCTCCATCAGCTCCTTTAAGCACTTCTCTGTATTGGTTATTCTAGTTATACATTCGTCTAAATTTTTTTCAAAAAGTTTTTAACTTCTTTGCCTTTGGTTTGAATTTCCTCCTGTAGCTCAGAGTAGTTTGATCGTCTGAAGCCTTCTTCTCTCAACTCGTCAAAGTCATTCTCCATCCAGCTTTGTTCCTTTGCTGGTGAGGAACTGCGTTCCTTTGGAGGAGGAGAGGCACTCTGCTTCTTAGGGGAGTTTCCAGTTTTTCTGCTCTGTTTTTTCCCCATCTTTGTGGTTTTATCTACTTTTTGTCTTTGATGATGGTGATGTACAGATGGGCTTTTGGTGTGGATGTCCTTTCTGTTTGTTAGTTTTCCTTCTAACCAACAGGACCCTCAGCTGCAGGTCTGTTGGCGTTTGCTAGAGGTCCACTCCAGACCCTGTTTGCCTGGGCATCAGCGGCAGTGGCTGCAGAACAGCGGATTTTCATGAATCGCGAATGCTGCTGTCTGATCGTTCCTCTGGAAGTTTTGTCTCAGAGGAGTACCTGGCCGTGTGAGGTGTCAGTCTGCCCCTACTGGGGGGTGCCTCCCAGTTAGGCTGCTCGGGGGTCAGGGGTCAGGGACCCACCTGAGGAGGCAGTCTGCCCATTCTCAGATCTCCAGCTGCGTGCTGGGAGAACCACTGCTCTGTTCAAAGCTGTCAGACAGGGACATTTAAGTCCGCAGAGGTTACTGCTGTCTTTTTGTTTGTCTGTGCCCTGCCCCCAGAGGTGGAGCCCACAGAGGCAGGCAGGCCTCCTTGAGCTGTGGTGGGCTCCAACCAGTTGGAGCTTCCCTGCTGCTCTGTTTACCTAAGCAAGCCTGGGCAATGGCAGGCACCCCTCCCCGAGCCTCGCTGCCACCTTGCAGTTTGATCTCAGACTGCCGTGCTAGCAATCAGTGTGACTCTGTGAGTGTAGGACCCTCTGAGCCAGGTGCAGGATACAACCTCCTGGTGCACCTTTTTTTAAGCCCATCGGAAAAGTGCAGTATTAGGGTGGGAGTGACCCGAATTTCCAGGTGCCGTCTGTCACCCCTTTCTTTGACTAGGAAAGGGAACTCCCTGACCCCTTGCACTTCCCGAGTGAGGCAATGCCTCGCCCTGCTTCGGCTTGTGCATGGTGTGCTGCACCCACTGTCCTGCGCCCACTGTCTGGCACTCCCTAGTGAGATGAACCTGGTACCTCAGATGGAAATGCAGAAATCACCCGTCTTCTGCGTCGCTCACGCTGGGAGCTGTAGACCAGAGCTGTTCCTATTCGGCCATCTTGGCTGCCCTCAAAAAATGCTGTGTTTCACTTTTAAAAGACCATGTATTTCTTGCTAGACCATCTTCTCTGTCCTGTGCTTTTGTCCCAACTCTTCACAGTTCAACATAGGAGCCAATTACAGAGGCTAGAATGGATTCTTTGGCTCCCTTTGTCTTTACCCTGGTGTTTCTTGCATGCTATCTGGACGAAAAGCTCAAGGCCTTTTTTTTTTTTTTGTCTTTAATTGATTCATAGGAGAGGCTTAACCCCTCCCACCTCAGAGCAGTTATATTTATATGGGGGTAAACATTTAAAATATAATCAAGGGAAAGTGGTTCAAATCTATTTCATTAGAGGATAAAAGTAATTGCCAAGTAGGCTTTAAACCCATTCAAAATATGAATTGCAGGTCTGGGGGGACCACCAGAGGCAGCACTGGCCTCCCAACCCGTATACGCCAGGGCTGTATCTTGAGTTTCATGTCTGCCATGTGGACCAAACCTACCCCTGTGACCACAGAGAGAGAGAGGCAGTCCTGAGATGCTGAAGAGACCTCTAATCCTTGACTTCTCCTCCTCCATTCCCCTTCCCCTCATCACTACCCCATCCCTCCAAAAGCACAAGTGTGTAAAATGTATTCATTTGCCAGAGGCTGTTTATTCTGTGTAATAGACACTTGTTGTCCCCCCATCCTTTCTTTTTAGATTGTCTGAACGGGCACAAAGCAAATTAGTGCAAAATGCTTTCAGCCAAGTGTCAGGTGGAATCATGGTGAAGAATGCTCCACTCTTGGGCTTTCTAACTCTCTTGGTGTCGTCCTGACAGCTTTGTCTTCCTCAATTATAGCTTCCGTGATGTGTTCTCTGTGTGGAGCCCCAAAACCAATACTGTAACTTCGGGAGGTTCTGTTTCAACAAAGACATCTTGAGCTCACTGTGAAAGAAGAAATCATAAGGATTAGAGAAAGGAGCTTTGCAAAGTCTCAAACATATTTTTCTGAATGGGGCATTTCCAGGCTTCTTTGGTTCTTGTAAAGATTAGGAAGTTCTACAACCATGCCACATATGAATGATATGTGGCATGAGCAGGAGACTCATTAATGACCTTTGTTTAAAACAAGCCTTTGGAGCCAGGAACTACTGGGAGCCCTTAATGTCCTTACACAAAATGTGTCTGTTCAAGTACTTCCGATATTACGGGGGAGCCTTAGCATGCAACGAAAAGGCAACTACTATTATGTATTGATAATGTTTGTAGTTCTCAGCTCAGCTTATATAGAAATAAGTTTAATTGGAACTTACATGATAATCTTCCAAGTCTAATTATTTTTAAACCATTAACAAATTTTATTTTTTCGAGATGGAGTGTTGCTTTGTCACTCAGGCTGGAGTGCAGTGGTGTGATCTTGGCTTACTGCAACTTCCACCTCCCAGGTTCAAGCGATTCTCCTGCCTCAGCCTCCCGAGTACCTGGGATTACAGGTGCCCACCACCACATCTGGCTAATTTTTGTATTTTTAGTAGAGACAGGGTTTCAGCACATTGGCCAGGCTGGTCTCGAACTCCTGACCTCAGGTGATCCACCTGCCTCAATCTCCCAAAGTGCTGGGATTACACGCATGAGCCACTGCACCCGGCCCCATTCACAAATTTTAGAAAAATTATCTCCTTCTAGCTCTCTATCTCCATTGCTTCAGCTCTCTCCCTTTCTCTCCTTCTCTCATCTGCTCTGTTTCTTTCTATTTTTTTCTATGTCTGATGACAGCATACTATATTTACTCTAATATCATCTGGAACCTAAAGCAATTATCAATTATCACTAAAGTTATCATCATCATCCATCCACCTATTTATTAAAGCCTGTGGAATATAATCCTTTTAGTAACTCAAAATGTGGAAAATACAGTAATAGATTCATGTCTACAATAATAATTTAAAATATATGCAAACCGTCTAATTGCCTCTAGTCCAAATGGTACCAATTAGATGACATCTACTGGGATTGCTTTCCAACATAATTGCTCTGATAATCCAAGCTCCACCAACAAAGTGGGCTTTAGAAGCCAATTGCTGTTGCAAGACTCCTGGAAAATTTGGGTAGACACCTAGACACCTAACTTAAATCTGAGCCAATCAGATCCCAGAAGTATTAGGGATCTGAGTATCAGGCAGCCATCTCTGGGAGGCAGAAGGAACATCCATGTATAACTGTTGCTGAGATTCCTAGGTTGGATTTGGCTTTCCAATTTATTAAATTGTTCAACCTTTTCTCTGATTCTATGCAATGCTTTTCTTACAGATCTTTTGAGGATAGCCACCATAGTTACTTGCGACAAAAATAGTCTTATGGAATCAGATTTGGATAGCTAAACATGAGCAAACTTTAAATGAGATATTGAGTGTAAATCTATAATCATCTTTTACTCTCAGTGTAATCTCTAAGGCATGGTATTCTGCCTGGCAACCTAGGTTTTAATAATGGATGATGATATTAAGTGTGTAATTTTTCTTTTCTTGGCCTTGATTTCTGTTTTTCTTCTTTTGACAAAATTTAAAAACAGATGAAATTAAATGGAATTTATTGGGAATATAGATAATTTATTCCAAATTAGATGCATTTAGATTCATTAGATGAAGAAAAATATTCATTCAGACAAGTCAAAATGAAAAAGTGGAAAAGTGGAAATGTATTTATAGGTGTTACTTTTCATCTCTTCAGTTTTAACCGATCGTTTTATTTTATGACATACCTGCATTTCCATGTTTAGGATAGAACATGGAACATGTATGTTCCTGCCTATATTAGGCAATTCTTGCATTGCTGTAAAGACTTACCTGAGGTTTAATTGGCTCAAGGTTTTTCAGGCTGTACCAGAAGCATAGCGCCAGCATCTGCTTCTGGGGAGGACTTGGGAAGCTTTTACTCATGGTGGAAGGCAAAGCTGGGGCAGGCATCTTCACATGGAAAAAACAGGAGCAAGAAGGGGAGGGAGGTGCTACAGATTTTAAATGACCAGATCTCATGAAAACGCACTATAGTGACCCAAACACCTCCCACCAGTCCCCACCTCCAACACTGGGGATTACAATTCAGCATGAGATTTTGAGGGGACATCCAAACTATTTCACTGCCGTGGCTTTTTCAAAAAATTTCAAATCACCAATTATAGAACTAGTTTAATTTTTATTCAAATATCTTGCTGCCCATTCCAGTTCACAAATGGTAATGAATTCTATACCATATGATTTCCAACACTTGAGATGATTCTTGGTTTTCGATTTACTTGCCCCCAGATAGACAGTTGTATGTTTACTCACATATATCAAATCTTGGATACAAAGGGCACAATATTATGAACCAGGGTTATATATTCCTGGAAAGACATCTTACAAAAAATAAATAAATGCTAACACATACTATAAACTTTTAATACATATGTAACAATTCAGTTAATATAATAAGTATGCCTCGAATGTTCTTTCATGGGGAAGGGAGAGTGGATTTTCATAATGGACTGACCTTGGCTGAAGATGTATGAGGCAAGAGTCCAGGGAAGCTGACTCAAAGGTGAAATTATTACTTTTCCAGAAAGATTTCCCTATAGCAAATAGCATTTTTTTTTCTTCAAAGAGTTCTAGTGGCTCTCAAGAGTAAGATCATCTTTTGCATACATACCTAGAACACAGAATCCTACGTAGAACGTCCATCATTTATTAATGATTGTTTGCTCTGTTTCATTGCTGAGTGACTATGAAGGAGAGTCTATAAATTTCATCACTTATTGAGAATATAATCTAAAACAAATCATTATCCCTCAAAAGAACCTGACGGCAAATAGGATATATAGATAGGTAGATATTAACATTCGAGGAATGTAATCTCTGTGCCTGCAGACAAATTTGGTGCCATATTTATTTTCCTAAAATGCAAGAAACTTACATTTTAGTGAAAGATAAAAGCCAGTAGTCTTTATTTTTTCAATTCATAGAATAAAATATTTTCAACTATTTCAGCTATAAGCATGAAGACAAATCTATATAAGTAGATACAACTATTTTAAAAGCAAAGACAATAGAGCAAAGCAAATTAACAGTTTATTTATGTAAAGTCATCTTCATACATTATTTTACTTAATCTTTATAATATCTCAGTGTGGTGAATATTATAATATCCATTTTGCAAAAGCTGAGAAGCATTTAAAAAATTACCTTAATGAAAATATCTGATAGGTAGAACAACCAGAATTTGAACTCTGGTTGGTCTAATTCCAAAGCCTTGGGCTACCTCCATTATGCCATGTTTCTATTATGAAAGTCACATAATAGGAGGGGAAAATGAGATAATTAAAATGTGTGTTTTCTTGTACATAGCCAATCCTAGCCATCTAATTTCTGGGATATATGTTGAACATTGGTTCCTAGTTTTTTCATTTGTGAAATCCCTTTTGCCCTGTGGAATAAAATTCATTATGCCTAATGCAAAGCTATTAATATACAAAATAGCCTGCTTTCATTATTCTCATTAGCTAATAAATAGTTTTTGTTTGAGTGCTAACCTTAGTCTAGAATGAGACAAATGAGACTAATGACTGACTGAAGAAGGGAAAAAGTATTTTTTTCCTACAGTTCATCACAAAAAATACAATAAATATTGATGATATTATAAGCCATAACAACATTCAATATTGAATGTTTACAAAGTGAACACACTGGCATTTATAACATCTTAAATACAATTTGTCACAAAGCCTTATGTTTTTTTTTGAGTACAGGTGATTTAAACAGAAGAGAGGACCACCCCGCCAACCAAATGTCCAGGTCCTATTCCATGGAACCTATGAACAGGTTGTCCCACATTGCAAAAGGGACTTCACAGATGTCGGTAAGTTAAGGCCATTGAGACGAATGATTCTGGATTGTCTGTTGGGCCCAATGTGATCAAAAGTTTCCCTAGAAGAGCTAGAGAAGATGCGATAATGGAAGCGGAATCAAAGACAGATTTGAAGATGCTGCTGTCTTTGGAGAGAATGGCCAGGAGGCAAGGAACACAAGCAGCCCCTAGAAGTTGGAAAAGGTAAGGAAATAGATTTTTCCCCTAAGAGCCTCTAGAAGGAACTCAGGTTTGCAGACCATCACCTGGAATTCTTCATACCTAGTGAAACTCATTGCTGACTTCTGACTTCCAGAATTGTAAGCTAACAATATGCATTGCTTTACGTCACTGTGTGTGGTGATTTGTTACAGCAGTGATGGGAAACAACACAATAGGTAAAATGGAAAGGTAGAGTCTTGGGTCCTAACTCTTCCAGTTGCATCATAAGGCTCAGTATGATGAATGCCGCAAGAACCACAGAATAATATTAAATGACTGTGTTTTGCAGGGCATTTAGGCAGGTGCATCCTGTGGCTATGTATCTCAGTAACCTATTTGGGGAAAAGCTCATGTGGCAAATATATAAAAATCAAAATTAAATAAAAACCATGAACTAGCCTTTAGGTTAATGTTTTTGTTTTAATAATACATATTCCATTATTTCAAACCCATGTTTTTTGTTTTACTTGGTGAATCTCTTATTCTTGTTCTCTGCCTTCAGATTTCACATATTAATTCTCCTCTTTATGATGTGAGCATTTTTGACAACATTTGTAATGTGAGTGTATCTAACACAATGATGGGACAAGGTAGAGATACAACAAACACTTTTTGAAAGCCTGTAAATAGCCAGATGCAACTTGGAAAGCTGAGGCAGGAAGATCTTCTGAGGTCAGGAGTTTGAGTCCAGCCTGGGCAACTCATAGCAAGACCCCATCTCTATAAAAAATTTTTTAAAAAAGAGCTGGGTGCGGTGGTGGGTACTAGCTGGGTAGCTGAAGTGGGAGGATGACTTGAGGCTAGGCGTCCCGGGTTGCAGTGAGCTATGATTGCACCACTGCACTCCAACCTGGGCAACATAGTGAAACTGTCTCTCTCTCTCTCTCAAAAAAAAAAAAAAAAAAGCATGAAAGTTAAAACAAGCAGCTTTCATTTTTTTCTTTATTGAGTTAAGCATAGTAATGATTTAAAAGGGGGCAATGAGAGTCAATGCAAGGCTATAAACTGGGACACTTCTATTCTCTTCAGTTACACTTTAAGAGTTAACAGAAACTCTAAAAATCAGTTTGACAATATGTACCAACATCTAAAAAGATGCTATATCCTTTTTCCTGGCAATCTCATTTCAAGGAATCTAGCTTAGAAAACAATAATCAAATATATAACAAAATAATTATGTGAGTGACGATGATTAACAATGAAAAATGTCAGGATAATGACTATTATGTCAATTATTTTTTAAAAATGGAATACCCTAGGAAATGGGATACAGAATTCTATGTATTAATAGAACGATACAATATTTTTTGCTTTCTTAAATGTTTTTCTAATTTCTAAAGTTTACACACTTTTTCATATCTATCTCTTATGAATAGAAAAGTTTGGTATAACATTTATGTATCCTGTGTATTCCCAAAATAAAAGGAAAATGACTAGATGATTCATTTACTGAGAGCTCAGACACACAAAATGCTTGTTTTAATGTCAGAATCATACCAATTGTCAACTAGCATGAATCAAATCTGGTGTGTGACTCTCTAATTATTTACACCTACATAATAACCACCAGATGCTCACTGCGACACAAGAGTTAGCTTTAGTACTCAGAGCATTTGTATGTAAATGAAATAGATATTGATACAGTACACCCAGGCCACTGGTTTAACTGTTTTTAATGGAACTAATTCATATGAAAGTCAAGCAACAAAAATTTACCACATTTCCTTACAAAATAGATGGCGAGCTATTTGACTAGAATGGTTAAATCAACAAGAATCACCACATATGACTGCTTTTTTTCAAGTGATCAAATTACAGGAAGCAATATGGCTCTTAGAATGGTGCACAGAGCCTACCGTTGTCGCTGACTCATACTAGGTCCTCACGGATAGTTCTTGAATCAATGTTTTAATAATTTATTAATGTCTATCAAATTCTTATCACATTTTTTGCTATTTTGACTTTTAAGCAAGTACTTCCAACATTAAAATGCCTTAGTCTGTGCTACTAATACACTCTGAGATTAGTTCGTGTCAGGCTGGTATTAGAATTATAATGCAATAGAAATTAATGAAACCCAAGTTTGAAGCCTTGCATATTATTCAAACCATATTTTTTCATGGATTTCCCTTTTCCTCCAAGGACCCTGTCTCCACAAACTTTGAGGTGAAAATCAAGGAGGAATGCTTTCCTTCTAAATATCTTCGATATTATTTGACAGTGCTTATTAAGTTTCCAGTGAGCCCCAGAGACATTGTGCCGTAGGGTCTTTCAGAGCAGACAGACACATTCAAGTCAGCTATAAAGCTGTGCTCCACGTGCTACCATCAGCGTAGCCCATGTGTCTTATGGAAATACTTGAGAAGAGTGTCTGCTCTGGGCAGCAGACACCACTGACAGTAATGGACGCTGTGGTTCTGCCTGAATACAAATGGTTTCCTTCTTCTGAAAATAGCACCTTGATTCTCTTTGGGCCCATTATTGAATGCATGGACTTTCAAACTACACTGCCATGTTTGAATCTCAACTCTGTGAGATCACAGACAAGTTACTTAACATCTCTGTGCATACTGCTAGTCATCTGTAAAATGGGGATATTATGAGGATGAACTGAGCAATTAATCACAAAAGCAATTAGAACAGTGCCTGACACATCATAAGCCCTACAAATTATCTGTTAGATAAATAGACAAATCTTCTCTCTTGCATTCTGTCCCCATGAGATTCTCTGCACTCCCTTGGCCAAGAAGTGGCACTTGATCTAAGTCAAATCCAGTCAGGCTCATTGTTAATAAACATCCTTGTCACACGTATCCTGGTATGTAAGTCTAATTATTATTCTTTAGGGTAGATTCTCTGAAATGAGATGGCTGGGTGACATATAAAAATTGTTAAGATTCTAGTACAGATTGTCAAACTGCTTTTTTTTCTTTTTTCTTTAATTTTTATTTTTCCTTATTTCTTCTAAAAAAATAAATGGGATGCATGTGCAGAACATGTGGGTTTGTTACATAAGTATACGTGTGCCATGGTGGTTTGCTGCACCTATTGACCCATCCTCTAAATGAGGGGAGTCAAACTGCTTTTTTAGGGAGTTTCTATTACTTTTAGAAAGTAACTGGAGTACACTGAAAAGAAACATTTTGACAGTGAAGCCCTAGAGAACTTCTTCATTAGTTTCTGCTACCTAAAGCCTTAGAGTTGCCGGCTCCTGTATTTCATATAAAAGAAACGAGTATTTCTCTTCTTATGAGAAGGTTGAATACTTTTAAATACGTTTAAGGGTCCTTTGTATGTCTTTCTTTTTATTTACTTATTTCGTATCTTTGATAGTTTATTATTGGGTTGTGGATGTTTATCTTATAGAAGATTAGCTTTTTTTTTTTTTTTGTCTATGAAATGAAATGACTGACATCCTTCCATGCAGAAGATTTATATTTTCTACCTAACCAAATTGATCAATCTATTTTATGGCTTCTGGATTTTGAGTCATCATTAAGTTCTTCTGCACTTTAGATAGGTAATGTAGTTTCTCCATGTTTAGTTAAGTACTTTCACATGTACATTCTTGACTTATTTATTCTACAATTCTACAATCATTAATTATAGACTAATTTATGCTGGATTATGATGCTTGCCCAGATGGATATATTTATAAAAAAACTCTTCAATGTTTTCTTCTAGTGTTTTTATGATTCATTCATTTTTGCTTCAATCTTTGATCAATTTGTGATATATTTTGGTGCACAGTGGCAATGCACTAGACTTATGCCATTAATTAGTTTAGGAAGCATATGCTCAAAAATCCAGAGCTCTAGGTAGAAAGTATTTTTACTTCCTGTATTGAGGTATTTATTCTGGCACTACTTAGTAAAAAAAACTATCCTCTCACTGATGAACTGTCATAGCATTTTTATTTCCAAAAGCAGTTGACTATAAACATAAATGTTAATTTCTGGTCTCTCAATTGTTTTCCATTTTCCCATATTGCCATTTTTCTGCCAAAACTACAGTCTCTTGATTTTTTAATTGCAGCTCCACGGTAAGTTTCAAAACCGGATGGTATCTGCCCTTCCACATTTTCTTCTTTTTCAAAATTGTGTTTGATCTCTTAAGTTTTTTGAACTCTCATATAAACTTTAGGATCAGATTAAGAATTTCTGCCAAAAAAAATTCTCCTAGAATTTTGATAGTGATTGTGAATTCATAGAAGTATTTAGAAAGAATTACCATTCAACCAATATTTACTCTTCTATCAATGAACATAAAGTATCTCTCCATTTATTTTGATCCTCTTCAATTTCTCTAAGCAATGATGCATTATTTTGCTAAGTTTATTCCTAAGTACTTTAACTTTTTTATCCTATTGAAGATACAAATATTTTACTCTCTCTCTCCTTCTGTGTGTGCGTGTGTGTGTGTGAGAGAGAGAGAGAGAGACGGTCTCACTCTGTCACCCAGGCTGGGGTGCAGTGGCACAATCCCAGCTCACTGCAGCCTCCACCTCCCAGGCTCAAGTGATCCTCCCACCTCAGCCTCTTGCGTAGCTGGGACTACAGGTGCAAACAACCAAGCCTCACTAATTTTTTGATTTTTTGTAGAGATGACATCTCAGTATGCTGCTCAGGCTAGTCTCAAACTCCTGGGCTCAAGTAATTCTCTTGCCTTGGCCTCCCAGTGTTGAGATGACAGGCGTGAACCACAGTGCCAAGCCTGAAATTTTTTACTTTTCTATTTCAAATTCAAATTTTACATTTCAATTTCAAAATTTCAAATTGTTCATTGCTAGTATATAAAAGTTCAATGACTTTTTGGTATCTTTTGGCTTTGTTAAACTCATTCATTAGCTCTACTAATTGAATTGTGTATTCCTCAGGATTTTCTAAATACAGAATCATGTCATTTATAAAAAGACAGTTTTGCTTCCTCCTTACAAGTCTGCCTTCTTTTCAGTAATTTTATTTTTCTCACAGCAGTGTGTAGAACATCCATTCTATTCAACTTTGTTGAATAGAAGTGTGAGAGTGGGCATCCTTGCCTTGTACCCATTTTTAGGAAGAAGCATTTAGTCTTTCACAATTAAGTTTGATATAAACTGTAAGTTCTTATAGATTGTTTATATCAGGTTGAAGAAAATTCTTTCCATTTGTAGTTTCTTGAGACTTATTATCATTGTTAGGTATTACATTTTCTCAAAAAGTTTTTCTATATCTACAAAATGATGAGGTTAAATTTTTTTCTTCATTCTATTAATATTATAGAAATGCCATATAATAATGACATACAATATTTTTAGGTGTTGCTGAATTCAGTTTGCCAAAAATTTAATAAGAATGTTTGTATTTATATTCATGATAAATATTGGTGTGAAGTTTTATTTTCTTATGATGCTTTTCTCTGGTGTTGGTGATAGAGTAGTACTGGTTTTATAGAATGAGTTGGGAAGTGCCCCTTCCTCTATTTTTTGAAAGAGTTTATGAAGGATTTTTATTATCTCTACTTTAAATATTTGATAGATCACACCAGTGAAGGCTTATATGCCTGTCTTCTTTTATGGAAAAATTTTTAATTACTATGGTAATGTCTTATTATAGTTAACTCGGGTTTTCTAGTTCCTTTTGAATCAGTTTTGATAATTTACGTCTAAGTTTTATTTTATGTAAATTATCTAATTTTATGGCATATAGTTTTGCACAATATTATACTTAATTCTTTTAATTTCTTTGTATTTGTTAATAATGTTCCTTTTTTATTCCTGATATTGGTAATGTGTTCCTTTTGTTTACTTTTTGTCAGTATAGCTAAGGGTGACTCAATTTTATTTTTGATCTCAAAAAAGCAACTTGGTTTCTTTTACTACTGTTACCACTTTCCTGTTTATTTCTTTTGTTATCCTTCTAATGTTTAATATTTTCTTTCTTCTAGTTTTGTTTGGTTCCATTTCCACTTGTTTTATTAGTTCCTTAAGGTGGAAACTTAAATCATTGATTCTAGAACTTTCTGATTTTCTTTAGTTGTTTTTTGCTATTAATGTCCTTCTAACCATTGCTTAACTGACCCCCATAAATTCTGCTAGACACTACTTTCATTTTTGTTAATTTCAGGATTTTCCTAAAATTCCCTTCTGGATTATTTAAAAGTATGTTGTTAAATTTCCAAATATTTGAAAAAGTGGCTATTTCTACGATTTCTGTTTCTTGATTATCTCTAATTCCATTGTGGTAAGATAACATATTTATAGGACAAAAATACTTTTAAAATGTTTTGAAGCTTATTTTGTGACCCAGAATATGCTCTATCTTGGCGAATTCCCTATATGTGCCTGAAAATAATATCTATCTTCAGTAGTTACACGAAAGGGTTTATATATGACTGACAATTAGGTCAAATTGTTTTATAGTCCTGTTCAAGTCAAGTCTTTAAACTTGCTGAATTTCTATCTTTCTTATTAATCATTGAAAGTAATTCACTGAATTCTTTCACCAGTTATTGTTGAATGGTTGATATATCATTTCAATTTGCTAGTTTGTTGTTTCATGTGTTTGGGATTCTCTTGCTAGATGTGTATACACATTATAGTTGTTATGTATTTCTGATGTACTTAAATTTCCCTCTACAAATTGCCCCCTACATATTTAGGCACTAAAAAAAATTCAGTCAATCTATGTCTTTGAATGCAAAGTGTTTTTGGTAGAAATTATAGAATCAGGTTTTAAAAAAAATCTAATCTGGCAGTCTGGTTTTTCACTAAAGAGTCTTTACATCTATTATCATTTGTATATAGTTAAAATTTTATTTGCCAATTTGCTTTCCATTTGAATGCTACCTTTTTTATTTTTTTATTCCTCTCTTACTGTTTTATTTTAGATTACATAAATATGGCTTTACTTCTGTTATTTCTTAATATATTATTTTGAGGGTTCTTTTTTTGTAGTTGTTGTAGGCATAATATTCCTCTAAACCTACTTCAAAATAATACTAATTTAAATCCATTAAATATAGAAACTGCTTCACTATATGTCCCTTTTCTACCTTCTCCTTTTTGTTATTTTCCTGTATATGATAAACCCCTGAAACCGTTTAAAATTGTAATTTAAAAAAAATCATAAGAAGATATGTGGCTACCTTATTAAGAATGATTTGGCTATTTTCCAGAACTCCCTGTTAAATCCTTGAATAGTCCTGTATTCTACATCTCACCTCCAATCGACCTTCAATCTCAGCCAAATGAAGCCTCTGAACTCCCTTGTTTTCTTGCCTCTGAGATTACTTTGACCACATTCCAAGTCAAGGGAGGCCTCTTCTCCCATGATGGGTAACTTCCTATTTTGAAAGCCAGCCACACCTTGACTGAACTAAGGCTCTGACAGAGCTGGCAGGTGGGATGGAGGATGGGAGCAGCCTTACTCAAAAATGTCTCAGATGACCACATTTAATACCAGAAGTTTGGTAGTTTTCATGAATAAACCCTTCTCTCTTCTATGCCTTTGGTTAAATACCAGGTTGCTGAAATGATTTTTTTTTTATCATCTTATCCAGATTTATCGTTGCTTTTTTGGGAATAGGATTTGTTGACCTTCTCACTCTGTCACACGGGCAATTGCTCTCTGGACATGTTTTATTGTTAAAAGACACTTCTAAAAATACAATACAGCCTAAAGATCTTAACTGTTCTCTTGACAAAATTTCTGCATTGCCTGTCAAGTTAAGCCTAGACTCTCCTGCCCAAGTTCATGGCTCATTTGTTTGGCCCCAGGCTGCCTTTAAAGCCTGTCCCTGACCTTGAGTGTGGCTTGGCGGAATAGCCTACTCAACATTTCCCTTTCCTCTCCAAAATGCTTCCTTTTCTCTTACTAACCTAGACAACTCTCTGTTCCACCACATGGACACTTCTTAGAGACTCTGTTATTAGTCACTTTTATACGGAGTATATTCCGCCACAGTGAGATAGTATCTTTTTTAAAGCAGAGGCTATGCATTATATATCTTCTTTGTTTCAAATGAGTCTAATTCAGATCCTTAAGCAGGAAAAGCATCACTGAATATTTGTTTCATAAAATAAGGAATAAAAACATGATATATTTCCCTCTGAGGGACAGTAATTAGCATCAGGCAGAATAAGAGAAATGCTGAAAAAAGAGATCTTAAGAAAGAAATTCGGTGGAGCCAAGATGGCCAAATAGCAACAGCTCCGGTCTACAGCTCCCAGCGTGAGCGACGCAGAAGACGGGTGATTTCTGCATTTCCATCTGAGGTACCAGGTTCATCTCACTAGGGAGTGCCAGACAGTGGGCGCAAGACAGTGGGTGCAGCGCACCCTGCACGAGCCGAAGCAGGGTGAGGCATTGCCTCACCTGGGAAGCGCAAGGGGTCAGGGAGTTCCCTTTCCTAGTCAAAGAAAGGGGTGACAGACGGCACCTGGAAATTCGGGTCACTCCCACCCTAATACTGCACTTTCCCTACAGGCTTAAAAAACGGCGCACCAGAAGATTATATCCCGCACGTGGCTCGGAGGGTCCTACGCCCACGGAGTCTCGCTGATTGCTAGCACAGCAGTCTGAGATCAAACTGCAAGGTGGCAGCGAGGCTGGGGGAGGGGCGCCCGCCATTGCCCAGGCTCCCTTAGGTAAACAAAGCAGCAGGGAAGCTCCAACTGGGTGGAGCCCACCACAGCTCAAGGAGGCCTGCCTGCCTCTGTGGGCTCCACCTCTGGGGGCAGGGCACAGACAAACAAAAAGACAGCAGTAACCTCTGCAGACTTAAATGTCCCTGTCTGACAGCTTTGAAGAGAGCAGTGGTTCTCACAGCATGCAGCTGGAGATCTGAGAACAGGCAGACTGCCTCCTCAAGTGGGTCCCTGACCCCTGAGCAGCTTAACTGGGAGGCACCCCCTAGTAGGGGCAGACTGACACCTCACACGGCCGGGTACTCCTCTGAGACAAAACTTCCAGAGGAACAATCAGGCAGCAGCATTTGTGGGTCACCAAAATCTGCTGTTCTACAGCCACCGCTGTTCTGCAGCCACTGCTGCTGATACCCAGGCAAACAGGGTCTAGAGTGGACCTCTAGCAAACTCTAACAGACCTGCAGCTGAGGGTCCTGTCTGTTAGAAGGAGAACTAACAAACAGAAAGGACATCAACACCAAAACCCATCTGTACGTCACCATCATCAAAGACCAAAAGTAGGTAAAACCACAAAGATGGGGAAAAAACAGAGCAGAAAAACTGGAAACTCTAAAAAGCAGAGCGCCTCTCCTCCTCCAAAGGAACGCAGCTCCTCACCAGCAACGGAACAAAGCTGGATGGAGAACGATACTGACAAGTTGAGAGAAGAAGGCTACAGACGATCAAACAACTCCGAGCTACAGAAGGAAATTCAAACCAATGGCAAAGAAGTTAGAAACCTTGAAAAAAAATTAGACGAATGGATAACTAGAATAACCAATGCAGAAAAGTCCTTAAAGGAGCTGATGGAGCTGAAAGCCAAGGCTCGAGAACTATGTGAAGAATGGAGAAGCCTCAGGAGTCGATGCCATCAACTGGAAGAAAGGGTATCAGTGATGGAAGACGAAATGAATGAAATGAAGCAAGAAGGGAAGTTTAGAGAAAAAAGAATAAAAAGAAATGAACAAAGTCTCCAAGAAATATGGGACTATGTGAAAAGACCAAATCTACGTCTGATTGGTGTACCTGAAAGTGACGGGGAGAATGGAACCAAGTTGGAAAACATTCTGCAGGATATTATGCAGGAGAACTTCCCCAATCTAGCAAGGCAGGGCAACATTCAGCTTCAAGAAATACAGAGAATGCAACGAAGATACTCCTCGAGACGAGCAACTCCAAGACACATAATTGTCAGAATCACCAAAGTTGAAATGAAGGAAAAAATGTTAAGGGCAGCCAGAGAGAAAGGTCGGGTTACCCACAAAGGGAAGCCCATCAGATTAACAGCGGATCTCTCGGCAGAAACTCTACAAGCCAGAAGAGAGTGGGGGCCAACAGTCAACATTCTTAAAGAAAAGAATTTTCAACCCAGAATTTCATATCCAGCCAAACTAAGCTTCATAAGTGAAGGAGAAATAAAATACTTTACAGACAAGCAAATGCTGAGAGATTTTGTCACCACCAGGCCTGCCCTAAAAGAGCTCCTGAAGGAAGCACTAAACATGGAAAGGAACAACCGGTACCAGCCACTGCAAAATCATGCCAAAATGTAAAGACCATCGAGGCTAGGAAGAAACTGCATCAACTAAAGAGGAAAATAACCAGCTAACATCATAATGACAGGACCAAATTCACACATAACAATGTTAACTTTAAATGTAAATGGGCTAAATGCTCCAATTAAAAGACACAGACTGGCAAATTGGATAAAGAGTCAAGACCCATCAGTGTGCTGTATTCAGGAAACCCATCTCACATGCAGAGACACACATAAGCTCAAAATAAAAGGATGGAGGAAGATCTACCAAGCAAATGGAAAACAAAAAAAGGCAGGGGTTGCAATCCTAGTCTCTGATAAAACAGACTTTAAACCAACAAAGATCAAAAGAGACAAAGAAGGCCATTACATAATGGTAAAGGGATCAATTCAACAAGAAGAGCTAACTATCCTAAATATATATGCACCCAATACAGGAGCACCCAGATTCATAAAGCAAGTCCTGAGTGACCTACAAAGAGACTTAGACTGCCACACAATAATAATGGGAGGCATTAACACCCCACTGTCAACATTAGACAGATCAACGACACAGAAAGTTAACAAGGATACCCAGGACTTGAACTCAGCTCTGCACCAAGCAGACCTAACAGACATCTACAGAACTCTCCACCCCAAATCAACAGTATATACATTTTCTTCAGCACCACACCACACCTATTCCAAAATTGACCACATAGTTGGAACTAAAGCTCTCCTCAGCAAATGTAAAAGAACAGAAATTATAACAATCTGTCTCTCAGACCACAGTGCAATCAAACTAGAACTCAGGATTAAGAAACTCACTCAAAGCCGCTCAACTACATGGAAACTGATCAACCTGCTCCTGAATGACTATTGGGTACATAACGAAATGAAGGCAGAAATAAAGATGTTCTTTGAAACCAACGAGAACAAAGACACAACATACCAGAATCTCTGGGACACTGCTTTGAATGTTCAAAGCAGTGTGTAGAGGGAAATTTATAGCACTAAACGCCCACAAGAGAAAGCAGGAAAGATCCAAAATGGACACCCTAACATCACAATTAAAAGAACTAGAAAAGCAAGAGCAAACACATTGAAAAGCTAGCAGAAGGCAAGAAATAACTAAGAGCAGAACTGAAGGAAATAGACACAAAAAACCCTCCAAAAAATTAATCAATCCAGGAGCTGGTTTTTTGAAAAGATCAACAAAATTGATAGACTGCTAGCAAGACTAATAAAGAAGAAAAGAGAGAAGAATCAAATAGACACAATAAAAAATGATAAAGGGGATATCACCACTGATCCCACAGAAATACAAACCACCATCAGAGAATACTACAAACACCTCTATGCAAATAAACTAGAAAATCTAGAAGAAATGGATAAATTCCTCGACACATACACCCTCCCAAGACTAAACCAGGAAGAAGTTGAATCTCTGAATAGACCAGTAACAGGCTCTGAAATTGAGGCAATAATCAATAGCTTACCAATCAAAAAAAGTCCAGGACCAGATGGATTCACAGCCGAATTCTACCAGATGTACAAGGAGGGAGGTGGTACCATTCCTTCTGAAACTATTCCAATCCATAGAAAAAGAGGGAATCCTCCCTAACTCATTTTATGAGGCCAGCATCATCCTGATACCAAAGCCTGGTAGAGACACAACCAAAAAAGAGAATTTTAGTCCAATATCCTTGATGAACATTGATGCAAAAATCCTCAATAAAATACTGGCAAACCGAATCCAGCAGCACATCAAAAAGCTTATCCACCATGCTCAAGTGGGCTTCATCCCTGGGATGGAAGGCTGGTTCAATATACGCAAATCAATAAATGTAATCCAGCATATAAACAGAACCAAAGACAAAAACCACATGATAATTTCAATAGATGCAGAAAAGGCCTTTGACAAAATTCAACAACCCTTCATGCTAAAAACTCTCAATAAATTAGGTATTGATGGGACGTTATCTCAAAATAATAAGAGCTATCTATGACAAGCCCACAGCCAATATCATACTGAATGGGCAAAAACTGGAAGCATTCCCTTTGAAAACTGGCACAAGACAGGGATGCCCTCTCTCACCACTCCTATTCAACATAGTGTTGGAAGTTCTGGCCAGGGCAATTAGGCAGGAGAAGGAAATAAAGGGTATTCAATTAGGAAAAGAGGAAGTCAAATTGTCCCTGTTTGCAGATGACATGATTGTATATCTAGAAAACCCCACTGTCTCAGCCCAAAATCTCCTTAAGCTGATAAGCAACTTCAGCAAAGTCTCAGGATACAAAATGAATGTACAAAAATCACAAGCATTCTTATACACCAATAACAGACAGAGAGCCAAATCATGAGTGAACTCCCATTCACAATCGCTTCAAAGAGAATAAAATACCTGGGAATCCAACTTACAAGGGATGTGAAGGACCTCTTCAAGGAGAACTGCAAACCACTGCTCAATGAAATAAAAGAGGATACAAACAAATCGAAGAACATTCCATGCTCATGGGTAGGAAGAATCAATATCGTGAAAATGGCCATACTGCCCAAGGTAATTTATAGATTCAGTGCCATCCCCATCAAGCTACCAAGAACTTTCTTCACAGAATTCGAAGAAACTACTTTAAAGTTCATATGGAACCAAAAAAGAGCCCCCATGGCCAAGTCAATCCTAAGCCAAAAGAACAAAGCTGGAGGCATCACGCTACCTGGCTTCAAACTATACTACAAGGCTACAGTAACCAAAACAGCATGGTACTGGCACCAAAACAGAGATATAGATCAATGGAACAGAACAGAGCCCTCAGAAATAATGCTGCGTATCTACAACCATCTGATCTTTGACAAACCTGACAAAAACAAGCAATGGGGAAAGGATTCCCTATTTAATAAATGGTGCTGGGAAAACTGGCTAGCCATATGTAGAAAGCTGAAACTGGATCCCTTCCTTACACAAAAATTAATTCAAGATGGATTAAAGACTTAAACGTTAGACCTAAAACCATAAAAACCCTAGAAGAAAACCTAGGCAATACCATTCAGGACATAGGCATGGACAAGGACTTCATGTCTAAAACACCAAAAGCAATGGCAACAAAAGCCAAAATTGACAAATGGGATCTAATTAAACTAAAGAGCTTCTGCACAACAAAAGAAACTACCATCAGAGTGAACAGGCAACCTACAAAATGGGAGAAAATTTTCACAACCTACTCATATGACAAAGGGCTAATATCCAGAATCTACAATGAACTCAAACAAATTTACAAGAAAAAAACAACCCCATCAAAACGTGGGCGAAGGATATGAACAGACACTTCTCAAAAGAAGACATTTATGCAGCCAAAAAACACATGAAAAAATGCTCATCATCACTGGCCATCAGAGAAATGCAAATCAAAACCACAATGAGATACCATCTCACACCAGTTTGAATGGCGATCATTAAAAAGTGAGGAAACAACAGGTGCTGGAGAGGATATGGAGAAATAGGAACACTTTTACACTGTTGGTGGGACTGTAAACTAGTTCAACCGTTGTGGAAGTCAGTGTGGTGATTCTTCAGGGATCTAGAACTAGAAATACCATTTGACCCAGCCATCCCATTACTGGGTATATACCCAAAGGATTATAAATCATGCTGCTAGAAAGACACATGCACACATATGTTTATTGCGGCACTATTCACAATAGCAAAGACTTGGAACCAACCCAAATGTCCAACAATGATAGACTGGATTAAGAAAATGTGGCACATATACACCATGGAATACTATGCAGCTATAAAAAATGATGAGTTCATGTCCTTTGTAGGGACATGGATGAAACTGGAAACCATCATTCTCAGCAAACTATGGCAAGGACAAAAAACCAAACACCTCATGTTCTCACTCATAGGTGGGAATTGAACAATGAGAACACATGGACACAGGAAGGGGAACATCACACTCTGGGGCCTGTTGTGGGGTGGGGGGAGGGGGGGAGGGATAGCATTAGGAGATATACCTAATGTTAAATGATGAGTTAATGGGTACAGCACACCAACATGGCACATGTATACATATGTAAGAAACCTGCACATGTACCCTAAAACTTAAAGTGTAATAATAATAAAAAAATTAAAAAAAAAAATAAAAAAGAAAGAAATTCAAGATACGTAGTCTTGATTTCCTTAGAAAAATGATTACTTCATTAGTTCTAAGTGAGCATGGGATAGGAGGGATGGGGGCTTAAGGATTAAGGGTATTTAAAGCAGCCGAGGTTGAAGGCTGAGAGAAAACCAGGTTTGGGTGAGAGATTAGAGATGGGAGTAAGAGAAGAGAGAAAAGCAGAAATGCCCTGTGTGGGGTGCCCTCACAGAGCTCTGGACATAGCTTAGAGTAATTTTCAATTGAATGAAACATGGTCAGACTAGAGATATCCCTAGCCAGAAACCTAAGTGTGGGCTTCCTTCATCTCTGTGCACAAAACGTAGATACATCTTTGGTCTTCAAATGCCTTTACAAAGTCAGGCAGTGTTCTCTGTGGAGAGCTGGCTCGATTTTCTTTCACCTGGTCATAACCATTCAGAGTGTGCATACAGGATTACAGGAAGCTTTCTCTTCCCATACTAAGGCACAGCTATAATTGTCTGTTGCAAAGTAGAAGCCTGAATTTTTTTTTAATAGGAAATCAGAGTTAAGACCACTGTAACCACAGATTTATATGAAATAGAAATTACAACTGTTCATGATCTTTTAGATGCAAAGTTATCAATGAGACCTAATAAAGACTAGTGTTCTTTTTATGTCAATAGGCAAAATAGTACTATTTATTTCAGAAATTTCTCTAAACTTTCAGTGGTTTACATTTTTACCTGCCTCAGATAATGTATTTACCATTTTTGTTTTTTTAAAACCAAATTCATATGATGAATCAGTCTCACAATTTATAGTAAGATTAATTTTTTTTTGAAACAGTCTTGCTCTGTTGTACAGGCTGGAGTGCTGTGGCACAATCTTGGTTCACCGCAACCCCTGTCTCCTAAATTAAAGTGATTCTCCTGCCTCAGCCTCTAGAATAGCACCATGCCCAGCTAATTTTTGAATTTTTAGTAGAAATGGAATTTCACCATGTAGGCCAGGCCGATCTCGAACTCCTGATCTCGGGTGATCCACCCACCTCAGCCTCCCAAAGTTCTGGGGTTACAGGCATGAGCCACCCCGCTGGCGAAGATTAAAATCTTGTTATTATGTTTCCATATTACTGAATTTAATTGAACTGTTTTAGGGTCCTTTCTGCCTTCCCTGATAGAATAATTGTGTACACTGGAGAAAATTTCCTGGTTTATTACTGATTCTACACTAACTCAGTCCATTCTATGCTACCGTGAAGGAAGTCACAGCTCACACTTGTGAAAATGTACCCATTGACATTAATCACCATTTTATACTGCCCTAAATATATCAGATTAAACTTGGATGATTTTTTTTCTGCTATAAGGTAAAAGTTGTGTCCTTTTCACAACTTTTCACAACTGAAATGCTTAGTTCAATCTTATTTGTCCCTTGTGAAAAAAATGTAGAATTTACTACTCACAACATCCCTCACTGAATTTACGGCTTGCATAATGTTTCTGCTGTCTTACAATATTTCACAATAGTCAATTTAAAGATCTCATCAGCTGATGTAGCCCATTCTTACAGCTTGTTGTTAAAAACACTCAATAAACCACAAGTTGGAATAGAAGTCAGTGATATGCACTTCTTATAGAATAAAATAGCAACAGTAAAATATGTTGTCCTTTGCTAACATAATTCCTTCCTATTATCTCCACCACCCTTGTTTTCCTCTCTATAAACCTTATTTTGATGTCTTAAAATGTGGATAATCCCTAACTTTGGTTAGTACTCTTTGGCTCAAAAGAAATAGTTAAGGGCATAAATATCTGAACATTTGAAATACAGATTATGTTCAGAATCGAGTCTATGACTTAAAAACAAAATTTTGTGCAGCTATTCCACTATTATTCTGGAAAAAATGACACTGTATCTAGTAGGAAGCCAGAAGGGGACAAGCGCAGTACTGGCAGTGGGCCAGCGTTTTGTGTTAACTTCAAGAGCAGAGGTGATTTTTAATGCTTCAACATCATTCATGAAATATTATATATATAATTTGTACTTACAATAACAAGTGTGCTCTCCAAGGAAACATTAAAATAAATAGCTTCTTTAACTCTTTTGTACCTTGATCATATCTTATTTTGATGAACCTATAAAAAACGAAGATAAGATTGATGTTGGACAGATCAGTAGGGCAATCATGTAGTTTATTACATATTTATGACTCTGAAAGATCAAAGGATGTTTTTATGCACATAACTTGGCAAATGCATTTTGCCACGTTCAGATATGTTCCAAGTGACTTCAGTGGGGAAGTGAAAAGATCTGGCACTATGCCTGTAATGCTATTTGGCAAGACACTGAATGATGGTGGGATTCAAGAACACAATAACATACTGTATTACATGTATATGTACACACACTCTATATATGTATGCACACATTCACTGGTATATAGGAAACGTGTGACTGTATACACACTCTATGTAAATATGCTCAACTCTTACATAATCAAAGTAATTAGATGAAATAGTTATATCTGTGTGTATAGTAATATTTTGTACACTGAAAATGTTGACATTATTCTTCCTTATTGCAACAATTTCAAGAAAATTTTAATTACCGTTAATACATCACAGATGATTAACATAGTACTGCACACACTATAACTAATATTTTTGTATTTTTACTAGAGATGGGGTTTCACCATGTTGGCCAGGCTGGTCTCGAACTCCTGACCTCAGGTGATCTTCCCTCTTCGGGCTCCCAAAGTTCTGGGATTACAGGCGTGAGCCACCGTGCCTGGCCCCTACTTCCTGCCTTTAAAGTTGATTCTTCAAAGGTTGATTTACATTTGCAAAACATCATGGCTAAAATAATCAGAGGACAAACATTAAATGCTGACCAAAATAAGAAAACATACTAGATGTTATGTTAAAAATAACCAGAGGCCGGGCGCGGTGGCTCACGCCTGTAATCCCAGCACTTTGGGAGGCCGAGGCGGGCGGATCACGAGGTCAGGAGATCGAGACCATCCCGGCTAAAACGGTGAAACCCCGTCTCTACTAAAAATACAAAAAATTAGCCGGGCGTGGTGGCGGGCGCCTGTAGTCCCAGCTACTTGGGAGGCTGAGGCAGGAGAATGGCGTGAACCTGGGAGGCGGAGCTTGCAGTGAGCTGAGATCCCGCCACTGCACTCCAGCCTGGGCGACAGAGCAAGACTCCGTCTCAAAAAAAAAAAAAAAAAAAAAAAAAACCAGAAAGGTTTGCCATAAAGACATGTAACTTGGTCTAATTTTACAAAAACAAGATGACTGTTTGCTTGATTTTTCCTTTTAGTCTTTTTTATAAGTGAGTAATTTGGGAGGGCAGCTTGAACACCAAGTGGAACAGCACCTAAACACTGGTACTTCTTGCCTTGTGTTGGTACTCACACATGTGAAAGGTACAGGTTTGCATGAGATTTCCTACAATGCACACTGCATACATGTATAGAGACTAAGGCTAAGACAATGCTATTAGTTAGCCCCAGGGGTAAAAATTACTTCTTGCAAGTCATTCTGTGCATAAATGATACTCCAAGGTGTGAAAGCAGAATCTGTTCTTCAAATAGGATAGGTAAATGCAGATATTTGTGTTTGAGCTTCATAAGCTTGAAAATAAAGAATAATTCCAGATTATAATTTTATACTAATTGATTGACTCACACAGTTGAAGAAGGAGGGTATCAAAACGTCCTAATAAAGAACCTGTCAACATCATGGAGGGGAGTATCAGTATTACCTGGAGCTAGGGTGACTCAGGGCTTCTCGTTGCATGACTGTTGTTATTATGCATATATGTGTTATATTTGAATATGCGAGTGTGTGATGTGGTATAGTATAGCATAATTAAAATGTGCTTCATGCTCTGATTATCTGTAGAATAGTTTTTTATAAAAAGCTTAGTTGTTACTATTCACTGATAGAATTTGTGTTGCTCCAAAAAAATTATAATTTACAGATATAAATACGTGACTGTAGGTATAACAAAATATGTGCTCCAAAAACCCTAAAACATTTATTAGTGCTGTCACAGAATTAAGAAGACATTCTATAAATGAAAATTTGAACTAGAAAAGTACAAATTCCTCAAATTTTTATGACTTGAAATGATATTCCTTAATGTTCTTACTAGGGACTTTTTCCTTTTTTTTTTTTTTTCTTTTAGGCTTACTTGCTTCCACTTTTGTCAAATCCCAGTGAATCCCAAACTCTTTGTTAAACATAGACAGAAGTCTAGGCTTTAATGAAGAACCACATCCCCTCCCCACTAAATCCTTTCATTTAACATGCGCTCATATGATTATCAAGCAGTTGAGAGGGTATTAGCACTTACAAAAAAAACCCAGATTTTATTTTTACGTTTTTCACATATTTTATGGAGTATAGACCACACACCTATTAAAGGGCTTCTCTTAATATGATTTGAGATTTGTAGTCTTTCCTTAGGAGACCAACTCAGACTATGTCTTCCTACCTTTCAAAAAGCAATAGGCCACAGTGTTTAAGAGCATGATCTCTGAAGCCAGATTGCCTGGATTTGAATCCTGACCACTTAATCACTGTGCAAGCTTGAGTGAGTTATTGAACTTCTATGTGCCTCCATTTCCACAGCTGTAAAATTACGATGATCATAGTTGCTGCCTCAGAGAGTTGCTATGAGAGTTCAATGAACACTATATCTAAAATATCTAGAACAGTGTCAAGCAAATTGTTAACACAGCATGATAACCATGTCAAATTAATGCAGTTAGCTATAGGGTTCTCCAGATAGTGACATTCCCGGACCACTTCCCCTTCCTGCGTCCATCAGATATGTATTGAGTGCCTTCTGCATGCTGGATTCCACGTCAGATGGACCACACACACAGACTAGCAGGAGCCTATGCTCAAGGATACTGTTACGTCATGCTCTTCTTCTGGGATCTGGAACTCTAAATTCTTATACTGCCCCCTCTCAACAACAAAGAATAACTTTACAGTGATAAAGCCTGACAAAAAGTACCTTAGCCATGTGATCAAGGTTAACATCATCCATTATAAGCAATGTAGATAGCATGCATTCTTGTTATGTGATGAGAATCACATTTTACACCTGTGGTTTTCTCCCCAAAACCCATCACCACAATCAAATCATGGGAAAATCATCAAACAAATCCGTATTGAGGGACACTCCACAAAATGCCTCACTGCTACTTTTTTTTTTTTTTTTTTTTTTTTTTTTGAGAAGGAGTCTCACTCTGTTGCCCAGGCTGGAATACAGTGCTGTGATCTCGGCTCACTGCAACCTCCGCCTTCTGATTCAAGCGATTCTCCTGTCTCAGCCTCCCAAGTAGCTGGTACTACAGGTGCACACCACTACACCTATCTAATTTTTCTACTTTTAGTGGAGACGGGATTTCACCATGTTGTTCAGGACGGTGTCAATCTCTTCACCTCGTGATTAGCCCATCTTGGACTCCCAAAGTGCTGGGATTACAGGCTTGAGCCACTGCGCCTGGCCACTGCTACTCTTTAAACTGTCAAGGTCATCAAACACAAAACCTGAGAAATCGTCACAGCCAAAAGGAGCCTAAGGAGACATGATAGCTAAATGTGATATGAATGATAAGAATCTTGCATGGGACTTGGAATGGAACAAAAGGACAAAATAAATCAAACAAAGAAGGAGGTAGAAACTAAGCAAATCTAAATATAGATTTCATCTGAGTTTATTTAGTTAGTTAATACTGCATCAGTATTGGTTCATTCATTTTGACAAATGTGGCTATAATAATTTAAGATTTTGCCAATAGAAATAGTGTGGGATATATAGGAATTCCTTGTGCTATCTTAGCAGTATTTCTATAAATCCGAAACTATTTTAAAATTTTAATTTATTTATAAAATACCCCTCTCTGCCCCAGAATTCTGGTCATAAAATTATCTCAAATTCCAGGGGACCCGTGAATGGCCAAACCCTTAAACAAGAAAATAATCCCTTTTCTGTTCAAGGACTTTAGAAACAGACCCGTCCAAACAAAAATCACTGTCAATGATGCAGCTTTAACATTCTCCTACACATTAGTAATGGAAATGTAAATGGAGCTAAAGATTCAGGACCTCCATTTTAGAGTAATAATAAGAGCTAGCATCCACTGAGCCTTTATTATATACTAGCTCCATGTGAAACTCTTTTCATGGATTAGCTCTTGGAAGCTGTTCAACATCCTCCACAGTAGAGACTCTGATTGCCCCCAGATGGGAAGACCGTTTGCTCTTGTATCTGTGACAGGCTTGCCCCTGTGATGGTGCAGTTTTAATTCAATGCTGGGCTTCTAGAGGTCTCTCTGCTTTCCTTAAACTGAGTGCCCCCGTTCAGATGACTAAATGGCTATTCAACAAGTGCCTCCACTGGGCTTCCTGGCATAAGCTGTGTGACACTGTAACATTGCACAGGGTCTCCAGTGAGACCATTCACCTACAATGGAGAACAAGAACAGTCAGTCTTAATCCTACAGGCAAGAGTTCATAATACTATCTGCATGCCCCCACAAGGCAACAGAAGCATTTATCTAATGATTGTGGATACAGAAATAGCAAGATGGGGTCTACGTAGTTAGTGAATTCTGGAATTTTGAAAGTACACTGGAAACAAATCTCTGTTATTTCAATTAATAAGTCTCATAATCACTCTTAGTTGGTCCTGCAGAAAACACTGAGGAAAAAATGACTACACTGAGTCAAATCACCAGTTTACTTCAAAGCTAGACAAGAGCACAGTGTCCCACACTCAGAAGGAACCCCAGCTCAGTCCAATGCTCTGTGGGCATCATTTGGAAATTCCTAATAATTTTGGAACAAGGGGGTTCTGCCTTTTCATTTTGCAATGGACCCCACAAATCATATAGCCAGTCCTGTGTGTAAGTTTTACGTTTGTTTTTCTCAAATGAAATCTCAAGTGCTGCTTTTTAAATTATATCTACCAGTGTAGCTACACAATTTCGTCTTTGCTGAGTCTTCTTCCAAAAGACAGAGCTAGTCTTAAGAAAGTAAGTTTATTCTAATTCCTACATATAATGTCTCAAATCAAGCGGTGAAGTAACAGGACTCAACTCCTATCTTTCTATCTTTCTGTTACCTGTTTGCAAACACTGAGTTCAAAGCCTGGGCAAGTAGACACATTGAACCTGTGGTGAGATCCTAATCACAGATACAGACACTGTCAAACAAACCAAGAGAAAGTCATCAATGCACGGCTATTTTCCTATCTGGCCTGGTCTAGAAGACTGAATGCCCCAGTGGTTGGCCTACAATCACAGTGCAAAATTACAGAACTGAGAGTGGTTCAGGAGAAAGTATCCTATACAATCATGTGGCAGAAATATTTTAAGGCCATTTATCTGCAACTGACTTTATACCCACCCGAGCCAGGCAAATTCTGATCTCCAAATTTGCCAAGAGATGAAAATAAATTCCCTTTATTAAAGAGAAGTTATGGACAAACATTAGCAAAGGATTATTAAACGGAATCACACATAGACTTTGTACACACCGAAGGAGCCCAATACTAGTAGTTTTGAATTTAACCAGGCAAAATTCTCATCACACCAATGAAAGTGTTATTTTTTGTTTGTTTCCTGCAGAAAAACTAAAACCAGGAATAGATATTTCTACCAGTATTTTTACAATGCTTCATCATCGAGAAAAGTATAAAGAAATCTACTGAGAATGCCATCAGAGTGAAATGTCTTCCTTAAATATAAGAATTTTCTGAGTGCTGCTAATGCATTCTATTTAAAGAAGCCGATTTTAGAATCACCTGCCTAATGGAGAGATTTGGTTATTTCCACTCTGAATTCAACTACAGAATACACTTTTTTTTTTTTTTTTTGCTCTTGGCTTTGGCTTTACAGCAGCCTCTAATTCTTACTCCTACAAATATCCCTACTGCCTTCTTGGGCTTTCTCTCTCCCTTCCTATTGTGTCCTCCTGAGGTCTCTGCCTCTCCCTGGAGAATCTCGGGGCCAGGGCTTGCTTTGGTAGCCGAAGGCCCCTAATGAGAGTAGCACTGACATCCCAGCCTCTAAGAAAGTGCCTTGTCTGCGTGGTCATCTCAGAGTATGCTTGCAGAGGGTATCTTCTCACCCCTGTCAAGAGCTTTTGTTGAGTTCAAAACCTTATTACAATTAGACTGGAAAAGCCTCACCGGGTTATTTAGATGTTATCTCTGCTGGCAGAGAAATTTTCTGCAACATAGCCTGTAAAACTTCTTGTAAACTAAAGCTAATTGGCAGAGAATCCTCTGGTGTTCTAGAGATAATTGTGGGACACTGTCAGGAGGTTTCCTTTGGGTTTACAATGGGATAATAAAATATTTTTTTTCTTAGCTTGCTTTCTTCTTCTTTTTTTTTTTTTGGTCTCGACTCTCTCTATTTATCTTGATTCTTCCTCTATGAGATTTTTCAAATGTCCTACCACAGAACAGAGACCAATTTCACTCATTTGTAAAAATTAACTAGTTTCATGTTCTACATGTGTCAATGTATCTGCCAAGCTCAGCTTCCACTTCACCCCTAAGCAGATAGTCTTTTGGGCTGTTGTCTACAGCAGATGGATTTGATGGGATTGCCTATTACCAATGGGAACCAATTAATAAGCTCATAAAGGGCCCAGGATACATACTACTCCTCCTGAAAGGGAGGAGTGACTTCAATTAGATTTTCTTTCTTGGAAGTTTGAATTAGAAGATGCAAAGGAACTAGATGGTAGTGGGGGGAGGTGAGAGATCCCCATGCAGAATTAAAGGTGCTGGCCATACATATATATGCAAGAGAAAGAAAAGAATAGACACTTGTGGGGAGAAAATCAGAACTGTGAATAACCGTGAGAGACCCAGAGAATAGCCACAGCTCTTCTCTTTCTGATTATATTGTGTAGAAGTTCTACCGGTTGTTTATTTCATGTCTTTCCATTCAATATGATCTTTACGGAACCAATGTGGAAGAAGCTTGTATAATACTCTATCCTTCTTAGCTGAGCTTACTCAACTGAACTATTTTTAAAATGTTTGACTATTTAACTGGGACACTGAGACACAAGGTAGGAGTAGAGGTCCTGTCCTCATTTTCTGCTGAGAAACAGGGAAGAAAAAAATGAAGACAAGGTATGGATTTCCTGTTGGGAACACGATGCATGTGGTGCCATAATCAAATTTACTTCTCACACAACCTTAGAACGGGGGTGCAATTATACCCCTACTAGGTGAGATTGGGTGTGTTCAGGGTGGTATAGGTGAAGAACATGCCCCTATTTGATGTGAGGAAACTGAGATTCGAAATGTTAAATTATCTGTCCAAAGTAATTGAAGAGTCCAAGATTTAAACAATTTTTTTCCAATTTTAAATCTCACAGTATTTTCATTATGCAATGTCACTTAACTACAATAACAAGGTAAATGCAAAAAGAAGAGAGAAAGAAAAAAAAAGGAAGGAAAGACAGAAGGAGAGAAACAAGCACTGACTGAGTCCTTACTACATGCAGGATGCTTTACATGTTACTTAATTCAGTCTTCACGACAACATGTAGAACAGAACTGACATTTGTATTTTTATATATGAGAAAACTGAAGCTAAGAAAAGTCATGAAAATTACATAGCAAAGGGTGGAGCCAAGATTTATGCTAAGCCAAATTGACTGCTATACATCAGCTTCCACTAAACTGTGGCTTGGTCCTGGAGAAGCATCCATGCCAGAACAACAGAACAATTATAGATGCATGCGTACCTTGAACAAATATAGAGTGAACAATGTAGATGTAGGTACAAACAAAATGTGAGTTTGGAGGGAGCCATCATAACACAGACACATTCAAAACACTTATGGAGTCTGGAAACAATGGAAGAGCATGGATGCCCAAAACAATGGAGGAAGCCATGGACTGTGCCCACCCAGCGGACACTGCAACACACAAGCAGCCAGTGGACTAGCAGGACTCCCAGAATGATACTGAGATGACAAAGGCAGCACGTGCTAATGTACAATGTGCTCATCACTTCTACACATTATTGTATATTTCCCTAGGTTTTCTGAGGAATGGGTAAATCTGATAGCTGATAGGGTTTGGATCTGTGTCCCCACCAAATCTCATGTCAAACTGTAATACCTAGTGTTGGAAGCGGGGCCTAGTGGGAGGTGATGGAATCATGATGGGGCGGGGGGTGGTGGTTTCTCCTGAATGGTTTACCACCATGCCCCTTGGTAGTGTCCTCAAGATAGTCAGTGAGTTCTCCTGAGATCTGGTTGTTTAAAAGTATGAAAGTGTGTAGAGCCTCCCCCCTGTCTCTCTTCCTCCTGCTCCAGCTGTGGAAGATGTGCTCGCTTTCCCTTCACCTTGCACCATGACTGTAAGTTTCCCGAGACCTCCTCAGAAGCAGAAGCCACTGTGCTTCCTATACAGCCTGCAGAACCATGAGCCAGTTAAACATCTTTTCTTTGTAAATTACCCAGTCTCAGGAGTGCGAGAATTGATTAATAAAATGGTATATTTATAATAAAATGTTTCTTTGAGTATAAGTCTGTTTCCATTCACTAATACAAATTATAATGACCAGATTGACAGGTGTTGAATGTTATCTATGTGCCAACCTCTTCAAACATTTATTGTAATTTATTCTCATCAGGATTGCTAGTATCCCTATTTTTAGAAGCAACAACTAAAACTCATAGTGGTTGGAGAACTTCTCTAAAAGCATGTAACTATTACACATAGAGACAGGGTTCCAGCATCATCAGACCTGACTTCCAATCTAGTGCTCTTTCTACTATTCCTCAATTATTATCACTGCTACTAGGCACTAGACAGATGACAGACATTTCCACCTTCTATTGTATGGTGCATAAGCCATGCAATGTAATAAGGAGTCAGTATGAAAGTTTTGCATTTCTAGGTTTTCATTAACATAAAAAACATCATGCCCTTCTACCTTAACTAACTAAATAAAATAAAGTGTGTGTAAAACCAAAATAAATTCAGCTGCTTGCAGAGCACTTGGCACATAGTAGGGACATAATAATTACTTGCTGAATAAATGCATGAACAATTCAGAGAACTCTTGACTGAATGTTTCTTTTCTTTAACTTGCCTATTCAGCATAATCCCACAGATTTTGAGCCAATTATTAATGTTGGAAACGCGTTTAAGGGAACAATGCTTTTGAACACAAAGAACCAAGTCACTTTGGTGTGTAGTGGTGAAGCCTGAGCCTTTTGTCCCTCTGCAGGCAGTTTACTATTAAGCTTGCTGATTAGCTAATCAGCAATTAATTTAATTATTAATGCTATTTACATATTTGGATTTTTGCTATCATTGAGCAAACCCTGCTACCCTCCCCTTGCTTTGAATTTTAAAATTTAAAAAAGGGTTAAGAAGAGAGAAGATAAGTGACAAATGAGGCTATGAGACGCCAAACAAACCAGAGTGACTTGTAATGAGAGATTACACATAAAGGCGAAAAGGAATTACATGGAAGCTGAGTGAAGGATGGACTATTTCTCTGTAGGGACTTCTAAACTTTGAGGTAGAGACTATGTATAAATGCACATCTGTACATAATTTATAACAAAACCTGGGAGCAAGCGCAGCTGCTGGCTAAAGCCCACATGTCCCCATAATTTCCATGGTAGTTGGTGGCAGTAGGGGAGGGGTCACAGAATTTTTTAGCATCTTTGATCTCAGTTTTGTTTAGCCTGAAATTCAGCTGAAAATGCTGCACTTCAACTAAATATTAACGTGCACTCTCCAGTAAGAACAAAAAAGGTATAAATTATGTCTGATTGAACAAACACAACCCCACTGTTGAACAGCCAGTCAATGGAGAGGGCAGGGAGAGGCAATGGAGCAAGGTAATGTGTAATCTCACCAGTCAATGGACTGTGGGCAGGCCTGGGCAGCCCATCGCTGGAGGTGTCAGGGAGATAAATAGCAGAGTGTCCTCCTCAAAAATATGATTAATACCCTACTCGGTCCACTGCTGAAGATGCAGTGGGTGCAGCTGGTCTGGACAGCAGTTGCATAGAGGGAAAATCCAGGATGATCGCAACAGAGCAGAGAGGGCAAAGAGGAGGACAAACAGCCACCTGACTGGGGATGCTGAGGCCTGGAGGGTGGGGCGGGGTCTTCACTGGCCAAAGGTCTTTGCAGGCTGTGGCTTAAGTAATGCTTAGGGCCCTGTCATGCCTGTGTGCCTGAGCCCCAGAGGCCATTGCATTGAGGGAAAAAGACAAGCTGGAGTTGAATGTTTGTGGAATAAACAATGATCTTGAAGAACTGTGATATTTATGATATAAGTGCTGTGTGAGCAACACGCTGTCTTCAAACTATTTAATTCTCACAGATTAGTGTGAGGTAATGGGAGAGAGAACTCCTCTTCTTCAGGTGGAGAGACTGAGGTCCAGAGAAGTGAAGTAACTTGTTCAAAGCCATGTCTTCAGTAGGTGGGACAGGGATCCAGAACTCACAAACTTTCTCGCCAAACCAAGCTGACTCCCCAGAGATTTGAAAACAAAACAAAATCAAAAAACCCTTTGATCAGAGTTCATCTTTGGCCATTTACTGCAGTTTCCTCTTATCATCTCTTCTGCCCCTTCCTTTAAAGGGTTTTGGTCAGACTTTTTTTCTGATTTTCTGTTTCTTTATAGACAAGGATGTCAACAAAGGATTTTCTAAAGTTTTTAGCTCTATGGTCACTTAGTTTGTTACACACACACAATCACACGATGGTAGTGACAAGCAAATCGATATGTTCTCCTATTTCACTGGCAGAAGACAGGAGAACTTTCTGCTCTGGGGCAACTATGACTGCCATATTTTCCTCCTCAGGTAATTCCTCCTGAGTGGTCAAGATACTACAATGTTAATAAGGCCAACACAAAACTTGTCCTGGCGCACTACAACACCAGGATGGTGTGAGACAACAGGAACACAGAAGGGAGGTCTACTTAAACCTGGAATTATTGGTTTACTGCCTGCTGTTCTTAAATGTAGTGAACTGAAAGCAGAGTTCTACAAAACTTAATATTGAAATTCCAGAAATGAAAAAAATAAAGACAAATATTTGAAGTCCAATCCAAGTTAACTCTAATCAAGAATTGGTCTTATATTACACTTTATAAGTGTGGGATGAATCCCAAAGAAATGGGTGAAACATCAGAAGGTGAGAAGGAGTAACAGAAAAGCTGAGGTATCAAGTTGACAATACAATCTAATAGACAGTGATCACTGTGTATCTGTTTCTGAGGAAATGGAAAGATGTTGGAGGGAAAACATTATCCAATAATCCAAAGGGTTTCAATGATTTGATCTCAGTAATCAGAATTGTTATGATAATGTATTTATCATGTGTCATAGTTTATATTTTTCAAGGTCCCTCCACAAGTGACTTCCAGTATATCTTTATTGGTTTCATATCCAATACGGCTTTCCATACTGTCATGTACAAAGTGGTACTTTGTTAAATGCTGATTCTTATTTATTAGTGGGGCCTGAGATTCTGCATTTCTTAAAAGCTCCCAAGGCATGTGGATGTCACATGTAATACATTTTGAGTATCAAGGCTCCATCATACCTCTTGGATGGTAAAACTGAGCAAACACACAAGTAGTAGTAGGTAGCAGAGCCAGAATTTGAACTCAGAGATGCTTGACCAGAAAACTCATACCTCCCTGGCATATCACTGCCCCTCAGATGACGGTATGTCACTCAGTTCCAAAAGAGTTTTGACCTCAGTTGCAAAAGCAGTAGGAAATAGGAAATTAAGTTTCTGAAGTGACAATGTTCATCTCAGGTCAGAGTGACCTCTTTGTAAGGTCTCCAACATCTCTTTGATGTTGTGCCTCTTTGTGCCCTCTGAAGAGATGTTTAAACAAATTCCCTGCTATAGAGATAGCCAGGTAGGACCACCACTACAGAGCAGAGTAGTTCCTCCTGGACACACTCATAGTTGTTTAGAGTCAAAGTGTTTATCGACACAGTCTAGAGGGCAAGAGCTTGCCCAAGCGCCCCTAATCTGGCCATGGTGGAGATCTTCATGCACCCTACATTTCTAAAGTTGGTTTCACACCACGCTCCCCCACAATCTTTTAAAGCTTTACCAAAACAGGAAATGAAGGTTATGCTGACGTGACCCTAAAGCCACCACTCCACCAAGGCCACCAAGGTAACTGCAATACATTCATTAAAGGTAAAGCCAATGGCCACCATTTCGTGTCATCTTCTTGTTCTGGACTTAGTCAGACATGTCTGCATATTGCAAACAGCCAAAGGATGGAAATATAAGTAATACATTATCTGATCATAAATTATTTCTACTGTTTCACACTTTGTATCACAGCAATTCTTGCTAGATTTTATATCTATCATTAGATTATTCATTTTTTCATGCTTACCACAAATATTTCTTAATTCTCCAGCCTAAGCCACAATCTTGAAATGTGATAAAAAATTATGTATCTATTACTACATATGCATAAACAGATATATAATAATATGTAGTAAAATATAAATACACATTTATGCATGTTTGTGTACGTACAATTATTTTCCACTCAGTTTTAGTATGAAAAAAGAATAAAATAAATAAATGAGTGGTTTTGTTGCCAAATTAGTTTGGGAAGTATGCTTTATACCTTCTTAAAAAATCAAAACAATGTGAAAACTCTTATGGTAAAGAAATTTATTTAACATTATTTAGTTTTGCATTTCTAACAAGTATTTAAGTTTTGTTTGTTTGTTTTTACTTCCTGTTTATAAAAGGCTCACAGAATAGTGCTCTGTAGACCCTTCCTCAGGAAATGAATCTTGTATCAATGAGTCTATTTCTGGTTTATGGTATATGTAGTATAATACAGTAGACACACTTGAATTTGGTTTTGATCAACTGCAATCTTTTAGATCGTTGCAACAATGAAACATTTTATTTGTAGAAGTGTGAGATAAATTGTATCCTTTCACATTTTCTATTTTGGACATTCCCTGAAATAAGTGTGTTTCTAATCAGTTGCTTCCTTTCACCAAAAAAAAAAGGAAAGAAAAAATACGTACGATGTTCAAGAGACTTTAAATAAAGTGTAAGGTAATTTTTTTTCTCAGAATTTAGCCTGATACGTGCATCACATGCACATCACACAAATGACACAATACATGATTAACATGACACCATACATGATTAACATGACACCAAAGATGAGTTACCATTTTTAGAAATGTAAGAAGAATTTATTTATCATGATACAAGGTATCATATGAGAAAATTATGTAAATATTATCAGAACTGTTCATTGAATTCATCTCATTAATGTCACAGGTTTGGAGCGATCATCTAACCTAGCCTTTCAGTTCCCAGGTGTCCAAAGACTAGAAATGACACACTCAAAGTCACACAGCTGGTGAGCTGAGTAATGTGGACAGAAACCCTTCCTTATCTTTAGGCACCAAGAACTCGACTCTGCCTCAGGAGCCTCAGGAAGCTCCTCGAAGGGGTCTTACTAAGGCCATTTCCTCCTCTAATTTCATGTGTTCTTAGGTTTCAAAAGGACTGGTTGAAAACTAAGATCTTAAATCAATTCATCGTGTTGGGAATGGAGCAGGATAGAGATCGTTCCTGAAGGTAAATATAAATTTGACATTTTCCCAAAATTTTACATAAACAAAATAAAGTGAAAAATTCTGAGGACAAGGTATTGAAACGAAAAGTATTTTGAGTTTAAGAAATAAAAAGGTGGTCTGTTAATTGACTTGTACAAATCATTTTCTTGATTTATTATGTAAGTAGCCACACATATTGAAATAGTTTTTAGTATAGTTTGGAAATTACATTTTAGGACTCTGGGGGATGGGGAAGGCTTAGTATGTGGAGACATCACCACCACATTAAGGAGAATTTCATTCTATAGTGGAGATGAAGAAAATACAGAAAACTGACATCATCCTTGCACTTTCTTCTCCTGAATACATAATCTCTCTTTAAGTAAAACACTAAATAAATTCATGGACTCAAGACTCAGGCTAAAACTAGATGCTTTCAAAGGCCCTGGTTAATGAGGAATCTTTTAAATGTGACATCTACAGTGCAAATTAACCAATATTGCATAGCAAAAATCTCTCACAAGAAATCTGGTCAATGGTTTATGACAAAAAAATTAATGCTTTCTGTCAAGAATAAGGGTTAAGTTTAGTATTAATCATAAAATGACCTTTAATTGCCAAACAAAAGCAATTTGTTATTTCACTACAATCCTGAACTCACCCTGAGCATTAAAAAAAAGTCATAATTTGCTTAGTATAAATATATTAAAGTATTAAGCCCACTCTGCTACTCAATTAGTAAACATGTCAAGGGGTGGGTGAGTTATTCATGGTTCAGAGGGCCAGCCCCTTTTTACAGGGAACTTTTTTCACTCTAATGAAATGATGGATAATCTGGAAGTAGGTGCCTTAAGAAGATATTAATCATTCTCTGTGGTAATGTTAATCATGCGTTCCATCATCTCCAGATGCCATGGATCACCTTCCTCTGAGACAAAGGGCACCTAAGCCAGGAGAGTCCTTTTGATCACCTTTCTACAGAGACCCTTACATGCGGCTGACATTAAGACAGCTTTAGATTTCAGGGCATCCTTAAGATAAAAATGGCTAATGTCGCATAAAACTCCTTCAGCTGATTTTTGAGCAACATAAGCTGAGATCTCTCTCAAGCCCTAATTATTTACCTTTTTTTACGTTGCTCATATTATAACAGGAAGAGACTTAAGCTATAGAAGTGGAACACAGAAGTCCATCAAGTAAAATCCATAAATGTACGTCTTGGCAAACTGCTTTTATAGTCTAGGCTTCTAATCTTACAAAATGTTAGTGTTCAGCGGGTCAGATTTATCTCTTAAAATGTCTCTGATGTCTCCTTGAGTTAATGAAACAGCATGCCTCCAGAGATACTTCTGGCCAATTAAACATTTTTATGGCCAGTGTTTCTTTAAAGAGAAAAAAATGTTAAGTGTAATCTGAGGGCATATCTTATGAGGCTAAAATAGCTCCCATCACAGACTAATTTTGAATGCTTCATAGACCCCAGTGCCTGAAGAAGAAACCTGGAATGATTCCTAATGCTAAGAGGTTGCTCCATATAAACTGCCTCGGAAAGATGAACCTGAGGGAAACCAGTAATACTCCCGTCATCCTGCAGAAGTATTAAGGACTCTAGAGGTTAGATAATATCTTCAAATACAAGAGGCAACATTTTCTTAAATCCACATGTGTACATGGCCCCATCTGCAACTGTACAAGAGGGTAACTGATGAGATTGTAAGATCTCCTTTGAAGGGACAACTTTACTTGCAGGCAAACACTCTCTGTATGATGGCTTATGATACTCAGACACAGTCACTAAATATTTTGATCAACATGTGTGTACACAAAGAGCGGGGGACTCACTTCTGGCCTGCTGGAGAAAACTGGTTACTTTGTTCTTCTCTCAAATTTAGCCCTCTAGTCACCCTCCCTGCTTGGTTGGTGTATCTCAATAATCCACCAAAGTAGCAAAATACGTTTATGTAGGTATATTTGTGATTTGCCTAATGGCTTGTTTTATTGGGTTTTCTAACTCCAAATACTTTTACCAACATTTTATTTCACCTCCAATTTTCCTCTACCCCCGTAAATAGGCCATATTCTAAACTTTGTCTGGTACCAAAACAGAGATATAGATCAATGGAAGAGAACAGAGGCCTCAGAAATAGCGCTGCGTATCTAAAACTATCTGATCTTTTGACAAACCCGACAAAAACAAGCAATGGGGAAAGGATTCCCTATTTAATAAATGGTGCTGGGAAAACTGGCTAGCCGTATGTAGAAAGCTGAAACTGGATCCCTTCCTTACGCCTTGTACAAAAATTAATTCAAGATGGATTAAAGACTTAAACGTTAGACCTAAAACCATAAAAACCCTAGAAGAAAACCTAGGCACTACCATTCAGGACATAGGCATGGGCAAGGACTTCATGGCTAAAACACAGAAAGCAATGGCAACAAAAGCCAAAATTGACAAATGGGATCTAATTAAACTAAAGAGTTTCTGCACAGCAAAAGAAACTACCATCAGAGTCAACAGGCAACCTACAAAACGGGAGAAAATTTTCGCAACCTACTCATCTGACAAAGGGCTAATATCCAGAATCTACAATGAACTCAAACAAATTTACAAGAAAAAAACAAACAACCCCATCAAAAAGTGGGCGAAGGACGTGAACAGACACTTCCCAAAAGAGGACATTTATGCAGCCAAAAAACACATGAAAAAATGCTCATCATCACTGGCCATCAGAGAAATGCAAATCAAAACCACAATGAGATATCATCTCATACCAGTTAGAATGGTAATCATTAAAAAGTCAGGAAACAACAGGTGCTGGAGAGGATGTGGAGAAATAGGAACACCTTTACACTGTTGGTGGGACTGTAAACTAGTTCAACCATTGTGAAAGTTAGTGTGGCAATTCCTCAGGGATCTAGAACTAGAAATACCATTTGACCCAGCCATCCCATTACTGGGTATATACCCAAAGGACTATAAATCATGCTGCTAGAAAGACACATGCACACATATGTTTATTGCGGCACTATTCACAATAGCAAAGACTTGGAATCAACCCAAATGTCCAACAATGATAGACTGGATTAAGAAAATGTGGCACGTATACACCATGGAATACTATGCAGCCATAAAAAATGATGAGTTCATGTCCTTTGTAGGGACATGGATGAAACTGGAAATCATCATTCTCAGCAAACTATCGCAAAGACAAAAAACCAAACACCGCATGTTCTCACTCATAGGTGGCAATTGAACAATGAGAACACATGGACACAGGAAGGGGAACATCACACTCTGGGGACTGTTGTGGGGTTGGGGGAGGGGGGAGGGATAGCTTTAGGAGATATACCTAATGGTAAATGACGAGTTAATGGGTGCAGCACACCAGCATGGCACATGTATACATATGTAACTAACCTGCACATTGTGCACATGTACCCTAAAACTTAAAGTATAATAAAAAAATTGAAAAAAAAAACTTTGTCACCTCGTAAAGCAGCCCTACCTTGGACATTTAATTTCAATTGCCAATTGCATGATAAAAGATGAGTATCTTTCTTTCTCATAACCTCAATTCTACTGAATTTCTTTATTGGCCTCAGTGTGTTTTGCCTCTATACTTTCCTTGTCTGGCTCATGGAACTGGTCAAAACCCTCTATTTCTGTATATCTTTATGTCCAATGCAACCAGCCAAACCTCAAATATGTAGTGATTTCACAAAATACACTAGGTTATTAAAGCAAATCTTTGACTCTACGGCCTGTTAAGTCAACTGGCCTCACTAATTTTCCTAATTTATGGACAACTCACTCAAAGTCTCCCATGAAGCTTCTTCACTCTTCTCAAGCATTGGCCCTGACTTTGTTCCCCTTTTTCTCAGCCAATGTTCTTACTGCCTTCTTATTGGAAAGAGAGAGGCCCTCAGAAGAATTCTCAATATTCTATTGCCTCGGGCACCAAAAATATGCCCTTTTCTATGTTCTTCACTTTTGTCTTCTTAAATGACAATATGTTCTTCTTTCTTTGTTAAAAATTCACTTGAGATCTTGATTTCATATTCTGCCTTTTCTTCTGGAATTGTGCTCCTGTACTCATGCTTTCTTGCTCCAGAACCTATAATTTATCTCAGTCATAAACAAACCCAAGGCTCTCTTTCTCTCTAGAATAAAAATGTTTCCTTCATTTCATGCCTCCTCAATCTCTCTCTCTCCCAATTATCATATAAAATTCTTAGAAGTAGAGTCTATACTTCTAGATCCTGTACTGATTTACATATATCTTCTCTCAAATCCATCTGGCATTTGATTTCATTGATGTATTGAAATTTAAATTTCTAAGGCCATCAGTGACTTCATAGCAAATATTCAGAGCTTGTTATATACCTGGTTTTATTCTAGGTGCAGGACACAGTAAGAAACAATATATTTAAGAAGAGACTAATAATTTTTTCAGAGCTTACATAATATTATATTGTCAAATGTAATGATTATTTATTTTTCTTGACTTTCTGGATCTCGTTAATTGCTTCATGTACCATTTGCATCACTTTAACAAATCATTCCCTATCCCATCCTTGTGTATTAGCCTGAAGTGTTAGTATTCTCTAGAGTTCTTAGTTTTTCCAATGTTCTTTACGACCATGCATTTTGTAGTTAATTTTATCCACTCTTATGTGTTCAATTACCCTTATATGCTGATTTCTCTTATCACTATAGTCTAAACTCTTCCTCTAATCATCAGACCTATACATCTCTGTGCTTCTGAGTTTCAAACACTTATATAGAGCAGAGACCGTCAAATTCAGGATGCCCAAATTTAACATGTCACCTGCTTAAGGTCAGCCATTTCTTCTTTTCTTAACTTAGTTATGGCACCAACAAAATCTGTCAATTCAAACTAAAACATTGAGGATCATGCTGGATTCTTCTTTCTCTATCCTTTTATCTAATAAAATATGTCCTCAAACATTCATTTTCTGAATATTTCCTGTTGAAATTATATTTCCTAATTATTTTACTCTGCTTTAAACCCTAAGTTCCCTCATGGGCATTAATAACTGCTTATTATCCTCCATCTCAATTTAATCATTCATAGAGCAAACACAATTTGACTATGATGAGACTTACAAGTTACTTAATGAGAGAATAAAGCCAAAGTCTTCAACATGGCATATAATATCTTGTATAATAGTTTCCATTGGCTTTGCCAGCATTATATTTGATCATTTTATGACTCACCACTTACATTTTACCACAATGAACAACTTTTATTTTCTTTTGCACACACAATACTTTTTGCTTATTTGTTGTGGTCATCGTTTTTTTTAACCTTCACGTTTTCACTTATGCTTTCCTATCTGCCTGGTTGTTTTTCTTCAGTGGTTTACTCAAATTCATGCTTATTCATCTCTCTCTCTCTTTTTTTTTTTTTTTTTTTTTTTTTGAGATGGAGTTTAGCTCTTGTTGCCCAGGCTGGAGTTCAGTGGCACGATCTCGTCTCACTGCAATCTCTGCCTCCCGGGTTCAAGCCATTCTCCTGCCTCAGCCTCCTGAGTAGCTGGGATTACAGGCACACACCACCATGCCCGGCTAATTTTCTGTATTTTTATTAGAGATGGGGTTTCATCATATTGGCCAGGCTGGTCTCAAACTCCTGACCTCAGGTGATCCACCCGCCTCGGCCTCCTAAAGTGCTGGGATTACAGGCATGAGCCACTGGGCCCAGCTGCTTTTTTTTTTTTTTTTTTTTTTTTTTTTTGAGACAGAGTCTCGCTCTGTTGCCCAGGCTGGAGTGCAGTGGCATGATCTCGGCTCACTGCAATCTCTGCCTCCCAGGTCCACGCCATTCTCCTGCCTCAGCCTCCCCAGTAGCTGGGACTACAGGCGCCCGCCACCACGCCCGGCTAATTTTTTGTATTTTTAGTAGAGACGGGGTTTCATTGTGTTAGCCAGGATGGTTTCGATCTCCTGACCTCGTGATCCACCCTCCTCGGCCTCCCAAAGTGCTGGGATTACAGGCGTGAACCACTGCGCCCGGCCTGCTTATTCATTTCTTAAGGCACATTGCACATGTCATATCTTCCATGGCAATATATTCTCATTATCTGTCACCTCCACACTATTGCTGAGTAGATGTCCATCCTGTATGTTCTCCAGCACTCTGTGCTTACAGTAGCATTTTATAATTATCTCTTCACAGGACAGGTCAATCTTACTAAATTGTAGTTACTCTACGATAATATTTCTAAATCCTCCTTTTATTCTTACTCTCTAACTCAGTGCCTGATATAGAATATTTCATGAAGATTTGAAAAGAAATTATTTGAAAAAAGGAAGAAAAGGAAGTTACTCATTATTCACCTTAAGAACTTGAAGCAGTGGCAGTTTGTGTTTTCCAAAGAGGCTACATCCATGCATACCATCCTACTTTCTCTTCCACAATGAAGGTGACCTTCATCCTTTAAGGGATGTGGGTATTTATTTTATTCATAAACATTTAGTGAATGGCAATGGCAACTACAAATATGGGCTTTGGGGATGCAAAGATTATTACCTTATGGTTTGTTCACTAATGATATCAGGAGAGGATATACATATAAAGACATAACTATATTACAGATTATAGTGAGATTAGAAAGGGCAGAGGTTCTTTAGGAGGAGCACAGATGAAGGTGTTTCTTTTTTAGGAGTTTGGAAAATGATCATAGAGGAGATGACATTTAAGTAAAACTTGGAAAAACCATTAAAACTTGGCCAAACAAAATCCAGGGAAAATATATTATGGAGAAGACTATGTGTGAAATTACAGGAAGTTAAATATGAGAAATTCGTAAAACCAGATGTAGTTCAGAAAGGCTGGGATGCAGGGTGCCTTTTTGGGGAATGATGGAAGATGCATGCTAGATCTTTCTTTCTCTGAAAAGTGAACTTTCTTTAAAAGATTAGTGTCAGGGGTCATTGGTACCCACACAGTTTTCCAACATCAGCTCTCTTCTAGCAAGTACTCAGAGATATGTCAGAGTTGGATCACTCTGGTGAACTAAACAAAACTGCATACTCACCCTTTCTTATTTTTTTGTCTGAAATATTCATGGTTGAACAATGTTTCTCCCCAGGGACTTGAATGATGATATTACTGAAGGCTCAATAGTGGTCTTGTCCTTCTTGTGCGGCAGGAGTCATTTCAGGAACAAATCTGCCCATGCTGAGGCCACTGGAACTCATGTGACTTTTTAAAGCAAGAGTCAGAATGTGCCCTTGGACAACCTACTTTGAGATGACCTCTACAAATATCACAGGCATGAATTGCTCTCATCCTGCTTCCAAGGCAGATGCTTTTGCTATTGTTTTCCTAAGATTGGGTCTTTCCTGAGGACTTACTGCACTGGCACAAACAATGCCTTTCCCCCAAGTCTGATAATGTCCCATGGTGGTGGACTCAATCACATTCCTTCAAGGTCTTCTCACCAGGAGAAGCTAAGCACACACCTCCTTGTTCCTTCAACTCACAGCCAGTAACTGTTAGAAACATACACAAACAGGCCTCTTATAAGGGTAATTATTAATGTTCACATGTAGTTTAAATGCATAAAAAGAAAACATTTCCAAAGAGCCTCTTAATTTGCATATCTGCCTTGCTCACAGTAAAGTTAGTACTTCTTTTCTTTTCTTCTTTAATTGACATATATATTGTACATATTTACGGAGTATATAGTGATGTTTCTATACATTTAATGTATAGTGAGCAGATCAGAATAATTAGCATGTCCATCATTTTGAACATTTATCATTTCCCTGTGTTGGGAATATTCAGTATCCTCCTTCTAGCTATTTGAAACTATCTAATATGTCTTTTTTTTTTTTTTTTTTTTTTTTTGAGACGGAGTCTCACTCTGTCACCCAGGCTGGAGTGCAGTGGGATGATCTTGGCTCACTGCAACCTCCGCCTCCTGGGTTCAAGCGATTCTCCTGCCTCGGCCTTTTGAGTAGCTGGGATTACAGGTGCCCATCGCCACACCCGACTAATTTTTTAAACTATATTTATCCTACAGTGCTATAGAATTCTGCAGTTTGTTGAGTCAGTACTTCTGTTCCTCACTTGAGCAACTATATAAAGATGTTGTTGATTATAAACACATTATCAGTTAAAAGTAGCAAGGAAATCCTACCACATGAAATAGCCATTTCTCAATTAAAATGTGCTGGCATATATTAGGATTAAATATTTATATGTATAATATAAGATAATAAAAAGCCTATCTTAGAACTTTAAGATAGGCTTTATCTCTATTTCATACACCAGTTGAAAGTTAAGTAAAAGATTCATACCCAATTTAGCAAAATTCTAACTCACTCTCAGGTTTCCTTAATGGCTTAGTCTAAAGACTTACCATATTTCCTAGGCATCATTCTTCAAAGTGATACTCTGAATGAATGTAAAAATTATATGCTAACTTTTTTGAATTTTTGAAAATTTATTTTTAATTTAGTTTTGTATCAGTGGTAGTGGGTAGTTGGCAGGAATACTGGAATCTCCTACATATTATAAAGGTATGGTATCTAGTAGCTGAATATTTTTCCTGCTACAATCAATTATGTTAGTGTTTTTTGGTCAAGACAAGTTAATGAAAATAATTATTTTTTCCCATGGATATTCACCAAAATATAGACTACAATAAAAATTATGTGCAATATTGAGGATGAGAGAAAATAAGTTTTCTAAAATTACATATAGAAGTTGAAAAAAAGATTTTTACTAGTTTGTGTTGATCTTTCTATGCCAAGTAGATATGAAAAATACTTGTTGTTTGAGTACAGTGCATCATAGCACAACTTATTACCCTAAAGATTTGGAAAGGTGACAGGTCAAAGGATGCTCTCCCATATGCCTGAAGCAAACATGTTTCATAAAATAGTCACAAAATTTAACTTAAAATATTGGCAGTTTCTCCGCTATGTCATACCAATAATCGAACAATTTTCGAGTTTTAAAATTCTCTTAGCATATTAAGAAATAGGTTACCTATGTCACTACTAAATAATAAAAGTGCCATCTTCTCCTTATATGCTGACAATAGCCTATGAGGTCAAATTTATAAGAGCAAAATGTGAAGTGGCTGGCAGGATGTTAAGGATACCTGGACTTATTGTGAATCATGTTGGCCTTGTCAAAGGACACCAGTTGCTACCTGGGACCATGGTCACACAAGGAAAATACCATGGGAAAACAATTGCCTATATTATCTAGATAGAAACACTTTAGTTCAGTAATTGGCAAAAGCACGTCTCCTATAGCCCCATTTTCTTTTGCAAACTTCCAACTTAATCTGCTTAAGCCCATTGCTTTTCCTGACATTCCCATGTCCTGAAAACCATTAGCCTAACTTGTATTTGTCGGGACTATCTATATCCTTGGACTATTTATAAACGCAAGCTGTAGTTAGAAGACAAACCAGGTTGATATACTCTGATTCTTCCTTTGTATTTGTTGTTAAAAAGTGCACTCTTTGATGTGTTCACACTCATTTCACAGGGACGTGCTGATACAGCTTGGCCAGTAAATAAAAGGCATCATGGGATAAGAGAAAGAAGTAGACCTTGAAGTGAGGCTGGCCTACACTTAAATTGTGACTCTATCACAGCTATGTGGATGACCTCAAGCCAGTTATATGGCCTCTCTGGCATTCAGCTTCCTCATCTGTAAAACAGAGATATTCATAAGTGTAAATGACCAGTTATGGGCCTGTTCTGGGGTATCAGCTCAGTAATTTATAGCTATTGAGTTTTTCTGGAAATACAATCCTCTAGAGGGTGAAGAATTAGTTACATTCTGCTCTCTTCCCTCAGGTCACACCTGGAGATTTTTTCTTTATTTCTGGAGTCCACCTTTAAGGAAAAGGGGTTTTTATGAATGAGCAAATGCACCAGAACAGTATAGAGAATCAAGATTTTGTTCTGTGAGCGATGGCATGGAGGAGAGACTGTGTGGAATGGGTAGGAAGTTTTGTAAAATAATTGCAGATATATAATGTGTGAGAAAATGTAGAACTATTCACATGATCCCAGGGAGCAGGACTGAGACTGGAGTGTAGAAACTTCAAGTAAGCAAAGTTGTAGCAATAGAAAGGAGAACTTGGTCATAATCCAATAGCTGACACAAGATGTACATCTGTCCAGACAGAGGCTGGCTAACTATTTGGTCAGTAGTCTCTACAGGCGGGCTGAGTAATAGTAAAGTGAATTGTACTATTTGGTATTAAGAAGATGTCTGATCCTAAGAGTTTATTTCAATTCCATGTGAATTACATAACTTACAATGACAATTTAGTGGTCAATTTCAAAAAGTAGTATTCACCAAGTCCAGTGAGGTAGAAACCACCAGACACGGTCACCTCCTCCTTCTTTAATCATCCTCTTTCCATTTTTCACTTAAACCCTCTCCTCTGCCACCAAGTCAATCTAGGCCCTCTGCCATCTGGTCCTAATATATGTTCCCAGTCTCACAGGCTGCTTTCTGCTAACTGGCATTCCTAGCTGTAACCACACCCAGGCTGCTTATTCATGCAAATGGAAGCCATGACTTCTCTAGCCTCCATGCCTCTGTCCACGCACGCCATATACCTAGAAAACCTCCTCTCCTCCCTTGGTCCTAACAATTTCTCTTCTTGTCAAACCCTAGCTGCGGTTTTAGGATCATGACTGTTTCTTTAACAATACCAAGACAGCCCCGAGGCCAGGACCATACCTCCATGTTTGCCATTGTCTCAACAATGTCTTGTCAATGTGAGGTCTTTTCGATGTTAAAAGATATTGATTTACCAGAAGCATTTTTCCTTAAAATAAATAAAAATTAAAACTTAAAGAAAGTTATGGGATTTTTGCAGGCATTTTCAGCTGTAGTCATGTTGGCTAGTCTTTAGTGAGATATTGTTCTACCAAAGTTTGGATACACAAAAACAATAGAAGATCTACACCAAAATTTTAAATAAAATATAGATGACACGAGGCATTTCAGGCAGCAGATTTACTGTAGATGATGATTTTCCACATTTCCCAGAAAATTGTAACCACAAGCTACTCTGATTGATGGGGTCAGGCTCCGACTGAGAATCCGATTGGAGCTTCTCCTGGCTTTGACAAGGACGCCTGCACTCCTCTAAATTAGACAGGGCCTCTGCTCTCTGTCGGGTACAACCCAAGCCCACATTGCCTGTTTAAAGAAACAGCGATTTTTGTTAAGATCCAGGACACAGACTTTGAGGACACAAATGCATACTTTTTCCAGCTTTTCTCCCCCTCTAGTAAAACAAAGGCTTTGAAAGCATTGCATATGCATGCTTGCAGCCATTGCATTCTGACTGTCTGTTGGTTGATGATGATATGAATATCCAGCATCAATTGTTTCCAGGTTATTTTATGAAGGGGATCTATTCTAAGTTACCTTTTCCAATAAGGTAAAGACATCATTTCTTTGAGGGTCATAGTTGCAATGTACAAATACTTCCCAAAACAGTCATCTCTATGGCTGCCTTCTCTGGTTGATCTGAGTTTTATAAGATGACTCAGCATGCAATCTTAATCTTGCCTTGACCTCCAGTGCCCACTTTGCCTTGTAAGCCCTCATCCAAGGAGGATGTAAGATCTTTGTTGCTACCTGCTGCTTACTGAGAGACCATCTTCCCTTCCCAGTATTGTTTCCATCAACTCCATTGAGCTCCAACACTGCTTTCTTCTTCACCATGTAGTTCTGTGCTGAAGCTAGAGCCCAATACATTTGGTTGCCATCCTGATTTGGTAGCTCCTTCCTCTTGGGCTCCAGCTGTACGTAATGGCTCAGTTCCTCTTTTGAACGGGCCCACCAACTGGCAGTGGCTATTTGTCTTTGTGAGTGTCCACTCGCAAATCCTACCTCTGACAAATCGTTGGCACTTCCACTGCAGGACTCTGCCCCATCAGGGATCCACCAAAGGATATCAATAACACTAAGACCTTGCTAGTTTTCTCTTCACTCAATAGTGAAAATGGAATTTGGGGATAACCATAGGGAACTGAGCCAGGACACAAATGATTTAATCATTAATATCTTAATGAAATATTGGTTGGAAATCTACCATATAACAGGGACCATACTAAACACTGCAAATATATATAGGCAGTCAGTTTCTTAAAGAGTCAGAGCCCCTAGAATAAGATGAAGCTGAATTTTTCTTTGCATATATTTAAATGTTAATAAGATAAGCCCAAATAAGCCAGAAAATACAACAAAACAATACAAAAACAAAAATACATCAAAGCCGTGAGAATGCACAAATACACTTGGGGAGCAAACCAGGCTTAGCGCCCTCCTTGAGAACCTTTATATCTCTGTTCATCAGTCACCTTCAGATTCTCAGGGTGCATCAGAGACCCTGAATGAATGACTTCTGATGTACAGAAAATTACATCTTCCGAAGTTTGATTAACAAACTTAATCAAACTAAACTATGTTATAATGTACACTTGAAAGGAAAGCAGAATCTCTCCTTTAACAAAAGGCACTAGAATTAGAAAGAGACTCATTTATTTATTTGAATGTTTGGTGCTATGCTAGGCAGGATAGTGGCCCCTCAAGGATGCCTACACCCTAATCCCCAGAACCCGTGAATGTGTTCTGGCAAAATAAATTTTGCAGATATAATTAAATTAAATATATTTGGATAAGAAGATTAACCTGGGTCATCTGGGTTGGCCCAATGTCAACACAGGGTTCACATGCAGAGAAACAGAAGGGTCAGAGAGAGAAGGAGATGGAGGAATAGAACCAGAGGTTGCAGTGATGGGTCATGAGCCAGGGAGTAAGGGCAGGCTTATTCCTCAAAAGCTGGAAAAGCAAGGATCAGATTCTTCCCTCGAGCCTCCAAAGGGTCACAGCCCTGCCAACTCATTTCAGATTTCTGATTCTCAGAACTACAAGGAGATAAAACTGAAAACTTCTGTTGTGTTAAGCCACTAAGCTTGTGGTAATTTCAGCAGCAATAGGAAACTAGCATAGGCATATAAGGCATTAAATCAACGAATATTTCATTTCCATTGGACTTCCAGGAAGAAATTATCTGTATGTGTTAAATTGGAAAACGTTGCTGATAATTCATATGGAGAAGAAAATCTACAGCTCATCTGAATTTGATGTGTTCAGGTGATTCACAAATAATGTGAATAAAATAGATGGAAAACAGCACAGTGCTTTATGATCTTAGTGTTACACTTGACTCTGGACAAGCACAATCAGGAAAAACAACAAAGGGATTCCTGGGAGCAGATGCTCATTAATATGATGGTTACATAGAATTTTGTAATAATTCTTTATGAAAGTAGAGACATTAACAAAATATACACATTATCTGAACTCTTTTTTTTTTTTATCAGTTCAGTTACAGGGAAGAAGTATATAATTTGGAAACTAATGATTTCAAAATAAGTGACAATTTAGAGAAGAACACATCGAGGCTCATGTCTCAAGCTTAACATCAGTGACTCTGAAGGTCCATAAGTAACTTCCTGAAACTGTTGGTTAGAATCATTTAAGGAAACTACATTTGTAAAGGATTGGGTCAGTGGTCAATGTCAATACCAAAACAAATAAAATCAGTATCACTGGGGGTAAGGAGGGGAAAAAGAAAGAAAGGCAGGCTATAGTAAAACCTCAGACATTTCAAACTGCTCAGTAATGCACCTGCCTTTAATACAAATCATTAAAACACTGAAAAGCCGTTATCTTGTCTTTCTTAAAGTTTCTGAAATTTGTAATATTATGGTGAAAATGTTGGTATTATTACTTAAATTTCTACTTTTCTTTAGGGAGGAAAAGCAGTAAGGACTGTTCATTGGCGTCATTGTGTCCACCTCCATATGACTCGCATACCTGCTCCACTGCTCTGGTTCAAGACAATTAATCCTAATATCCAACCCCTCCTGTGGTAATTTCTCATCTTGGCAGGTCTCTTTCTGTAATAGCTAAAGGGGAGTGGCGAGTTCCCAAAGCCTGAGCTCAGCCAGATGCACTTTTCCTCATAGACATGAACAGCCTGTTCTGGTCTCACTCTTTTTCTCCTTCTTGTCCTTCTCTCCTTTCCTTGTTTCCTCTTATCTTTTCCCCCTTCCTTTTCATCTCTCCTTTCTTTTCTTCCTCCCTCTTTTCTTCCCTTCCTTCATTCATTTTCCCTCCCTCCATTCCTTTCTCCCTTCTTCCTTCCTTTCTTCTTTCCTTCCTTCCTTTCCTTCTTCCTTCCTCACTCCTCTCTACCTCCCCTCCTGCCCTCCATCCCTCTCTCCCTTCCTTCCTTTCTCCCTCAGTTCCCTAAAAAACAGTTTGACTTCAAAAACAAAGATAAAGCAAAGCAAGTCCCACAGAAATCTCACCCAGGATTTCTGCATAGCGGAGAACATTTGCTGTAGCCCCTTCTACCAAATATAATTAGGTGATTGACAAATGGCAGGTAGCAATGCAGATGGAAATAACCTCTATTATCATGCCTTCCTGACTCAGGGAAAAAGCTCTAGTGCCCTAATTTTTTCAACCCAATTCCAATTTCATATTTATGAAAAGCTAGTGTCTGCCACTCCCCAGCAATCTGCTTATTGAACATACTTTTCTGCAAGCATAATTATGTCCCCCATCCCTTGATATTGCACCCTTTTATTTCATTTTCCTCTCCACCTCCTGCTGTGCTGACTGCCATCTCAACACTCCATGCTCTGACCAGGAGAATAGGTCATTGATTTTTTTTTTTCCCAAAGCCAATATCACTCTAAGAATTGGTCTTGATCTCCAGAGACAGTGAGTGTAAGAGAGAGAGAGAGAGATGGGGAGAGTATGATAACACTGCCATAGGACACTGGGTCGAAGGTCCCTATCCACTCTGGGGCAGCTACATTGTGTTTCCTCCCTCCCCTGACGCCATCTCCTCTAATGACAGATGCTCCTGTGTGAGTGCTTATACTGGAAATTGGATGTCATTTCTGCCTGGGCATATGATTATCATATGTACACATGAGCTTTAGCCAAGATCTGCATTTGGAAAGCAAGTGAGCAACAAAGACAATATCCGTTATCAGTCTACAATTTTGGATAATCTTTTTAACCAGCTTAGACAGACTGCGCATCACTTATTCACATTTTAGATAGCTTGGGCAGACTGAATATTTACCAATGACTTTGCAAACTAACACTCTTTGTAAAGTTATATGTTACTCCTAATTTGAAGGCAACAAAAAGGACAGGCTGCTGGGTGGTGACTAGGATTGGTAGACACCTCTTTTCTTCTATGATTCTGAGATTTGACTTATAATACAGCCTGAACATATGCTTTATTGTACTAGTGAAGAAACAACCAGCAGTTAGTAATTGACTGAGAATCTATTTCATGCCAGGCTCTCACCTAGGCACATGGAATATGGTGAGAGGCCAAGCAGACAAACATAGTTTTTTCCAGTAGAGGGGAAGAAGGTGCAAATAAGATTGTACTCTTAACTGTATGTGAACTTGATTTGACTGCTATCTTCAAATGATCACTTTGATTTTACTTGTATGTGAGGGAACTGCTCTGAGTATAGTTAGACTTAGCTTAATACTTTTATCCTTTTGACTATATTTTGGGTCTTGTATCCATACATTCTTTTATTATTTTTAAAAGCATTAGAAACCAGTTATTTCTATCATATAAAGTAGATCACTAAAAGAAAAACCTTTCCAGATATTTTTTGTGTAACCTATAACCATTTTACAAAAATATTGTGTTCCCATTCTCCCCCCTTTTTATTTTCTGTAGGTGTTTGTGTGATTGGTTTTGTTTTGTTGGTTCAGTTTTGGTTTTTGAGCGCCCCAATATCTGCATCATCTGAAAGGATTTTTTTTTCTTGGACAAATCATGCAACTCACCACCCACCATGCACCTGTTTAGCTTTAATTAATATGATGAATCCTTGCCTCCTTACCTAAAGTGAAGTGTCTAAGGCTAATACATTAAAGATGCCACACACAGATAAGTATGACTGTTAGAACAATTCTGATATTATAAACAGGAATTATTTTGTGTATATACATAACACCTTTTTCTTCTACCTCATTTTTTTCATCTTTTTCCAAATTCATCATATTACATCTCCATTAATAATTAACTATGCCTTTGAAAAGTGATGACTATTTCCCCTGGTTCATATTCTAAATATGAATGCTCATGTTTTACTATTTTTAACATAAGTTTTCTTCATTATCTAAAGATAATCCTCCATGTTCCTTCAACTTCCATATATTTTCTGAAAACATAATAATTAGTTAAATGTTTTTATTTGACCATCTAATTTTCTGCATATGTCAGTTCAGTTTCTCATATCTGAGGCTGAGACATCTTGAATACTGCATCATAGTATGGATTCTGAAATTATGTACTTAGTAGATAGCATATGTTGATGGTTTTTTATGTATCCATATACACACATTCAGGATGCTTTGACAAAAACTTGATAATGTGGATCACAGATCAACTAGGTAAAAAGCAGTTCTTTTATAGTGGCATCATTTATAATTGCCAGAAACTGGAAGCAACCAATATGTCCTTCAAATAGATGAATGGATAAATTCAATTCTTCCTATCCATGAGCATGGAATGTTTTTCCATTTGTTTGTGTCTTCCCCGATTTCTTTCAGCAAGGGTTTGCAGTTCTCCTTATGGAAATCTTTCACCTCCCTAGTTAGCTGTATTCTTAGGTATTTTATTCTTTTTGTGCCAATTGTGAATGGGAGTTCGTTCCTGATTTGGCCCTTGGCTTGCCTGTTGTTGGTGTACCGGAATGCTAGCTATTTTTGCATATTGATTCTGTGTCCTGAGACTTTGCTAAAGTTGTTTATCGGCTTAAGAAGCTTTTGGGCTGAGACCATGGAGTTTTCTAGATACAGGATCATGTCATCTGCAAACAGAGATAGTCTGACTTTCTTGCCTCCTATTTGGATGCCCTTTATATCTTTCTCTTGCCTGATTGGCTGGGCCAGAACTTCTAATGCTATGTTGAATAGGAGTGGTGAAAGAGGGTATCCTTGTTTGGAGCTGGTTTTTAAGGGGAATGCTTCCAGATTTTGCCCAGTTAACAGGCTTTTTAAAGTATCTTTTGGTGTTCATCTTCTCAGGGAATTATTCCATAAAAGTTTTTTGGCAATCTATCATCATACCTGAGAAAGCTTAATAGTAATTGTCTCTTCTTGCTCAGCTAGACTATCTGCAGCCCTTAAATGCAAAAGGTATTTTGTTTTGTTTTGATTTTCCCTCTTTTCCTACACATCTCTGTCTTATCCTAAGTCTGGACCTTTAAGTAATTTTTTCCTCTCTTTTAAATTTAATTCCCTTGTCTCTAATCTCACCCTAGCTAATCCTTCAGGAATGATTAATGTCCATTTTGACAGATATTTTTTGAGTCAGTGTTAGAGTTTTCATTTATGGTTTTTTCTTTGGCTAAAAATCCCTGATACTGGGTAACAACATCAAGAATGAACAACAAGGTTGGTTCAAAGTGAATGATGACCTGATCTTCTCAGAGCAGATTAAAAGTGATCTCTTTTCTTTGAAAAAAGTGAGCCCTTTGGACACTTTACAAATACATTCTATGGTCTTAGCAATAAGGTCATGTATTGTTGATTGTGAACATTCCTGTCCAATGAGGCTTTGAAAAGAGTACTATTACCACTTCAAATAAAAACTTAACAAGGCTTGAGTTTGCAAAGAGGAAAACTAATAGTAACTCTTATAGAAGAGAATCAATTCCGTGGTGTGCCACATAGTCATATATGAAATTTGAAATGAGTTACTGTGAACTCATTGTGGCTCTTCCTGAAAACCCTCTTAACTGTTATGGTTAAAACAGCTACATGAGTTTAAGAGACTAAATAACCAAGACTTTTATATCCTAACCCTGCTTGTGCCCCAGGCTGGCCAGTTTAAAAAGACCCAGTCTGATCAATCTATTGCAAACATTGTCGAAGAGGGCCATGACATATGGGATTCTGAACACTAGTAACAGGATTGTCATAGACTTTCAAGGGAGCTAAGAAATTATTCCTAAGTATTGTAAAAATAGCATCTTACAAACAGAGCACTTCATATTATAGAGTGGCTCTCATGTCTCAACAGCAAAACAAAGACTTTAAGAAATCTAACAAACTGTATGCCCAATAAAACCAAGCATAATTAATTGAATTATATAACTCCATAAGAAAAAAATAAAACAGTAAAAAATTAGACTTAATGAAAATAATTATTGGTTCTACTATTTATTGTATGATCTAAAGCTTTCTAAATGCAGGTGACTGAATTATAATTAATAAAATTAATTGTTAGGTAGTTTTTTGGTTCAACTGGGGATTTTCTCCCCAACATTTATTTATGCGTATTTAAAAAGTGTTAGCTCTATTCAATAAATGCCAAGCATCTAATAAAAATAAAATAAAATCACTACACTCACCTTTGGAGAAATATATTTACAACATTTTATAGAGTCATGTTAATAACTTAGTAAGTTAATAAATGCCATTTATTGAGAGTTTACTTGTGTTAAACACTGTCCTTATTTCCTTCAACAAAATAACATCTGTGTTATTATTTTCTCTGCTTTACTGATGAGGAAACTGGGTTTCAGAGTGTCTACAGGATTTGCCCAAGGTCACTCAATCAGTGACAAAATTCTAATGACAATTTTGCACAGGCTGATGAGTAACTAGCCCCTGAGCTACTTCATAGGAGCTCTCACTGCCCAACAGGCCAAAGACAGAGAGGGCGATGTTAGCAGCACGTGGAACACTGAGGGAAGGGCAGAGGAGACCTCTAAGATGAGGCTGACTGGGGAACCTAAGTTAAAAGTTGTAAAATGAACTTTGGTCAGGGATTTGGTGGGGGTATATGTCCCATGCTGGGGTGACTCCTCCTCTAAGGTGCAAGTTACTTGGAGGTAGAAAACCACTAGGCAATTGGAGCCCAAGTTTCAAAAGAGGTCTCTGAAAGCCTCTCTCTCACTACCAGCCTTACCTCCAAGAAGGCCAAAGCCTGCTCCTTGTTTGAAGATTAGTGGGATTATTTATAATCCCACTTCTTGTTTGAAGATTAGCAGTTTGTTTAAGAATGACGCCAGATAAATGAATAGCCAATGCATATGACCAGCCTAGACAGTCCAGACAGATATATGTACACTGAAATGGACACACTGACCATCTTCAACACTTGAGTTAAGTCCCATCTTTGACCCATAACTCCAACCCAGAACCTCCACATTTTCATGCCTGGACCACCCATGGTGAGTGCATGGAAAAGGGTCAAGATGAGATTGCCCGGCATTCTCTGCAGTCCGCCTTCTATCTTCTGCTTCTATGTATGTTAAACTCCTGAGGTGTGCTTCCACAAGGTTTAGTGGGGGTGACTGTCTTTCATGGTAACTACAGCATAAGAATGAATCAGCATCTAGTGATTACATGGAAATCAGGCCATTTAATTTATCAGTTTAGATACTGATTGATTGGTAATTACTCTGTATAAGATACTGGTTTTTAGAATCATGTGCATTCATGAACCTATATTTATTTAAATTTTAACTAAATATTTATACTTCTATCACTTGAAATATTAAATACATGTCAATTATTTTGAGCTTAATAAACTGGATAAATGTGCTTATAAGAATTGAGTATGTTCCTCAGTTTACCACAGAAACAGTTTTAGGCAAAATACTACCTTTAGAAACTAGTATTTAATAAAAGACACCTGCATATTGCTTGCTTAACGAAATAACCTTATCTTACAGTTACAAAAGGCTGCATCTGACAAGAATGAGGTTTATCACTGTATTTATAAAGAAATGTACAAACAAATTAATAATGTGTGTTAGTATTTTATTAATCACACTTCGGATCTGCAAGAAAACTGATATTACTGTAGGTACAAGTGAGCATCACATACCAATCAGTTAGGCAAAATACAAACTTCATCTATTAGATGCTGGCCTAATCTGTACATCACCATCATCAAAGAACAAAAGTAGATAAAACCACAAAGATGGGGAAAAAACAGAGCAGAAAAACTGGAAACTCTAAAAAGCAGAGCGCCTCTCCTCCTCCAAAGGAACGCAGTTCCTCACCAGCAACGGAACAAAGCTGGACGGAGAATGACTTTGACGAATTGAGAGAAGAAGGCTTCAGACGATCAAACTACTCCGAGCTACAGGAGGAAATTCAAACCAAAGGCAAAGAAGTTAAAAACTTAAAAAAAAATTTAGACGATTGTATAACTAGAATAACCAATACAGAGAAGGGCTTAAAGGAGCTGATGGAGCTGAAAGCCAAGGCTCGAGAACTATGTGAAGAATGCAGAAGCCTCAGGAGCCGATGCCATCGACTGGAAGGAAGGCTATCAGTGATGGAAGATGAAATGAATGAAATGAAGCTAGAAGGGAAGTTTAGAGAAAAAAGAATAAAAAGAAACGAACAAAGCTTCCAAGAAATATGGGACTATGTGAAAAGACCAAATCTACGTCTGATTGGTGTACCTGAAAGTGACGGGGAGAATGGAACCAAGTTGGAAAACACTCTGCAGGATATTATCCAGGAGAACTTCCCCAATCTAGCAAGGCAGGCCAACATTCAGATTCAGGAAATACAGAGAACGCCACAAAGATACTCCTCGAGAAGAGCAACTCCAAGACACATAATTGTCAGATTCACCAAAGTTGAAATAAAGGAAAAAATGTTAAAGGCAGCCAGAGAGAAAGGTCAGGTTACCCACAAAGGGAAGCCCATCAGACTAACAGCGGATCCCTTGGCAGAAACTCTACAAGCCAGAAGAGAGTGGAGGCCAATATTCAACATTCTTAAAGAAAAGAATTTTCAACCCAGAATTTCATATCCAGCCAAACTAAGCTTCATAAGTGAAGGAGAAATAAAATACTTTACAGACAAGCAAATGCTGAGAGATTTTGTCACCACCAGGCCTGCCATAAAAGAGCTCCTGAAGGAAGCACTAAACATGGAAAGGAACAACCGGTACCAGCCACTGAAAAATCATGCCAAATTGTAAAAACCATCGAGGCTAGGAATAAACTGCATCAACTAACGAGCAAAATAATCAGCTAACATCATAATGACAGGATCAATTTCACACATAACAATATTAACTTTAAATGTAAATGGACTAAATGTTCCAATTAAAAGACACAGACTGGCAAATTGGATAAAGAGTCAGGACACATCAGTGTGCTGTATTCAGGAAACCCATCTCACATGCAGAGACACACATAGGCTCAAAATAAAAGGATGGAGGAAGATCTACCAAGCAAATGGAAAACAAAAAAAGGCAGGGGTTGCAATCCTAGTCTCTGATAAAACAGACTTTAAACCAACAAAGATCAAAAGAGACAAAGAAGGCCATTACATAATGGTAAAGGGATCAATTCAACAAGAAGAGCTAACTATCCTAAATATATATGCACCCAATACAGCAGCACCCAGATTCATAAAGCAAGTCCTGAGTGACCTACAAAGAGACTTAGACTCCCACACAATAATAATGGGAGACTTTAACACCCCACTGTCAATATTAGACAGATCAACAAGACAGAAAGTTAACAAGGATACCCAGGAATTGAACTCAGCTCTGCACCAAGCGGACCTAATAGACATCTACAGAACTCTCCACCCCAAATCAACAGAATATACATTTTTTTCAGCACCACACCACACCTATTCCAAAATTGACCACATAGTTGGAACTAAAGCTCTCCTCAGCAAATGTAAAAGAACAGAAATTATAACAAACTATCTCTCAGACCACAGTGCAATCAAACTAGAACTCAGGATTAAGAAACTCACTCAAAACCGCTCAACTACATGGAAACTGATCAACCTGCTCCTGAATGACTACTGGGTACATAACGAAATGAAGGCAGAAATAAAGATGTTCTTTGAAACCAATGAGAACAAAGAGACAACATACCACAATCTCTGGGACACATTCAAAGCAGTGTGTAGAGGGAAATTTATAGCACTAAATGCCCACAAGAGAAAGCAGGAAAGATCCAAAATGGACACCCTAACATCACAATTAAAAGAACTACAAAAGCAAGAACAAACACATTCAAAAGCTAGCAGAAGGCAAGAAATAACTAAAATCAGAGCAGAACTGAAGGAAATAGAGACACAAAAAACCCTTCAAAAAATTAATGAATCCAGGAGCTGGTTTTTTGAAAGGATCAGCAAAATTGATAGACCGCTAGCAAGACTAATAAAGAAGAAAAGAGAGAAGAATCAAATACACTCAATACAAAGTGATACAGGGGATATCACCACTTATCCCACAGAAATACAAACTACCATCAGAGAATACTACAAACACCTCTACACAAATAAACTAGAAAAACTAGAGGAAATGGAAAAATTCCTCGACACATACACTCTCCCAAGACTAAACCAGGAAGATGCTGAATCTCTGAATAGACCAATAACAGACTCTGAAATTGTGGCAATAATCAATAGCTTACCAACCAAAAAGAGTCCAGGAGCAGACGGATTCACAGCCGAATTCTACCAGAGGTTCAAGGAGGAACTGGTACCATTCCTTCTGAAACTATTCCAGTCAATAGAAAAAGAGGGAATCCTCCCTAACTCATTTGATGAGGCCAGCATCATCCTGATACCAAAGCCAGGCAGAGACACAACCAAAAAAGAGAATTTTAAACCAATATCCTTGATGAACATTGATGCAAAAATCCTCAATAAAATACTGGCAAACCGAATCCAGCAGCACATCAAAAAGCTTATCCACCATGATCAAGTGGGCTTCATCCCTGGTATGCAAGGCTGGTTCAATATACGCAAATCAATAAATGTAATCCAGCATATAAACAGAACCAAAGACAAAAACCACATGATTATCTCAACAGATGCAGAAAAGGCCTTTGACAAAATTCAACCCTTCATGCTAAAAATTCTCAATAAATTAGGTATTGAAGGGACGTATCTCAAAATAGTAAGAACTATCTATGACAAACCCACAGCCAATATCATACTGAATGGGCAAAAACTGGAAGCATTCCCTTTGAAAACTGGCACAAGACAGGGATGCCCTCTCTCACCACTCCTATTCAACATAGTGTTGGAAGTTCTGGCCAGGGCAATTAGGCAGGAGAAGGAAATAAAGGGTATTCAATCAGGAAAAGAGGAAGTCAAATTGTCCCTGTTTGCAGATGACATGATTGTATATCTAGAAAACCCCACCGTCTCAGCCCAAAATCTCCTTAAGCTGATAAGCAACTTCAGCAAAGTCTCAGGATACAAAATCAACGTACAAAAATCACAAGCATTCTTATACACCAATAACAGACAAACAGAGAGCCAAATCATGAGTGAACTCCCATTCACAATTGCTTCAAAGAGAATAAAATACCTAGGAATCCAACTTACAAGGGATGTGAAGGACCTCTTCAAGGAGAACTACAAACCACTGCTCAATGAAATAAAAGAGGATACAAACAAATGGAAGAACATCCCATGCTCATGGGTAGGAAGAATCAATACCGTGAAAATGGCCATACTGCCCAAGGTAATTTATAGATTCAATGCCATCCCCATCAAGCTAGCAATGAATTTCTTCACAGAATTGGAAAAAACTACTTTAAAGTTCATATGGAAGCAAAAAAGAGCCCACATCGCCAAGTCAATCCTAAGCCAAAAGAACAAAGCTGGAGGCATCACGCTACCTGACTTCAAACTATACTACAAGGCTACAGTAACCAAAACAGCATGGTACTGGTACCAAAACAGAGACATAGATCAATGGAACAGAACAGAGCCCTCAGAAATAACGCCACATATCTACAACTATCTGATCTTTGACAAACCTGACAAAAACAAGCAATGGGGAAAGGATTCCCTATTTAATAAATGGTGCTGGGAAAACTGGCTAGCCATATGTAGAAAGCTGAAACTGGATCCCTTCCTTACGCCTTATACAAAAATTAATTCAAGATGGATTAAAGACTTAAACGTTAGACCTAAAACCATAAAAACCCTAGAAGAAAACCTAGGCATTACCATTCAGGACATAGGCATGGGCAAGGACTTCATGGCTAAAACACAGAAAGCAATGGCAACAAAAGCCAAAATTGACAAATGGGGTCTAATTAAACTAAAGAGTTTCTGCACAGCAAAAGAAACTACCATCAGAGTCAACAGGCAACCTACAAAACGGGAGAAAATTTTCGCAACCTACTCATCTGACAAAGGGCTAATATCCAGAATCTACAATGAACTCAAACAAATTTACAAGAAAAAAACAAACAACCCCATCAAAAAGTGGGCGAAGGATGTGAACAGACACTTCCCAAAAGAGGACATTTATGCAGCCAAAAAACACATGAAAAAATGCTCACCATCACTGGCCATCAGAGAAATGCAAATCAAAACCACAATGAGATATCATCTCACACCAGTTAGAATGGTAATCATTAAAAAGTCAAGAAACAACAGGTGCTGGAGAGGATGTGGAGAAATAGGAACACCTTTACACTGTTGGTGGGACTGTAAACTAGTTCAACCATTGTGGAAGTTAGTGTGGCAATTCCTCAGGGATCTAGAACTAGAAATACCATTTGACCCAGCCATCCCGTTACTGGGTATATACCCAAAGGACTATAAATCATGCTGCTAGAAAGACACATGCACACATATGTTTATTGCGGCACTATTCACAATAGCAAAGACTTGGAATCAACCCAAATGTCCAACAATGATAGACTGGATTAAGAAAATGTGGCACATATACACCATGGAATACTATGCAGCCATAAAAAATGATGAGTTCATGTCCTTTTGTAGGGACATGGATGAAATTGGAAATCATCATTCTCAGTAAACTATCGCAAGAACAAAAAACCAAACACCGCATATTCTCACTCATAGGTGGGAATTGAACAATGAGAACACATGGACACAGGAAGGGGAACATCACACTCTGGGGACTGTTGTGGGGTGGGGGTAGGGGGGAGGGATAGCATTAGGAGATATACCTAATGCTAAGTGACGAGTTAATGGGTGCAGCACACCAGCATGGCTCATGTATACATATGTAACTAACCTGCACATTGTGCACATGTACCCTAAAACTTAAAGTATAATAATAATAAAATAAAAAAAAGAAAAGTAGAAATACATGCAATTAACACTTTACGTGCCCCAGCATTTACCCTAACAGGGAGCAAATCCTAAACCTCAGACCACTCACTCTATTCGTTGAGCATGGGGATCCTCTATGTTTCTCCATCCTTTCTCCCAGACGTTAATTACCTCTTGGATAAAAAGAAAAGGGAAAAGTATTGGAAGAGTCCAATGTATTTTAAAACCTGTAATGCTCAAATGAAACCAAACAATACTTTGCAAACTGTAAATTGTCATAGAGGTGTAGATTATTATTTCCATTGCAAAATTATCCTAACTGAACCTAGAAAAAAAGAGAGACAAGTAAATATAGTAAAATAATAATTATTTCTAAAGGAAATGATTCCACAGTATCAGCATAAAATTAAAGGTCTGGACCAATAGGTTTCTATTTACTCTAGGCAGAGAATCTTATCTGGAACAAATAGATACTCAACTAGCATCTTGTAGATAGATCCTCATGAATGATAATGTTGTCACTAAAGGTTTTGTTTTACAAGACTTTACCACCCTTGAGAGGCAATTGCGTTAAGATAGTATTGACATTTCTCAAGATAGTATTGAAAAGTCCACATCGATTACACAAGGCAACTGATCAGTAACAGCACCTTGCAAGTACCTACTATTTTGCCTTCTAATAGAGTAGCAAGTTCTGTGCTGTCAGTGTGTCTGAATCGGGTATCAATAACAAGAGTTGTGTGATTTTAGAAGGACACATTCCAATATCTGAACCTCTGAAAGATGGAAAAGGATATATCTTACCCTCGTTAAGTCTTCTGATACTTGCTTAATCAGAAACATAACTCTCAGATCCTAACTCTTAATATATGGCCCAGCCTCATCCAACTTTTCAAGTGTTTCCTTTTTCCCGTTGTACAGTTTTATTGCATTTTAATGGTGATGAGTGATATACTGTCATAGGAGAATATATTTTCATTCTGTGTCATATAAAACTCTGGCTCTAGTATCTAAATGTTAGACACATCTGTTAATAGGCCAGAGATTGACCCTCTCTCTCCTTTTTTCTTTTTGAACCTGAGATTTGACAAATTTTAAAACAAACATGTACTCAATGGCAAATTTATTATCATATTAATTTTTTCTTTTATTCATATAGATAAAAATACATGCAAGCATATGCACTTGTGCATACATAGTGCTGCTTAATGAACATATGTCATTGTGGAAGGAGAGGAGAAATCCGGGCTTGTTCATTGTTAAGAGGACCCTTCTGCTGAGTGGAACCTGGCCATCTTTGATCAATGTGGCTAAAGCTTGTGAACTGACTCTTCTACTCCTGGTACTTACTTATACCATTTTTTCCCACCAAGGAACAACCTTAATGGATTTTAGTAGAATCGCCTCCTTTCACTCTTAGTGGTGCCATTCCCACTCTGTCATAGACGAGCAGCCTTATTAGTCACACTCAGGACCAGTACTAGCAACAATCTGTCACTGTGGCCGACGGCACGCATCATCCATGATAACTAAACATTCACCCCAAGACCTGATGATTTGTCTTGGCACTGCATCCTGTAGCACAAAGCAACAGAAACCAGTGGTTATGCCTGTCCTTTCTATCTTTTATTCTTTCTTTCTTTTTTTTTTTTTTTTTTGGTCATAGCTCAAAGCTTATTGAGTGTAAAAGACATTTTCCCTTTAAAAAATGCTTACTCGATGTTATCTCCTTCACGCTCTGGGTCGAGCTCATTTGGTGAAGGGTCATCACACACTCCCTTTGTGATAATGTCAGTGAGTCAATAGAGTGGATTGGGGATTTCGGTTTCTATCTGAATTTTGACGATCTGCTTTTCTTGCAATATTTAACAGGAAAATATGGATTGCAGCCTGTGCTTGCCTGCCAAAGTGACTCTTCCATTTTATTATCGTTTATTTTCCTTTATTTCTAGGATGAGTTCTACAATAGACATAGACAGGGAATAGAATTAGTGTGAGCCAATCAGATCCTACTAGCATAAGCAACCCCCATAAGGTGATCATGATGTACAACGCCAATGCTAGTACTCTTGGGTGCAATAATTTATTGCAATCATAAAATGTATGTAAAATAAATAATATTTTTAATAATTACTGTTTATTGTGTGCTTACATTTTGCCACGTACGTGTCGAGTATTTTAGTTTGGTGGATTATTTGCATTTTCTCATTTTATTCATGTTAGAACCCTATATGGTGGATGCAGTTTTTATCATTTTACAGATGAGGAAACTGAGACTATAATGGATTAAAGACTTTGGTCAAAAATACACAGCCCACAATAACAGAGCCAGAATGGCATTCAGGTTTGTCCGCCACCAAAACCTGAGGTCACCAGCAACAATTCACAATAAATCGACTTAGAAACACCGTGAGGATTCTGCAAAAGATAAAATGTACTTTTAGTATCACACCTCCTAATAAGCAAATAAGCAAATAATTTTAAAATATACTTTTAGTTAATACTTTGCAAGGTACTATTCAGATGTCTAGCCGCCTCAAACATCTTCTCTGCCTTCCATATATCTGTAAGCAGATGAATAGACATATTTACATGATACTATCCTGCCCTCCATGCCTCTGGCAAAGCTGACTAGTTTCAGGGCTTCCACTAGTGTCAACCTAACTGAAGCAGCTGGATGAGCTCTCTCCAGATTTTGAGAATGGTATTCAGAGAAAACTAGTTAATCTTGTGTATTAGTCCATTTTCACACTGCTATAAAGATACTACTTGAGACTGGGTAATTTGTAAAGAAAAAGAGGTTTAATTGACATACAGTTCCGCATGACCAGGGAGGCCTCAGGAAACTTACAATCATAGCGGAAGGCGAAGGGGAAGCAAAGCACATCTTACATGACAGCAGGCATGAGACAGTGAGAAGTGCCACACTTTAAAACCATCAGCTCTCGTGAGAATTTGCTCACTATCACAAGAACGGCATGGGGGAAACGGCCCCCATGATCCAATCACCTTGCACCAGATCTCTCTTTCAACATGTGGGGATTACAATTTGAAATGAGATTTGAGTGGGGACACAGAGCCAAACTAACATCTTGAGTGTAGCTGATGGTGAAAGACTGATGCAATTTGGACACATAGGTTAGCTATCTTTCACCATGAGGACTGAGAGGCAAAGACAGCCAGTTTGCCCAGACAAAAGAAAGAAGTTGATGCAGACAAGAAAGAGTCTGGGTTTTCTAATTCCCAGTGGCAACTCCTTTTGAGATCATGCTGCATGCATCTTCAGGATTCTTTAAGACACCTTGATTTCAATACTGAATACTCAATTATCATACCCATGACCTTATTAATCTTATTAATACTTTTTAAGTTAAATGAAAACCCTTCAAATTGAAAAAGGTTCAGCTAATGCATATATTTGTTTTTTGTTTGTTTTTGTTTTGTTTTGTTTTTTTGTTTTGAGGCAGAGCCTCACTCTGTCGCCCAGGCTGTAGTGCAGTGGCGTGATCTTGGCTCACTGCAACCTCCACCTCCCGGGTTTGAGCAATTTTCCTGCCTCAGCCTCGTGAGTAGCTGAGATTACAGGTGACCATCACCACACCCCGCTAACTTTTGTATTTTTAGTAGAGACAGGGTTTCACCATATTGGCCAGGCGGGTCTCGAACTCCTGACCTTGTGAGCCACATGCCTTGCCTTGGCCTCCCAAAGTGCTGGGGTTACAGTCATGAGCCACTACACCTAGCCCGTTTTCTCTTTCTTTCTTTCTTTCTTTCTTTCTTTCTTTCTTTCTTTCTTTCTTTCTTTCTTTCTTTCTTTCCTTCCTTCCTTCCTTCTTTCTTTCTTTCTTTCTTCTTTCTCTTTCTTTCTTTCTTTCTTTCTTTCTTTTCTTTCTTCTTTCTCAACTCAGATTACAATGCATGACATATGTGGACCAATATCAGTGACTGTAAGGCAATCTGGGCTTCGAGCACATAGATATCCTTGGTACAATAGATAAAGCATCCTCTTATATACTGTATTTACTAGGCAGGAACTGGGATGCTTTAATGTTTCCAAAAACAGAAAGCCACCCCTTCACCCCCGAAGACTTCGGCTCTCACTGGGTCACTGTAACAGATGAGGAGGTTACCTTACGCTCTCTCCATCCTGAGAAGCAATGTTGCTCATTAAATTCCCCATATCTTCCAAGAAATGATGGTGGCCCCAGGCTCTTAATGTTTTACACTTGTGTTATTTATCTCTCTGCAGTCCCAAGGGATCAAATCTGAGACACCACAGTCTGCCATTCAAAATGTGTGATTTTACTAGAAAATAAATATTTCACACACAATGTCTACTAATCCCTTTTTATCTCTCAATTAAAAGAGGAAGGAATTGTCTTCTAAGAGAGTTGAAATAATGTTTTTCTCCCCAGCATCAGAAATTAATCTTTCCAGTAGATGTTAACCACCAGCCATTGTCTTTTGCTTCCGTCATACCACTTGCCAGGACATGGATATATCATGTGTTTTCAGTCTCCTAAACCCAAAATTTCCCCACCACCAACTTTTTATGGAACCAATAAAATCCTAATTAAGTCCATTTCAAGACTTAGGTGAATTTCAACATGGGTGAGATGGCTCCTCTTTCATTCAGTCCTCCCTCATATGTTCCCATGCCCAAAGCTCAGTATTTGCATTTCCATTGAACAGCTGTGCAATATGTTTTATATCACAGGTAAGAACTCATGTGCCTATCTCCTGCACTAATTTAAGTTTTTTGATGCAGACTTGGTCTAACTTATTTTTAATTATTAAAATGTCCCGTAAATAGGCAAATTTATATAATAGAAATATAACAAAAATTGTTGTTTGTCACATGTAAATAAACCCAAGTACAAGTTCACATTTCCTTAACAGAAACCTTCTTTAGAGTGTGTTATAAGTTTAGAATATATATATATGTGTGTATGTGTGTGTGTGTGCACGTGTGTGTGTGTATTCTAAACTTATAACACACTCTAAAATGTGTATATATATGTGTGTATATATATATGAAGGGTATTAAAGTGTACCTAACTGGGCTTCAGGCTGCCCCCTGAGTTAAATACATTAATATTGCAGGCTGTGGAGCACAACAATAGTCTTAGCAAATAAAACAGAGAATATTAAGTTGTCCCAGTTTACTGTTTAACAGTTTTATGAAAAACAAAACAAATAAACAAACAAAAGATAGCAAAACTTTTGGAGTTCAACGAATTTTGAATTTCAGAATTACAGGTAAGGGACAGCAGATTTAGAATTCCATAAGGACTTTCTAAAAGAGTAAATGAAACTGTACCCATAATTATGTTAGACCCTTTAAGACGAACTCTTTCAGTCCGTACATCTACTAAAATGCCGGTTATCGCATGGTTCGGGCTTCCCTAGATGATTTCAGGGCCAATGATAGTAGTGTGTTATGCACACTCATAATTCTCCAGGTGTGCAAGGTAAATTACATAGTCAACCTAATAATACTTAATATTTATCCAGTGCTTAATTCATGCTGGGTGCTGTTATGAAGTGCTTTACATGTACTCACACATTTAATCCTTACAATAGCCCAATGAAATAGGCACTATTTCCATATTTACCAAAATGGGAATTGAAGCAGAGAGGTTAATTGACTTGTCTATGTTCTCACAGCTAAAAATAATGGAGCCCGAATTTTGATTCAGACAGAATGATTCTAGAGTCCTCTGAGTTCCCCCATCTTAACAGTTACGCTGTGTAGAAGTCTCCTCAACTGAACTGCTTAACTGTCTTTGACATAAAATGCTAGATTCATAGCCTTAGATATTTCATTTTAAACCCTGCTGCTCTCTGAATTATAACTCTAAATTTATAGACTTATGATTTAATTGATTTGCTGATAATTTCCAAATTGCTGAGAGACACCTAGACTTAGGAAATGGAAATGTAGCTTGTTGAAATGCACAAATTACTCTTTAATTATACTTAATAAAATAGGTACACAAAATTAAACACAATTTTTTAGGACAGAGACACACAGCCCATTGAATTTTATTTATTAGAAATAACCCACCTCATTCCAAAAAGAAATTGAGGGGCCAATTGACATGTTCACATTTCAACTTTTTTTTTCATAATGAATAAGAAAAAAACATGATAATATCTCACCTGAGAGTATTTAGAATATTCATTGCCTAGGACTGCTATAATAAATACCACAAACTTGGTGGCCTAAAATAACAGAACTGTATTCTCTCATACTTCTAGGGCCAGAAGTTCAAGATCAAGGGGTGGGCAGGGATGATATCGTCAGCAGGCTCTGAGGGGAATAAAATCCCCCGCGCTCCTCGGCCTGCATCTCTATCTGCGTCCATCTCATGCAGCACATGCTTCTCGGTGAAGCAGAGTATACAGCTCATCAGAATCCTTCATTTTTAACAATTGTTGTAGTTTGTATCTTTCAAAATATTTACTTTTAATAAAGTGGGTTTTTTTTCAGAATGTATAGACCTTATAAAGAAAAATATTCTTCAAATACGCAAGGATTCACTGAAATACATTTTCTCACCCCAATCATTTCCCTTGAGTAAAACAAGGAAGGGGCTGAGCACTGTGGCTCATGCCTGTAATCCCAATGCTTTGGGAGGCCGAGGCAGGAGGATCTCACATGAGGCCAGGAGTTTGAGACCAGGCTGGGCAATATAGAGAGACCCTGTCTCTATAAAAGTTTTTAAAAATTAGCTGCACATGATGGTGCTTGCCTGTAGTCTCAGCTACTTGGGAGGCTGAAGTGGGAGGATTGCTTGAACCCCAGAGTTTGAGGCTGCTGTGAGCTATGATCAGGGAACTGCACTCCAGCCTGGGTGACAGAGACTCCATATCTAAAATAAATAAATAAATAAAATTTTAAAAAGCTCTGGTTAAAAAAGAGGAACATATATATTTGGAGTGGAGGCACTGTTGTAACAAAATTGCCATATTAACAACTGCATATGAACTTTAAAGTAGTTTTTTCCAATTCTGTGAAGAAAGTCATTGCTAGCTTGATGGGGATGGCATTGAATCTATAAATTACCTTGGGCAGTATGTCCATTTTCACGATATTGATTCTTCCTACCCATGAGCATGGGATGTTCTTCCATTTGTTTGTATCCTCTTTTATTTCATTGAGCAGTGGTTTGTAGTTCTCCTTGAAGAGGTCCTTCATGTCCCTTGTAAGTTGGATTCCTAGGTATTTTATTCTCTTTGAAGCAATTGTGAATGGGAGTTCACTCATGATTTGGCTCTCTGTTTGTCTGTTACTGGTGTATAAGAATGCTTGTGATTTTTGTACGTTGATTTTGTATCCTGAGACTTTGCTGAAGTTGCTTATCAGCTTAAGGAGATTTTGGGCTGAGACAATGGGGTTTTCTAGATATACAATCTTATCATCTGCAAACAGGGATAATTTGACTTCCTGTTTTCCTAATTGAATACCCTTTATTTCCTTCACTTGCCTAATTGCCCTGGCCAGAACTTCCAACACTATGTTGAATAGGAGTGGTGAGAGAGGGCATCCCTGTCTTGTGCCAGTTTTCAAAGGGAATGCTTCCAGTTTTTGCCCATTCAGTATGATATTGGCTGTGGGTTTGTCATAGATAGCTCTTATTATTTTGAGATACGTCCCATCAATACCTAATTTATTGAGAGTTTTTAGCATGAAGGGTTGTTGAATTTTGTCAAAGGCCTTTTCTGCATCTGTTGAGATAATCATGTGGTTTTTGTCTTTGGTTCTGTTTATATGCTGGATTACATTTATTGATTTGCGTATATTGAACCAGCCTTGCATCCCAGGGATGAAGCCTACTTGATCATGGTGGATAAGCTTTTTCATGTGCTGCTGGATTCGGTTTGCCAGTATTTTATTGAGGATTTTTGCATCAATGTTCATCAAGGATATTGGTCTAAATTTCTCTTTTTTGGTTGTGTCTCTGCCAGGCTTTGGTATCAGGATGATGCTGCCCTCATCAAATGAGTTAGGGAGGATTCCCTCTTTTTCTATTGATTGGAATAGTTTCAGAAGGAATCATACCAGTTCCTCCTTGAACCTCTGGTAGAATTCAGCTGTGAATCCATCTGGTCCTGGACTGTTTTTGTTGATAAGCTATTGATTATTGCCACAATTTCACAGCCTGTTATTGGTCTATTCAGAGATTCAACTTCTTCCTAGTTTAGTCTTGGGAGGGTGTATGTGTCAAGGAATTTATCCATTTCTTCTAGATTTTCTAGTTTATTTGCGTAGAGGTGTTTGTAGTATTCTCTGATGGTAGTTTGTATTTCTGTGGGATCGGTGGAGCCTGCATCGCCAAGTCAATCCTAAGCCAAAAGAACAAAGCTGGAGGCATCATGCTACCTGACTTCAAACTATACTACAAGGCTACAGTAACCAAAACAGCATGGTACTGGTACCAAAACAGAGATATAGATCAATGGAACAGAACAGAGCCCTCAGAAATAACGCCACATATCTACAACTATCTGATCTTTGACAAACCTGACAAAAACAAGCAATGGGGAAAGGATTCCCTATTTAATAAATGGTGCTAGGACAACTGGCTAGCCATATGTAGAAAGCTGAAACTGGATCCCTTCCTTACACCTTATACAAAAATTAATTCAAGATGGATTAAAGACTTAAACGTTAGACCTAAAACCATAAAAACCCTAGAAGAAAACCTAGGCATTACCATTCAGGACATAGGCATGGGCAAGGACTTCATGGCTAAAACACCAAAAGCAATGGCAACAAAAGCCAAAATTGACAAATGGGATCTAATTAAACTAAAGAGCTTCTGCACAGCAAAAGAAACTACCATCAGAGTGAACAGGCAACCTACAAAATGGGAGAAAATTTTTGCAACCTACTCATCTGACCAAGGGCTAATATCCAGAATCTACAATGAACTCAAACAAATTTACAAGAAAAAAACAAACAACCCCATCAAAAAGTGGGTGAAGCACATGAAAAGACACTTCTCAAAAGAAGACATTTATGCAGCTAAAAAACATGAAAAAATGCTCACCATCACTGGCCATCAGAGAAATGCAAATCAAAACCACAACGAGATACCATCTCACACCAGTTAGAATGGCAATCATTAAAACGTCAGGAAACAACAGGTGCTGGAGAGGATGTGGAGAAATAGGAAGACTTTTACACTGTTGGTGGGACTGTAAACTAGTTCAACCATTGTGGAAGTCAGTGTGGCGATTCCTCAGGGATCTAGAACTAGAAATACCATTTGACCCAGCCATCCCATTACTGGGTATATACCCAAAGGGCTATAAATCATGCTGCTATAAAGACATATGCACACGTATGTTTATTGCGGCACTATTCACAACAGCAAAGACTCAGAACCAACCCAAATGTCCAACAATGATAGACTGGATTAAGAAAATGTGGCACATATACACCATGGAATACCATGCAGCCATAAAAAATGATGAGTTCATGTCCTTTGTAGGGACATGGATGAAATTGGAAATCATCATTCTCAGTAAAGCATTGCAAGGACAAAAAACCAAACACCGCATGTTCTCACTCATAGGTGGGAATTGAACAATGAGAACACATGGACACAGGAAGGGGAACATCACTCTCTGGGGACTGTTGTGGCGTGGGGGGAGGGGGGAGGGATAGCATTAGGAGATATACCTAGTGCTAAATGACGAGTTAATGGGTGCAGCACACCAGCATGGCACATGTATACATGTGTAACTAACCTGCACATTTGTACATGTACCCTAAAACTTAAAGTATAATAATAATTAAAAAAAAAAAAACCTGCAGCGTTAATGCCTCCACTCCATCAGAACTGAAACTCCCTGGACCAGCATGCGCCTGAGACCCTCGGCCCTTGATCTGGAGATTGGAAGTGGGGTAGTGTGGGCTTTTGAGGCCAGAGGCCAAGCTTTATTGGCAACAAAATGAATTAACCATAACAATAATCATGAAGGTACAATTTGCTGCCATCGATTTAAATGAAACTCTTTTTACATGTTTTTGCTTGACTTTGTCTTTAATAGATGATATCAAAATCCCAGAAATTATGTTTTACAGGGAGTGACAACTATAAAAATCTTGATTCCACTGCTTTTATTTCTCTGAACTGAATTTAACGGGCACCACTTCATGGGCAGATTCACTTTGGGGTAAATACATAGGTGTTATCCTGTTATTATTTCCTAAGGCTCATATTCTTCATGTATTTCTTTTAACGTGACATTGAAAGTAAGCCACTGCATTGTGTGACACTTAGCAGCACTTCTTATATGTTTAAAATTTATTGAATAACAAATAATAAATCCTGAAGTCAAGAGGAAGCCTGATGATTGTACCAGTATATTTCCTCAGCCGGCCCTAGGACACTACTTGAGCCTACAAAGTTGTTCACTGCCTTTTGTCTTTCTCTCTTTATCCAAATTCATGAGGGAATCCCTGTGGTAATTCCATGTGGAAGAACCTGAATTCATTTTAGACACCCTTATTTAGACAATTCCATTTCGGATATGCACAGGACTCTTTATGTGAGGTCCCAGAGACAAGGTGATTCCTATCCTGTGGGAAGTGGACATTTGTATTCGGTCAGTGGATGGAGAAAGGAACCAGGGAGCAGCCAGGTCATTCCCTGGAGGTCACGGAAGGAATCAGCATCACGCGCGAGGTGTATAATTCTAGCTCCAGTGTTCAAACCACTGCACTCACCTGTGTGTTAGACATGAGACAATTTGCAATGTCTTTAGAAATTGAGTTTGTTGCCAAATATGAAAGTTTTAGCTTATTTAGCAAGTAGGAATTTCTAAACCAAATCTCTAGTGTGGAAAATGTGATTTTTAAAATTGTCTTTAAATCCAATTAAGTATGTTTCAGAGTCCCTTCGCATTCAGTTGGTGGGAAATTCAACCTCAGAGGGGACTGGTTCTCCTCAATGTTCCAGGATGTTGCAAAGGTCCCGCTGTCTTAGAACATGTGGGGCATTTCTTTCTTTATTCCACCTAGGTGTTTTCCCAGTACAATGCCCAAGTATGAGAATTGTTCCCACAACAAAAAAGAGTTTGCCCAGCTCTCTTCTCCCTTCCTGAAGCCCTCCAAGGAATCCCCCTGTCTCCTCTCTCTTTGGACCATCTAACTTAATATCTTCAATCAGTAGAGATTTTCTGAAAGATTGGGAAATTCCATTGACTGCATGCATCTACTAAGCAACAAAGGAGAACAAATTCTGGCTATTTGATTTAAATAGGGAAAGAGGAAAAATACTAACTGCTAGCGCATCCATCACTGAGCCCCAGGCACCATTTGTAACACTTTACATATGTTTAATTAATATGGCAACAATATTGTGAAAAATGCCACCTTCTGTATTTTCACGACGAGAAACTGAGGAACAAATACATTCATTAAAATGCCTATGTCCACCCAAACAATTAAGTGGTGGAGCCAGGATTCTAACCCAGGCTGCCTGGCACCCAAGTCTATATTGTCTTACATTTTATACTGTTATCATAATACAATATCATAATACAATAAATTATCTTGCCACACTTGCAGTCCTAAACCACTGCAGAGGAATTTTTAATTTGACGTGAGATTTAGGAAACATGGATATATTTATTAGCAAAATTATAATATAAAAACTGGATTTTAATATATACTGTATATAAAAAGACAAGCTAGACCCTAAAGAACTTCAATGCTAAAAGAGATATCAGACCGCATAGCATAAACAAAACTAAATACATGGAATGAATTTCTAGTATTGTCAATTAGTGCTGTGCTGTAATCCTTCTGAATTTTGTTCTCTCATGTTTATAATCAGCAAAATACTATATAACTTGTGGAATGTCTGTTGCATGAATAAAAATTACAGTAAGACAATTTTGTGGTATACTATGTAAATTGTCAAGCACGAAATTTTTGTTTAATTTAGGCATTTTATATATTTTTAAAGGGAATAACATTTGTACAATACAATACTAAGCAGGCATTAAAAATCATCTGTTCTCTTGAGCCAGAGAGGCGGAGGTTGCAGTCAGCCGTGATCATGCCACGGCACTCCAGCCTGGGTGATAGAGGGAGATCTCGTCTCAAAAAAACAAAAACAAAAACAAACCAAAAACAAACAAACAAAAAGCTTTTCAAAGACTAGCAAATTAAGAATTGTTAAAAAAAAAAAGGTACTTATAATCCTTATTTTGTTAAAAAATAGTTTTGTATACTGCATATATTGTTGAATACTCCAGCCAATGCTCACCAGAAATATATCTGCAGTTTAAGTTAGGTTTATAAACTTTCTGTAGTAAGGGGAAGCACGCCCAAGGTATATCTCAGCAAGAGGCTCTTGGGACAGGCTTGTTGTGGGATTCAAGCTTCTACTGGGTGTTTTTGGTGAGGGGTTTAAGGAAGTGAGAGGTTGACAATAATTTTAGGTGCTTTCTTGAAAGAGTGGCATTTGGAGATTGGATATTTTAAAGATTTTTATCTAAAAGTCAGAAGAAATGAAGCTGAGCTAGAATGGTCAATGATGAGCTAATTACTGATGTTGGCCAACAGAGGAAGACATTTGGTTGTTTTTGTGGTTGTGTGACATCCTTGTCTTTGCCTTCTGGTCAGGCATGATTCCAGTGTGGCCTTGTTTTCATCCTATTTTACCACAGTCACAGAGTCAGCTCATTTAATTATTTGGGACATTCTGTGAAAAAGTTTATGTTCAGGCCAGGCACGGTGGCTCACACCTGTAATCCCAACACTTTGGGAGGCTGAGGCAGGCAGATAAAGAGGTCAGGAGTTCGAGACCTGCCTAACAAACATAGTGAAATCCCGTCTCCACTAAAAATACAAAAATTATCCAGGCATGGTGGCGCGTGCCTGCAGTCCCATCTACTTGGGAGGCTAAGGCAGGAGAATTGCTTGAACCCAGGAGGCGAAGGTTGTGGTGAGCCGAGATCGTGCCACTGAACTCCAGCCTGGGCAACAGATTGAGACTCTGTCTCCAAAAAAAAAAAAAAAAAATTATGTTCAGTAGGGAACATTACAACCTAGCTATTAGCTGCCAGGGTCATTTTGGCTTGTTTGTTTGTTAATCAATATATAGTGAAAAGACCAGGTAATTTAGTTGATTTTCTTCAGAAGTGAATTAGCTTTTAAAATTTCTACTAGCAACAAATATTATATTTACAATTGTACATATAGAATTTTATTGTTACCTATAATTATGTATAATTATATATAATTTAAATATAAATTATGTAATATTTTAATCTATACTATATATGTACATATGTGTGTACATATACACAGAAAGGGAGAGAGATAGGGACGTCTTTTCTGTTACTCACTGGGATGCATGCAGCTCTTAGCAGCAGTCAGATTAGAATTTGTACCTAACTCAATGACTTTTCCACAACTTTGATGGCTTTAAGAGGACTAGATTTTTATTTACTGCATTCTTATTGCAAATTTTGGCCTTATTGCTATTTGCCTTGAGAGGGCAAAGAGTCATTTCACAAGAAACAGCCCTAAGTTGCTTTTTCATCTTTGATGAAATTAAGTTTTCCTAAATCTGGGCGATATATTACTCATTGCTTTGCAACCAGATGGGATTCCTAATTGCAAATTAATTCTAAAGTCCTGGAGGTCACGGCCATATTTTATACATCCTTATGTGATGCTCTCCAATATGACTGACAAAAGTTATCAATGCTCAATAAATAGTTGCTGATGAGTAAATCACACACACTTGTGTGGGTGCGCACACACAGGCGCACTCACAAGTGTTTCTGGTTGGTCTTGACATTTTCATCGATACTCATTTTCTGACATCTCAAAACTTTCCACTTCTCTGTGTATGATATCATAATAATATAATAAACATAGTTAACCAATTAGTGTTGAAGATTAGAACAGACAAGAAGGAGAACTGCTGTGTCCTTCCCTCTTACTTCAAATACATACCCCATGTCACATGGAGTGATTTGTACAGATGGTGAAGAAGCATCTGTACAAGAGAAAAGAGAAGGCAACAGGTGGAAAGTCTCTGTGCAGCTGGTAAAATGATGTTCCTCTCTTTGGCAAGGCAGAGGAATCAGTGCCTACAGACCAGGGAGAGACCTGTGGCTTCAGAGACACAATTTCTCACTGGCCCCTGATACTGAGGTGGCTCCAGCTGAGAAGCTGGAGGAATTTGGAAGCAAAGTGCAGTACCGGTTTTAATGGACTAGAACTTTGTCAGTGATTAGAAGATTAACATGGGCATGCAATTACTAAAAAAAATAGTGAAGAGAGATGAATATTTTTGTGTTTTAAGGAAAAAACTCAGAAACCAGAGTTTTCTGCAGAGCAACTGGCAATACAAGTCTGGTACATTTACTGAAATATGAGAAAACTGAAAACATGGAAAGACGGTCCATTAGCTAGCTAATCAGCCCTGGAAGATGAAGTGAGGGCATTGAGATCCTTATTTTGAAATCAGGAGAAAAGAGGGGCAAGTTTAAATGATGAACTCAGAGGCATCCTGAAGGGAATGCCTGGCCCACTTCTATTGCAAATGTCAAAGTGTTTTTGAATGTTAATGTCCCTGAACCTACCCTGGGCCCAATTTCATAATTTTAATTGACTCTTGTGTATAAAGAATTCCCACTGCTGTCAATTTAAATTGTGCAGTTAGAACTCCAGGACTGGGTTCACTGTCTGCCAAGAGTATATTCTTTTAATACATTTTTATTTTTATAAAACCACATTGTGAGTCCAGAGGGAGAAATTGGGTAGAGGCTAGGGAATCAAGCCTGGCCTCTCCCTTAAATCACTTTCTGCATTTGGAAATGTCAGCCACTCGGAACACCCTTTCCTTCAAGTGAAAAATAAAGAGAATACTACTTATATCACAGTAGACATGGGAAAGGATTAAAGTTTGCATAGTCGACCAGGGTAGACAGAAGTGAAGATCTATGCAGAAAGAGAAAAAAAGGGGACTTAATCCTGATATGTGAGTGCATTTCATCCTGAATTCAAAACCAAAACCAAACAACTAAATTCAACTAGAAAAAGACATGCAAATCTCAAAAACTAGGACATAAGTGATTAAAATCTCCACTAGAATTATCTAGCTCACCTCTGTCTAGGAATTCCAGTGAAGACTGTCTCCTTGTTAGAAAGACAAAAAGCCATTTGTTGATATCATGGTGCTGGCAAGTGTAAGTAGCGACAGCCACATCATATTAACTTATAGCAGGGATCTTCCTTTCAGCACTGAGTCTTGAAAAATTAGACATACTGATTTCAGTAATTTGTTGCACGGTAGTGATGTCTTTTTTTCCCTCTTTTAACAGGCATTAATTATTGCATTTCAAGTAATGTAAAATATAGCAGCCTTGCCTACTGTCAGGTCAGCACGGGCTGGTGAGGTGTCCAAGTATGCATATGTGTGAGCATCTGACAGTGGGTGGTTTTGTTGCTTGCTTTATAAATATATTTGAATAAATGGCTTTTGAGTAAAGTGGTTGGAATTTAACAATTTAACTGGATTGACATATGAATTCACAGGAAGGGCTTAATTCCTGGAAAGACAGTTGTGCTTTGCCATGGCTTTGTCAGACGTGCACGCCACAATTCAGAGTACCTGGTGCAGTCAAAAAGGAGGAGGAGTCTACTGCAGAAAGAGAAGAGAAACCAGGAGTGAGGCAGAAATGGAAATGATAAATAATCTCTCCCAACTCAACCCTGACTCAGTCTCATTTCTCTCAGAGATCTAAGTAACAATGTTCAGATACTTAATCAGGGATACATATATATTTGTGTAAGTGTGTATATATAAATACATTTGTGTACGTTGTGTTTATATATATATACGTATACGTATATCTGTATAATACATATACATCGATATCTGTATAATACATATACATCGATATCTGTATAATACATATACATCGATATATGTATAATACATATACATCGATATATGTATTATACATATATCTATACATATATCGAGATATGTATAATACATATATCGAGATATGTATAATACATATATCGATATATATGTATAATACATATATCGATATATATGTTTATACATATATATCGATATATATGTATTGTACATATATATCGATATATATGTATTATACATATATATCGATATATATGTACAATACATATATATCGATATATGTATGTATAAACATATATATCGATATATGTATGTATACACATACATATACCCCACATACACAAATGTGTATATACACGTGTATATACATACACATATATATACACATGTATATACATACACGTATATATACACGTGTGTATACATACACGTATATATACACGTGTATATACATACACATATATATACACGTGTATATATACACATATATATACACGTGTATATATATACACATATATACACGTGTATATATACACATATACACATGTGTATATATATGCGTATATATACACATGTGTATATATTTATATTTGATTGCAAGCAAAGGAGTATAAATATATATTATATATAAATATATAATTAATAGATTTAATACATAATATATATAATTAAATACATATATACGTATTTATATATTTAATGTATGTATTTAATTGAAAGCAAAGGAGTATTTCTTTAAAATGCTGGAGAAAAAATACTGAATTTATTCACTTAAAAGGTTTGAGTTGGTCCCAAAAGCGTTTTAGATGGAGGCTGGGGTGGAGGGGTAGAAGCTTATTTTCTTTTAATCAGAATAAAGTTATTAGACATAAATGTCTCCTTACTGACCCAGGAACAATAACCTCAGGGGGAAATATCACCTAAATAAGGTCCCTCCCCTCCTTTATGGCTGGGTCAGGTCCTTGATCAGTTGCAAGGTATTTTCCTTGAAATGGCCATGAAAGCCTTTTCCTGGGAATAGTTCACTCTTGTAGGGTTATGGTGAAGCAAACTATGTAAAGTTTGATGCTCCTTGAATTCAGGAGCAGGTCTTTTAACTTCCCCTTGTTAAGGTGGAAAGATGTGGTGAACAGAAATGTTCTTTTCAATTTGAAACTTCATGGAGGACGATCTCTTTGTGGGACTGGTACTACACACCATGGCTCCACGTGACCTTTTCGAGGATCCCATGGTGGTTTTATCTTGATTAAAATGGTTCTGTTCACAGGAGGGGAAGGGCTGTGCCATCATCCTCCAAAAGAAGGTGGAAAAGGCAAAAGATGGAAAGAAGATACCACTTTCTCGTGGAAAGGCGGGAGGAGAAGAGAAGGAGTGAGCACAACAGAGAGGCATGTTGGAGAATGAGGGAGAGACAGAGAGAAGGAAATAAAGAGAAAAGCCAGAGGCTCAGGAAATGGCAGGGAAAGTGATCTAACTAATTGTATGAAGAGACATTCTGTCCATTTCTTCTTAGTGCAAGGCAAGAAGGAGGCACTATCAATCCCAGTTTGCAGATGGGGAAACTGAGTCCCAGTGTAAATTACCGTGCCCAAGTTCACTGGGATCATGTGTAGCCAAACCAAGATTCAGTCTTAAGTTTGCTAGACTTCAGACTCTGCCCTTTCCATAAGAGAAGGAACACCTGTGTTTCATTTTGATGAATTCTCAACAATACCTTTTAAAGTAAATAATGAATGTCCCCCTCCCTGACCTAGACAAGAGCCTACTTTGCACTTTCACCCTCAGGTTCCCCTAAGAAACACCACAAGCATTATATCTCCGCTAACCAAACCCAATCATCTGGTTTCCCAACAACACCAGGATTTTTTTTTTTTTTTTTCTTAGAGACGGACGGTAAAGGCAAGAGAATGATGGTGGAAATAAAACTGTTGTAACTCCATGCTGCCTCTGGGATTTATTTACCGTTGATCATGGCTGGGGAACTCTTTGAACCTTACATATGTGTAGGATTGTGAAGGTCGGTGTGCATATGTCAAAAAAGAGGGAGGACAGAGCGAAGCCTGATGAATAAAGAGGAAAATTCCAGAGAATGAGTAGGCTCTGTGGGGTGAAGAGGGGATGCGGCATTGTAACAAAGGAATAGAAAACTCCAGGAGAAATTATAGTTATATGATCTGTACCCAAGGAGGAAGTATATACAAGAACACTTCTTGCCCACAAAAATGTATTAGGTGGTAATGGTTCCTTATGGTGCTGTGTTCTCTGACCGAGCATGACACGTCATGTTTTGAGGCAGGCAGGAGAGAGACATGGAGGAGCGGGTTCTCTATACTCACTGCTCCCTGTGCAGTTACGCAGAGAGCTCCCTATACTAAGACAACCATTTGAGAGGGCAAATGGGGCCTGGAGTGCAACCTGAGTTTCATCACCAAAGCTGTCGGCCCTGAAAGCGATTATTTTTGCCCTGAGGATGCACCTTTTTCTAATTTTCATAAGTTTGTAGTGTGGATTGGGTCTGCCCTGCCTGCAGCCTAAGGAACCCAGAAGTGTCAGTAAGATTATGTTTGAAAATAAAATTCATCTTTCCTGTATTCTTTTGCTGTACCAGGTTCCCCCCTGCCCTATTTATTTTTTCTCTCTAGAATTCACCAGTGGTCAGACTCTGATGATTTATAAGGCTCAGGGGGAACCAACGCTTTTTAAAGCACGTGTCATAAAGGAACAATGAAATGCTCAAAATTTGAATAGACCCAGGAGGCAGAGGCAATTCCTAAAATAGTGGCTCAAGCAGCATGTGTCTGCTTCATTTTCATCTTATAGACCATAATATTTTATGTGGAAAATCATTTGATCAGCACGGGAGTTTTGATCTGTTCTGTTTCTGACCTGGGCCGGTTCATCCCTCCTTAGGCAACCTGGTGGACCCCACTCCCAAGAGGTCACCATATTGATGAATAACTTAGTGCAGATACCCAGTCGGCATAGCATAGCACACTACAGCCCAGAACTCCTGGGCTCAAGTGATCCTCTTGCCTCAGCCTCCCAAGTAGCTGGGACTACCGCACCACCGCATCTGGCGGAAAAGTCATTGGAAAATCAGAGTTGCTCATTGCTACTAATTTGGAGAACACTTACATTGATCCCTTGTGTCTGAGGAAGATGCTACTAAACTGAAGAGATGTTCTTAAGCCCTCTCTGCATCAGAGGGCTCTTACTTGCAATTCCCCACTGGACATAGATGCCAGGGAAAAACTATATTTCTATTTACAATCTTAATTATTTGCAAAGCCAGCTTTCTCCTCTTTCTTCCTCTCAAACAATTATACAATATTTTGACCCAAGTTCAGAGACTAATGTCTGCTATAGAAAGCAGGCAGACAGAGTGATATGATGGCCAAGAACCTAGAGGCCCAGACAGTAGTCATGGTAGAGTCACTATTTGGCTTCATGATCTTGGGCAAACCACTTACCTCCTGTGATTATGTAAATTAGGCAAACATTGCAGTCTGTCAGTCCCATGGAGGTTTTTGCAACACTCAGTTGCATATTAAAGACCCTGAGGAGTTCTACAATACAAAACCCTGTTTACGAATTTGAGAATGTAAACTTGTTTTCCTTCATAGCACAAATATTGATACACAGAGCAGAATATTCCAGACAGAGAGAAGAATGTCAAAGAAGGCCTAGAAAAGCAGAAACAAACAAAGAAAACTTGACATAGTAAGTTCTACCTAGCCAGAATCTGAAGTGACATAAATCCTAAGCGGAGTAGGGAAGAGGTCTGGCCTCGATATGTAAACTTTGCAGAGCTTTGCAAGTCATGTTGTGAGCTGGACCCATCTCTAAAAACAGGCTTCACTTAGAAATGGACACAGCCCTGAACTAGAAGTTGTAGGGTCTAGGTACTAGTCCCTGTTCTATCCCAAATGTGGAGACTTAAGCAGACCATTTCCCCCTGTTTAAGCATCAGCCTCCACATCTGTAGCACAGGAATACTCTGTATGCCTTACATGGTTTTGTGTATCAATTAAGTAAGAGCTTATGGAAGCGTTCTAATCTACCCTGTACTCCCTAAGCATAAAAGGTTAACCCTGCCCCCTAAAATCTTATGGCTATACCTATACTTTTCTGCAAGTTATTATTTTTAAATTTACATTTTAAGTAAATATCAAAAAACAATGCATTTAGTTGTTTTGAATGCAATCAAATGGATACAAATAGATACTCTAAATAATTGAATTGGTACTATTAGATGGCACACTTGAACATTGGTTACTGCCAGAATCAACTGAAATTCATGATCTCTGGCTGACGGATTTCAGAATCTTTTTTCTTGACAGATGGAGAGATTTGAAAATAGTTTAAAACACATAAGCTTACTCACCGCAATTGATTTGAACATATTTACTGGATTGTTTTAGCTTAAATAGACAGAAGTCAAACCTAAAGACTTTTTATAAGAGTTGATCACCACATATAAAAGTTCTATTGTGAGCTTAAGACTGAGGATGAAAATTTATATCAGAGCTAAGGGGACACAGAACTTGCACCTGAGCAGAGAAAAGTTTTATAAGATCATTTAGAGACCTCGAGTTTTCTGCTGCAGCTGGACCAAGAAGACACTATTCTTCCAAAGGGAACAAGAAACATCTGAGAAGTGACTGAAATGTTTCAGTGTATCTTACACATAGACTGCCCCTTTTTTGTAAAAAAAAAAAAAAAAAAAAAAAAAAGGGCTCTCTCACTACCTGTTAGACATGCCAAGGGCGACTCGTTAGATGTCCCAGCTTTAGAAACAGATTTGCAAGCCAGAGTGTTCCAACCCTGCAGTTGGATTGTGAATTTTTAACCGTCACAAGTTTGGCCTTTGAGCGGGACTTGAGAAAGGAAGAAAGAAAAGAGGTAAAGAATGAAGAAGAAAAGCAAAATAAATCAAAAGCAGCTTTCTTGGTAACGCGGACATCTCCAAGGCCATGTGCAAAAGCACTGGGTCTCTAATGATATCAATTAGGCCCGACCCGCTGGGATATGGGAGATATATTGTATCCACAGAGTCTGCTCAAGTCCATATGTAAAAGGTCATTAACTGGGTACCGAACATTACAAATTATCGGCCAAGGGTGCCTCTCTATCCCCTATGCTTTGAACAGTTCTGAAATAAATTATAAACAGTAATGGTTTCATGTTGACAAGCTAATTCCACTGAAATTTTTCTTTCTAAATCAAGGAAAGTATTATTTTTTAAAAATATCCAGTGTGCGTTGAATGTGGATTCATACTGGCACGGACGCACACACATGTACACATAAGCACAAAGAAAGGCAACTGCCTGCTTTTCCCAGCTCCATTTCCCAGTTGGGATGGGGGATAGGTGACTTCTCCATCGAAGTGAGGATTTCCCAAAACATTTTCTTCCTTGGCTGATCTCTTTGCATCTCTTTCAAGGCACGGTGGGTGTCTTCACAGCAGTGGGTGCATTTGTTGAAGCAGACACTGTAAACTACTTAATAAAGGTTTACAATTCCATATTGGTGTGGGACTATTTTGGCAGCCTTTCAGGGAGATGTCATCTCTCCCAGGGCTGTGTTTAGGATGCTGTGGCCACCTGAAGGCATTCTCACAGGCTGACAACCAGCGGCTCCTTGCTGCCACCCTTCCTCTGATGCCCGGCCTCATGCTGAAGCTGCAGAGATTTCCCAGTCCTCAGAGAGAAACTTTGCCAACTCAAGCAAACAAAACAGAATTCTGCTACATAAGTCAATTTGAGTTGTGGTCCAACGACATCTTCAGCGTTTGGCAAAATGCTGAATTATCCAAGAAAGGGGCTTCCTCTGATAAGATCACATCTTATTTCTGTGCCCCAAGAAAACCTTGCTCAGAAGACTGATTTGGGGTGGCTTTTTTCTGATTTCTATACCTAATTTATTCTGTATTAGAAGGTAAGATCAAATAGATCTGAAACCTCTCTGCACTAATTTTAAAGTGACGACTTGAGTTTGTTTTCACGTTTTGGTTTCTGTATATTTTTTTTTCAATTATTCATGTTAGATACTTCAGAGTACTACAAATTTTGGCGGTGAATTTGAAGAGATTAAAAAGTATGTTTTTTTTAAATAAAAAACAGATTTCTACAAATGGAAATATAAGAGGGGGAAACTTGACCAAAATATATTCTCACCTTGCAGTACTATGCCACCATATGAGTGTGGAATTGTTCTCCATTCAATATGTTCTTCTAAATTCACAAAATAAGGCACAAGAGTAGCAACACGGTAATCCTGTGGCCCTTGCTGTAGGTTATGTTATTCTTTCTGTCTCTGAAACACAGCGAGAGTGACCAGCTCTTCCCATTTTGCACAGGACTATTCCTTGTTTTAGAACAAAAAGTTCCATGTCCTGGGAACTCCCTAGGTCCTGGGACACCAGGAGGTGTGGTCATTTCCACTCCCAGACTAGTGTTCCCTGCCCCAGGGTGCTGCAAAGTGAGCTCCCTTTCAGGATTTTTCTGAAAGACATCACCATAACAGCACACTTTAATTAAAAGTTAAACTTTCCATGTGGATCAAAATTTGTACCTGTGAGATATACTAAAATCATAGAAGCACAAATCCTCTCAAAGACAGTGTTTCTGATAGCACCCCTTCCGTATAGTTTAGAATGAAAAGCCCCTTCTGGGCAGGGAGTCCAGCATCCAGGTAATGCTTAGTGGCACCAATGCTCTAGAATAAAAAGTGCTAGGAGGCACTGCAGAATTTTCACTCACTAAATCCCAGTCCCAGAGGGAACACAGGCTTTTCCTAGAATGACAAACATCTGCTTTAGGGACTCTTAGAGGAAAAAGGCAGCTGCATATAAGACGTAAGTGGTTCCAAGTGGCTCTTTCATTCTCCAATATCCAATCTCAGTGACCTTTATAGTATCTGAATTTATGATCAGGTCTTTAGCTATACCCTGAGTTCATTTCCCCTTATCTTGCTTTACTGTTGACTTGTCTGACCCAAACTTTCTATTTGTGAAAGAAAAAGACACAGTCTTAGATTCACAGGGCCTAGCTTTGAGCTGGCTCAATTGTGTCCTCAGTCTGGCACTTTGAACGAGACCTTGAACTGTTCATGACTTCCATCTCCTCATCATTAACAGGCCCCATAAGATTGATGTCGTTGGGCTGTAAGTGTTTAGCGAAAATGTCTATGAATTATGGACCACAGCCCCTGAGAAATAGTAAGTGCTCAAAATATATTCACTGAGACCAAATTCCCCTTGAGATTTCTTCCTGTCTCTCTACTTAGTTCTCTGACAACTTATTTTCTGACCCTTTATTGACTTCTCCTCTTCGTTACCCGAAATTGAGTATGAGAACATTAAGTTGAGGATTTCTGAAATGTTGAAGACAAAGAGATTGCTGCTAGTGTGTGTGATTGGAATACTGAACTTCCAGCCTGTCTCGATGAAGGTTTAGTGACGGAGAAAAGCCTCATACATTTCCTTAGAGGCAGTGGAGAGAAGTGGTGAAGATAGTGAGCTTTAGAGATGGGTTGCCTATGTTTGAATTCCAGCTCTGCAACTCCATCACTGCATCCCTTGTCTAGGATTTATCCCTCTGTGCCTCAGTTTTCTCATCTCCAAATGGCAGCAATGATTGTAACTCATTCCTAGAGTTGTCATTTTAAATATACTATGTAAATGCATTAATATGCACCGAATAATGGCAAATAGTAAGTGCTCAGATAGTTCAGTGGGTTCAGCTATTACAACTTCTTCAACCTCCTCAGGAGCCCATATTACCACTGGTTTTTCCATCTGTCTCCACCTGTAGCATGCAGATACCCTCAACAATGCTCTGTATCCATCTTTCCTAGAGCATTCAAGCACTCATCTCTTACAGGACGTCAGAATGATTTACTGAATTGTGATTGGAACTCATTAAAATATAATATGTTTGGGTTTTGTTGATTATGTACTTAAACTGAGCTCTGAAGTTTTGTTCATCATTTAAAAACCTGGTAAATAGAATAATTTAAACATTTGCAGATTGTATACTCAGCTGCTGTGATTTGCTTTCACTTTTAAGTTTCTTTCCTCAATAAAGTGTGATGACTTTGACTATTCTAAAATGGGAGGTCTTCTGCTTGGTAATGTAAATTTTTTATTGTTATTGAAGCTTTTGTAGTTTTGTAGTTCTTGTAATTACCTGGTGACCCTCTAGCTTAGTGTAAATGAGCTATTTACAGGTAGAGACTTAAAATGGAGACACTACTTTGTATTTTAGGGATTAACTGAATTAGGAATTTAGGGACATGCAGAGAATACTAAAGGTAGTGAGTGTTCTAGTTCTTCCTTGCTGTGTATGTACATACTTTTATCATCTCAGTCCTCAAGGCAGAATAATATGCAATTTCTTTAGCCTTGGATTATTTGTAGTGCTTCCTTGTACCCTGATTACAGTCATGCTGAGCAATGATAGTACTTCTACTATTTGAAGTACAGGATTTAGGAACATTTCTCATCCTTCTTGTCCATCATGTGTGTCTGCCAATGGTAGGCATGTATGAATGAGCCGAGATGCATGGGCACTCCTCGAATAGGAGCTCAAACTGAGGCATTTATGTGTGCAACAGGGAAGGTCTCTCGTGCCAGGTCTATGGATTAGTGGCCCCAGAAGGCCAACATAATGATAATTTCTATTTGTTCACTTGACTGGGCTACAGGGTGCCCAGATATTTGGTTAAACAGTATTTTGCAGGTGTATGTGACAGTGTTTTTAAATGAGGTTAATATTTGAATAGGCAGACTGAGTAAAGTAGATTGCTCTCCCCAGTGGGGGTGGGCTCCTCACCTAATCTATTGAAGGTCTAAATATAATAAAAGACTTATGAAATACATTTCAACAGAGCATGTATTTTGTGTCACCTATGTGTTATTGGTTTACTTATTTTGTAATACAATTGGAAAGGTAGTATCAGCAAAGACTAAAGTCTTGTTTGAGAGACTACAGTTAAGAAGGAGAAGCCAGTTTCTTTATTCCTAAAATGTGCTGTCTCCTGTTATAGCAGCTTCTGTTATTTTTGTCTAAGAAAAACATAAAAACAAAAACAGAAGCAAAACTCTTGGTTAGCTCACATAAAAGGAAATTCTCCCTGTCTATCTTCGAGCTGGTGCCTAGGTCTTCTGCCTTCAAAATCAGATTGAGACTGGAATTTACACCATTGGCTCTCCTAGGTCTCCAGCCTGCTAAATACATATCTTGGACTCCTCAGCCTCCATAATTATGTAAGCCAATTCCTTACAGTAGAGATAGATATAGATAGAGATCTTTACGGTTTTGTTTCTCTGGAGAGCCCAAAGTAATACAGTCACCCTATTTTGTCTTTTCCCTTTCTTCACCCTCCACCAGCTTAGTTCCAATGAGCCGTCTTGTGCTCTAAGTCCATTTATCTGCACCCAGGAACCCATTTATGTGTATTTAGAAACTGTAGGATTGGCTCAAATTCAGTGTGAGCTCCACTGACGGCTTCACATGCTTCCTCAATCTCTGATCTTTGTCCACGGTTCCAGAGATCAAATAGCTTCTCTGTATTCACCCTTGCTTTCCCCTTCGGATCTTCCTCCTTCTTTTGTTCGTCTCATCAATTTTCAACATTTCTTCTTTCAACATGTCCCATATTGTCTCAGAAAATGCAGATAAACAAATTGTTACAGAAATAAAAAGCATAGTGAAAGCAGCAAGAAATAGATAATGCTACAAATATATCCATCAGTTCGGAAGACAGGCTTGAGACAAACAAAAAATTGTAAGAAAAAAGATAAAAATAACTAAAGATAATATAGAATCAGAGATTAATGACTGGTGTACTTACAAAAGGAGCAGAACTAACTAACACCCAATCAAAAAACCTGACCATTTAGTAAAAAATAGATAATCAATGGAATAGAAAATACAGGGAAAATGTTTTCAGATAAGATAATTAAAACCAAATATATATGTTTAATTAATACATCTTTGTACTATTAAAAATTTCAACAGAGCTGAGCACAGTGGCTCACACCTGTATTCCCAGCTACTCAGGATGCTGAGGTGGGGCAATCACTTGAGTTCAGGAGTTTCAGACCAGCCTGAGCAACATAGTGAGATCCTGTCTCTCAAATTTTTTAAAAAAATGTGGTTGCACAGGTAGTTCCAGCTATTCCAAAGGCTGACACAGAAGGATCACTTGAGCCCAGGAGTTCAAGGCTGCAGTGAGCCATGCACCACTGCAGTTCAGCCTGGAAGACAGAACGAGACGCCTTGTCTAAAAAAATAAGTAAAAATAAAACTTCAACAGAGAGTGTATTTTATGTAACTTGTTATTGATTTATTTGTGATAAAATTGGAAATTTAGTATCATCGAAAACTAACTTCTTGTTTGAGATACTGTTGTTAAGAAGGAAAAGCTAGAGTTTCTTCATTCCTAATATTGTGGTGAGACTTTTGTCATTGCATTTTCCATTGTTATTCATATATATGGAATAAAAATCTAAAACCAAAACCAGAAACAAAACTCTTTGTCAGCCCACATAAGGTCTCGTATGATATGTTCAGTGTGAACCTGCTCAGCTTTCTCATTTGTGGACACACATACAGAAATTATCATGAGTCCAACATCACCCTCTACCCTACCTCGCACATACTCTTTAGAGAACAGAGGTCACCTTCCATATTCCTAAACCAATGCTTCTCAGCTGAGGGCTAGGGAGGCACTTTTCCTTCCAGCAGACATTTGGCAATATCTGGAGATATTTTTGGTTGTCACGACTGGGGAGTGGTGGTGTGCTACTGGTGCCTAGAGGGTAGAGACCAGGGATGCTGCTCAATATCTTACATTGAACAAGACAGCCTCTACAACAAAGAAGTATCTGGCCCAAAATATCACTAGTGCCAAGATTGGGAAACCCTGTTCTACACTCCTAGCATTTGGCACAATAATTTGCACGTAGGTGGAGTGCTGCGTAGCTTGTTTATAATTGATTGACAGAGAGTGGATCTAAATAAACCTTTTCTCTCTCTCTCTCTCTCTCTTTAAGAATTAATACCTAAGGTATATAACTGACTGCCCAGGCTTCGTTTGTTCAAAACCTTTTCATATTTGCTACCTTATCTGATGAACAAATCTCACTATGTCAAGAGGAGAGAAAGCGTATAATTAGCAGAAATAGCACTGGATGTAGGGTCTAGGTTAAACCTGATTTCACTTATCAGCTATGTATCCACGGCAAAGTCAGGAAAACACCTTGGGTCTTAGTGATTTTTATTGCTAAAATGATAGTATAAAATCATTCTTTTTCTTTGTTTTAGTTTTAAGACTAGTACTTGGACTCAAGCAGTATGACAATATCCCTATGTTACACATCAGGAAATTGAGACTAAAATAAATTAGTTCAATTTCCCATCGTAACATGACCTATAAAATCCACGGAAGGGGATTCAGTCATCTCACCCACACCCAGCAAGATGAAATTTCAACCTATTAAAGGTTTTTTGCCTCATTATTATCATTAATTTTCATGGACATCTCAACATGACCACAAATATCAGGCACAGACAACTTACACTGAAATGGATCATTCACGTTCACCCCTTTTTAAGTTGACAAATGGCCATACCCAGGTGTAGAGGTGAGCCCATATGCACATCATGACCCTAGCCTGAAAATATAGTTCTTTCATTTTCTTGGCTGCAAAATATGATTTTTTCTTCCTTACACCTTCACTTTCTGAGCAGCTTTAGAAACACATCTGTTTTCTATATGTTGAGGAAGGAAAACATGAATGCTTTATTATGCCCTACATAATCTAATACATTACATCGCTTATGGGCTGTGTTATTTTGTAAAAAAAATTCCCAGAAATCTCTAGAGGTACAGAGGCACAGAGGCACAGAAAGACCTAGAAAAGAAAGCTTCCTTGAACAAGGAGATGCCAGGGCATCCCTCAGATCTTAAAGCAGCCACGCTCATGGGTCCAGTCCACTCCTTTCAAGATTGACAAGTGATCACTTAATCCCCCAATAAACTTTATTTATAGAAGAGCACTTGAGATTGCAGGCCACCTGTGCACATCTGCTTGGAAGAACCGTAGGGTCTGGACGGCAGCCTTGTTCTGTAATCAGTGAGATAAGTCAAAGTGAATAAGAGTTGGACTCAGACTCTTCACAGTGTGTTCCCTGGACACATAAGGGGCACTCTCACATAGCTGCACATGATTTCTTTTCAGACCAGAAGACCACTACTATCAAGGCAACCCCTCCAGTATAATTACTGACAGGAAAGAAGCCCTTCTCAATGCCCAATTTGTAATTAAGCAGGAATCCAAGTACTATTATGGTCCAGCAATGAATGTTACCTTAGTGTTTTTATCTTTTCAGAGAATAAGCAGTGTCTGGCCGCCACATTGAAGTTCACATTATATATTCTCAGTTCTATTCATGATGAAGACATGCTTTCAATTACTTTCTTTTGGAATGCTCTTTGAGAAAAATAATATTCTAAGGAGTAACCCAAACCTAATAGAAAACTGGGCAGAAGATTTGAAAAAGCAATTCATAGAAGAGAAAATGCAAATGAACTATAAATATATGAAAATATTCTCTACCACATGAATTTAAATCAGAGAAATAAAATAAAAAATTAATGAGATACATTTTTACCCCATTAAGATAAGAAAAAATGAAAAGTTAGACAATGTCAAGTGTTAACAAGGATGTGGAACAAAAGAACTGTTACCCATTGCTGGTGACATAAATTGATTTAAACTATTTGAAAAATGATTGGTCAATATCCAGTAAAGTTGAAGATGCCTATATTTTATCACCTAGCAATTTTGTTCCTCAGTACATATGCTAAATAAACTTTTGCATATATATATACTATTAATAGCAGGCATAACAAAGAAAGCTCAGTGAAGCACTGCTTATAAAATAATAACATTGAAAACAATACACATTCATCAGCAGAAAACTGAAAAAGTTGTGGTGGGTTCACAGAATAGGATGTTTTTAACCATGAAAATGAACTAGAGTCACAAGTACACACATGGTTGTGTATCAGAAAAAAAATTCTGAAAATTATTTGTGTGAACAAGAGCACATAAACCCAGTAGAGAGGTGATATATAGTATGTATCCGTATGTATACATAAACATTTATATGTATGATATATGTATATATACACTCTAGAACACATATGTATCATATACATATATGTTTGTTCTGGTATGTATATGACATATTTATATTTATACTTATATGTATATATACATCAATATGTATATATGCGTGCATATATACATACTACCTATCAACTCCCTATAAAATCTAGAAGAAACATTCATTTGGTGTGCTAAAATATATAATCTTATCTCATTTCTGTAAAGTTTTTATTTCCTCAAAGGAAAATCTGTCAAAATCAATCAGCACACTAAAATATAAAACACTCATCTCCTTTGTGTGCGAGACTCCGTTAAAAAAAAAAAAGAGAGAGAGAATATGTTATAAAAATATTTAGCAATTGCTATGGTATAGACACTGGCAATCAGAACAGATAGTAGCTACACCATTGTTTTGGCCATATTGGAGTTGAATGTCAGCCCTTTCCATATGCTTTCAAGGTTGCACAATGTGCAATGATAGATCCAAAATAAGATACAAACTTGCTATCAAGAAATTCCAAATCCTGAGAGTGCACTAGATAGAGACCATCACTTCTGTATTAAAATGAATCATCTGCGAGGGTCTCGTGCTTTGGATGTTTCTAGGCAGTTCTGATTCTGATTCTAGCTCTGTTAGTCGTTGGACTATTCTGAAATTCTGGCATTTCATTACATAACCTCTATTTCACAGACATCCTTTTACACTCAACAGTGGTATAGAAACCTTTGTCAGCTTTCAGATTTGTGGCTCAGGAGACAGAATCCCATAGGATAGATAACAGTGATTTAGTTTTTATCTGAACATGAACATATGTGTTTCTCTTTTTTTTTTTTTTTTTTTTAAGAGAATGGTACTAATGCATATGCAATAAATTTTAAGTAAAGACAGGGTTTCAAGTATCAAAAACTGTTCTCTGGACCTCTGTTGAATTTGAACCATTCTACATGACATGAATAGCTCCACTGCCCCACTAACCTGTGAGGCCACTCTTGGTTGGCAGGTGGGAGAAGAGATAAAATGAGACATGCAAAGAGTTAAAATAAAGAGAATGTTCCTCCTTGACCTTCAGATTCTCCTTATTTACTCCTGGGTTGAAAGAACATGAAAGTTACTGCAAAAGCATTTCAAACATCATCATGATAGAGGGAATCAAACAATTTAATTAAGAGTGAAACATCAATGTAAAATGCTGATGATTTCATCCTTGAGGTGCTGATGGTTCATATTAGTATGGAAAGAATGCAGGTAAGACATTTTCAATGCATGAAAACATCAAAATGTTTTGAAAGTTATTTTAAAGTCCAGTTTCCTTTATGGATTGAAATGTTATGGCCTTTAATCACTTGTTCTATCAGCAACTAACATTCACTAAATAATTATAAATTAAAAATTATAAAATTATAAATTATAAATTAAATAAGGAGGCAGTCAACGGCTTAACTAATTCATGCACTAAGCATTTCTGTACACCCACAGTGGGAGGAACATTGTAGCACAATAAAAGTGCACTAAATCCATAACATTCTTTAGTTTCCACACTGAAAGAAGAAAATGTAATAAATATAGTTTCTATAGGGTGTGATGAAACAGAATTTGGGGATGATAGCGTTGATAGGTAGAAAGGATAGAAGATAATATGAGGAAATTAAAATAGAGGGGAGGTAAATGAGCATAAGAAAATGTTCAGGGCAGTAATCATCTAGCACAGTCGGAAGTCTCAGGCTATCAGCTCCAAGGCAGCAAGGAAAATACTGGTTTTATTCTCAGCTGCCTGATACATAGAAAGAACTCAAAAACCTCTTGCTCAATGACTGAGTGAGACATAGCAGATTCCAATATGTAAGGAGGTAGTTATATAAGGGGGAAGTGTAAAATGAAGGTTAAAAATGAAGTTAGGGCCATATTGTGCAGAGTATGGAATGCCAGAGTGAGCAATGTAGCCATTAACTTATATGCAAATGATGGGAGTGGATATGTGAGAATTGCATCCAGTAATAGCAAATAGCTCTTATTAAGACAAACTCAGAGAAAATAATCATCAACTCTGGAAAAAAAATATGAAAAGCAACTACCCAAATACACTGGGCAGTGAATAATAGAGGCAGATGCTGGAGAAGAATTGTCACTTAAAAAAGGGAATAGTTCTCTATGAATATCCCATTTTCAGAGATTATTTTATAGAAGGCAAGTCCCAGACTGCATATCACATCAAGTATGTAAAACTCCAATAAGAAGCCTACAGTATTACTAGTCTGAAGAATGAGAGGATTGAGCTTAGGACAACTACAGCCAACAGAAAGTGGGGAGAAATCCTGGAAAGGATAAAACAAGAGACAGAAATCCCCAAGTTCCATGAATCAACTCTGCCCCAATATCTGAATGAATCCTGAATTATGCCTGTACAAAGTGAATTCCAAGCAGCACAGCTAAAGTTAAGGAACAAGCCTGAGAACAGACTATCAAACGCAAGGCAGACAGAGTTTCTAGTTTAAGTTCAGCCAAGTTAACTAACAGCTTTAAAAATACTCAGCATTCTTTGAAAGAACATAACAGAATCCAGAATCTCTACAACATGTTATTTAATATATTCAGAATAAGATATTTCACATAAAAAGAAATAGGCTTATAATACCTATTTTAAATAGAAAAGAAAATGATCGGTTTCCAATTCCCAGGTGACCCAGATGTTGGAATTAGCAGACACAAATTCTAAAGCAGTTTTCATAACTATGCTGAATAAAGTTAAAGAAAATATGCTTATAATAAGCTAAACGATAGTGAATCTCAGCAGATAAGTCCTAGAAATAAAAAAGTAAATATCTGAAATATGTAAAGAAAATTACTAGAGTGGAATGGATTTAATAGAAAAATGGAGATGACAGAAGGAATTCAGTGAATGTGAAGATAAATCAGTGGGAGGTATTCAATCTAAAGATACAGCTGATACTGAAAAAAAAATGAACAAAGCTTCAGAAATTGAAAAGGAGTAGGAACCCCCTTAGGAGCCTACTGGGCACCCTTCCCAACATTCTACCCCAAAACCCATGTCCCCAGCACAGAAATAATGGAGAATGTTGAGTTCCTTCAAGGGAAATTCCAGGCACCCAGCAAGCCTTGAGAAGTAAATGAGCAACCTGATAAGCAAGAAAGTAATAATAACTTAAAACAAAAGCCAAGGAAGTTAGAGTCATGAGATGTTTGGTTCTTGATAGAAACTAAAAATAATATCTTAACATATGTCCCACCTGTTTTGTTGTTGTTGTTTCGTTTTGTTTGTTTTTCAGAAACAGGAGTGATAAGGGGGAACTGAGGACTAAATTTTTCTAAAGGTCTTCCTAAGGTTCCTGGAAGAAGTCACGTTTATAAGCCAGAACTTACATATCTTTCTGCTGTCCCAAAATTTTTAAACAAAACTACTCTTCCTTAACCAACTGCAAATCAGAAAATCTTGGAATCTACTTATGACCTGTAAGCCTCCGCTTCAAGATACCCCACCTTTTTAGACCAAAGCAATGACTAACCTCCATGTATTGAGGTATGATTTTGCCTGTAACTTCTGCCTTCTTGAAAGTTACCCATACCTTTAAAGACCCTTGCTTGCAAGCCACTGAGAAGATGGGTCTAAAGTGTGCATTGCCCCATTCTCCTTGCCTGGTTCCCTGCAAATAAATGCCCTGCTTTCTGCAGTGGCAAACCTCAGTGTGGATATTTGGTTTTACCCCACTGGATGAGTGGACCCACTTTGGTTTGGTAACAAAACCTATGGGGGAATATAAAAAGCTTTAACGTACACATTATTGGTGTCCCAGAAAACAAAAATAAACCATTAAGTAGGAAAAAGTATTTGCGGAAGTGATGACCAAAAATTTCTCAAAGTCATAGTTTTCATAAGCTCAATGATGCTCATATAGGGTACATACAAATAATACCCCATCTTTTCTCATAAGCGTTAGACTGCTGAAAACCAAAGAAAAAGACAAACTCCTAAACCTGGCTGAGAGAAATGTCATCATGTTTAGAAAAAAAGACAAATTATCATTGGCTCTCTATTAGAAAAATTGGAGTCTAGAAAATCATGGAATACTGTCTTAAAAGTTCTAGAAGAAAAAAAAATACGTACACACACATATATATTTATATACATATATATATCAACCCAGAAATCTACAGGCAGTGAAAATATTTTTTAAGAGTAAAAACAAAATTAATACACTTCCAAATCAAAGAAGATTAAGAGATTAGTCACAAGCAGAATTATGCTATAAAAAAAGTAAAGCTCTTCAGGCAGAAAGGAAATTATGCCAGATAGAAAACTGCATATTTAGAGTTGAATAAAAAAGAAGTCACTGGAAATGTATAAATGGAAATGGTAAATACACAAGATGCAGGGAATCAATGAAGATTTTTGAGTATACGTCTGAATTATTCTGTGAGCTTGTTATTCATTTATTAATCTGTGAAATGTCCCAAGAAAATATAAAGAACATTTCAAAGATATATATTATATAGCTATGATATTGTAAAATATATATTTGGCCTTTTACCCTGTTTCTGGCAATACAATTTCTAAAATCCTTAGAATCTCCAAAGTGGTGTTTTCTTTACAGTAATGAGTTGACTGACAGCTGGCGGTCCCTGGGCAGCTTCAGGATGGGGGTTGGTCTTCTGAATGAATGACCTAAGCAGAGCTAGAGGATTGGGACATTCAACTCCAACTTTCAAAGAGGGGAGAGGGGCTGCAGGCTCAATCTTAAACATGACTGAGAAAAATGTCATCATATTTAGAAAAAAAACTATAATTTACTCTCCATTAGAAAAAATGGAGGCCGAAAAATACTGAAATATGGTCTTATAAGTTCTAAAAAAAAAAAACCACACCCACATATATAGTCAATGGCCAATGAATTGATCATTGTCTACTGGTCATCAATGCTAAATGATTTAATCAATCATGCTTATGGAATGAAGCCTCCATAAAACCCCAAAAAACTGAGTTTGGGGAGCTTCAGATAGACAAACAGGTGGAGATACTGGGAGGGTGGTGCCTGGAGAGGGCATGGAAGCTCTGTGCCCCTTCCCATGCCTCGCCCTATGAATCTCTTCATCTGTATCCTTTGTTATATCCTTTATAATAAACCAGTAGTTCCCTGAGTTGTGTGAAACACTTTAGCAAATCAATGGAATTGAAGGAGGGGGTCATGGGAATCCTGATTTATAAGTCAGTCAGTCAGAAGCACAGGCAAAATAACTTGAGGCTTGCAATGGGCATTGGAAGCGAGGGGATTGTGCGGCAGTCTTGAGGACTGGGCCCTCAACCTGTGGGATCTAACACAATCTCCAGGTAGACAGTGTCAGAATTAAATTAGAAGGCACTCACCTGGTGCCCAGTGCAGACTGATGGGCTGCCTGCTGGTGGGGAAAGCCCTACATATATTTGGTCACAGAAGTCTTCTATGTTGATTGTTGTGGGGTGAGAGCAGAGAAAAAACAATCTGAGTTTTTACCATTCAGTAGCATTTTTAAAAACCCATAAAATGAGTTGCAAGGGAAAATGAAGCTAGGTTAATAATTTGGAACAAAAATCTTATTTGTGCATAATATATTGATGGTGTCTTATGCACTTGACAGAAGCCACTTGCAGATCTATGAATTTAATCTACATTACGAAGAGACTTAAATGATCTGGTTCATTGCTAGGTCCTCAGCATCCACGGGTAAAAAGGTTAAGGAAAGGCATTCCGAGAAACAAATGAGGGGCAGATTATCAGAGCATAAGATGCTTTTGGGAAGAAGGAAGCACCACTGCTTACCATATCTATAGGTTCTACAAGGCAAGGACAAACCAGAGACTCAGGAAAAGAAGAGCTAGCTCTGATACCAATAAAATCAAAACACAAGATGTATAGCTGGCAGACATTCAGAGACAGTATAGTCCAAATTCTTGTTGTTAGCCAAGAAAACTACAGCCCAAAAATGTTTGTTAAATGACATCTCAGATGTAAAAACAACAAGGGGGGGGGTTTGATATCAGAATTAAGGGCAAGAACCCAGAAAAAAGAATTGAAGTTGGTGATTTATTAATTATTGTAGGTCATATAAAGGAATATCAATAATTTATTTGTCTAGAAGAAAACAATGGTCTAGTAGCAATATACTACCATTTAACTTATGCAAATTCTAGAATACACACTCTATTACTCTGTTATTTGTATCCGTTTCTCTCTCTTAAAAAATAAAAATATAATGGGCTGTACACTCAACTGCGTACTGTATACTACCATATACATTATATGTGAGCATATATTTACGATATATACATTACTATATAGAGAGAGATAAGGAATAGATCCTCTGCACTGACAGAAAAATGAATTTTGTCTTATTAGAGCCATTTCATCTTGTCTCCTTTTTGCAGCTGATTAGCTATAACCTAAATAATAGAGAAGTTGTAACCAGGAAGTAAGGTGCTGTCTTAACAAAAATCTAAAAACGTTTGGAATTTTAATTGTTTAGTGGTGAGCGGCAAAAACACAGATATCATAGCTTGGGAAGCTAGTGTCGAACGACTTAGTTACAACTTCTAGGGCAGATGGTAAGTTTTTCAAGACAACTAAAAATAAAATTGTTAAAAAAAAAAAACTCAAAATGGGGCAGGGCACTGTGGCTCACGCCTGTAATCCCAGCACTTTGGGAGGCTGAGGCGGGTGGATCACCTGAGGTCGGGAGTTCGAGACCAGCCTGACCAACATGAAGAAACACCATCTCTACTAAAAATACAAAATTAGCTGGGTGTGGTGGTGCACGTCTGTAATCCCAGCTACTTGGGAGGCTGAGGCAGGAGAATCGCTTGAACCTGGGAGGTGGAGGTTGCGGTGAGCCGAGATCATGCCATTGCACTCCATCCTGGGCAACAAAAGCAAAACTCCATAAAAAGAAAAAGAAAAAGAAAGAAAGAAAGAAAGAAAGAAAGAAAGAAAGAAAGAAAGAAAGAAAGAAAGAAAGAGAGGGAAGGAAGGAAGGAAGGAAGGAGGGAAGGAAGGGAAAGAAAGAACGAGAAAGAAAAAAGAAAAAAACTCACAGTGATTTTGTCTGTTGGATGCTCCTTGCCGCTTCTAGCAAAGTCTTAGAGAAAGCCTGAGTAAGAATATGCAGGCAAAATGGAATGACGTTGAGCTCTGGGGATTAACGAATACCTTAAACTTAAATCAAATAAGAATCCAGATTTTTGGGGGCTTTTAAGATGAAACAGCTCACTGCTACTGTAGCCAAAACAGCAAGTGATAAGCTTCCAGATCTCTTTCAAGTATTGCTCATTAAGGTTTGTCAGCCAGAAAATGGAAGTCAGTCCAAATAAAAGTCAAATGATGTTGTCTTTTTACTCAAGGTTGCTATTTCAGATGATCTCGAGGATTCGCCATTAACAGGAAGATAGGGAGACAGACCAAGCACAGAAGCCAGAAAATAGAACTGAATGCAGAGGCCTCAGAGGTTATGTCCAGAAGAGAGTTTCAAGTGTGGTTACCTACACCTGATGCTCACTGGAAGTAAATAGACTGAATGCCTACTAAGTCTGAGGAAGTTATATTGCCAAAGAGACTCCAAGCTGAGTCTACAAATGTGTGATTTTTCAATATCTGAAGTCAATCTGATCCTCTATCTTTAACAGTTACAAAACTGCAACTTCAAGAATGGGATACTTTTCCTCATCCCATTCAGAAGTGCTTCTAAAAGGTAATGAAAAAGAAAAACCTCTCAGATGGTGAAGCCAGAACTCTTCAACCCAAATGGAAAGGACAGTTCCTCCCAGAAAGTAGAATCAGGACCCAATCAAGGAACTTTGCTGCTAAGTCAAGGGTATTTGCAATGCTGCCCAGCAGGATTTGCTAATCACAATGAATCACTGACTTCTGTGTGTTTTTCATTTTTCTCAATGGGGGTTTTCTTCATTTTTCCCCCCACTATATTTTGGGTATTAGGGAGGGAGAGATTATTTGTCTGTTAGTTTATAGGTCACTAAACTGCAACAAATCACAGCTGGGCTTGGTGAAGAATAATCCACAGGTGGCCTGAGTCTTTGAACTGGTTGCAGTAACTGAATGAGACCTTGGGTTTTCCCCTTGGGGTCAAGGTAAATACATGTCTAAAGAGAAATTCATGGTTTGATTGGCTATGCAAGGCAGACTGGAGTAGAAGACTGGTTTTCTCTCAAAATCCATCACCTCTTATTCCATATAAGTAGAACTCAATAACCTAGAACTTTCCCTCTTACTAATCCACAGTCTCCTTAGGGTGGCCATAGCCAGTCAGCTTGAGGCTGTATTTCCCATCATTCATTGCACCTCAATGTAGCCATCTGACTGATCTCATCAGTGATATGTAAATGGAAGTAAGGGATTAAATTGCATATTACTTGCCTTAATTTTATTTTCTTCCATACCTCCTGATCCTGCCTTGATCATATGCAAAACCTGCAAGAGGAAAAGCACCTGGATCCCTGAGTGATTTCTGGGAACAGAGTTGCCAGGCTGGCTTAGCTAGCTTGTTCTCTACACCTGACCTTACTTGAAAGGGCCATTGTGATTTCCTTTTTTTTTTCTTTAACGACATGTGAGTCTACACTGTTGCACTCTAAGCCATACAAGGACTCATTTTGATTAATATAGTTCTCACCTTATTAGACATTTACATTAGGAACTAATTCACAGGCAAAGTGCAATGTTACTGTATTGTTAGTCTTTAGCAAGAGTTTGCTGGCTAAATGATCCTTATACCTGTAGTTCATCTCTTTCCACTCCCCTTACCCTCACTGTTAGAATTACTGAGGGTTGGCCAACTTGGAGATAGTGGGCTATGTCACCAATGAGCTGGTACGGGGAAAACTAATGATTCAGGCTATTTAATTTCCTCTTTTATTAGTAGATCTTCTCTCCACAGGATAAATTGGATAAGAAAGCTGGAGTGGGAGAAGTTCTAGTTTGCTCTCCCCCTCCTCTCCCTCCTTTCAGCCTTGAAGAGGGCCCATTTCCCTTGCCGGGTAGCACAGGAAACGTTTTTCTCTTTGATTCTCATTTGGTCTTCATTTTACATCCTTTTTGCTTCCACTTCTCTAAACTGGATATAGTTTTGTTGGTCACTTTTCTTTCTCTTCTTTTCTCCCCCTATCCTGCTTCTGTCTGGGCATTAAATCAATTCCTAAATCTTTTTTTCTTCTCTTTTCTGCTTTTTACTGGAGAATGGGAATACATTTCCTGTTTAGAATTTTGAATACTATGTTGACATATTTTTAGAGATATTTGGTATTCAATCTCTGGATAACTTCCTGTTATCTATGACCATAAGCAACCTCCTCTGTCCCATGGATTCATTTCTTCTCAGTAGCTTAGTATTTTCTCTAGAATTTCTTTTACAAAGGAGGTATGTAGTCTTCTAGCTTGGGCACTTCCAGTCTGTATTAATCCATTCTTATGCTGCTGTGAAGAAATACCCAAGACTGGGTAATTTATTAAAAAAAGAGGATTAATAGACTCACAGTTCTGCATGGCTGTGGAGGCCTCATGAAACTTACAATCATGGCAGAAGGCACCTATTCACAGGGCAGCAGAAGAGAGAATGAGTGTCAGCAGGGGAAATGCCAGATGCTTATAAAACCATCAGTTCTTGTCAGAACTCACTCACTGCCACCAGAACAGCATGAGGAAACTGCCTCAATAATTCAATTACTACCAGGTCCCTCCCATGACATGTGGGAATTATGGGAATTACAATTCAAAATGGGATTTGGGTGGGGACACAGTCAAACCATATAATTCCATCCCGGCCCATCACAAATCTCATGTCCTCACATTTGAAAACACAATTATGTCTTCCCAACAGTCTCCCCAAATCGTAAGTCATTCCAATATTAATCCAAAAGTCCAAATCCAAAGTCTCATCTGACACAAGGCAAGCCCCTTCGGCCTACCAGCCTGTAAAATCAAAAGCAAGTTAGTTACTTATTAGATACACTAGAGGTACAGGCATTGGGTAAATACACCCATTAAAAATGGGAGAAATTGGCCAAAACAAAGGGGCAAAGGTCCCATGCAAGTTCGAAATCCATTGAGGCAGTAATTAAATCTTAACGCTCTGAAATAATCTCCTTTGACTCCATGTCTCATATCCAGGTCAAAGTGATGCAAGAGGTGATCTCCCATGACCTGTGGCTTTGCAGGGTACAACTCGTTTCCTAGCTGTTTTTCATGGGCTGGCACTGAATGTCTGCAGCTTCTCCAGGCACACAGTGCAAGCTGTCGGTGGATCTACAATTATTGGTTCTGGAGGACAGTGGCCCTCTTCTCACAGCTACACAAGGCAGTGCTCCAGGGGGAACTCCAAATCCACATTTCCCTTCTACGCTGCCCTAGTAGAGGTTCTGTTCTCCATGAGGGCTCCACCCCTGCATCAAATTTCTACCTGAACATCCAGGTGTTTCCATATACCCTCTGAAATCCAGGTGGAGGTTCCCAAACCTCAATTCTTGACTTCTGTGCACCCATGGGCTCAACACCATGTGGAAGCTGCCAAGGTTTGGGGCTTACACCCTCTGAAACCACTGCCTGAGCTGTACCTTGGTCCCTTTTAGCCATGGCTGAAGCGGCTAGGATGTAGGGCTCCAAGTCCCTAGGCTGCACACAGCAGGGGGACCATTTGTTCCTTCTAGCCCCCTGGGAAGGGCTGATTGGAGGGGCTGCTGTGAAGGTCTCTGACATGTCCTGGAGACATTTTGTTCATTTTCTTGGTGAATAACATTCAGCTACTCTTACTTATGCAAATTTTTGCAGCAGGCTTAAATTTCTTCCCAGAAAATGGGTTTTTCTTTTCTATTGCATTGTCAGGCTGTAAATTTTTCAAACTTTTATGCTCTGCTTCCTCTTGAATGCTTTGCTTAGAAATTTCTTCCACCAGATACCCTAAATATCTCTCTTAAGTTCAAAGTTCCAAAGATCTCTAGGGCAAGGGCAAAATGCTGCCAGTCTCTTTACTAACACATTGCAAGTGTCACCTTTGCTCCAGTTCCCAACACGATCCTCATCTCCATCTGAGACCACCTCAGCTTGGACTTCATTGTCCATAACGCTATCAGCATTTTGGTCGAAACCATTCAACAAGTCTCTAGGAAGTTCCAAACTTTCCCATATCTTCCTGTCTTCTGAGCCCTCCAAGTCTCTAGGAAGTTTCAAAGTTTCCCACATTTTCCTGTCTTCTTCTGATCCCTCCAAACTGTTTCAACCTCTGCCTGTTACCTAGTTCCAAAGTCACTTCCACATTTTTGGGTATTTTTACAGCAGTGCCCCACTGCCCATACCAATTTACTGTATTATTTCAGTCTCACCACTGCTATGAAGGAATACCCAAGACCAAGTAACCTATAAAGAAAAGAGGTTTAATTGACTCACAGTTCTGCATGGTTTGGAAGGCCTCAGTAAACTTGCAATCATGGCACAAGACACCTCTTCACAGGGCGACTGGAGAAAAAGTGCCAGCAGAGGAAATGCCAGACGTTTATAAAACCATCAGATCTCTTGAGAACTCACTATGACGAGAACGGCATGAGGGAAACTGTCCCCACGATTCCATTACCCTCCATTGACTCCCTCCCATGACATGTGGGGATTATGGGAATTACAATCCAAGATGAGATTTGAGCGGGGACATAGCCAAACCATGTCACCATCTGTCCTGAATCGGTGCTGGGGCCTACCTATTGGCCTTTTTCAAGAAAAGATAGCTACATTGATTGCAGCTCTTGGTTTTCAGATTATAAAACAGAGCATAAATCTCTTCCCACATTGTCTTATTTCTCTCTTGAAATGGTTACCCCATATATGCCACAGACAGCCACTCTCTTCCCTGTCCCTGGACACTATATGGCTGTAAAAAATGTTTACTGTCTGTCATGTTTTCATGTCCCTTCCTTCTCACTGCCTATCCAAATTCAGCCCATCATTCTAATTTTTTAGAAGTTTTTTATTTTTATTTTTACAAATAATGAATTACAATATGTCTGTTTTTCTGGAACTTTGTTTTTCATACTCAGTAGTTTATCATGAATACTTATTAATCTAACTCATTTGTTAAACTAGCTGCACAATATTATACAGTATTAATGCGCCATGATTTCAGTCCACCCTTCTTGGATCCACCTCCCTCACAGAGTCTCCTCCGAACCCTGTGACCCACATGGGCTTTCACATCTGACACCTCTTACTTACACACAGGCTGGAACAATGTTTTATGTTAGGCTCTAATTGGTATGTTTGTATGAAATAGTAATCCCTTGAAACTTGGAAGTGTAACTTAATTTTTTTTACCCTCATGGTATCTAGGACAATAAGTATAAGGTTATGAAATACATTAATCCCCTTAGCTGCAAAACTACATGAAGCATATTTGTCTTCCCAATGTCTAATACAGTGCCTGGCATATAGGAAGTGCTCAATTCACGTGTATCCAGATGAATGAATGTAGGAATGAATGACTCAATTAAACTTGATACTCCTGTTTGGAGAAATATTTTAATCTTCTAAAACAGCAATATCTGAATTCAAATGTGGCACCTTTTAATCTCCTTTCTCTTTCCTCCCTCTCTGCTAGGGCTGTTCTTACAGAAAAGAATATTGCATGTGTATGATGTTTTGACAAGGGTTTCTATTAATAGAATCTAAAGAAAAAATGAAAGCAAAGTGAAAATCCTATAAATGATTTTTTTGGAAGGTTGGAAAACTACTTTAAAACTAAAAACAATCTTGCAAATTAATTCTCAGGTGATGGCAGCAAGGAAGACATTATCTCAGAGTTCAGAACTAACCCTGGAGCGGGAGGGAGGCAGTGGCAGAGGCCACACTTTAAGAATACTAGAAAAGATTTTATGACAAATTAGGCTCCAGATGAAACTGCTCCTGATGTTACAGGCCATCATTATGCACAGCTATGGAATGCTGGTATGCATTAATAATAAAGATCAGCATCGCCTTCTAGGGAAAAATAGAGTCTTCCTTTAATTAACTTAAATTTTTTATCAAATTGATTGAAAAGCTCTTATCCTTTTCAATTTTTTTTTCTACTTTCAAGTTTTTTATGCATGGGCCCAGAGCAGATTCATCCTAATCAGCTGGTGTTTTGTAAATGGCCTACTTGCTTTGTGGTTCAGAAACAGTGGAGCAACAAGGAAGAGGCAATGCAGGGAATGGAGTGGGAAAACGGAAGAAAACCTATGCAGTCCACTGCAAGAAAAGAAAATGTTATTTCCTTACAAGCAAGCTATGGGCACAGCGTTTTCTTACACTAAGGCACCGAAGGGCAGTTATGTTTTAGCAGATGACATGGCTACTATGAACTCTACATCTATACTTCTTAAATCAGGAGGACTGCGGTGGGCATCCCTTGGAAGACCATTTCTACCTACTCTTCGTGTGCATGTGTATACAAATATATGTTGATTTATTTTCTAACTGTAGCTGCTTGTGTGTAGGCCACTTCTTTCAGCAGAGGTCTTAAAGTCAATGGCAATTCACCTGTCAGGGGACATTTAAGGAGACTCCTCATGAACCCACAGGTGTTGGAGTCACTTGCATTTGAGCTGGAGCCGAAACCATGAAGGTAAATAAAATCATCTAGAGGGAACAGCAAGATGAGAAAATATTCAATGTGTCTGCATTTATCTTCATTTTTCTATGAATCTGGGATAAGCTTTACTTGATACATTTTATTTCATACCATGTCCTAATACTTGTGGTTCTCTAATAAGATTAAATTACGTGTATACTTCTGGGTTACAAATAAAAATTAAGCTCATTTTAGTAACAGTGGTGGTTAAAATGCTTAAAGTCATTATAATTGAACAATGGGCAATAATAATTTGGGGAGGCCATAGCTTAAGGATAAAAATGGTGACCCCCAAATAGTCATTCACCTCATCTACTTGCTCTGGTGTTAAATACAGTTTCAGGTGGGGCCCTGGTTATAAAACTCTTAAGTTATGAGCCACTGGAAACGTGATAAATGATATAGACCTTCTCCTCATAAAAATCATATATACATAAGGCTGGGTGTGGTGGCTCACGCCTGTAATCCCAGCACTTTGGGAGGCCAAGGCGGGCAGATCACGAGGTCAGGAGATCGAGACCATCCTGGCTAACACAGTGAAACCCCGTCTCTACTAAAAATACAAAAAATTAGCTGGGCGTGGTGGCGGGTGCCTGTAGTCCCAGCTACTTGGGAGGCTGAGGCAGGAGAATGGCGTGAACCCAGGAGATGGAGCTTGCAGTGAGCCAAGATCGCGTCACTGCACTCCAGCCTGGATGACAGTGTGAGACTCCCTCTCAAAAAAAAAAAATCATATATGCATATACATGTAACATTTTACATACTATTTAGAGGGCGCATTAAACTCCTAAATTCCATCTGTAGATTCCAAGTTAAGAAGTGCAATAATCTTTAGCAAGTTTCAAAAGATGATTTTTCCATCCTTCCTAATATGTGAGCTGAGTCCAGAAATGTATCATTGACAGTAAAAGAAGAGCCCTGTTCCATCCCTTGATTCCCAAATCCATGAGCCTTTGCTATGTCAGAAACAATATTATATGTTGACCAGTGATGTAGACCATCAAACACGTTGTGGACAACATTATCCTAGGCTTGGTGATGCTGCCTACCTTGCCTCAAAAGTCCACCTCACTATGGTAATAGGCCACCTGTTTCAGTGTGATGAAAAACATGGTTAAGACTAGTGAGTTAATGAATATGACTTTTTTCACTCTCTCTTTCTACACACACACACACACACACACACACACACACACACACACACCCCAGATATATTCCAAGGCATTGCTTCTGATCAACGATGATGCCTCAGAAGACACCGTGAAGCTGTATAGGACAGAGGCATCATGAAGCTGAGTTGAAGGGGATGAAATGGGAATCACCACCTTGGATAGTTCAAATTCTTGGTCATGTCAGGAATCTCTGTAATCACTCCAGAAATGTCTATTTCTGCTTAATACCATGGTAGCTAAAGGCAGCTTTAATGCCTTCCACTTTCCTCTTCCTATCATAATAAACTTCACTCCAAAGATCAGGGACCCAATATAGAAATTTTTCTAGTTTCTAAGTATGCCTATTTTAACTATGGTTTCTGAAACTGGGGAGTAACCCCAGCATGAAGCCATGGTCCTACTGAGCTCACTGTGAGAAGAACAGAAGCCAAAACTCCACTGATCTCCCAACCTCAATAAGCACCCATACCAATGGTGGTGTTTTGGGGTCTCTGTAATTAGTATCAGCTCAGTGCCCAGCAACCCCTGAAAAGTCTGGTTATTTACCCCTTGTTGGTGGACTTCACCCTGGTAAAGAGGTTCAGGTACCTCCGGAGAATGCTGGGAGAAAGGATTATGCTATACCTTTTTGGTAGTGTAGTCAGATCCTTCCTAAAGAGTACTTGATTCCCTTGTCCCCTACCTTTATGCAATTTTACACTGGGACTGTGAACTGGTTCATGTCTGAGGATTTTGTGGAAATGCCATGTCTCTTAAGTGGGTGATTCATTCATACTTCTTTTCATCAGACATGGAGATTTTCTACTTATAAGCATAAAGTAAAACAGTAGAGCGATGCACAACTATTTAATTTATAAGAATGCCTTGATCAATCAGCCAATACCAAAGATCTCTGAGGGTCGAATCCTTTTGATTACTACGATGGCTCTGCTGTCCCTTTTGGTCACCGCATACATCTTGTCTCTGGTGATTAAGTACTTTCACTTAAGCCCTGCAACCTTAAGTTTCCATCATCTTTGTTGAATTCTAGGAACCCTGTTTGTCACTCTTGTTTTTGGCCTGCAGGGAATAGCCACCAGAGAGCTCTTTAAGGATGCTGTCACTCTGCTCACAAATGTATTTCTCAAAGCTTTCATGAAGAAAAGCTTCTCTAGCCTCTTTTGGAGGACATAGGGGATTAGTAAGCAGGTCTCACAGAATAAATTTGCTGGTATTTCAATTTCATTCAGTCCACATATAGTTCCATATTTCAACCATCCAAGCAAGCAAACTGTTAAACACTTTAGTCACTCTGTTTAGTGCAACCTTATCTATAAATTGACTAGATCTGACATTATTTTTTTAACTCATAAGCAACCTCCCTAGAATCCATTTCTACTCATATATCCCAGGGTATTTCAATATAAATTGGAAAATCATGCAATTTTGTTGTTCTCTGACAACACTTCTCTGGTTATAGGTCCAGAAGGAATGAGAGGAGATTGAGTTAGATGCTGAGGAGTTTAGTACTCCCCTTCAAGAAAGCTACCAGGAAGGAGCCAGCTATAGGTTTTTCAAGGAAGGGAGAATGATCTACTGAGGAGAGGAAATATTGCTTATATTGGAAAGAAAAATTGGCAGACTTTAGACATTCACGGACCTCACCTTCATTGGAACCTGTCCATATGACCCTATCTTAAGTTTCAGGGTCTCATTCCTTCTCAATTCGTGTCCAAAGTTCATATGATTTTGCATGGTTGTGAAATCTATATCAAATATAATTAAGTTACCCACAGAAATAGACTTTCAGTTAGTTTTCATAAATGTAGACTCTGTGGGTCTTCAAATTCTCTACTACACTTAGAAAGTCAATCAAATCCCATTATCCTTACTTTAAATGAAATGTGCAATGGCAGCAGATACTTCACAACCCAAATCTCATACAAAAATCTCTTAAGAGAATTCTTAAGTGGTTACAAGAGGCTGTGGGCTGGGGGGTTAGGGGCATGTTAGTCAAATAAGGCAAAATTTCAGTTAGGAGCATTAAGTTTAAAGGATCTACTTACATCATGACATCATGGTGAGTGTAGTTAATAACAATACGTTGTATTCTTGAAAATTGCTAGGAGAATAGATTTTAAATGTTCTCACTACACACACACAAGATTAAGTATGTGAGGTAATGTATATGTTAATTTGCTTGATTTAGCCATATCACAATGTGTGTATGTATGTGTGTGTGTGTGTGTATATATATATATATATATATAAACACCATGCTGTATATCATAAATATATACAATTTTTATTTATCAATTAAAAATATCAATTGCAATGCAAAACAATTAAAAAAAAACAATCTTACATCTTTGGGGCTTAACAGCCTCAACTTCACTGAAGATAAAAAAAAAAAGAAACAAAATCTCTTAAGACCATCTCTAATACAGGTCTACACAGGGAAAAGAATCCTGGGAAATCTCGTTTTGGTTGCATTTTAGAGATAGTTAATGGGCAGTTAGGATTGGCACTCTCTACTGTATGACTCCAGAGCTTAGGGTAGAGTTGATCTATAAATTAAAAAAAGTAAAATCAGAAAAGCCCACTAACTTGCATCATCCCCTCTCAATCCTGGCACAATTTATTGAACAGCTACTTTGTGTCCAGCACTTCATTGCATGTTGGGAAGATAAAGAGAAATGTAAGCCAGTCTCTGTTATAGTTCTCATCTTTTTCTCAATTATTCTTCAGACAATTTATTTCATTACTGTTTTTCAAAGCTAAAAGCAGATCTACTATACCCTTGTCAGAAAATCTCTACTCATGTTGAGTCTGGTCTTCATGTATATACCAGAAGCGTATACCAGACCGAGGAGTAAAACTTCCCATCATGTATTCAACTCATACTGTAGGATCTTAAATCCATATTTAAAATCTCTGTGCTTTTATTTTACCTAAAAGTTTTTGATTTTGTCCTTTCACTGTATTTCTCTATATTAAGTCATTATTTCTAACACATTTTCCAATGGAACATCTGCCCTTGGGAAAAGAGTTCACTTCAGTCCTACCTCCCCACCATACATCACTGGAGCAAAATCTAAGACAGGAATAGAAAAAGCATTGAGACATCAAAGGCTTAGGTTTGTGAATCATATAATATTGTCAGTCATTTTGAAGGATCCCATTATGACACTGAAATAGAAATACCATGATTAGGTTATCAGAATTTCACTCATTTTAGTCTCTGTTATTAAAGAGGACAAAGAATTAAAGTATGTGTGTCAGGGATACATCAAATTGCAAATGTTCTTCAAGGGTAAATCAATATTATAGGGTGACCATTCTGCAGGAAAAGTAAAGAGATATGTAAATATGAATAAGTTATTTTTTGTCAAATAAACATTTAAAACTCCTTTTCCTGAGGCTGTGATCTCTTAGAAAATGTTTTCTGTCTAGCCATTTACTAAGTCACTACCCTAGGACCGTCCTCATCGTGGTTTGCTCCCATTCTTGTTGCCTCCAGTGGCACCTGTTCAGTCTCTTTAATGTAGAAAGCCCTACAGAATGCACCCAAGCAAGATTAAAGGTCTCCCCTGACGTGGAATGAAGGGGGAATTATACAGTTTGCAAGAGAAAAGATAATAAAGGAGTGAGTCTATAGACATACTTTGATGAATTATATAGAGACAATTTTCTGTCATTAGTAATGTAGGGCAGAAGACAATGTTTCTGATAGATAGATGTAAATTCATCATCCAGGCTCCATTAAAGAGAACTACAAAAGATCTGTTGATTTGAGCATTGCTTCCAAGAGCTATCAGGTAATGGTAGCAGGCCCCTTGCATGAAACTTGGACACTGCAGTAGTTGAAGGCTCATTTGGATGAAATAGCCACCTTTCCAGGAATGTTGTAAGTAGTAAGAAACCATATGGCAAATTCAGCCATCTGGATCAATGACTGTAATACCAGACCAATGGTTTGGCATTACATGGTAAAATAAATATTTTACAAATATTGCCTTTGACCACTGAATTAACTCGTGTTATAGTGAAAGGCAATGATTATGTCTTAAAGAAACAAACATTCATTGAAAATTTTCCTCTAAGAAATTACGGATCTGCCTGTCCTCCCCATACCCCATTCCAGAAAGGAAAATCCTAGATAGAAATTATATTTTACAAGTGTAATACAAAGAAGTATCTATCACAACAAATGTAAAAATGCCTTTTCTTTATTTCATTCTCATCAGGAAAAAAAAGAGCATTATCTCTGTGACTTCCTAATATTTTGTTGTATTTTATCTGCAACCTATAAAGCCACTATCTGCCATTATATATAATAATGAGAAGTCCTTCTATGCCCAGATGTTTGCTGTTTTACAGGAACCCAGTATCCTTTATCCACCTCCCATCCCACTTCTCTGCCAATCCTTATGGTGCTTGTCCATTTCACAATAAGGGAGCCCCAGGAGTCCATGCGAGAGCATCAGATTTAATCACTTTATGCAAAGTCAACATAGAAGTCCAGATAGCAAGTTGAAAACCCCATATTTCTTAATTCAGTATCTTGCTAATTGGTACACATTGTAAATTAGAACATGGGTGGTGGTAGCTGTTCTTTTCTTAAAGTTTCTGAAGAATGAGAACATTATAAACTCCTTTGAAATGACAGAGCAGTGCTCAGCATTCTTACCTCCAGTCTAAATCTGGGCCCCTTTTTCTTAATTTGTATGAGGGCAGTGAAGCTCTTTCATCCTTATCAGTGATGAAGGATCCCTCTGAGAGCTAAAGAGAAATTATGAGCCCTTTGCTCAGAAAAGCATCCGAGTCCACACACAAAATAAATACATTTGTGGCTAGGCGTGGTGGCTCACGCCTGTAATTCCAACACTTTGGGAAGCCAAGATGGGTGTATCACCTCAGATCAGAAGTTCAAGACCAGCCTGGTCAACGTAGTGAAACCCTATCTCTACTAAAACTACAAAAATTAGCGGATGTGGTGGCGCACCCCTGTAGTCCCAGCTACATGGGAGGCTGAGGCAGGAGAATTGCTTGAACCTGGTTGCAGTGAGCCAAGATCATGCCACTGCACTCCAGCCTGGGTGACAAAGTGAGACTTCATCTCAAAAAATAAATAAATAAAAAATAAACACATTTGCATACAATGTTAGGAAATATATAGGCTCCCTGGTGCCCACCCATTAACTCCCCATCCCTTATCTGTAAATAAGTACTGTGGAAAGTTCTGATGTTTCAATTACAACATACTTTTCAAAAAGATACATATTTATGTAGAAATTAATAATAAAACCTATTACAAGTAATATAGTAAAACAAGTGAGAAATGGCTTAGAAATCAACAAAGGTCAAGATGAAGATTTTTAATGGAGGAGAACTTAAAACCTAAGTAATAATAAAGCACTAACATTGTTTGAGTCCTAATTATTTCTCATCTGAATTGATAACTCTGCCTTTGGACTAACCATCATTTATTATTTTCGAAACAGTTGTGGGGATAATTTTTAATAAAATAGTGTCATTCTCAGCCTCAATATCTTCAGCCTCCCTTTTGCACGTGAGGAGAGCAGAACATGAATGAACTCTCACACACAGGTCCCGCTTTCCCTTGCAGAATCACACATTATCACTCCCTACAGCGCATTGTGCACTTCCAAGTAATTTCAGAATATTTGAAATTCACCAAGGCTGACAAATTATCTCACATTTCTGTTGATATTTTTAAATGTTACCCATTTATCCTGTAATGTTTCCTTGTCTTCCTCCACTGCCTGACAGGTACATATCCACCCAGAATAACTTCCTCTAGGAACTCTTTTATTGCTATTTTCACCATACTCTCAGTTTCCTTAATATTGAACGCTCACTGCTTAGTTTCTCATTCTCCAAATTTTTAATCATACAACACATCAATGAAGAGTTTTGATTATGCATCTTTATCACACAAACACATACACCTAAAACACACATGTATTACTACGTCAAAGCATTCTGTTTAATTAAAAAGTTCCACAAGAAAATAAATGTTAAAGGATTCATGAAAATGAATCAGAGGGAAATGCGAATCAAAACCACAATGTGATGCCACTTCATACCCATTAGGATGACAATAATAAAAAAGACAGGTAACTGCAAGTACTATCAAAGATATAGAGAATTGGAACCCTCATCCTTTGCTGGTAGAAATGTAAAATGATGAGGCCACTTGGAATATAATCTGGCAGTTCTTCAAAGGATAAGCATACAGTTATCATTCCTAAGTACACACATAAGAGAATTGACACCATATGTCCATACGAAAAGCCTTATACATGAATGTGTATAGAGATATTATTAGTAATAGCCAAAAAGTGGGAAAAAGTCCAAATGATCATCAACTGATGAATGAATAAATCCAATGTAGTATTTTCAATAGAATATTATTTAGCAATAAAAGGAATAAAGTACACATGCATGTTACAATGTGGATAAAACTTAAAAATATGCGAAGTAGAAGATGCTGGTCACAAAAGACCATATACAGGATGAGTTCATTTATGTGAAATGTCCAGTATAAGCAAATCTAAAGAAATAGAAAGTAGATAGAGGCAGAAAGTTGTTTGGAGGTTACCTATGTCTGTGCCAGGGACGGAGGTAGGGTTAAGGAAAATGAACAGCAGCTGCAAATGAGTAGAAAATGTCTTTTTGGTGTGAAAATGTTCTAAAATTGAGTGTGGTGATGGTTGCTTAACTCTGAATATACTGAAAATATTACACATTGAATGGGTGAATTACATGATATATGAGTTATATATAAAAATTATATTAAAAATAAATTAAGATAGGATTTCTATTATATCAACAGATCATCTTTTACAGGGGCCTCTGGAGTGTATATACCATAATCTTCAAATTTTATATTTAGTAACTGCTTCTTTACTTGATTCTTCTTCAGAGTATAAGACCCAGAGCACAGCAATTTTATCTCACACTTTAAATTCTTTATATTTAGCGTATCTAGTAATATAAATAATGAGTACAGAATGAATTTATTGATTGATTAATTAACCAAAGAGCTAACCTTTCTCCTGCCCTAGAATTCGTCAAAATCTAAATTGCAGCTTATTTCTAAAATTGTGTTAAAAGACACGTTACACAAAATTCACCATTTTAATCATTTTTAAGTACACAGCTCAATGGCATGAAGTGCATTCACAAAACTGAATCTCTGTACCCACTAAGCAATAAATTCTTATTACGTTTCCCCTAGTTCCTAGCTACCACCCTTCTGCTTTCTCTTTCTGACTTTACTCCAAATACTTCATTTGGTGCTATCATCCACATTTGTCCCTGGCTTATTTAACTTTTCCCAATGTCTTCGAGCTTCATCTACATTGTAGCATGTGTCAGAATTTCCTTCTTTTTTATGGCTGTATAATATTCCACTTTATCTACGATCACATTTTGTTTATCTATTCATCTTCTGACAGACACCTGGGTTGCTTCTACCTTCAGCTATTGCTAATAATGCTGCTATGAACACAGTGGTACAAATATAGTGTCCCTGATTTTAATACTTTTGGTTATGGGGTGAAAATTAGGGATCATGTGGTAATTCTAATTTAAATGTTTTGAGAAACCACCATACTGCTTTCCATCCCAGCTGTACCATTGTTCATTCCCAACAGCATTGCATAAGGGTTGCAAGTTCTCCATGTTCTCAGAAACTCTTGTTATTTTATGTGTTTTTTATGATAGCAATCCTAATGTATATGAAGTAGGATCTTATAGTTTTGATTTGCATTCCCCCATGATTAGTGGTTTTTGAGCATCTTTTTGTATCTTCACTGGCTGTTTGTATATGTTTGGAGAAACAACTAATCAAGTCCTTTGTCCACAAAACAGATCCACAGCCTAATTTAGCTCCTAAGAGCTAAATTATAAAAGACTTAGAAGAAAACACAGGGGGAAAGCTTCATGTCATTAGATTTAACAATGAGATCTTGGCTATGACACCAAAAGTGCAGGCAACCAAAGAAAAAAATAGACAGATTGAACTTCATGAAAACTTTTAAAAATTATACATCAAAAGACAATATCAACAGAGTAAACAGGCAAGCCACAGAATGGGAGATAATAATATTTGCAGTTCACACATCAGAAAATAGATTAATATTCAGAGCATATAGAGAACTCCTGAAACTCAACAATAAATTTTGTTTTAACTGTCAGAGCTAAGGATAACTATCAGAATATTTTAGTATCACTCCTCACAGCAGCTGTACTGCACTTTAAAAAAAAAAACAAACTATATTCTCTCAACTCATACTGGGAAGCCTGAACTTATGTGTTAGTGGAATCTAAATTCTGAAGGCTGGAAGTATTGAAGGCATAACTAGAATAAGAAGCTGTATTTCCTTTGAGTTTTTTTCTTTTTTATCATTTTTCATTTTCTCTCTAGTATTACAAATTAGCAGATGAAGAAAACAGCTCTCTGTGCTTATGTGTGTGCATTTAGAAGTAGAGCAGGCATTTTTATCAGCTAGACAGTGAGCTTTTAAAGCAAATTAGTAAGAAGAGAAGCAGGGAGGTCCAAATAAAATCTACTCAAAGTGGAGAGCAATTGTAATGGGGCTGGGGGTGGACTGAAATATTGATTCCTAATACTTACTCTCTTCGTTATTACACGCAGTGACAAAAACTATCAAATTATAACCAGAGGCCATTTTGCGGGAAAGGGCAAGAGAAGAGAACAACCACAGATGGAAACTGCCATCCAATTTTTGTAGCACAGTAGTGACGGCGACAAAAGGTCAGCAAAGGGGAAGGTAAATAATGTAGGAACAATGCTGAATCTGGGTTCTGATTCAGGCAACAGGAGCTCAGGCCTGCATGCCTACTTTTTGATTTTACCATGGCTGGACTTTCAGAAAGACAGCCCTAGTCACACGCCTCCTCATCCCACCTTTTTCATCTGTCTCATCCCTCCCATACGACTTCTGCCAGAGAGCACCTAGCAAAATGCCTCTCGTACACAACCAACAGTTACTCATCTACTAAGGTAAGGTATGCCAACATTGTATTATCTACTGAGTGAATTATTAAACAAGGGTGGAAGGGAAATTAATGAAGCAATGGAAAACCTGAAACTTAGAGTAATAATTTCCTTCCCCCCGACAAGGGGGAACAGGATGTTAGCGCTTAGCAAATCAGGTGTGTCCACACTTTGATCTTTATCTTGGAGATTCTTTTACATTATGAATTCTAGAACAGTGGTAAGTGGTAGCTTCTACAAACAGAAATTTACTGCCAATGAAATTAAATGTGTGGCTACAACATCAAACAACCAGAATTTAAGAATTATTACGTATGTTCTTTTCTTATCCTATATATAAGAAATAAAGCTTACATATTTACATAATATTCATGTTTTAATCTTTTAGCATTTAAACTAAATTCCCACTCAAATGAGTTAGTGAAAGATTCAAAAATTTCTATTTTGTCTCTTCATTTGTTAGTATTATTCATAACCAAAATAAACATTAAACACAATAGGCATCCTAATTTTTTTTTTTTTTGAGACAGAGTCTTGCTCTGTCACCCAGGCTGGAGTGCAGTGGTGCGATCTCGGCTCACTGCAACCTGCACCTCCCTGGTTCAAGCAATTCCCCTGCCTCATCCTCCCGGGTAGCTGGGATTACAGGCACACGCCATCAGGCACGACTAATTTTTTATTATTTTTAGTAGAGATGGGGTTTCACCATATTGGCCAGACTGGTCTCGAACTCCTGACCTCAAGCAATCTGCCTGCCTCAGCCTCCCAAAGTGCTGGGATTACAGGCATGAGCCACCGCAACAGGCCAGCATCCTATTTTTTTTAACGTAACTACAGTGTTGACATTCCTGATTATTATTTCATAACAAGAAAACTGAAGGCCACGCTAGTGTAAAATATGTGACCTCTTTTTTTTTTTTTTTTTCTACTAAGAAGCATTAAAGACGATGCAAGTTTCCTTTTGGAAGAAGAATCTTTTTGCCACCAAGCTGGTATTAATTTCCTGTTCAAAAGGGGCTACGTTGTCAATGTGACACTTTAATCAGCCCCCAATGTGACTGGGAAATGCCGACTTCACAATCAATGTCAATGTATTTCATGTCGTCTCGATACCTCTTAGTCATTTTGCTTCAGAAGTGCGTGAACAGGGTCAATATATTTCATTAGTTTGTTTCATCTGAAGGAGAGTACAACACGAGAACTTTGATTATATTATAAGAATTGCTTTAATGTGACACCGATTCCCTGATTGTGCTATACCAGACATTCAAGGGCTGGAGGGCAACAAAACCATCTTTCCCCTAAACATTCATCCAGCCACCACCAGCAAAATGTGCCGCAAATGAAAGAAGAAAATAAGATCCAACTCAATTTACATAGTGGAGATGAGATTATGCTGTCATAAATGCATTATAAAACAGAATCATGGAGATTAACTTTGAAGAATGCCAGTGAATAGTAACAATTCTTTTCCACTGTCTAATTGTAGCAGTAAAAATATTTATGACTCTAAAATTTAATAGTTATTTTCATAGTACTGCTACATAATTAACTGCAATAGAATGTTTGTGCATTCTTTCTCAGTGAATTTTACAGCTTCATGACTATCAAACAAATACGAAGTGACTGCATTAGTCCCATCTAATTCTTCCTTTAAAATTATTCAATGGCACTTTTATCCAACAATCCTTGTTGTTTACATCTGACCTCTTTCTAGATGGAGAGGCTACCATCCAGCTCCTCATGAAGTGGATCTTGTAGAGTAGCTATTCACTTTGACTTTTATTATAAGATATGGTATATATTTCCTTGTATTTTGCTTTGTTTCACTGTTTATCTCTACCATTTCAGAGAACAGAATAAAGTGAGGGTCTGAAGAATTATCCATAAAGCATGATCCTTTCGTAAGTCAATTTCTGAATGCAGAATTCCTTTTTGCTTAGACTGTGTTTTGTTATTGCACTCTAGCATGTTCATTTGCCATCTACGCGCCTGCAGATAGAATTATTCACAGTAAACATCCAGGACATACTTTCTTGTTTCTGACCTATACCCCATTCAAATCTTGTCTGAGGTTGGCCATGGCTTCTTGGAGAAATCCAGATGCCCCTGCCCTTATGCTATGTGCTGATTTTTGTGGCTGAGACTTGACTCTTCTTTTTCCAAAAGACTTGTCTGGGGTTTGCCATGTCAGCACTTCCTGTTTTATATCATCATGCTGGAGAGTACCTAGCCAGAACTTCTGGCCAAATCACTGCTCGGTATCCCTTCCAAAGTCTATAGGTATTCAGGAGACAGAAGTCAGATATACTTTTACTGAAATCACATTTTTTCTTAATATCTTCATTCCATTTCTTAAGAAAAAGACTGACATAAAATACATTCTATTATTTTAAAAAACAAGCAATGTTATTGACCTTTAATGAGTATTGTCTCTCCAAAATACTAAAAGAAACCCCATAAATGCAGCTTATCTTGCACTTAATGCATTAGTATCATAAAACACAATTTTAAAAAGCCATGTCATTATGGTCTTTTATGCTTCTTAGGCATTTTCATTTCACAAAGGAAATCAGCCTTTTTGCCAAGATAAAGAGAATTAGGGAGAATGAAATTTTATGTAGCAATATTTTACTCCTATTCATAAATATTTTTTGAATTTTAAAGTCTGTTATTAAAAAGTCATCAGTAGTTCTGCTAATAGCTATTATCTTTATTTTATCACAGAGTATAAAGACAGATATTATTCACTAATGGTTATAAGCGATCATAACCAAAGTAACTTTTAACACAAGATTCCAGTAAAAATGTCTGTTAGGTAATGCTATACTTTAGATGTTTATTCCCTCCGAATCTCATGTTGAAATTTAATTCCCAAAATTGGAGGTGAGGCCTAATGGGAGGTGTGTGAGTCATGGAACTGGATCTCTCAGTGACAGATTGATTAATGCCCTTTCTTGTTGGAGGTGAGTGCATTCTCCCGCTATTAGTTCTCTAAGTGCTCTCTAGAGAGCTGTTTGTTGAAAGGAGTCTGGCACCTAACCCCATCTCGCTTGCTTCCTCTCTTACCATGTGATCTCTGCACAGCCAGCTCCACTTTGCCTTCTACCATGAGTGGAAGCAGCCTGAGGCCCTCACCAGAAATCAAGCAGAGGCTGGTGCCATGTATTTTATACAGCTTGCAGAACTATAAGCCAAATAAGCCACTTTTTAAAAATATATTACCCAGATTCAGGTATTCCTTGATAGCAACAACAACAACAAAAAAATAGACAACAACACTCAACAAGTAAACAACTGCAAGAGTAATACAGAAAAATATGGTGTCTATCTTAAACAGATACAAAGAGCATATGCACAGTGCTTAGCAGTATGTTAGAGACATTGTCAGTTCAAATGTCTTTGCTAGTAACAAAATGTCCAACTAAAAGTCATATAAAGTTTATTTTTCACACATAACAAGAAATCTGGAGATAAATGAATGTGGAATTGTGACTCAAAGAGAACTTTGTTCCTCTTTTCACACAGACACCCTTATCATGCTATCTGCAGCCTTGTCACATCAAGGATGCAAGGTAGTTCCAAGCATTTCATTCACATGCATCTTTCAAAGAAATAAGATCATCATGGATTTCCTCATGCACACCATTTCATTTAGCTTTGAAAACAGTGCTTCCCAGAACTTTCCTGGAAGACATTCTTTTTACTGGGACTTGCTTGCTCACATAGCTAACTTCTGCCCTACAGGAATCTAGAGAGGAGTAGCCAGAATTTTCTGCTTCTATCATGAGACAAAGGAAATAAAAGGGGTAGGGGATGGCCATTGGGTAGACAACCAACAATATATTCAACAACATGAAAGTTTATGCTCAGTAAATCCTTAAATCTAAGAATAAAAATACAACTATTAGTTTATTCAATTTGGAGGGAGATCCTCTATAAAGATAGGGCAAACAAAATAATCATAGTCTTAATTTAAGAAAGACTGGATTTAGGGCAAGAATCATGAGACAAATGAAAGCACTTTAAAATACTGAGGTTATAGTTACATTGGAATGCTGTGCCAACTTTAAAAATAATGAGACAAATCTTTAGATTGTTTTAGGGAATCATCTCTAAAATCTGTGTCTATGATTACACACACATACACATTACTGAAAACTGTGTAATGCCTGAGAGTATTAAAAATGTATAAACTCACCTATAACTACATACACATTTATGCTTGCAAATGCATTGAAAGTTTTAAAAAAAATTATCCAAGAAACTTATGACAGTTTCTGGGAATCTGGATGCCTGGTGAGCAAGGAGAAAAATAGACTTATTTTCTAATAAATATCCTTTTGTATCTTCTAAATTTTATGCCACATGGATAGTTTAACTATTTTTATTTCTCATAATATATTTATATATAAATGTGTGCCTATATATCAATAAATATCATAAACAGATGTAACTTTTTATTTTAAAGGAGGGTAGTAAGAAAAAGAGAAAAGATGTATGGCACCAATAATAAGGAAACCATTAAAACTTCTAACTGTGCAAGATTAGAACAGGATCCAACCCAGACTATGAAAAAATCTAAGTGATGAAAACACAGCATTGCTCACATGCTATTTGATAGAGAATAATTGGTCTAAAGCAGATTAATGATAGATTTTCTTATTGATATCTTTAAGAGGATGTTGATTTCTGTTTGTATATGCAAGTCCAGTTTATTATAATAAATACCTGCCTAGGAGAAATAGAAAGCATAAAGAGGTCCTTTTATGATTTTATGCAGTGCTACTTCCTCCATCTCACCAGATAGAAAATAATGACAATGGTACTAATGATGATAATCAAAAATATTCTTAGTGGTGATGCAGTATTCCTCAATTTTGTAACCATAGATAAGTTTTTAGGATTAAATAACAATTATAAATTTAAATTGAGAGGGTACAAATTTTGACTATTGAACTACACCACAAGGAAAGCAACTTTCTTCATTTTTATGACTAGCATTAAGGGAAGCAATAATATGGCTGTGAAATAGCTAATCAAACTTATGGATACATTTCTGGCTTATGGGTACTTTTTCCTCTTTCCTTTCCTTTGCTATCCTCTCATTTCTTTTAAATGATTAAAGCAGGAGGTAATTTTAAACAAACTTTTTTTGAAACTGATCATGGACAGTGATTTTTGCCACTTGCAGGTCTTTCTATTCTAGAATTTAATCTAGTTATAAACTTGCCATATCTCAATAATATTGTCGGTACAGACAATAACACTCAGCAAATATATTTTAAACTCTCAGAAATTCAGTCACAAGATCGGTTACAACTTTTGCTATCAAGGGAACTTCCCAGGCATATTCCAGTTTGAAGATTCTGCCAAGAAATCTGAGCTCTGTTCAAAGTTCTAGCTGTCATTTCATGAAAGAATCCTGGAATTTTAACAGTTTAAACAAAAAGCCTTCTAACATCTTCCTTTCCCACTGGGAATACACTTCCAAAAGCCTCAGAATCTGATAAAACATTTTCTGGGACTTCATTAAATTTTATTTCAAACATATTATATGTTTAAATGTATATACGTGTTTTCCATGTGACCAATATTTTATATAACAGAAATATATGTAATGATAGCTGCAAAGAAGAATGAAATGGGCATATAAAATGGCCATACGATTTTATTTTTAAAACTGCTGCTTGAATGCCTGATTATTTAGTTGCATTTTTCACTCATTCCTCACTCCAATTCTCAGTTTGTTATTGTTATTACAACTTATTTCCTATTTAGTTACTCTGTAGTCAGCACTATTTTAAATCTTGGGAAAAAAATCTACAGTTTCTGTGACTTTGCAAAAGTAATTTAATTGACTCAGGACCTGACCTCCAAACTACAGCGATGCGATTAAACTGAAGCAGAGTACCAATCATCTGAAATTCCCTTATAATCCTCCACAGAGGCCAGGTTTGCTGGTGCCCATATTCACGTAGAGGCCAAGTTTGCTTGATGAATGCGAAGGATTGTTCAGTTGGCCAAGCAAGTCAATGAACACAATGTGCCTGTTACACTAGGATCTTCCGTCTAAGTCAATGGGGTTGTGTCTCCAACTAAAGGAAGGATGGGAACCCTCTTCTTGGAAAGACTTAAAAGTTATTACATTTTTTAGAGAAAAGTAGATGTATTATTTATTCATAAGGCCAAACTTATGATGAATGAGAGTAATTAATATGCTCCCTGGTTAGAATGGGTGGCAGAAAGAATTAGCTGAGGGGTTAAAAGAAAAGTTTATCTGTGTTTAGTATCTCAGGAAATAAGGTTACCTGTAGTAAATTAAGTGTTTTGGTGTCTCAATATTACTTGCTAGCTAAAGCATTTAGCACTAGCTTTAGCATGACAAGTAGGAAGAAAATCCTTAATATTTATATTGCATTGGTAGGAATATAAGGCTTAATGTAGAGTTCATAGAATTCCTTTTATAAAATGGCTTGTACAGCATATGATATATTTAGAACACTAAATGAATTAAATGCCTCCAGATGAAGGTTGCTGCTGAGCATGACAGTGAATGAGCCACAATGCAGATTCATTGATTATCTTAATTTTAAGAGTCAATAGCAGGCCCAGCCTACTCTGAATAGATATTCTCTACAACAAATGCTCTCAGTCCCCTCACTAGCATGTCAGATCACTTTTGTGATGGCATTTCGAACTCTGGAAAAGAAAGACACTGTGGAAATTCAAGGTCAGGTCTTATTGTAGTTGTTATTACTGTAAAAACATAACCAGCCAGAATAGATTACTTTAACTGAATTTTTAGTTTAACTGAGAGTCATCCAAAATGCCCTTTTTAAAAACATCTGTAGTTTAAACATGACTTATATGTATTAATCCTGTTTCCTCTCTTAGACACTGCAAGCAAAAGCGAAGTTTTTTAAATGGCTCATCATTTTGTAAAAGCTCTTTTTTTTGTTATTTTGAATGAAATAACATTAAATGAAGAAAGGAAATTGGAATAAAAACAAGATAAGCACTTTTCCCAATTTTGTCATTCGCTTGCTCTGTGATCTTGAGCTTTTCCTGTGTTGTGACTCAGTTCCCTTCTAACCAAGAAAGTTACACTTGTCCTAGCCACTTTCCAAAGCTGTCAAGAGGTTCACCTTTGCAAAGAAACATGCGTACACTTTGGTTAGCATAGAGCATTATAGAAATATTAAAGATTCTGTGGTTAGAGAAAGCAGACTGAGCTAAATATATACCAACCCTAGATTATACCCTAAGGGGGTGAGTTTCTGTTTGATTCATTTTCAGTAGTTCTTTGCTACAGCATTAAATTATTAATAAGTTGCATCTGTTGCCTAAAAATATAATTTGAAATCATATCTGCCAATAATCAATGATTTAACCTAGGCTCTAGTTTTTAAAAGTTTCTCTTGGCTGCCATGTAGTGAGTATCCTTTATGTCCTGGATATCATGCTACACGAACCTTTTGTAATTCTTATCCACAGTAGGAGATTAGAAAGAATCCTGATTTCTTGCTTCTTATCAACAATGTAGAACTTTCTTCTGGTTCTTTCCTTGTACAAGGTAAGCAGTGTGAACCTTTGAAAGGTCATTATGAACCTCCAGTTAACCTTCCAGCAACTGTCCTAGCCTTTCAATTTTATGTTATTATGTAAACAATAAAACAATGAAGATTAATTTATTTTAATAATAAAGAACTTCATTGACAACCTGCTTATGGTTAGACACTATGTCAATTGCTGAAGACAAAAATGAAGCTCACATCACTTGTGAGGCTGCCTTTGTCTCTGAGGAAGCAGAATGAGTAAGTAAATAAATACAATACAGTGAGCTAACAACGATGGCAAAATTATGAATACTGTACTAGGAGACCATGCACAAGGAAGAGACAAAGTCAGCTGGCAGTGTTAGGGAAATTCTTCCTAAACAAGAATATATTTGGTGGATGAAATAACATTGTTAGTTGGAGAAACGGGTGTCATATCCAGGATCAATTTCCATGTGGATAGAAGCATAGACATGAAAATGTGAATCTTTTCTTGAGAATAATTGCAGCTCTGTTTTGTGAGAGCTGTGGGCAGTGGGAAGAGGTACAAGATGAAAATGGGTTTGGGCCATATTATGAAGGACCTGCTATGCTGTTCCCAGGAGTATGGCTTAAGATGCTAAAAGCAATGGGAAAATATTCAAGATTTCCAGTAGGAGTATGATATGATCTATTTTAGAAAGTTATGTAATATATGGAATTGGTGGTAGAGTTAGGAAGATGTAGAAAAAAATCTACGTTTTGGGACAAAAAAACGAGGGTCTAAACAAAAGCAGTTCTGAGACATTTTAGAGTAAAGGCATAGTGATCCTTTTGTTCTAAGGGAGAGAGACAGGGAGAAGTTCACGTGCCACACAATAGTTTAAGTGGGTAATGAATGATAATGACATTAACAGTAATAATGAAGGCAAATATGGGAAAAAAATACTCCTTTGGGACTTAGTATCAGTGATGCTGTAAAACATCAAAGTGAAAATGTCCAGGAAGCAACTAGAAAACTGGATCGATAGCTCAAAAATAATAGATGATGTATCTTTGTTCATCAGCAGCAGCTGATGTTACTGAAACGGATGGAAGATACTGAAATCACCCCAAAACATGCTCCATTAACCTACAGAATTAATAGTTTCTCTAATATATCAACACTTACTTTCTTCTGTAGTCTTTCATAAAAATGGGTTTCATGACACTAGGTTATTATTTTATAGGTGTCAACTGTTACTAAGGTAATCCTAAAATTTAAAGTATAAATCAAATCAGGGATGCTATTAATAAATATGCTTAAGAAACAGGTGCAGACTGGGACTGTTCCTGACACACTGAAACATAGGATTATGCTAATTATTGTCCATCAATTTTTTTATAACCCTTTATCATTCTAGAAGATCCATGCATGCCATCATTAACTTGGATAATAGGAATTCAATTTTGCTCATCTCTGCAAACTGCATTTCTTTCCAGATACATACTCCTCTTGTCCCTTTTTAATAGCATCTTTTTGGTTTTAATCCCAGAACTCTAGGGCTTCAATTAGCATTTTGTAAACTGTGTCTTAATATTTGCAATTGGTAACTGTGTATTAGTCTGATTGTGGTGATTATGAAGATATTATTCACTAATTAATGTCAAAAGTGAAATATATATGAAGTTAATTTAATTTAAAAGTAACTTATGTATAAAGATTATTGAGCATAACTGCTTTCAAATGTTACCGAAAGCAAAGAGACCTTTAACTTAAAGTTTTATGGCTGGACTTTCTGGACCTGCATATTAGATGCTTGAAATTTGCCACACTATGCTAACAATAAGTTAAAAATAAACAAACTTTAAAAATGTTCAACTCTTCTTAAATACATCAGAGAGTAAGATCACAGGGAATATTGCTGCCTGTACAAATTAGAAAGGCAGACAGGCAAGTAAAGAGAATTGTAATTTATTAGAGGAGAAATCCATGAACAGAAACCTCCATGGGAACATGTGCCTGGGTAGGAAAACCTAAACTGTGATTGGTGGATTTTTGGAAACTCAGTGTGAATAACTCTGAGGGTTAAAAATCAGGGGATGGACTCAGTCATAGGAGGAACCCCACACAGTAAATATCAGAGAAAAATCCCCTTATGCTTCCAGCAGGAGGAGGGGAAAGGAACCACTTTGAAATATGCCAGAGCATCCTGTTCTTCTAGTCAAGGCCTGCCCTCCAAGATAAACTATTATTAGACTCTAAGCTGCTGTGACTTTCTCAGAGACTACCCTACCTCGGAGAAGAAAAATATCCAGTTCCAGCCTGCTACATCTTTCCACGTGGAGGAAGAAAGATACCCAATTTTAGCTCACTCTAGCCATTTGGCCCCACCTAAGAGGGGACAAATCTTGCTATTTACTAGTGAAATTCACAACCAGGGACATAAACTCATCTAAAGGCTGAAACCAAATCATAGGACTATAATATACTTTCTTTTCCACACATCTTACTACTACTTTAAAAAAGACATGTTTACTGCAGCTCCTTTTTTTCCTAAAACACCATGTTCACTTCTCAACAAAAAATTGCAATGCAGACTAAAAGGAAAAATAGATAGTTTGAAGAGATTGAACAAGCATCAGAACCAGGATCAGATATGGAAGGAATGTTAGCATTAACCAACCAGAAATTTAAACAAACAAACAAAACTATGAATAATGGGCTCAGGCTTTTTATTTAAAAAATAGACAACATGCAAGAACAGATGCATAATGTAAGCAGAGACACGAAAATTTTAAGAAATAATCAAAAATCCAAAAGAAATGCAAGAGATCAAAGACGTCGTGTCTACTAGTTTTTTGTTGCTATAACTGAATACTTGGAGAGACTGGCAAATTTACAAAGAAAAGTCATATATTTCTTACAGTTCTGGGGGCTGGGAAGTCCAAGGTCAAGTGGGGCACATTTGGCGAGGGCCTTCTTGCTGATGGGGACACAATGCAGAGGGCTGAGGTGGTACAGGGCAACATGTGGTGAGGAGGCTGAGTGTGCTGGCTCAGGTTTCTCTTTCTAGTCCTATAAAGCCACTAATACCACCCCTCCTCATGACCTCCTCTAATCCTAATTACCTCCCAAAGGTCCCACTTAGTGAATACCATAGTCGTATTTCCCACCCCTTAATTCTATTACAATAGAGATTAAGTTTCACCATGAGCTTTGGTGGAAACAAACATTTAAACAACAGCACACTGTGACAAACATAAAGAATCTCTTTGATGGGCTCATTAGTAGACTGGACACAGTTGAAAGAATTTATGAGCTTGGGGATATTGTAATAGAAATTTTCAAAACTGAAAAAATTTTTTTTGAAAAAACAGACTAGAAACTGTAAGACAGTTACAAAAAGTGTAACATATGTGTAATAAGACTATCAGGAGAATAAATAGAGAAAAGAATAGTAGCAATATTTGAAGTAGTAATGACTGAGAATCAAAAAGAAGTCTCAGCTATATGTTTTCTACAAGAAACCTATGTTAAATAATACACATATGCATTGAAAGTAAAGGTTGAAGAAAGATATACCATGCTCAACTATTTAAAAGAAAAAAGGCAAAGTGCAGTGGCTTATGCCTGTAATCCGAAAAAGTTGTCAGGCCAAGGCAGGAGGATTGCTTGAGGCCAGGTGTTCAAGACTAGCCTGGGCAAAACAGGGAGACCCTTATCTCAACAAGTACAACAGAATTAACTAGGCATGGTGGTGTACACCTGTAGTCACAGCTTCTCCAGAGGCTGAGGTGAGAGTATTGCTTGAGACCAAAAGTTTGAGGCATCAGTAAGCTATGATGGAACCACTGTACTCCACACTGTGTGACAAAGCAAGGCTCTGTCTCTAAACAAACAAGCAAACAAAACAGAAAGCAAACAGGAATACCTCTATTAATTTCAAAAATACCAGAAAGTGAGCGAAGGATATGAACAGACACTTTGCAAAAGAAGACATTTATGCAGCCAACAAACATATGAATTAAGAGCAAGGAAATTTATTCGGGATAAGTGGGGGTATTACATAATGGTAAAAAGGTCAATATAGTAAGAAGGTATAACCATCCTTAATGTTTAGGCACTTAAAAACAGAGCATCAAAAATATAAAATAAAAACTGATAGAACTATAAGGAGAAAAAGTTAAACCCACTATTATAGTTGGAGACTTTAAACCTCCTCTATTCAAAATGGACAGATCCAGAAAGCAGAATATTATTAATAGTAAAGACATAGTTAGAATCAACACTACCATCAGTCAACTAGATATAATTGTCATTTATGCTCTGCTATATCCAATAGCAGCAGATCACATGTACTTCTCAAGCTTGCACCGAGCATTCATCAACACAGGCCACATTCTGGGCAATAAAACACACCTTAACAATTTTAAAAGAATAAAAATCACACATTGTCTTATTTCAGACCACAATGAAATTAAGCTAGAAATCAGTAATAGAAAGACAGCTAGAAAATCCTCAAATATTTTGAGAGTAAACAACCCACTTCTAAATACCACATGGGTCAATGAAGAAATCTTAAGGGATATTAAAATATTTTTTAAAACTTTCTATAAAAATTAAATTCATAGAAACAGAGAGCAGAAGGGTGGTTACCAGAGGTTGGGGGTTGGAAAATGGGTAGATGTTGGTCGAAGAGGACAAACTTTGGTTATTAATATAAGTTGAATAAAAGAGACCAAGTATCTGTCATGGTGACAATAGTTAATAATAATATATTGTATACTTATATCTTACTAAGAGGGTAGATCTTAGGTATTCTCACCAGACTCACAAATACGAAAAAGATAGCTATTTAAGGTGATGGATATATCAATTAGCTTGATTTTGATAATCATTTTCTGTGTATACACATCCAAAAATGTCATGTTATACACTCTGAACTTATACAATAATGTTCAATTATATGTTGCTAAAGGTTTGGGTATAGTTTGACCCTACCAAAAACATATGTTGGAATTTGATCCCCAGTGTGGTACGTTGGGAGATGGGGCCCAGTGGTAGATGTTTGGATCATAGAGGCAGATTCCTTATACATAGATTAGTGCCCTTTTCTAGGAGTGAGTTGTCATTCTCATAGGACTGAATAAGTTACTAGAAAGTGCATCGTTATAAAAGTGAGTTTGGCTTCCTCTCTCATCTGCCATGTGATCTCTTTGCACGTGCCCACTCCCTTTCCACTTTCTGCTATAAGCTGAAGCAGCAAGAGGCCCTCACCAAATACAGATGCCCAATCTTGAAATCTGAACCATCAGAATTGTGTGCCAAATACATATATTTTATTTATAAATTACCCAGTCTCTGGTGTACTGTTATAGCAACATAAAAAAGATGACATATGTCAGTAAAGCTGGGAAAATTTTTTAAATATTTTGAACTAAATGAAAATGAAAATGCAACTAATCAACATTTGTGGGATACAGTGAAAGCAGTGCTTAGAAATTTATAGCATTGAATACTTTTACCAGAAAATGAGAAAGATCTTAGATCAATACTCCAAGTTTCTACCTTAGGAAATTAGAAAAAGAAGAGTAATTAAGTCCAAAGTAAGCAGCAGAAAGGAAATAATAAAAATTAAACCAGAAATTAATGAAACAACAGAAAATCAATAAAACCAAAAGCTGTTTATTTGAGTAGATCAATAAAAGTTATAAACTTTTAGCCATGATAACTGTGGGGTTGAAGGGTAAGAGAGAGAAAACACAAATTACTAATATCAGAAATAAAAGATAAGTCATTACTACAGATCCAATGGACATGGAAAGGATAATAAAGGAATACTATAAACAAATCTAATTGCACAAATTTAGAATTTCACAAATTTGAAAAACTAGATGAAATAGACCAATTCATACAAAAAGAAACAATCTGAATAAACCAATATCTATTAAAGAAATTTATTAAACATTAATAAACTTCCCAAACAGAAAGCATTGTATTCAGATAAGTTCACTGGTAAATTCCATTATATACTTCAGAAGAAAATTGTACCAATTCTCTATAATTACTTCAAGAAGACAGAAGAAGATGGAATACTTCCTAAATCACTCTATGAATTAAACATTACATAATATCAAAACCAGCCAAAGATATTTTAAGAAAAGAAAATAACAGGCTAATATCTCTCATAAACATAGATTCAAAAATCCTCAGTAAAATGTAAGCAAATTAAATCCAACAAAGTATAAAAGGAATTATACCCACAACCAGATACGATTTTTCCCAAGTATGCAAGGCTGGTTCATCACTAGAGAATCGATTATTATAATTAATTATATCAAAAAGCTAAAAAAGAAAAAAGAAGCACATGATTATATAAATAGATGAAGAAAAAGCATTAGAAAGAAATAAACTGTTTGCAGATAACATTATTTTCTATGTAGATAGTCTAGAAGGATCTATTAAAAAACACCTGGAACTAATAGGCAATTATAGCAAGGTTGCAGAATACAATGTTCATACTCCAAAAGTCAACTGCTTTTTTATAAATCAGCAATAAACAAATGGAACTTGAAATTAAAACACAATATTATTTACATTACCATCCTCAAAATTAAATACTTAGGTATAAATCTAACAAGATATATATACAATATGAGAAATAATACAAAACTCTGATGAAAGCTGTCAAAGACTAAATAAATGGAGAGAGAGTCCACATTTATCAATAGAGCAAATAGTCAAGATACCATTTTTTCCAAACTAGGTCTATAGATTCAACCTAATTGCCACCAAAATCTCTTCAAGTAATTTTCTGAATATCCACAAAGTGATCTCAAAGTTCATAGAGAAAGGCAACAAATAAATAAATAAATAAAACAGTATAGCCAACTCAAAAGTGAAGGAGAATAAAGTTGGATTACTGACACTACCTCACTTCAAGACTTAGTATAAATCTTTATTAATTAAGACAGTGAAGTATTGGTGAAACAACAGACAAATAGATCAATGGAACAAAACAGAAAGCCCAGAAGTACATCCACATCAATATATTCAAATGATCATTGATTCCATGGACATGGAAATGATAATTGACCAAGGAATAAAAGCAATGCAACAGTCATTTCAACAAATGGTGGGACAAATGAACATCTAAATTAAAAAAAAAAAAGGTGTGGGGACAAACCCACACCTCCACACCCTTCACAATAATTAGCTCATAATGGATCATAACTAAAGTAAAATGCAAAACTGTAGAATTCCTATAAGAAAGTATAGGAGAAAATCAAGGTGATGTTGGGTAGGGGAATGACGTTTTAGGTACAACATTAAAGCCATGACACAAGAAAGAAAACTGATAGGCTGAACTTAATAAAAATTAAAAACTTCTGCTCTGTGAAATAAGTGAAGAGAATGAGAAGAAAAGGCAAAGACGGGGATAAAATACTTACAAAATATGTATATAATAAAGGACAGTTGTCCAAAATATACAAAGAACTCTTAAAATTCAACAGTAAGAAAGCAAACAACCCAATTTCAAAATGGGAAAAGACCTGAACAAAAAATTTTCTCCCATTCTGTAGGTTGTCTGTTCACTCTGATGATAGTTTCTTTTGCTGTGCAGAAGCTCTTCAGTTTAATTAGATCCCTTTTGTCAATTTTGGCTATTGTTACCATTGCTTTTGGTGTTTTAGTCATGAAGTCTTTGCCCATGCCTATGTCCTGAATGGTATTGCCTAGATTTTCTTCTAGGGTTTTTGTAGTTTTAGGTCTTACATTTTAGTCTTTAATACAACTTGAGTGAATTTTTGTATAAGGTGTAAGAAGGGGCCCAGTTTCAGTTTTCTGCATATGGCTAGCCAGTTTTCCTAACACCATTTATTAAATAGGAAATCCTTTCCCCATTGCTTGTTTTTGTCAGGTTTGTCAAAGATCAGATGGTTGTAGATGTGTGGTGTTATTTCTGAGGCCTCTGTTCTGTTCTATTGGTCTATATATCTGTTTTGGTACCATCTTCCCAGGAGGCATTGCTTGCTTCAGCCCAGGTCCCGAGGGGTAGGGCACAGCTATAACTGGGAGAGGTAGACTCCCTGTTGAAATGCTACCTGAATTCAAGGCTTACTATAAATCTTTATTAATCGAGATGGTGAAGTGTTGGTGAAACAACAGACAAATAGATCAATGGAACAAAACAGAAAGCCCAGAAGTACATCCACATCAATATATTCAACAGATCATTGATCCCATGGACATGGAAATGATAATTGACCAAGGAGCAAAAGCAATGCAATAGTCATTTCAACAAATGGTGGGACAATTGAACATCTAAATTAAAAAAAAAAAAAAAGGTGATGGCTCCATTGCAACTTGGCCCCATGGAAGAGGATGTAGCAGCAGTTTGGCTCATTGATGGTGGTCCACCAGGCAGGGGTGCTTGAGCACTGGAATGGAAGGGTACTGCAGCCACTCATCCCTGGAGCAGGACACCCTCTAGCAGTAGTTCCAGTTCCAAGAAGGCATAATACAGTAGCTGTTTGACCACAGTGGGTGAGGTACAGTGTCAGCTCCTATTCTGGGGGAAGCACAGCTGTGTGGACTCAACTGGGCTTACTGCCTGTGAGGACATTTTCCTGCATGGGGAAGTCCCTCCTGGTTCTAGCTGCTCCTGGATGGGAAATGGGGTGGTGGAGGCCAGGTGTTTACTTCTGTTCTCTGTGGCCATCCTGGATTTCTGTTATCCAGAATCTACAAGGAACTTTAACAAATTGACAAGAAAAAAAAACAAACAACCCCATCAAAAAGTGGGCAAAGGATATGAACAGACACTTCTCAAAAGAAGACATTTATGCGGCCAACAGACATATGACAAAAAAAAAAGCTCATCATCACTGGTCATTAGAGAAATGCAAACCAAAACCACAATGAGATACCATCTCATGCCAGTTAGAATGGCAATCATTAAAAAGAAGTCAGGAAATAATAGGTACTGGAGAGGATGTGGAGAAATAGGAATGCTTTTATACTGTTGGTGGGAGTATAAATTAGTTCACCATTGTGGAAGACAGTGTGGCGATTCCTCAAGGATTTAGAACCAGAAATACCATTTGACCCAGTCATCCCATTACTGGGTATATACCCAAAAGATTATAAATCATTCTACTATAAAGACACATGCACACGTATGTTTTTTGCAGCACTGTTCACAATAGCAAAGATTTGGAACCAACCCAAATGCCCATCAATGATAGACTGGATAAAGAAAATGTGGCACATATACAACATGGAATAGTATGCAGGCATAAAAAAATGAGTTCATGTCCTTTGCAGGGACATGGATGAAGCTGGAAACCATCATTCTCAGCAAACTAACACAGGAACAGAAAACCAAACACTGCATGTTCTCACTCATAAGTGGGAGCTGAACAATGAGAACACATGGACACAGGGAGGGGAACATCACACACTGGGGCCTGTCGGGGGTGGGGAGGCTGAGGGAGGGATAGCATTAGGAGAAATACATGTATCCCAGAACTTAAAGTATAATAATAAAAAAGTGGTAAAAAATAAAATAAAATAAATACATGAACATACATCTCACCCAAGATACACAGATGGCAAGTAAGGATATGAAAAGATGTTCAATACCACAGGCCATTATGCAATTGAAAATTTAAATAAAAATGAGACATCACTACTCACCTATTAGAATGGCCCAAATTCAAAATACTGCAATTCGAGAGTAATGTTAGCAAGACAGCCAACTAGAAGCGCTTAGTTCTGGTCTTCTCACCCCAGAAAGACAGTCAAAACAATAAACAACTACATTTTGATTAAAGTAACCAAAGGAGAACACTTGAGTACCTCAAAGGAGTAGCAGGAACCCTGTAAAGCACAGAAACCCAGGATGGCCACAGAGAACAGAAGTAAACACCTGGCCTCCACCACCCCATTTCCCATCCAGGAGCAGCTGGAACCAGGAGGGACTTCCCCATGTGAGAAAATGTCCTCACAGGCAGTAAGCCAGTTGAGTCTACACAGCTGTGCTTCCCCCACAACAGGAGCTGACACTGTACCTCACCCACTGTGGTCAACACAGCTACTGTGCTATGCCTTCTTGGAACTGGAACTACTGCTAGAGAGTGTCCTGCTCCAGGGATGAGTGGCTGCAGTACCCTTCCATTCCAGTGCTCAACCACCCCTGCCTAGTGGACCACCATCAATGAGCCAAACTGCTGCTACATCCTCTTCCATGGGGCCAAGTTGCAATGGAGCCACCACATGTACCTCTCCCAGTTACAGCTGTGACCTGCCCCTCGGGACCAGGGCTGAAGCATGCAATGCCTCCTGGGAAAATGGTGCCCTGGCAGAGCCACTCCATCTACCTAGGCAATGGTATTGCCTAGGTTTTCTTCTAGGGTTTTTAGTTCTGGTCTCCTTACCTCAGAAAGACAGTCAAAACAATAAACAACTACATTTTGATTAAAGTAACCAAAGGAGAGCACTTGAGTACATTAAAGGAGTAGCAGAAATCCTGCAAAGCACAGAAACCCAGGACGGCCACAGAGAACAGAATTAAACACCTGGTCACACCCTGCCCCTTGTGGCTGAGCTGAAGTGGCAACCTGCCTCCTGGAAAAACAGTACCTTGGCCACCCAGAGCAGTCATGCTCCTCCAGTGTGTGAGTTGAATCTGTACCCTGCCTCCTGAGAAATGGTGCCTTGGCCATCTAGAGCAGCCATGCTCCCCTGCGCTTTAGCGGAAGCAGTGCCTTGCATCTTAGGGAAAAACTGGCTTGGCCACCCAGAGCAGTCACATCCCCTGGGTTTGAGCTGAATCAGCACATCACCTCCTGGGTAATTAATGCCTTGGCTAAGCCAAGCAGCTCTGCATCCTAGGGACGGTCAGATGTAATAATCTGTAACCTAGGGAAACAGCATCGGCTGAGTTGAGACACTCTGCCATACAGACCAAACAACCTTAGTGCTCTGTTTTTCTAGAACTGGACTAACTCCCTAGTGTCTGAACTGCTGTGATACCTCCTTTATAGAGACTGGAGTAATCACTGTGCTGCTCCTTACCCTCTAGGTCACAAGAGACAGCTATATTCCCCCATTCAGTGTTGCCACTCCACCTGGCCTCACAGAGTCTGGGATATTGATGTATTCTGTCGTCCCAGGGTTCAGAGTCACCATGACATGATGCCTCATTGCCAGAGACTGAGTTGCCACTGTGCCCTATTGGCTCTGGTTGCCAAATTACAACTGTACTCTGCCCCCTGGGCCCAAACCTCCAGAACATTCCTTTTTCTCCAAAGCTTGGCCAATGCTATAACTTGTTCCCCTGCCTCTCATGATTACAGTCACAGCTACTACCTGGGTTTCTAGGCCCAAGCTGCTAAGGGGTGCCTCAGAGTCACAGATACCCAAGTTCTGTGGGCAATCTACATCCACTTGTTACTCACAGAGTTAACCTGAACTCCAAGACTCAGGTGCCACAATTGGTTCACAAGATTCTGAGCCTTGGTCCCTGGCTCCACGCCACTCTAGCACCTGTACTCTAAAACCCAGAGCTACTACAGCTGCTTATGGCAGTGTCAGACCCAACACCGGAGGGATGCCTTTGGCTAAGTCTCCTTATAGGGAGGGAAATTGAGAATAAGAAGACCTCAAACATCTTTGCCATCTAGGACCCTAAAAACCTATGCTGCTGCTGCCACAAACTCATACAGCCTAGGCCACAGAGGCATTCACAGTCATCACTGACATTGATCACAGCTGAAGATGCTGCATAGAAGCTATTCTCCTGTATCTACTTGGAACGAGAGCCACCATACTTTTCCCCATTGGCGCATGAAGACCCAACTGCAGGTTAAAGTCCTTCTGTACAAAAGCTACTTGGTAAAGTTTGGAAGAAGTAATTTTTTTCATGAGATGCACATAAATCATTGCAGGGACAGGACAACTATGAAAAAGCAAGAGATTATGACACTATCAAAGGAACACAATGATTCTCCACAAAGAAAAGGAAGTTTACAAATTGCCTGAAAAGGAATTCAGAATAATGATCTTAAGATAACTCAGTGAGATACAAGAAAATACAAATGCACAATTCAAGAACATCAGGAAAAAAATTCATGATCTGAATGATAAATTTAACAAAGAGATATTATTAGAAGGAAACAAAACACTTGGAGATGCAAAATTTAATGATTGAAATAAAAATGCAATAATGAGCTTCAACAGCAGACTAGATTAAACAGAAGAAAGAATCTCTGAACTTGAAGATAGGTCTTTTGAAATTATCCCATCCTTCATCTTGGTAACTGCAGGACTTATCAAAGTACATTATATATTCAAGAAATGTTTATTGAATTGAATAAACTAAGATACCAACAACAAAATAAATTACCCAGTTGAAGAGAAAAAAAAAGAAAAAAAGAATGAAAAAGAGCAAAGACAACTGCAAGACTTATAGGACACCATTAAACAATCAACCTTTTGCATTAGGGAAATTTTAAAAGACTTAGACACGAAGATAAAAACAGCTGATTTAATAAAATAATTCCTGAAAACTTCCCAAGGCTTGAAAGTGAAATGGACATCCAAACACACGAACTGCAGAAGTCCCCAAACATATTCAACCAAAAAAAGAGATCATCACCAAGGCACATTATTATTAAGCTGTCAAAAGCCAAAGATAAAAAGAAAATTTTTAAAGCAGCAAGCGAAAAGTATCAGATCATATATAAGGGAATTTCTGTTAGACTATCAGTAAATTTTGTAACAGAAACCCCTACAGTCTAGGAGATAATGGGATAATATTTTCAAACAGGCAAAAGAAACAACAACAACAACTGCTGTACAAGAAAACAAATAGAAATACAAAGCCGTTCTTCAGAAACGCAGGAGAAATAAAGTTTTTCTCAGACAAGCAAAAGAAAATTTGTCACCACTATACTCGTATTACACAAAATGCTTAAAGAAATTATTTAAGTCAAAACAAAAAGATGATAATTACTAACATAAAAACATATAAAAGTATAAAACTTACAAGTCAAGATAAATATATAGTCAAATTTCAAATATCCCAATACTGTTATGGTGCTTTCGTTCACATTTTTCTCTAGTATGAAGGTTAAAAGTCAAAACAGTAAAAAATAATGATGGCTACATTAAGTTGTTAAGAAAACCATAATATAAAAAGGTATATATTGGGACATCAAAAAAATAAATTACAACGAGGAGGGTAAAAGTCTAGAGTTTTTGTATACAAATGAAGTTAAGTTGTTAGCAGCATAAAATAGTCTATTATAACTATAAGGTATTTTATGCAAACCTTATGGTAACACCGAAGCAAAAAACTGTATTCAAGGAAAGAAGGAATCAAAACTCAGTACTAAAAAAAAACAAGTGAAAAAGATAAACAACAAGAGAGGGAGGATGAAATAAAGGATTTACAAAACAACCAGAAAACAATTAACAAAATGGCAGTAGTAGTCCTTATGTATCAATAATGACTGAAAATAAATGAATTAAATTATCCAGTCAAAAGAAATAGAGTGACTGAATGGGTTTAAAACGGACAATATCCAATTATGTGCTTCCTATGAGAGATGCACTTTAGCCCTAAGGACACACATAGGCTGAAAATAAAGGGATAGAAGAAGATATTTCATGCAAATAGTAACCAAAATAAAGCAAGAGTTGTTATACTTTTAACAGATAAAATATACATCAGGTGAAAACCTGTTACAGGAAACAAAGAAGGTCATTATTTAATTATAAAGGGCTCAATTCATTAAGAAGACATAACAATTGTAACTACATACACACCCAAGATCAAAGCTCCTAAATAAATCTAAATAAATAAAAAATAAATCTTAATGGACATGAAGAGAGAAATAGATAGAAATACAATAATAATAGGTGAGATCAGTACCTCATCCTCAACAATGTACCCATCAACAAGAGAGAAAATTAATAAAGGAAGAGTGGAATTGAATTGCACTAGAGACAAAATAGAACTATGAGATATATACAGAATGTCCATCCAACAGCAGCAGAATACACATTCTTCCTTGATGTACACATGCAACTCTCCCCAGAATAGACCATATAACAGTCCACAAAATAAGTCTTAACACATTTTTAAAAATCAAAATCATATCAAGTGTTCTTTCTGACCACTATTGTATGAAACTAGAAATAAATAACAGGAAAGGCTTTAGAAAATATGCAAATATATGGAAATTCCACATCATGTTTCTGAACACCCATTAGTTCAATAAAGCAATTAAAAGTAAAATTTAAAAATTTCTAGAGATAATTAAAAATAAAAACACAACATACCAAAACCTGTGGGACCCAGCATACTCAGAACTCAGAGAAAACTTTATAGCAATAAATGCCCACATCAAAAAAGAAAAAGATCTAAAAAAATAAACCTAAAGTTTCACTTCAAAGAACTATAAAACAAGAACAAAGTAATCCCAAAATTAAGAGAAGGAAAACATAATAATAAAGATCAGAGCAGAAATAAATGAAATAAAGACTAAACTAATAGAAAAGATCAACATGACAAAGATTTGTTTTTTTAAAAAATAAAATCTAGAACTATAAATCCTTTAGCCAAAGTAACTACAAAAAAGGGAAAACTAAACGAAATCACAAACACAAAAGGAAACAATAATATACCACAGAAATACGAAGACTAATACAAAAATATTATGAACACCAATATGCTAACAAATTGTAAAACCTGGACAAAATGAATAAATCCCTGGACATACACAACCTATTAATATTGAATCATGAAAATAATTAGGAAACATGACCAGACTATTAATGAGTAATTAGATTGACTCAGTAATAAAAAGTCTTCCATTAAAGGAAAGCTGAGGGCCTGATGGCTTCCCTGCTGAATTCCATCAAACATTTTGAGAACAACTAATACCAATTCTTCTCAAACTACTCCTAGAAAAATAAAGAGGAGAAAATTCTTCCAAACTCATCTTAGAAGCAAGCACTACTGTGATACCTAGACAAGGACACAACAGCAACAACACTACAGGTCAATATCCCTGATTAACAGATGCAGAAATCCTCTACAAAATACTGGCAAACTAAATTCAATAGCACATTTTAATAAATCATTCACTAGGACAAAGTGGGATTCACCCCACGGATGCAAGGATGGCTCAACATACACAAATCAAAAAACATTTGCATGACATTAATGGAATTAAGGACAAAAACCATATGATAATTTTCATAGAGGCAGAAAAAGCATTTGACAAAATTCAACAACATTCATGAAAAACCCTCAACAAATTAGGTATAGAAGGAATGTATCTCACCACAATAAAGGCCGTATATAACAAATTCACAGCTAACATTATACTGGACAGAGAAAAGTTGAAAGCTTTTTCTATAAGGTCTGGAACTAGAGAAGGATGCCCACTTTCACCACTTCTACACAATACTGTAGTGGAAGTCTTACCCAGAGCAATTCAGCAAGCAAAAGAAATTAGATTTCTAATTACTCCATGAAAAAAATGAATAAATTCAATAAAGCTGCAGGATATGAAATCAACACACACAAATCAGTAGTATTTCTATATGCTAATAGTAAACTATCTGAAAAATAAATCAGGAAAACAATCCCATTAGCAGTAGCTACAACAACAACAACAAAATAAGATACCTGGGATTACAGCCAAGATGGACGAACAGGAACAGCTCGGGTCTACAGCTCCCAGCATGAGTGACGCAGAAGACAGGTGATTTCTGCATTTCCATCTGAGGTACCGCGTTCATCTCACTAGGGAGTGCCAGACAGTGGGCGCAGGACAGTGGGTGCAGCGCACCATGCGCGAGCCAAAGCAGGGCGAGACATTGCCTCACTCGGGAAGCGCAAGGGGTCAGGGAGTTCCCTTTCCTAGTCAAAGAAAGGGGTGACCGACGGCACCTGGAAAATCGGGTCACTCCCACCCTAATACTGTGCTTTTCCACGGGCTTAAAACACGGCGCACCAGTAGATTATAACCCGCACCTGGCTCGGAGGGTCCTACGCCCACGGAGTCTTGCTAATTGCTAGCACAGCAGTCTGAGATCAAACTGCAAGGCGGCAGCGAGGCTGGGGGAGGGGCGCCCGCCATTGCCCAGGCTTGCTTAGGTAAACAAAGCAGCCTGGAAGCTCAAACTGGGTGGAGCCCACCACAGCTCAAGGAGGCCTGCCTGCCTCTGTAGGCTCCACCTCTGGGGGCAGGGCACAGACAAACAAAAAGACAGCAGTAACCTCTGCAGACTTAAATGTCCCTGTCTGACAGCTTTGAAGAGAGCAGTGGTTCTCCCAGCACGCAGCTGGAGATCTGAGAACCGGCAGACTGCCTCCTCAAGTGGGTCCCTGACCCCTGACCCCCGAGCAGCCTAACTGGGAGGCACCCCCCAGCAGGGGCACACTGACACCTCACACGGCCCGGTACTCCTCTGAGACAAAACTTCCAGAGGAATGATCAGACAGCAACATTCGCGGTTCAGAAAAATCCACTGTACTGCAGACACCACTGCTGGTACCCAGGCAAACAGGGTCTGGAGTGAACCTCTAGCAAACGCCAACAGACCTGCAGCTGAGGGTCCTGTCTGTTAGAAGGAAAACTAACAAACAGGACATCCACACCAAAAACCCATCTGTACATCACCATCATCAAAGACCAAAAGTAGATAAAACCACAAAGATGGGGAAAAAACAGAGCAGCAAAACTGGAAACTCTAAAAAGCAGAGCGCCTCTCCTCCTCCACAGGAATGTAGTTCCTCACCAGCAACGGAACAAAGCTGGACAGAGAATGACTTTGATGAGTTGAGAGAAGAAGGCTTCAGATGATCAAACTACTCTGAGCTACAGGAGGAAATTCAAACCAAAGGCAAAGAAGTTAAAAACTTTGAAAAAAATTTAGACGAATGTATAACTAGAATAACCAATACAGAGAAGTGCTTAAAGGAGCTGATGGAGCTGAAAGCCAAGGCTCGAGAACACCGTGAAGAATGCAGAAGCCTCAGGAAACGATGCCATCAACTGGAAGAAACGGTATCAGTGATGGAAGATGAAATGAATGAAATGAAGTGAGAACAGAAGTTTAGAGAAAAAAGAATAAAAAGAAACGAACAAAGTCTCCAAGAAATATGGGACTATGTGAAAAGACCAAATCTACGTCTGATAGGTGTACCTGAAAGTGATGGGGAGAATGGAACCAAGTTGGAAAACACTCTGCAGGATATTATGCAGGAGAACTTCCCCAATCTAGCAAGGCAGGCCAACATTCAGATTCAGGAAGTACAGAGAACGCCACAAAGATACTCCTCGAGAAGAGCAACTCCAAGACACATAATTGTCAGATTCACCAAAGTTGAAATGAAGGAAAAAATGTTAAGGGGAGCCAGAGAGAAAGGTCGGGTTACCCACAAAGGGAAGCCCATCAGACTAACAGCGGATCTCTTGTCAGAAACTCTACAAGCCAGAAGAGAGTGGGGGCCAATATTCAACATTCTTAAAGAAAAGAATTTTCAACCCAGAATTTCATATCCAGCCAAACTAAGCTTCATAAGTGAAGGAGAAATAAAATACTTTACAGACAAGCAAATGCTGAGAGATTTTGTCACCACCAGGCCTGCCCTAAAAGAGCTCCTGAAGGAAGCACTAAACATGGAAAGGAACAACCGGTACCAGCCACTGCAAAATCATGCCAAGTTGTAAAGACCATCAAGGCTAGGAAGAAACTGCATCAACTAACGAGCAAAATAACCAGCTAATATCATAATGACAGGACCAAATTCACACATAACAATACTAACCTTAAATGTAAATGGGCTAAATGCTCCAATTAAAAGGCACAGACTGGCAAATTGGATAAAGAGTCAAGACCCATCAGAGTGCTGTATCCAGGAAACCCATCTCATGTGCAGAGACACACATAGGCTCAAAATAAAAGGATGGAGGAAGATCTACCAAGCAAATGGAAAACAAAAAAAGGCAGGGGTTGCAATCCTAGTCTCTGATAAAACAGACTTTAAACCAACAAAGATCAAAAGAGACAAAGAAGGCCATTACCTAATGGTAAAGGGATCAATTCAACAAGAAGAGCTAACTATCCTAAATATATATGCACCCAATACAGGAGCACCCAGATTCATAAACCAAGTCCTGAGTGACCTACAAAGAGACTTAGACTCCCACACAATAATAATGGGAGACTTTAACCCCACTGTCAACATTAGACAGATCAACGAGACAGAAAGTTAACAAGGATACCCAGGAATTGAACTCAGCTCTGCACCAAGTGGACCTAACAGACATCTACAGAACTCTCCATCCCAAATCAACAGAATATACATTTTTTTCAGCACCACACCACACCTATTCCAAAATTGACCACATAGTTGGAACTAAAGCTCTCTTCAGCAAATGTAAAAGAACAGAAATTATAACAAACTGTCTCTCAGACCACAGTGCAATCAAACTAGAACTCAGGATTAAGAAACTCACTCAAAACCGCTCAACTACATGGAAACTGAACTACAGGGAAACTGATCAACCTGCTCCTGAATGACTACTGGGTACATAATGAAATGAAGGCAGAAATAAAGATGTTCTTTGAAACCAACGAGAGCAAAGACACAACATACCACAATCTCTGGGACACATTCAAAGCAGTGTGTAGAGGGAAATTTATAGCACTAAATGCCCACAAGAGAAAGCAGGAAAGATCCAAAATGGACACCCTAACATCACAATTAAAAGAACTAGAAAAGCAAGAGCAAACACATTCAAAAGCTAGCAGAAGGCAAGAAATAACTAAAATCAGAGCAGAACTGAAGGAAATAGAGACACAAAAAACCCTCCAAAAAATTAATCAATCCAGGAGCTGGTTTTTTCAAAGGATCAACAAAATTGATAGACCGCTAGCAAGACTAATAAAGAAGAGAGAAGAATCAAATAGATGCAATACAAAATGATAAAGGGGATATCACCACTGATCCCACAGAAATACAAACTACCATCAGAGAATACTACAAACACCTCTACGCAAATAAACTAGAAAATCTAGAAGAAATGGATACGTTCCTCGACACATACACCCTCCCAAGACTAAACCAGGAAGAAGTTGAATCTCTGAATAGACCAATAACAGACTCTGAAATTGTGGCAATAATCAATAGCTTACCAACCAAAAAGAGTCCAGGACCAGATGGATTCACAGCCGAATTCTACTAGAGGTACAAGGAGGAACTGGTACCATTCCTTCTGAAACTATTCCAATCCATAGAAAAAGAGGGAATCCTCCCTAACTCATTTTATGAGGCCAGCATCATCCTGATACCAAAGCCGGGCAGAGACACAACCAAAAAAGAGAATTTTAGAACAATATCCTTGATGAACATTGATGCAAAAATCCTCAATAAAATACTGGCAAACCAAATCCAGCAGCACATCAAAAAGCTTATCCACCATGATCAAGTGGGCTTCATCCCTGGGATGCAAGGCTGGTTCAATATACGCAAATCAATAAATGTAATCCAGCATATAAACAGAGCCAAAGACAAAAACCACATGATTATCTCAATAGATGCAGAAAAGGCCTTTGACAAAATTCAACAACCCTTCATGCTAAAAACTCTCAATAAATTAGGTATTGATGGGACATATCTCAAAATAATAAGAGATATCTATGACAAACCCACAGCCAATATCATACTGAATGGGTAAAAACTGGAAGCATTCCCTCTGAAAACTGTCACAAGACAGGGATGCCCTCTCTCACCACTCCTATTCAACATAGTGTTGGAAGTTCTGGCCAGGGCAGTGGGGCAGGAAAAGGAAATAAAGGGTATTCAATTAGGAAAAGAGGAAGTCAAATTGTCCCTGTTTGCAGATGATAAGATTGTATATCTAGAAAACCCCATTGTCTCAGCCCAAAATCTCCTTAAGCTGATAAGCAACTTCAGCAAAGTCTCAGGATACAAAATCAATATACAAAAATCACAAGCATTCTTATACACCAATAACAGACAAACAGAGAGCCAAATTATGAGTGAACTCCCATTCACAATTGCTTCAAAGAGAATAAAATACCTAGGAATCCAACTTACAAGGGACGTGAAGGACCTCTTCAAGGAGAACTACAAACCACTGCTCAATGAAATAAAAGAGGATACAAACAAATGGAAGAACATTCCATGCTCATGGGTAGGAAGTATTAATATCATGAAAATGGCCATACTGCCCAAGGTAATTTATAGATTCAATGCCATCCCCATCAAGCTACCAAGGACTTTCTTCACAGAATTGGAAAAAACTAAAGTTCATATGGAAGCAAAAAAGAGCCCGCATCACCAAGTCAATCCTAAGCCAAAAGAACAAAGCTGGAGGCATCAAGCTACCTGACTTCAAACTATACTACAAGGCTACAGTAACCAAAACAGCATGGTACTGGTACCAAAACAGAGATATAGATCAATGGAACAGAACAGAGGCCTCAGAAATAACGCCGCATATCTACAACTATCTGATCTTTGACAAACCTGACAAAAACAAGCAATGGGGAAAATATTCCCTATTTAATAAATGGTGCTGGGAAAACTGGCTAGGATATGTAGAAAGCTGAAACTGGATCCCTTTCGTACACCTTATACAAAAATTAATTCAAGATGGATTAAAGACTTAAACGTTAGACCTAAAACCATAAAAACCCTAGAAGAAAACCTAGGCATTATCATTCAGGACATAGGCATGGGCAAGGACTTCATGGCTAAAACACCAAAAGCAATGGCAATAAAAGCCAAAATTGACAAATGGGATCTAAGTAAACTAAAGAGCTTCTGCACAGCAAAGAAACTACCATCAGAGTGAACAGGCAACCTACAAAATGGGAGAAAATTTTCACAACCTACTCATCTGACAGAGGGCTAATATCCAGAATCTACAATGAACTCAAACAAATTTACAAGAAAAAAACAACCCCATCAAAAAGTGGGCGAAGGACATGAACAGACACTTCTCAAAAGAAGACATTTATGCAGCCAAAAAACACATGAAGAAATGCTCACCATCACTGGCCATCAGAGAAATGCAAATCAAAACCACAATGAGATACCATCTCACACCAGTTAGAATGGCAATCATTAAAAAGTCAGGAAACAACAGGTGCTGGAGAGGATGTGGAGAAATAGCAACACTTTTACACTGTTGGTGGGACTGTAAACTAGTTCAACCATTGTGGAAGTCAGTGTGGCGATTCCTCAGGGATCTAGAACTAGAAATACCATTTGACCCAGTCATCCCATTACTGGGCATATACCCAAATGACTATAAATCATGCTGCTGTAAAGACACATGCACATGTATGTTTATTGCAGCACTATTCATAATAGCAAAGACTTGGAACCAACCCAAATGTCCAACAATGATAGACTGGATTAAGAAAATGTGGCACATATACACCATGGAATACTATGCAGCCATAAAAAATGATGAGTTCATGTCCTTTGTAGGGACATGGATGAAATCAGAAATCATCATTCTCAGTAAACTATCACAAGGACAAAAAACCATGCACCACGTGTTCTCACTCATAGGTGGCAATTGAACAATGAGAACACATGGACACAGGAAGAGGAACATCACACTCTGGGGACTGTTGTGGGGTGGGGGGAGGGGGGAGGGATAGCATTAGGAGATATACCTAATGCTAAATGACGAGTTAATGGGTGCAGCACACCAGCATGGCACATGTATACATATGTACTAACCTGCACATTGTGCACATGTACCCTAAAACTTAAAGTGTAATAATAATAAAATAAAAAAAATAAGATACCTAAAAATAAATGTGACCAAGAAGGTGAAAAATCTCTCCACTGAAAACTATAAAACACTGATAAAGGACATTGAAAAGAACACAAGTGCATGGAAAGATATCCCATGTTCATGGGTTGGTAGAGATAGTATTGTTAAAATGTACATACTACCCATACTACCCAAAGTGATCTACAGATTCAGTGTATCCTATCACAATACCAACAACATTCTTCACAGAATTACAAAATACTGAAGGTACCAAATGCTGGTGAGGAACACACAGTTATTTCTGGTAAGAATTCAAAATGGTATCACTACTTTGAAAGACAATTTTTTTTTAACCAAACTAAACATACTCTTACCTTATGATCCAGCAATCGTGCTCTTTGGTATTTACTCAAATGAGTTGAAAACTCATGCTCACACAAAAACCGGCACACAGCTTTATCTATAGTTGCCAAAACTTGGAAGAAACAAGATGTTCTTTAGTAGGTGAATGGATAAACTGTGGTACATCTGACAGTAGATTGAGCTCTAAAAAGAAATTGGCTATCAAGCCATGAAAAGATATAAAGGAATCTTAAATGTATATCACTAAGTGAAATAATCCAATACTGTATGATTCCAACTACTCTATGACATTCTAGAAAAGGCAAAATTACAGGGACAGTAATACGATTGTCAGTTCTCATGGATTGATCAAAAGGAGAAAACAGGCGGAAACTGGAGGATGTTTAGGGCAGTAAAATCATTCTGTATGATATTGCAATGGATATATGTCATTATAAGGTTGTCCAAACCCACAGAACGTACAACATCCAGAGTAAACCCTAATGTATACTATGGGCTCTGAGTGGTAGTGATATGTCAATGTAAGTTCATCAATTGTAATAAATGTACCACTGTGGTAAGGGATGTCAATAATGAAGAGGGTTGTCATGTGTAGGGACAAGGGGCATATGGAAACTTTATACTTTCTGCTCAATTTTTCTGTGAACACAAAATTTCTTTTAAAAAATCAAGTTAATAATCGAAAAGAAAAAATGTATTGCTGCTTCTTTATATATTTATCATGAATATAATTTTACTTTAAGAAATGCAAATAATAAAAAAAGCGTAAATAGAGAGAAAGAAACTTTAAGCACAGATTCTTACATCTTGCTTCTGAGCTAAGATTCTAATAGGAATGGCACTTAAATGAGAAATCGATACCTAATCATTTTCAAACTCTCCAAATTAGCACCTTTATCCAATTATAGGCCTGCAAGGCAATCTGTTCCAAAAAGAAACACAGTATAAATAGTCAACATGAGTTCAACAGACTAAAACATGTGTGTCCCAAATTGCTGGATTTAGGTCATTATATTTTTCCAGGCAGCTAATTTTCCCCTTTGAAGTGCTCACAGAAGGTCAGAAACAGTTTAAGCATCAAAGCTTTATGAATTAAACAGTTTCCTCGCGAACAGAGGAAGGCGGCTTTGCCTGCAGAAACACTATTGTGAAGATCTCTGGCTAACCTTCAACTAGGATGCATTCCACAATGGGGAGATCAATAGCCCACAGTCACCCAGAACAGATTTCAAGATTTTTAATACAACTGACCCTTTACACATAAAATGCTCACATCTTTAACTCGGAATGCTGCTGATTCCAACTATTTCATTTCTGCTTACTGATTACTTGGAGGAAAGCATGGTGGTAGAAGAGGTGAAGATAAGTGTGAATGAAAACAAGCCCCAGGCAATTTTCTCAAATAACTACACATATACACTGCAAAATCCTATGAAGTCTATTACATATATTCTTTTCCACACAATTGGCTGACCACAATACATTCCTTTTCTCCCTCATGATAAATATGTTTTATCATAGCACAGAATGCCTCCAATGTGAACCTTGCTTCTGCTCATTGCTAGATCTAGAGTATCCTGCAGCGTTCAATAAACACACCTGGTTGTGTCCATCGTATGAAAGAGTGGATTGAAAGCCAACGTTTTAGAGTTTTACTTGGTTAAATATCTGTATCTCCTGTCAACTGGTGATATTTCATAGTGGAGGGAAAAAAATAATTTAAAGGGGATTAAGTATCTTCAGATGAATTTTATTTTATTTTATTTTTTGTTTCACATATAACCTGGAGCCCACAATTAATAACTCTTCTAGTTTCTGTTCTGGTTCTAAGCATTTTTCCTAGCTCTTCAGTTTGCCACTTTGCCATTTTTTTCTTTCAGTGAAATTCTTTCTTCTTGAATCAACCTTTTTTCTTAGACACATCTTGAAGACCTACCTCAGAAGGCAGTCATCTGAGTGGAAAGGCCATGGGCTTTGGCTTGGGACAGAGATGGTTTCTGTATGGGCTGTGTACTGTCTGGGCCCTCATGGGTCTCAGTTTCCTGTCTCTAAAGTGGTGTGTTGTGAGGATTGTATCGTGCGAAGAACATTATATTGTTCAATGGGTGTTATCTTTATTATTATACAGTTTAAACCTTATCAGATGCTTTAATCTACTTCTCCAAATCTCTAACAAATGTTTCCCCAACTATAATTTGATTACCTCCACTGCTGCATTACCCCTGCACGCAGCTCAGATTATTAAAAAATACAAATTTTATAGAACTAAAATGTGCCTCCTACAAGCTTATGCCAATTGTTTCCACGTTTTCTCTTTAAATGACAGAAAAAAAGTCTATTTTTTTCATTTAGTGATATTTTGTAAGTATCAAATGTATATCTAATATATGAAAGATGTGATAGATACTACAGAGAGCTTCCATATACCCGACACGAGTTCCTCCTGTTGAACTAATAGACTAATATTAATATATTAACTAAAGTTCATATTTTATTCAGATTATAAATATTTTTTTCCTAATGACCTTTTTCTACCCCAGGAACCTATCCTGGAAAAAGATCATTAGGAAACTGCATTAGGTACCACATCACATGTTGGCATCATGCCTCTTCTCAGTTTTCCCTGGGTTGTGATCATTTCTCAGACATTCCTTGTTTTGGATGACATTAACCACTTTGAGAAGTACTGGTCAAGCATCTTATAGAATGCCCATCAGTGTGGGCTTCTCTGATAACTTTTTCATGGTTAGAGTGGAGTTGTATGCTTTTGGGGAGGAAGACTAAAGAGGTAAGGTGACATTTTTATCATACCATATAAAGATCCATGCTATCAACATGACTTATAATAATAGTTGGTGTTGACCTTGGTCACATGGCTGAGGTTTTTCAAGATTCTGTAGGGTAAATTACTTCTTTCTCTCTTTTGATGTGTACTCTTTGGAAAAAATGTTGGATGTGGAGCCCACAATTAAGGGATAGGAAGATACCTACCACATACCTGAGGGGCCAATAGCTACAGAATTTATTTGGAATTTACTGCACTAGAGATTTGTCTCTTTATCCCAATTTATTTATTTATTTATTTATTTAATCATGTAAAAATGGCTGTGTCTTCCTTTGTTTTGATTCTGACCTCACTATATTTGGCAGCTATTTCTTTTACTCCATGGCTTGTGGGAACTCCTTTCTAGTTTCATTTACCATGAGTAATTCCACTATGCTTTTATTTTTTCCAGTTGGCTTCAGAGAAGAGTGCGGGATTAAAAACCCCTTTAATTCATCATTCTTAACCACACATTCCTGCAATTTATTTTATTTTTAGTCATAGACCCATCCCAGGAGGAACTATTATTAATGCTTTACAGACAAACATTTGAAATGTTTTCCTGAACTGCATACACGCCTTATTTCAAAAACAATTAACTTACAATTTGCATAATATTCTATATATCTTTCATCTTTAAGCAATATATCTGGGACAATTTTTGATACCATGAATATATACATTAATCTCATGTCTAAATCATTTGCCTAACATTTCATTATATTGATTTGACATATTCTTTTATTGTTAAGTCCTTCAGATAGCCTCCAAGATGTTTTCATTATAAATATGTAAACAAATCTTGTGAGTTTTTTAAAATCAAGATTAATTTCTAGGTGGAGAAGGGTATACATATTTTAAAATTTGGTTGCTTGAAATAGAAATGTACTAACTGACACACCCATCGTTAGTAAAAGTAAGTATCAATTACCCAACACTTCACCCATTACAGTGTGAAATTATTATAGGAATCATTATAGAAAATATTACATGCTGCTATTTTTTTAGCATTTGCATTATTACTAATTATGTTGTACATTCTTCTTACATGTTTTTGGCTATTTGTATTTTTTTTCTGTTGTGAAATATCTATTTAGACTCTTGGCCATTTTTCTTTTGGGTTATTTGTCCTTTCACATATCTTGACAGGAAACATTCATAGATTATTTTTCCTTCTCTTGTAGTATATATTCATACATTTTGGCCTATGTAATTGAACTTTATTTGTGATTTTTTAACATTAAAATCTTTTTATTTTTTAGGATTCATAATTGACCTATAATATATGCACATTTGACAATCTTCCCTGTTAAGAGTTTCTGGGTTTCACATCATAATTAGAAAGTCTTTCTTCGTTTTAGAATTATATAATGTTTTCTAAATTACTTATTAAGATTTATTCATCTCTCCTAGAATTTATTTTGTTATAAGGAACAAACATTATGATTATTCCATTTATTCTGTTTTTACCTAATACTGTTACAAATTTTATTTTATCAGTAATTTCTACTATAAATTCCTGACTGAGGAGAATGACCTAAAATTTCTTGTCATCGGTCACTGAGCAGCTTTGCCCTTCACAGAATAGAACCACATTCATAAATCGTGACATGCAAGAGAACTTTATAACACAAAATATACAATTCACACTGAAGTTAGGACATGTATGCATACATTTTTTTCTGCATTAAAAAAATCACCAAATATTTATAATCCAAAGGCATAGAACAATAAATAATAAAAATCTTAGTAGAAAAAGAACTAATCTGCCTCTGTCCATGTTGGACTTAGTGCAAGCACACAAAAGATTATAGCCATAGGGAATTAAAGAATCATTTATGAGAAAAATAAAATGGATGCCATTCATAGCCTAAAACTACAATACACCTTCTTCTAAAATGTCCATGGAATAAAATATCATCTGATTTTACTAATATATTACACTGAAGATAACTTCAATAAATTATAAAAGGTAAAAATGGTATAAGTCAATATTCAGATCACAATAAAACAAAAATGAAAACAAAAACAAAACTGGAAAAGGAAGTAAACCAATTGCAGAATGGGAGAAAATATTTGCAAACTATGATCTGACAGGGGACTGATATTACGAACTTACAAGGAACTCAAACAACTCAACAACAACAACAAAAAACCCTCAAATAGCCTCACTAATATGTAAGCAAAAAACATGAATAGATATTTTTCAAAAGAAAACGTGAATGGCCAAAAAGCATATGAAAAAGTGCTCAACATAATAACCAGAGAAGTGCAAATTAAAATCACAGTCAGATACCATCCTACACCAGTCAGAAAGGCTGTTATTAAAAAGTAAAAATCAACAGGTGTTGGCAAGGATGCAGAGAAAAGGAAACACTTATATATTGTTGGTGGGAATCTGAGTTAGCACAACCTCTATCAAAGACAGTATGGAGATTACTCAAATAACTACAATAGAGCTACCATTCCATCCAGCAATAAAATACCACTACTGGGTATCTTCCCAAAGGAAAAATAAATAATTATATCAAAAAGACATTTATATTCTCATGTTCATCACAGTACTATTCACAATAGTAAAGATTTGGAATCAATCAAAGTGTCCACCAACAGTTGAATGGATAAGGAAACTATGGTATATATACACAATGGAATACTATTCAGGCATAAAAAAGAATGAAATCATATATTTTGCCACAACATGGATGGAATTGGGGGGCATAAACTTAAGTGAAACAACTCAGAAACAAAGTCAAATGCTGCGTGTTATCATTTATAATTAGAAAGTAAATAAAGTGTACACATGGACATAGAGTGTGAAATAACAGACACTGAAGACTTGAAAGGGTGTCAGGACATTGGGGCAAAAGGGAGAAGTTACTTAACGGGTAGGGCCTACATTCAGGTGATGATTACACTTAAAGTCCAGACTTCACTGCCATGCAATATATCCATGTTACAAAACTGGACTTCTACCTATTAAATTTACACAAATAAAAAATATTAAATTCTCAAGTTTTTGATAAATTGGAAATAAAATTCAAAATTAAAGAATATTCAGAAAGAAATATAATATAAACACTAAAATATACAAGTATATGGCAAATCCAAAAGTACTCAGAAGAAATTTCATAATCATTAAAGTGTGCAATTCTAGACAAGCAAAAGAAAGTATTATTAATAAGCATTTGCTTCAGAGGGTGAGAAAATATAATAAAGTAAACAAAGGGAAAGTATCAGGAAAATTTGGTATTCATACGTGTAGAAATTAATTAGAAGAGATGGGTAATTCCAAGGACTAATCTTTAAACTAATCAATAAAAGACAAATCATTGTCTACTTCTATGAAATGTGGGTCTTTATAAATAAGCAACAGAAACTAATGCTGATTATTTTAAGCAGATAGAGAAAGGAAACATTTTTAAAGGGCACTGACTAGTTACAAAATTAAAGTTAAGCAAATATGACTTAGGGAGAATAGGAGAGAAGACAACAAGAGTAATCTCAATACAGAAATTGAAGAGAGCTGCCAGGGCTCTGGCTTGGTGTTAGCCACCTCCTGAACACTGCACAAGGTTCACGTTTCTGCAAGAGTCTAATTGGCCTAGGTTGGGTAAGATGCTTACCCACACATGTGTCTCTGCCAGGTAAGATAATTTTCTATGATCGACTCAGTCCAGTTTAAATGCCTACTACTCTGATTAGGATGCATGCATGAGCACTTTTATCTTCAATATCAGCAGGCCCACAATGGAAAGGAAGAGCATATGTTTTGAAGAGAGAATGAGATTCTGTCACCAGGAGTAAAAATACTACACAAGGAAAAGTGATATATGCTTTTAAAATTCTATTCCCTTAGGTGCCTAGTATTAATATTAGCCCTCATAGAGTTAATTTTTGAGCACTTTTATGTCACAGAAACCCTGAGAACATATGCTCACATGCACAAACTCTTTGTATCACTCACAATTGGTTAAAGTTATATCGTAGTAATCCATAAATTAAAAACCACAGTGGCCTCAAACAACTAGGGTTATTTCTTACACACAGCACAAGTACATCACATGTTTATGTGTAGGTTAAGGTGTTTGTTCATGCCATCCTTATCAGGAAACAGGTTGATATAGCATCTACTACTCAGAACCCAGCCAATAGCCAGGGCAGAAAGAGAGAGCAGGAAACCACCAGCTGTTTAAGTTTTGCCCACAAATGACACATTTCACTTTTGCTTACATTTCTCTGGCCAAATCAAGTCACATGGCCATACCCAATCTCAAGAGGTTTGAGGATTGAAAATATGATTCTATGATATGTCTAGCACAAACACAGAGTTTTTAGGGCACTGGGACTATTCTACATGATACTATAATGGTGGATACAAGTCAATATAACTTTGTCAAAAAAAAAAAAAAAAACAACATAGAATATACACGTCCAAGAGTGAACCCGAATATAAACTATAGACCTTGGGTGATAATAACATGTAAAAAATAGGTTCATAGATTATAATGAATGTAACACTTAGGTGCAGGATGTTGATAGTGGGAGAGATTGTGCATGTGTGAGAGAAGATATATGGAAACCCTCTGTACTTTCTCCTCAGTTTGTAAACCTGAAATGGGTCTAAAAATAAAATCTATAAAGACTAAAGTCAATAAAATTGTACTGTATTTGGGATTTTTCTTAAATAAGTAGATTTTAGCTGCTCTTGTTGCAAAATGTATGTGAGATAATAGATATGTTCATCTATTTCACTATAGTAACCATTTTATTATCTATTTGTATTTCATAACATCATGTTGTAGACCTCAAATAGACATGATAAAATTTATTTTTAAAAACTAGAAAACAAAGTCTATTTAAAAACATCAGAAAATATACAGAAAATTAACAAAGACACAGTCTCAGTGAGGAACTAACAAAGATCTAACATTTATGTCAACAGAGTCCAAGAAAGAGAGGGAAGCATACAGATGAAGAATATTAGAAGCAATAATAACTTCCAAAATGTGATGAAAAACAAAAACTTACAGATTCAAGTAGCCAAGTGAATCCTAAACAGGATAAGCCTAAGAAAGTGTATGGCCAGACACATTATAACCAAATTTTATAAACCTAAAATAAGGAAAATACTTAAAAACAGCTAGAGAAAAATAACACCTTACCTGTAGGAAACAACAATTCAAACAAGGCAGATTACTCATCAGGACGCAGACCAGAAAAAAGTGGCACAAAATTTTTTCAAGTTTAATAAAAACAGGACAGTTGATACAAAATTTTAAACCTCTAAAATTATCCTTTAGAAATATGAGTAAAATAAATATGTTCACAGATTTAAAAAAATGAGGTAAATTAAAAGTATTTGTCAGCAGCAGACTTTCTCTGAGAGAATAAATTAAACCAAATTTTTCTGGCAGAAAAAAAAATAAAGGAAAATTTGGAACATCAGTAATCAAGAAAAAGCAGTGGAAAAAAGATCAATGTATATATTAAGAACGATTAAGGAAACACATGCCCATACACTTTCCACTGATCTTTCCTAATGTATACAAAGGAGTAGATATAATAAATATGACTAACTAAAAAATACAGATTATTCATCTCTTCTTTAGTGTTTTAAATTTTGTTTAAAGGTTGAAAGCAAAAAGCCATAATATTGGTGGTTTTATAAAATGTATATAAAAGTAACATTTAAGATGTTTATATTGTAAAGGGATGTGGGGAAAAGAAACTAAAGCTTTCTATATTACACATGAAGGGGTGAAATGTTTCTAAAAACAGACAGACATTTTAAGTATGGATTTTGTAATCCTAGAGCATATAGACACAAAGCAAAGTACAGAAAAATCAAAACAGAATACTAAAATATGTTCAAGCAACCCAGAGGTAGTCAGGAAAGAAAAAAGAGAAAAGAAAAACAGAGGTAAACAAATAAAAAACAATATCATAACAAATTTAAATTCTAGCATATCTATAATTACATTAAATGTAAATGATCATGTCACAACAATTAAAAGATAAAGACTGTCAAACTTGTTACCCAAAAAATGATCCAACTATATGCAATCTATAAGAAACTTACTTCCAATGTAAACAAAATTTTAAATGTAAAAGGATGAAGAAAGATATACCATACAGACTCTAATTATACTGAATGGGCAAAAACTGGAAACATTCCCTTTGAAAACCTGCACAAGACAAGGGTGCCATCTCTCATCACACCTATTCAATATAGTATTGGAAGTTCTGGCCAGGGCAATCAAGCAAGGGAAAGAAATAAAGGGTATTCAAATAAGAAAAGAGGAAGTCAAATTGTCTCTGTTTGCAGATGACATGATTGTATATTTAGAAAACCCCATTGTCTCAGTCCAAAACTCCTTAAGCTGATAAGCAATTTCAGCAAAGTCTCAGGATACAAAATCAATGTGCAAAAATCACATGCATTTCTATACACCAATGATAGACAAACAGAGAGCCAAATCATGAGTGGACTCCCATTCGCAATTGCTACAAAGAGAATAAAATACCTAGGAATACAGCTTACAAGGGATGTGCAGCACCTCTTCAAGGAGAACTACAAACCACTGCTCAAGGAAATAAGAGAGGACACAAACAAATGGGAAAACATTCCATGCTTATGGATAGGAAGAATCAATATCATCAAAATGGCCATACTGCCCCAAGTAATTTATAGATGCAATGCTATCCCCATCAAGCTATCATTGACTTTCTTCACAGAATTAGAACAAACTACTTTAAATTCCATATGGAACCAAAAAAGAGCCCACAAAGCCAAGACAATCCTAAGCAAAAAGAACAAAGCGGAAGGCATCACGGTACCTGTCTTCAAAAAATACTACAAGGCTACAGTAACCAAAGCAGCATGGTACTGGTACCAAAATAAATATATAGACCAATTGAACAAAACAGAGACCTCAGAAATAACACCACACATCTACAACCACCTGATCTTTGACAAACCTGACAAAAAGAAGCAATGGGGAAAGGATTCCCTATTTAACAAATGGTGTTGGGAAAACTGGCTAGCCATATGCAGAAAACTGAAACTGAACCTCTTCCTTACACCTTATGCAAAAATTAACTCAAAATGGATTAAAGACTTAAATGTAAGACCTAAAGCCATAAAAACCCTGGAAGAAAACCTTGGCAATATTCATCAGGACATAGGCATAGGCAAAGACTTTATGACTAAAACACAAAAAGCAATGGCAACAAAAGCCAAAATTGACAAATGGGATCTAATTAAACTAAAGAGTTTCTGCACAGCAAAAGAAGCTATCATCAGAGTGAATAGGCAACTTACAGAATGGGAGAAAATTTTTGCAATCTACCCATCTGGCAAGGAGCTAATATCCAGAATCTACAAAGAACTTAAACAAATTTCAAGAAAAAAACACACAACCCCATCAAAAAGTGGGCAAAGGATATGAACAGACACTTCTCAAAAGAAGATACTTACGCAGCCAACAAACATATGGAAAAAAGCTCATTATCACTAGTCATTAGAGAAATGCAAATCAAAACCACAATGATATACCATCTCACGCCAGTTAGAATGTAATCATCAAAAAGTCAGGAAACAACAGATGCTGGAGAGGATATGGAGAAATAGGAACACTTTTACACTGTTGGTGGGAGTATAAATTAGTTCAACCATTGTGGAAGACAGTGTGGAGATTCCTCAAGGATCTAGAACCAGAAATACCATTTGACCCAGCAATCTCATTACTGGGTATATACCCAAAGCATCATAAATCATTCTATTATAAGGACACATGCACACGTATGTTTATTGCAGCACTATTCACAATAGCAAAGACTTGGAACCAACACAAATGCCCATCATTGATAGACTGGATAAACAAAATGTGGTACATATACACCATGAAATACTATGCACTCATTTAAAAGGATGAGTTCATGTCCTTTGCAGGCACATGGATGAAGCTGGAAACCATCATTCTCAGCAAACTAATGCAAGAACAGAAAACCAAACACCGCATGTTCTCACTCATAAGTGGGAGCTGAACAGTGAGAACACATGGACACAGGGAGGGGGAACATTACACACTGGGGCCTATCAGGGGGTGGGGGGCGGGTAGGGGAGGGATAGCATTCGGAGAAATACCTAATGTAGATGACGGGTTCATGGGTGCAGCAAACCATCATGGCACATGTATACCTATGTAACAAACCTGCATGTTCTGCACCTGTACCCCAGAACTTAAAAGTATAATGATAATTTAAAAAAACCTGGAATTACAATATTAATATCAGGAAGAATACACTTTATATCTAAGAAAACTAGGAACAAAGAACATTATTACTTAAAGATAAAATGGCCAATTCATCATGCAGACATAATAGTCCTTAATATATAATCAGGAGTGTTTCCATGTACATGAAGCAAGAAGTAACATAACTGAAGGAAATAATAGACAAGTCCACTAGACAGAAAATTAGTAAGGATATAGAGAAACTGAATAGCACTATCGTTCAGTAAAATCTACCTGTATTTTTAGAACACTGCATCTAACAACAGATAAATACAAGGTATTTTTAATTTTATATGAAATATTTATCAAGATAACCCATATGAAGCCCATCAAAAGTAATACTAAAAAGAACTAAACTTATACCAAGTAGCAAAGTATTTTCTCTGACCATAATAGAATAAACTAGAAAACAATTGTAACAAAGTAAATGAGACAATCTCCATTCATTTCATAACTGAACAACACCTGTAACAATAACTCACAGGCAAAAGAGAAACAGCAGTAAAATTAGAAAATATATAATATTAAATATTTAAATGGAATCAAATTACATAGAACTACACACACCAACACCCAAGTGAATGCAGTAAATATTTATGAAATTAGAATAAAGTCTGTAATATAATTGACAATGTCGTGCTGCTATAATTTTCTGTATTGATATTGTACAAGAAAAATATTTTGTAAATTTTACCATTAGGTGAAAATGGAGAAAGGATTCAGTGATCTCTAAGTATTATTTTTGCAATTAACACTAAGCCATATTATATACATATATATATATTATATAGATGTGTGACAAAAATTAAAAGATTTACATATTAAAATCCATGGGCTGCAGTGAAAGCAGGGCTGTGAGGGAAATTGATAGAATAAACTGTTTATGTTAGAACCGAAGAAAAGTCTAAAACCAATAATAGGAGCTTCCACTTCAAGAAACTAAAAAAAGGTAGATATACATGTCAAGTAAATAGAATTAAAAAATTAGATTGTATTAGAAATCAATAAAATTCAAAATAGAAAAATAATAGAGAAAATAAATTAAACAAAAAGCTGATAACTCAAAATATCAGTAAAATAATTAATTTCTGGCAAGTATGACTAAGAAAAAGAGAAGGAATACACATATGACAAATATCTGGAAGGAAATATCGGATATCATCACAGAACCTAAGACATTAACAGGGTAAGAGATTATGGTAACAATTCCATGCATATGAATGAGAAAACTTATATGACATGGATAGATTCCTGAAAAACCATAAATTATTATAATTCAACCAACATGAAATACTCCTATGACTAATAAAGTAATTGAATTTATCAACAACCTTCCAAATAAGAAATCTTCTGGCCCAGATGATTTCACTTGTAAATGTCACCAAATATTTAAAGGAGAGAAAACATTAATTCTACACAGTATTGTCAAAGAATAATAGAATATAAATCTCAACTCATTTTATAGGGCCAGCATTACCTTGATACTTAAGCCAGAAAAAGACAGTACAAGAAAGAAAGAAAGAAAAGTAAAAAATATGTGTCTTTATATAGAATGATTTATATTCCTTTGTATATATACCCAGTAATGGGATTGCTGGGTTGGATGATATTTCTGTCCTTAGGTCTTTGAGGAATTGCCACATTGTCTTCCACAATGGCTGAACTAATTTATAGTCCCACCCACAGTGTAAAAGCACTCCTTTTCCTCCACAATCCACCAACATCTGTTGTTTTTTGACTTTTTAATAGTAGCCATTCTGACTGGTGTTAGATGGTATTTCACTGTGGTTTTGATTTGCATTTCTCTAATGATCAGTTATGCTGAACTTTTTTCATACGATTGTTGGTACTATGCAGCCATAAAAAAAAATGAGTTCATGTCCTTTGCAGGGACATGGATGGAGCTGGAGGCCATTATCCTTAACAAACTAATAAAGGAACAGAAAACCAAATACTGCATGTTCTCACTTATAGATAAGAGCTAAAATATGAGAACACATAAATACGTAGAAGAGAACAATACATACTTGGGCCTTTTGGAGGGTGGAGGGTGAGAGAAGGGAAAGGATCAGGAAAAATAACTAATCAGTACTAGGCTTAATACCTGAGTGATGAAATAATCTGTACAACACACCTCCAGGACACAAGTTTACCTGTGTAACAAACCTGCACTTGTACCCCTGAATTTAAAATAAAGGTTTTTAAAAGAAGAAAAAAATCAAAAAGGAAATCATAAACCAATATCCCACGTGAATGTAGATACAAAATTTTCAACAAAATATAAGCAAATTAAATCCAACAACACATAAAAAGAATAATGCATGACAACCAAGAGTTTTTTTGTGTTGTGCACAGTGTCAAGAGTTGTTTATTTCAGAAATGCAAGGCTGGTTTATTATTTGAAAAATCAATCAAGTATACAACCCTACGAAGAGTTTAAAGAAGAAAAATCATAATCATCTCGATGCAGACAAAAGACTGAACTAACAACCATACATGACAAAAAGTCTCACATAGTATGAATAGAGAACTTCTTCAACTTCATAAAGAGGATCTTGAAAACCAATAGTTAATATTTCACTTGACAGTGAAAAATTGAGTGCATTCCCCCAGACATCAGAAACAGAGCAAAGATGTTCATCCTCACCACTCCTATTCAACATTGTACTGAGAACCCAAGCAAGGGCAATAAGGCAAGGAAAGACAGGCAGACCCATGCAGATTAAATTGGAAGAGATCAAACTGTCTTTACTTGAAGAAGACATTATTTTTTTCTATATAGAAAGTCATAAGGAATCTAATGAAAAAATAACTCCTAGAACTAGTAAGTTCAGCAAGGTCACAGGATATGACATCAACATACAAAAATCAGTTTTATTTCTGTATATTACCAATGAACATAAAAACACAAAAATAAAAAACATACATTTTACAATAGCTCCAAAAATAATAAAATCCATCTATGTATATCTGTCAAATTATTTACAGCCACGGTATGCTGAAAACTACAAATGCTAATGAAATGAAACAAAGGATAACTAAATAAATTGACATACTGTAGTCATGATTTTGAAGACTCCATATAGTAAAATGTCAATTCACCCTAAATTTGTCTGTTGATTTAACACAATTCATATCTACATTTCAGCATGAGTTTTTTCTGTACTGTGAAGCTGAATCTAAAATATACACATAAGACAAAGGAAGTAAAATAGATACAAAAAAATTGAAAAAAGACTACCTATATTTAAAACATTCTGTATATCTACAGCAATCAAGAGAGACAGTGGCATTAGGAAGGAGAGACACATAGATCAAGGGAAAAGAATAGAGAGCTATAAATAGACCCCATATAATCACAGCCTTCTGATTTTATACAAAGTTGCAAAAACAATTTAATGTAAAAAGGATAGTTTTTTCAACGTATGTTGTTAGAGAACATGGATATCAGTTGGTGAAAATGTTAGCCTCAACCTAGACTTCATATTCTCTACAATGATTAATTCAAAATGTACCATAGATCTAAGTTTAAATATAAAACTCTAAGACTTTTAGAAGAAAACATTACAGAAAATCTACCACAAAGGGGCTAGTGACAGATTCTTGGACATGACACCAAAACCAGAATCCTTAAACATAAAAAATCATTAAATGGGACTGCATCAAAATTAAGCACTTTTGTTATGTAAAAGTCATTCTTAAGAGAACAAGAAGATAAGCCACATATTGGGAGATAATATTTGCAATAACCAGCAAATGACTTATTTCCAGAATAAGCAACTCTCTGAACTCAGTAGTAAGAAAACAATCAAATTAGAAATCAGGCAAAAGATTTAAAAAGATATTTCATGGAAGATAAAAGGATGGCAATTAATTACATGACTAGATCTCAATATTATTAGTCATTAGGGAAGTGCAAAGTAAAGCCATGAGGAGATACTACTGCTCACATATTAGACTGGCTAGAATAACATACTGGTAACATTGTACCACATGCTGGAGAGAAGGCAGAGAAAATGCATCTCTCATACATTGCCAAGTGGGAAGGTTAAATGGCATAGCCACTGTGGAAAACTGCTTAGTAGTTTTCTTATAAAATTAAATGTACACTTCCCATATGGCCCAGCAATTGCCTGGGTATTCACTGGAGAAATGAAAACTTATGTTCACACAAGAATCCGCACATCAATATTCTTAGCAGCTTTATTTTGTAATATACCCAAACTGGAAACAACTGAAATATCTTCCCCAAGGCAGAGTTGGCTGAATAATGACCCCAGAGGATATTAGATACTAAACTCTGGAATCTGTAAATGTCACCTTATGTGGAAAAAAAAGGGTTTGTGTGTACATGTGATTAAATTAAGAATCTTGAGCTGGAAGATTATCCTGGATTACCCAGGTGGATCTTAAAGGAGATCACACTTCATGATAACGAGGAGCTAGAGGTAGATTGGACAGATAGACATAAGAGGAGAGGGTGATGTGAAGTCAAAGGCAGAAATTGGATTGATGTATCCACAAGTTAACAAATGCCAGCAGCCTCCAGAAGTGGGAAGAAGCAAGAGATAGATTCTCCACCAGAATATCCAGAGGGATCACGGCACCATATCTCGGCCAACACCTTGACTTCTGCCCACTGGTACTGATTTTGGACTGCTGGCAGCTAGAACTGTGAGAGAATGCATTTCTGCAGTTTTAAATCATAAAATTTGTGCTAATTTCTTATAGCAGCCACAGGTAACTAATACACTGGATGAATAAATAAACTGTGGCACATCTATTCAATGGAATATTATTCAGCAATCAAAAGGAACAAACAATCGAAATGCGCAATACATTGGATAAATCTCAATGACATTATGCCTAGTGAAACAAGCCATTCTCAAAAGATCATATACTGTATTACTCCATTTTAAAAACTTTCTGTAAATGGCCAAACTGTGATGATGGAAAACACAACCATTGTTGTCAACAGAGTTGTGTGAAATGTGTGATATAAAATTGTAGTGTGAGGGAATTTTTGAGGGATGATATTATAACAGTTCCATACCCTAATTTTAGTGGTGGTTACACAAATCTACACATTTGAGAAAATTTCATGGAAGTGTTCACCAAGAAAATGGCAGGAAAACTGCCAAAATTATTTAGTCAATTTTTGGTTTTGATAGTTATTCTCTTTTGTGAGATGTTATCACTGAAGGAAGCTGAGTGAAGGGTACTTGGAATTTCTGTATACTATTTTTGAAGCTTCAATGTCAGTCTAAAATTATTTCAAAATAAAAAATTAAAATACAAACTAGCAATTATAGCTAATGTTTATGAAGGTTTTCGATATACAGGTATTATTAAGTCTACAAGTTTATTTAATCTTTATAACATAAAGAGATAAGATAGTGTGTGCCTCTAGTCCTAGCTACATGGGAAGCTGAAGTGGGAGGATCAGTTGAGATCAGGAGTTTAAGGCTGCAATGAACTATGATCATGTCACTGCACTTCAGCCTGGGCAACAGAGTGAGATACTGTCTTTAAAAAAAATTAAAAATTAAAAATAACTATAGTTTTGCCCATTTTCAGAAATGGGATCACAGAGAATTTACATAACTTTCTCACAGTTAAAATGCTGGGAAGTGTTAGAAGCAGATATGAAACAAAGACAGTCTGACTTCAGAGCCCATCCTCATAACCCCTATTCTCACTGTGCTAGGATAGTCATTGTGGCCAAACTGGTAACAGCAAAATCAACAACAGCAAATGGAAGCAATCTGCATATCCATCAATGAGAGACCCATGAATTATCAAACATATGATACAAAATATACTGGTTAAAAAACAAAAAAGGTGGTAAGATATGAAAATAATTCCAAGACTTATATAGTGAAAAAAGTGAGATACATAATAGTCTGTATAATGGGGCAATAATTCGTATGGAAGAAAATACAGCAAAGAGAAGGAAACAACAAAAAATATTTGTATATATTGATGAGCGTGTGCATGCGTGTATATGTGCAGACACATGCTGTGCTGCAACCGTGTTGTATATAAGAAATTGCTGAAGTTGGTTAACAATGGGAACTTCTTGGGAAATAGAACAGACCATGTATAGTGACAAGGGCTTATAGCAGTTGTTGCTAACTGAAACATGATGTTCATTTTCCCTTTTTCCTTTGAATTAGAGAACGCTGGGCTTTAACTGAACACATAGCTACCCAACTAAAGCATCTTTTGCAGCTAGAAATGGCCATGTGATCAAGTTTGGAGGAACTAGAGGGGTTGGCAAGTGATGAGTGTGACTTTGGACCACCTCCTTGAAGATGCAGCTGCTTCCCAGGACTTCTTTCCCACTTCCCACAGGCTGGAGAGTGGGCACCCAGGCTTTAGTCACAACCACCAAGATGACCCTGTGGGGAGGTGACAGGGAGAGAAGATGGACCTCTTGGAGAGGAGCAGCCACTTCTCCAGCTATGGACTGCTGACATAAGTACTATTTAGAGAGAGGAAAATAAACTATCCCGTGTAAGTCAGCCCATATTTGAGTGTCTTTGTATAATAGTTTAGCCTGTATTCTAATTAGTACAAATAATTATTATTGTGTCCTCTTTATTCATTCAACATATATATAAATATTAACAGAGCTTAGATTTCAGTAATATGTCGACATGAAATAAAGTAAATAAAAAATTGCAACTTGGTTATGAACTCTGAGGGGGATGAATGTGGTACAGCAGACGCCCATAACAGTTTTGAGCAGTCTTGGTGTCGGAGAATGTTGCATTGAGAAAGAAGTGGTTGGCCGGGTGCAGTGGCTCACACCTGTAATCCCAGCACTTTGGGAGGCTGAGGTGGGCGGATCACGAGGTCAGGAGTTCGAGACCAGCCTGGCCAACATGGTGAAAACCCATCTCTATAAAAATTAGCTGGGCGTGGTGATGTGTGGTTGTAATCCCAGCTACTCAGGAGGCTGAGGCAGGAGAATTGCTTGAACTCAAGAGGCAGAGATTGCAGTGAGGTGAGATTGCACCATTGCACTCCAGCCTGGGAGACAGAGTGAGGCTCTGTCTCAAAAAAATAAGTGAATAAATAAACAGGTGGGCCAGGGGGAGGAGCCAAGATGGCCGAATAGGAACAGCTCCAGTCTACAGCTCCCAGCGTGAGCGATGCAGGAGACGGGTGATTTCTGCATTTCCATCTGAGGTACCGGGTTCATCTCACTAGGGAGTGCCAGACAGTGGGCGCAGGACAGTGGGTGCGCGCACCGTGCGCGAGCCGAAGCAGGGCGAGGCATTGCCTCACCTGGGAAGCGCAAGGGGTCAGGGAGTTCCCCTTCCGAGTCAAAGAAAGGGGTGACGGACACACCTGGAAAATCGGGTCACTCCTACCCGAATATTGCGCTTTTCAGACCGGCTTAAAAAAACGGCGCACCAGGAGACTATATCCCACACCTGGCTCAGAGGGTCCGACGCCCACGGAGTCTCGCTGATTGCTAGCACAGCAGTCTGAGATCAAACTGCAAGGCGGCAGCGAGGCTGGCAGAGGGGCGCCCGCCATTGCCCAGGCTTGCTTAGGTAAACAAAGCAGCCTGGAAGCTCGAACTGGGTGGAGCCCACCACAGCTCAAGGAGGCCTGCCTGCCTCTGTAGGCTCCACCTCTGGGGGCAGGGCACAGACAAACAAAAAGACAGCAGTAACCTCTGCAGACTTAAATGTCCCTGTCTGACAGCTTTGAAGAGAGCAGTGGTTCTCCCGGCACGCAGCTGGAGATCTGAGAAGGGGCAGACTGCCTCCTCAAGTGGGTCCCTGACCCCTGACCCCCGAGCAGCCTAACTGGGAGGCACCCCCAGCAGGGGCACACTGACACCTCACACTGCAGGGTATTCCAACAGACCTGCAGCTGAGGGTCCTGTCTGTTAGAAGGAAAACTAACAAACAGAAAGGACATCCACACCGAAAACCCATCTGTACATCACCATCATCAAAGACCAAAAGTAGATAAAACCACAAAGATGGGGAAAAAACAGAACAGAAAAACTGGAAACTCTAAAAAGCAGAGCACCTCTCCTCCTCCAAAGGAATGCAGTTCCTCACCAGCAACGGAACAAAGCTGGATGGAGAATGATTTTGACGAGCTGAGAGAAGAAGGCTTCAGACGATCAAATTACTCTGAGCTACGGGAGGACATTCAAACCAAAGGCAAAGAAGTTGAAAACTTTGAAAAAAATTTAGAAGAATGTATAACTAGAATAACCAATACAGAGAAATGCTTAAAGGAGCTGATGGAGCTGAAAACCAAGGCTCGAGAACTACGTGAAGAATGCAGAAGCCTCAGGAGCTGATGCGATCAACTGGAAGAAAGGGTATCAGCAATGGAAGATGAAAGGAATGAAATGAAGCAAGAAGGGAAGTTTAGAGAAAAAAGAATAAAAAGAAATGAGCAAAGCCTCCAAGAAATATGGGACTATGTGAAAAGACCAAATCTACGTCTGATTGGTGTACCTGAAAGTGATGCGGAGAATGGAACCAAGTTGGAAAACACTCTGCAGGATATTATACAGGAGAACTTCCCCAATCTAGCAAGGCAGGCCAACGTTCAGATTCAGGAAATACAGAGAATGCCACAAAGATACTCCTTGAGAAGAGCAACTCCAAGACACATAATTGTCAGATTCACCAAAGTTGAAATGAAGGAAAAAATGTTAAGGGCAGCCAGAGAGAAAGGTCAGGTTACCCTCAAAGGGAAGCCCATCAGACTAACAGCAGATCTCTCAGCAGAAACCCAGAAGCCAGAAGAGAGTGGGGGCCAATATTCAACATTCTTAAAGAAAAGAATTTTCAACCCAGAATTTCATATCCAGCCAAACTAAGCTTCATAAGTGAAGGAGAAATAAAATGCTTTACAGACAAGCAAATGCTGAGAGATTTTCTCACCACCAGGCCTGCCCTAAAAATGCTCCTGAAGGAAGCGCTAAACATGGAAAGGAACAACCGGTACCAGCCGCTGCAAAATCATGCCAAAATGTAAAGACCATCGAGACTAGGAAGAAACTGCATCAACTAACAAGCAAAATCACCAGCTAACATCATAATGACAGGATCAAATTCACACATAACAATATTAACTTTAAATGTAAATGGACTAAATTCTCCAATTAAAAGACACAGACTGGCAAGTTGGATAAAGAGTCAAGACCCATCAGTGTGCTGTATTCAGGAAACCCATCTCACATGCAGAGACACACATAGGCTCAAAATAAAAGGATGGAGGAAGATCTACCAAGCAAATGGAAAACAAAAAAAGGCAGGGGTTACAATCCTAGTCTCTGATAAAACAGACTTTAAACCAACAAAGATCAAAAGAGACAAAGAAGGCCATTACATAATGGTAAAGGGTTCAATTCAACAAGAGGCGCTAACTATCCTAAATATATATGCACCCAATACAGGAGCACCCAGATTCATAAAGCAAGTCCTGAGTGACCTACAAAGAGACTTAGACTCCCACACATTAATAATGGGAGACTTTAACACCCCACTGTCAACATTAGACAGATCAACGAGACAGAAAGTCAACAAGGATACCCAGGAATTGAACTCAGCTCTGCACCAAGTGACCTAATAGACATCTACAGAACTCTCCACCCCAAATCAACAGAATATACATTTTTTTCAGCACCACACCACACCTATTCCAAAATTGACCACACAGTTGGAAGTAAAACTCTCCTCAGCAAATGTAAAAGAACAGAAATTATAACAAACTACCTCTCAGACCACAGTGCAATCAAACTAGAACTCAGGATTAGTAATCTCACTCAAAGCCGCTCAACTACATGGAAACTGAACAACCTGCTCCTGAATGACTACTGGGTACATAACGAAATGAAGGCAGAAATAAAGATGTTCTTTGAAACCAACGAGAACAAAGACACAACATACCAGAATCTCTGGGACACATTCAAAGCAGTGTGTAGAGGGAAATTTATAGCACTAAATGCCCACAAGCGAAAGCAGGAAAGATCCAAAATGGACACCCTAACATCACAATTAAAAGAACTAGAAAAGCAAGATCAAACACATTCAAAAGCTAGCAGAAGGCAAGAAATAACTAAAATCAGAGCAGAACTGAAGGAAATAGAGACACAAAAAACCCTTCAAAAAATCAATGAATCCAGGAGCTGGTTTTTGAAAGGATCAACAAAATTGATAGACCGCTAGCAAGACTAATAAAGAAAAAAAGAGAGAAGAATCAAATAGACACAATAAAAAATGATAAAGGGGATATCACCACCAATCCCACAGAAATATAAACTACCATCAGAGAATACTACAAACACCTCTACACAAATAAACTAGAAAATCTAGAAGAAATGGATACATTCCTCGACACATACACTCTCCCAAGACTAAACCAGGAAGATGCTGAATCTCTGAATAGACCAATAACAGACTCTGAAATTGTGGCAATAATCAATAGTTTACCAACCAAAAAGAGTCCAGGACCAGATGGATTCACAGCCAAATTCTACCAGAGGTACAAGGAGGAACTGGTACCATTCCTTCTGAAACTACTCCAATCAATAGAAAAAGAGGGAATCCTCCCTAACTAATTTTATGAGGCCAGCATCATTCTGATACCAAAGCCGGGCAGAGACACAACCAAAAAAGAGAATTTTAGACCAATATCCTTGATGAACATTGATGCAAAAATCCTCAATAAAATACTGGCAAACCAAATCCAGCAGCACATCAAAAAGCTTATCCACCATGATCAAGTGGGCTTCATCCCTGGGATGCAAGGCTGGTTCAATATACGCAAATCAATAAATGTAATCCAGCATATAAACAGAGCCAAAGACAAAAACCACATGATTATCTCAATAGATGCAGAAAAAGCCTTTGACAAAATTCAACAACCCTTCATGCTAAAAACTCTCAATAAATTAGGTACTGATGGGACGTATTTCAAAATAATAAGAGCTATCTATGACAAACCCACAGCCAATATCATACTGAATGGGCAAAAACTGGAAGCATTCCCTTTGAAAACTGGCACAAGACAGGGATGCCCTCTCTCACCACTCCTATTCAACATAGTGTTGGAAGTTCTGGCCAGGGCAATCAGGCAGGAAAAGGAAATAAAAGGTATTCAATTAGGAAAAGAGGAAGTCAAATTGTCCCTGTTTGCAGATGACATGATTGTATATCTAGAAAACCCCATCATCTCAGCCCAAAATCTCCTTAAGCTGATAAGCAACTTCAGCAAAGTCTCAGGATACAAAATCAATGTACAAAAATCACAAGCATTCTTATACACCAACAACAGACAAACAGAGAGCCAAATCATGAGTGAACTCCCATTCACAATTGCTTCAAAGAGAATAAAATACCTAGGAATCCAACTTACAAGGGATGTGAAGGACCTCTTCAAGGAGAACTACAAACCACTGCTCAACGAAATAAAAGAGGACACAAATAAATGGAAGAACACTCCATGCTCATGGGTAGGAAGAATCAATATCGTGAAAATGGCCATACTGCCCAAGGTAATTTACAGATTCAATGCCATCCCCATCAAGCTACCAATGACTTTCTTCACAGAATTGGAAAAAACTACTTTAAAGTTCATATGGAACCAAAAAGGAGCCCGCATCGCCAAGTCAATCCTAAGCCAAAAGAACAAAGCTGGAGGCATCACACTACCTGACTTCAAACTATACTACAAGGCTACAGTAACCAAAACAGCATGGTACTGGTACCAAAACAGAGATATAGATCAATGGAACAGAACAGAGCCCTCAGAAATAACGCTGCATACCTACAACTATCTGATCTTTGACAAACCTGAGAAAAACAAGCAATGGGGAAAGGATTCCCTATTTAATAAATGGTGCTGGGAAAACTGGCTAGCCATATGTAGAAAGCTGAAACTGGATCCCTTCCTTACACCTTATACAAAAATCAATTCAAGATGGATTAAAGATTTAAACGTTAGACCTAAAACCATAAAAACCCTAGAAGAAAACCTAGGCATTACCATTCAGGACATAGGCGCGGGCAAGGACTTCATGTCCAAAACACCAAAAGCAATGGCAACAAAAGCCAAAATTGACAAATGGGATCTAATTAAACTAAAGAGCTTCTGCACAGCAAAAGAAACTACCATCAGAGTGAACAGGCAACCTACAACATGGGAGAAAATTTTCGCAACCTCCTCATCTGACAAAGGGCTAATATCCAGAATCTACAATGAACACAAACAAATTTACAAGAAAAAATAAACAACCCCATCAAAAAGTGGGCGAAGGACATGAACAGACACTTCTCAAAAGAAGACATTTATGCAGCCAAAAAACACATGAAAAAATGCTCATCATCACTGGCCATCAGAGAAATGCAAATCAAAACCACTATGAGATATCATCTCACACCAGTTAGAATGGCAATCATTAAAAAGTCAGGAAACAACAGGTGCTGGAGAGGATGTGGAGAAATAGGAACACTTTTACACTGCTGGTGGGACTGTAAAGTAGTTCAACCATTGTGGAAGTCAGTGTGGCGATTCCTCAGGGATCTAGAACTAGAAATACCATTTGACCCAGCCATCCCATTACTGGGTATATACCCAAATGACTATAAATCATGCTGCTATAAAGACACATGCACACGTATGTTTATTGCGGCATTATTCACAATAGCAAAGACTTGGAACCAACCCAAATGTCCAACAATGATAGACTGGATTAAGAAAATGTGGCACATATACACCATGGAATACTATGCAGCCATAAAAAATGATGAGTTCATGTCCTTTGTAGGGACGTGGATGAAACTGGAAACCATCATTCTCAGTAAACTATCGCAAGAACAAAAAACCAAACACCGCATGTTCTCACTCATAGGTGGGAATTGAACAATGAGATCACATGGACACAGGAAGGGGAATATCACACTCTGGGGACTGTTGTGGGGTGGGGGGAGGGGGGAGGGATGGCATTGGGAGATATACCTAATGCTAGATGACGAGTTAGTGGGTGCAGCACACCAGCATGGCACATGTATACATATGTAACTAACCTGCACAATGTGCACATGTACCCTAAAACTTAAAGTATAATAAAAAAAAATTAAAAAAAAAAAAATAAACAGGTGGGTGACCTGAGACTTGAGGAGTGGGAAGAAACTTCTGGGACTAAAGAAGGAGCCAGGAGTACTTCAGGCTGTGCAATATATAAAAAGGTCCCAAGAAAAGGAAAGCAGGCTTAGTAGAAGGATGGAAAGAAAGGGAGTCTCATTGGGGGAATAGTCGATATTCAAAAAGGAGAATAGTACATAGGAAAATCCATACAGAATCTTAGAAATCATGTTATGAAATTTTATCTTTACCCAAGAGAAGCTCCTGAAGTGTTTTTAAGTAATCAAATTTATATATTTAAAATATCCTGTTTGCATTGTGGAAAGTGGATTGGAACAGTGAATGCAGGTAGATAGATGAGGAGGCATTTTCATGGACTGGACAAGCATAGGTGGACTAAAGCCTCTGTGGTGGATATGTCGAACACAATATAGATTCAGAGAGGGGTCTCAACAACGAATCAGTGGGAAGTTAGGGAAGCAATAGCATTACTGGTGACTCCTAGGTATATGGCCTGGGCAACCAGTTGGGAAACACAGAAGAAGAGAAATCCCAGTGAGGGACTGATGGGAAATAAGACCAGGCATTCAGCTTTGAATATGTTAATGTTAAGGTTCCTTCGAGCCTACTTTAGTATCGACTGGACTTTTTAATACATAGCTTATGTTATATTCGTATAATTCAAACGTGAATCACAGAAACTATCTTGTCCTCTAAATGTTGCACTGCGAAAATCTTGTCTCACTGTACATTTAAATACATTGAAGGCAAAAAAATTTCAAACATCTTTAGTATCCCCAGATTATTTGATAGAGTGATATTTAAATTTGAAAAGTTGCTCTCCACATATTTGGTATTTGATTAAACATACAAGTGTAAAACACTAATAGTTGTTCTTGGATAGAGGGATGAGAATGTACCACAAAATGGAGTCTGTGATCTGTTTTTCAGCTGTCAAAGGAGCTTCCACTTAGGAAGGGGAGGATGCGGTAAGAAAAAATACTTACATAAATTAAGACAATCAACAAAGAGCAGGCAGGTGGGGCAGAGTGGAGCAGCCTGAAGGTGTGGAATAGTAGTTAGGTTCAGAATTATAAATTGGAGCACTAGTGCTGATTGGAAACCATGTGCAAGATGGACCAATTAAAGTTGGAGACATTCACAATAACCCTCAGATCCAAGTTCTTAAGAGAAGACCTGTGTCTGCTTTACCGTTTTACCCACCAAGCACAGAGTACTGGGAGTCCTTTGCACAAAACTGATGATCAGAAATGGTTTATTCTTAATTATTTAATTTATTTATTAATATTCCCTACTTAAGCATACATCAACACATATAGATATATAATGGGCATGTTGATGTTGTCAGGAGAAAAATCTTCATAGTAAATTAAGTATATTTCAAATAGTCACCAAAATGTATTTTAAATTATCGATTTACAAATCTATTGGATCTGTTATGGGTTGAATTATGTTCTCCCAAGAAGAAATGTTGAAATCCTAGCCTTCAGAATCCTCAGAATTTGATCTTATTTGAAAGTAAGTTTACAAAGGTAATGAAGTTAAAACGAGATCCTTAGGATAGGCTCTAATCCAATGGTTATTATCTTTATAAAAAGAGAAAATGTGGACACAGAAACAGACATGCATAGAAAGAAGACGATATGAAGACATACAGGGAGAAGATGGCCATGAGAGACTGGAATGATGTATCTACAAGCCAAAGAATGCCAATAATTGCTGGCAAACATTAGAATCTAGTACAATTGAGAGAAAGATTATATCCTAGAAATGCCAAAGAAAGCACAGCCCTGCTGACACTTTGGTTTTTGACTTTTAGCTTCCAGAACCAAGATAATAAACTCCTATTATTTTAAATCATCCAGTTTGTGGTGCAGTATTTTGTAATGGCAGCCCCAAGAAACTACTATCTTTCTTTCTCTTTCTTTCCTTCTCTTTCTCTTTTCTTCTTTTTTCTGTCTTTCCTTTCCTTTCCTTCCTTCCTTCTTTCCTTCCTCCCTCCCTCCCTCCCTTTCTTCTCCTTTCTTTTTCTTATCTGTTTATCTATCTGTCTGTGTGTCTATCACATTTCTTGTTCTTTATTTGAGGATATACATTAAATATCAGTTATGTTGTTTTATTTTCCAGTTTTGTCACAGAGGAATTAATGCAGGGAAACCACATATATCCTTTAAAATACATAGGAAGAAACTCACAGGCACAACATACTACTGCACCTAATTTTTAAAATGATATGAATAACGCCTTTGGAGACTTGTAGCTCTCTCTGTTTGCCTCCCTGAATTTGCAGACATAGTGGCTAAAACACTGCTTTAAACTCCATCTTTACTGACCTCCTGGATGAAGATCCCCTCTGGAATGTGAAGATCAGAAATCCCACTGTGATAATGTCACTCTTCAGCTTGTTGAAAATCACTGTAAAATGTACTTGTAGTAAGGCATTGTGACAGCAAGACACATGCCCTGGAGTGGCCCACAGCCTAAATGATAGATCCTGGAAAGCAGCCCAAGTGGAGCGTGTGAGGAGCAGAATATTTGCACTTAGATGAAGCAACTTACTGCTTGCTACAATATTCACAGTTTTTATTCTCGCAAATATAGACCCACTGCATTATCTTCCAAGTACTCACACGTTTCTATTCACAGAAAATGGTAGAAAAGTTAAAAAACAGAAACACAGAAAGTCACACATTATTGATAAACATCTTTAAAAACTACGGTGAAACAAGAGTATTTTTTCTTTAGGCAAACCCAATATACAAAAGTAAGAATTTATGAAGTAGAATTACTGAGGGTTCAAGGGAAAGGGAGATAAGTATGATGAATATTTTTATGAACACAAAGCCACAACGGACCCAAAATAGGTTAATAAGAGTCAACTCAGTCACATGAAAAAAATAATTTAGTTCATCTCATTTTGGTGTTTGTTTTGTAAAAGAGAAAGATGCAAACATTGTATCATTTCATCACCTTTTTTTGCATCGATATAGAGAACTCAATTCATTATTACAATAGACTAAAACAGTGTGAGTGTGTGTTTACATCTCTGACTTCCCCTATTTCATTGTTTTTTCCTTATCAATATCAACCCATATTTAAATTAATTGTGTGTGTGTGTGTGTGTGTGTGTGTGTGTGTGTGTGTCACTCAAACCAAAATGCTGCATGAATGTCATGATGACCAGACCAAGGATTTGGTACTAAAATCGCTCAAGACACAGCCATATACACACACACACACACACACACACACACACACGTGTATATGTGTATATATGTGTGTGTGTGTGTGTGTGTGTGTGTGTGTCACAAAAAGAATCTTCCTAAAGTCGCAAGTGCCATAAGGGATACCTACCCATGCGAATTCAGAGGAGGTATAAATTATTGTTGACAGGGAAGGAGTCAGGGAAGGCATTTGACCTGTGCCTTGAAAGACAGGTGGGGTTTGCTCACATGAAGATGAAGGAAACGGCACGGGAGGCATAAGCATAAGAGACAAAGCCTAGGACATTTACGGGAAACAGAAGGAATTCAATTTGGCTGGAGCATAGGGCATAGAAGAGCCAGGGGGTTGGGGTTAGACATTCAAATCATGATTACTACATTCAGTACCAAGAAGGTTTTGAAATTTCAGAAGCCTCAGAATGGCCTGGTCAGAACATTTTTCCAGGACAATGACTCTAATAGTATATCAGAAAGATTACAGGGGGCAGAAGGCACAGAAAAATCATGAGACTACTACTACAATGGTCATGGTGAATGGTAAAGGGATTTTGGCTTTAGCAGTGTCAGTGTGATATGGTTCCTTAACCTTTATAATCTGTGTAGGAGGAATTTACAATAGCACTTAACTAAAAGTCCTAAAAATTCTGGGAAATTGGTCATGACGAAACATGGGTAAGCTTTACAGGGTCTTACTAGCAGATATTTTCACTGTTTTCTTGATTTTCATATCCATAGGCATAAATTACATTGCAATTGCAGGAGGGCTTCATAAAGGAGGTGTTTTGTTGGTTTTGTTCATCTCTGTGTTTCCAGTCTGGTGAATAGCACTAAGTGAATCGTAGATTCAATATCTTTTGCTTGATGGGATTGCCATATTCTCAAACTTGAATAGTTAAAAACTGAAATTGTTAAGTGGTCCTTAACAATGTCAAAACAATGACCCATGAGGAGTTACTAAAATAATCTATGTAGTCTGGAGCCAATGAGGATTTAATTACTCATGCATCCCTTACTCCCACTTCTTATAGCTGTGAATGATTTCAATATATGTTTAAAGAATTAATAAACCACAATGAAATAAGATTACGATAAGTACTCAGGTCAAAATCTCTGTTATTTAAATGACTCTGTTCCTTGTCAATTCAATATTAATTTCTAATGTCCTTCTCAGGTGTGATATGCTGTAAATATATGAAACAACAACACTAATACTACTGTGTATTAAGCACTACAAATTCAGTAATAATAACTACTATTAATCAAGTGCTTGAAAAGGGACAGACCCTCCTCTGAGTATGTGATAAATATCATGTCATTTAATCCACACAATAACCCCATTGCTTATATATGTATGTATGGTTTTGTGCATATGTTTGTGTATGCATTCACACACATATATAACCATATATGTGTAAGACCATTTATGTCTGTATTAGTCCATTTTCACTCTGCTGATAAAGACATACCCAAGGCTGCGTAATTTATAAAGAAAAAGAGGTTTAATGGGCTCACAGTTCCACGTGGCTTGGGTGGCCTCAGAATCATGGTGGAAGGTGAAAGTCACATCTTACATGGCAGCAGGCAAGAGATAATGACAGCCAAGCAAAAGGAGGAACCCCTTATAAAATGATCAGATCTGGTGAGACTTATTAACCACCACGAGAACAGTATGGGGGAAATCATCCCCATGATTCAGTCATCTCCCACTGGGTCCCTCTCACAACACGTGGGAATTATGGGAGCTACAATTCAAGATGAGATCTGGTTGGGGACACAGCCAAACCATATCAATGTCTTACACATATGTGGTTATCTACATTTATATCTATACCTATATCTACATCTATGTCTATCTATCTATCCATCTATCTATACACATATGGTTATATATAGGGTTCTATTTTAAGGTGAGAAAACTGACCTTTAACGGTGACAATTAACTTTCTCAAATAAGTGGTCTGTATTAGAACTGGAACTGTTTCTCAAAATCCATCCAAGAGAAGAATCTACCATCAACTCAATTGAGCCAGTCAGAAAAGGATGCAATACATTTTGTCTGTTATCTTTGAAGAGACTTGAAGTTGTGTTATTTGGAGTACAGATCCCTCACCACCTAGCAATGCCAAAATTCTGAGGCATGTGATTCATCCTGGGAGAAGATTTCCAGGCAGTGCCAAACAAATTTAATGCTCTTTTTCATGTTAATGCGGAGACTACTACAAGGAACCGCAGTGATTCTGAGGAAGGCTGGTGAACGCACAAGCAGATTATTCAGCTGCATCTGCTCCTGATCTTCCTCTGTGAGCTGTGGAGCCTGCCCACCTCCAGGCTCTCAGTTAACCCCATCTTGCTACCTGGCTTCTGGGAGACCCCAACTCTCTCTCCATGAGGTCTCTCTCTCTCTCTTTTTTTTTTTTTTTTGACTTTTCAGTTCTCCCCTTACCTTGCTGTAAATCCACTCCAGCTAGGTGTTTGACCAGCATTCTCATGGAAGTCAGTAAATGTATGGAGCTTCCAGAAAAAGTCAGTTTAAAATATAATCCCTTTGTTAATGTATACAAAGGGCTTTGAGTCAAATAAAATTGGGAAGTGTGTAATTCAATTCTCCCTTAGAGATTTATGAGTCAGTGAGACACAAACTGAGAAATTCTCTGGTGAAGGAATCTGTTTAATTTTGTTTAAAGAGTTCTCCAAAGTCATGCAACCCTTTGTTCAGGAACACTTCGTTGCTAATCTGCGGCCAAGGACACACCTTAGAAATGCTGTTGAAGTGATGTCCAATGTGCCTCCCAGGTCCTGAGGACCATGCACCTACTGACAAAAACCACAGTGAGCTTTTGCATTTACTCATGGAGGGCTGACAATTGTTTGTTCAGAGGAGCTGATGAGATTTTTTTATCTTTTTCTAGGACTAGAAGGAAAGTTACATTAGAAAATACCAGATGAATGATTTAGATTTATGTTCAATGAAAGTTTTAGAAGAGACAGAGAACATCTTAAAGGCAGCAAAAATGGTAGGTTAAAGGTATCAGTAAAGCTCTGCCCAATTCCTAGATTCTGTGGTAGGTCCCAGCTTACTGAACCAACTTTAGTTTTATCAAGTATAAGTATTTATGCCTCCTAAATCCCTATTTATCAACGCTTTTCAAAGGATAGGAAGAGAAGATCTACTCCTCTGATCTCTTTTACACCACGTCTCCTCCTCTTTCCCCTCTTCGTTTTTTAAAAAATATGTAGTAAATTCATTTCAGGTTTTCCAATATGAAACTAGATTAGGTGTACTATCTACTATATGCAAAACTTTTATTGAAGACGTAAAAGAACCAATCATAAATCTACACTCAGCAATGAATTTCCTTAAGATTTTCATGTATTTCCTGTTAATGTTCTTTAGTTATCTCTAATTGAACAATAACTTATGTCCAAATGTATATTTTTAACTAATGATAGAAATATACATTTTATGTTATTAAAAATTCCACATAAAACTCCTAACAATGACATATTATTTAATTTTATATCTGTGCTATGGTATGCATTATTAAGTCTTTAAAGTAGGAATATAGTTGTTGCAATGTTTTGTCATTTTAAGTAATGTGTGAAACGAACACTTTTGTGTCAGAAAATGTTGCTCTCATTTTGTTTATTTATTTATTTATTATTTATTTATTTTGCTCAGGCTCCTAGACTTTGTAGGACTGTGTATAAAGAAGAGATTAAATCAAGCTATATTAAGCATCTCAGTGATTTGTAGCATATTTACTCACTAAAAGTCACAGGTCAAGGTTGATGGGCACATACAATGTAGAATTTTTCTTAATAATTAAAATGTCTTTCCTAATAAACTTCGATCCAATGAGAAGAGTGAAAAAATAACAGATGTTAGTTCAGTCTGAGCAAATGTAGTCCCATGTAAAAATTTAAAAAGAACTTTAGCCCCATAGAACCTCGGTTATTTAGGTACAATGTCCAGTGTCTTAGATTTTCTATCCTTTCCCTTGCTCCCTACAAAATTGTTGGAATCTGGCATATATGGCCTTCTGGTATTCAGAATTAGGGAAAAGTGAGATCAAATTAAGCCCTGTGGAGCCTCACTGCCCCTGCATGACTGGTCTGGCCCCCTGCTTAGCCTGGACACCATGAGGACTACTGGCCCACTTAGCTTTTCAGAACGACAAGCCTCCACCCACTAGTAGTGCTGCAGCTTCAGCCATTTGGCTCTGGACACAAAATCTCTGTGGCCTCCTCACTAGGATCCTCGGCCTCTGAGGGGCCACCTGCGAGCTTGGTGGCCTTTTCTCATGACCTTGCTGAAATATACAGACACCCCTGGATACTGCTCTGTGAGCACCAAAGACAGGCTTCAAGGAAACCAGGACCATTCTCCTAAGCTCATCTACCATTCTGTTCTTTTCTACTACCTCCTGCCAACATTTCTATATTATGTAGGAAGTGGCTATGTGTGGAGTATCCCCTTTAAAAAGTGCCATTTTTCTCTGTAGTGCTCCTATAAAAATGTGTCCTATACATATTAATACATGTTGAATTCAAAGTGCTATCCTTTCTCCTTGCACACAGTGAAGTTTTGGAGAGAAATAAGATCTTCCTATTTTTCCCTTCTTTGACCCCCGGTCCCCTAGCTCAGATATGATGAATGGAGGATTTTCATTTCCTTTGCTATGTCTTTTGTTCCTCTACTCATAGTGCACAGGAAAACTCTATGACCAAGTCTGTCAGGTTGCCCTTTGTTCAAGGTGAAGAGAATAGAACATCTTCCCCACTCCCCACTTTTGACTTAAGTCAGGTTTTGGAGCACACTGCTTTGTTATGGAGACAAAAATCCCAAGTTCCCGTGTTGGATGGCAAAGAATGAACATGAATGCTTCTTTCTTTTCTCATTCCTGTTGTAACAATTCTAATCCTCTTTCACTACCAGGCTGACAGATAGCTTGAACTGATTAGGGAAAAGGGAAAGTACACAAAACCGCATGAAAGAAAATCTCAGTAAAATGTAGGAAAATATTACCATCATTACAGTCAATCCCTCAAGTGCTCTCTAGGAATGTTCATGGCTCCCTGAGCTCCTGGTTTATTTTGCCAGTCCATGTTTCAGATGTCTTATGCTTCGTGTGCAGACGAGAGATGCTTCCTGCCTCTGAGTTTTTGCTGAAACCTATTCTCCCGCTTAAAATCCCCTTCCCTCCTATGTTCAGCACTGCTTTCTCCTGTCCACTTAGTATTTCATCCATGAGTTCTTTTCGGGTGGCTCTGGTTGCACTAGCCATTTATTCTACTTGTTTAACTGTACTTAATACTCTGATGTAATACTTAATTGCACTTATTTTTAATGAGTTGTTCTTCCCCTAGAAACCTCTTGACATCAGAGATCATCTCTTATTCCTCTGTGTATCTCCAATGCATTAACAACGGTTCACTAAATATTTGCTAAATGAATTATAGAACAAGTACAGATTGTGACAGAAGAGGAATCCTAAATGGTAGAAGTCTGTAACATCTTTCTGCGTTTTGACATTTCGGGGCAATGTCCTGAGCAGCCCCCAAATGATAACAATGACAGGAAAAAAAAAAGGGCAACAAAACGTGTGCATGCTGCCAAGTACCTACATGCAAACAATCCCTCAGGCCAAGCATGCTCATGGCTGGGGTACATGAACCTGCCTGAATCATTTCAGCCCATCTCTAATGGAAATCTAATGGAAATCATAAATTACCAAAACAGGTCCACAGGTGCTGAAATTTACTACTGTGTTGACTGCTGGCAATGTCTGAAACTGAAGAACACTGCACGATGTGCTACAAAAATGAAATATTTATTACATTCATATTCTCCCTCAAGCGTTTTTTTAAGCCTTTTTCTTGGTGGCAAAAATAACAAAGCACCAGAATTTCAAGACAAACCAATTTGCACAGGCATTTTTAGAAATTTTGTTAAATAATTCCCTTTAACGGTTCAAAGCTTTTCAGCACAGACACAACTTCATGAATTCTAAATAAACCTTAAAGCCAAAGGGAAAAGGGTAGAAATGTTCTATCTCACAAATTAATCTGCACTTATCTCATCACCAGATACTATAGACCGTTGCCTTAGCCTCACCAGTTCTTAACCTCTCAGAACCAAATTAGTCATTGAGGAATTAAATGTGCTTGGTTAGGGCCGCCTTAATGAACATAAGAGGAGCCAATATCCTGAACTAGTGCATAAAGAAAGAAAGATCATGTGGCTTGGAATAAGGTCATGGAGAAAGCCCTAAATAAAAACACTGAAAGAAAAGATGTTGGAACACATGATTTCAGAGCATAGGGTGGGAGGGAGTTCACAGGAGCATCGAAGCTTCATTTCAGGATGCCTTTCTCCACTGCAGGAGTCCAGCCATCACCCATCACCAGTGGAAGCTGGTGTTGTCCTCCTGGCTGAAAATGGATTAAGTTTCCCAAAACGTAGGATGTAGACATTGCAGCTATAAAAATTATTTAAAATGATATATCAATAAGAAATTCAATAAATGATAAATCACCAAGTAAACAGCAATTCTCTCTTGAAAGGTCTGTGTGTCTTTCTTGTTATCTCAAGAAGGAAAGTTAAGTTCGAGGCTCCTCTTCTTAACACTCTATTCTCACCCTTTTTAAACAAATGGAGACAGGCTCAGAGCCTCAGGCATGCCATAACATATAGTTCACATTTAGAAACTTTGCTTTGATTTCACAGCATTTTCATAGCTATCTAGTTTTTATTTCAAATGGTAGTAGTTGTTTTCCATTTCACTTACCACGCAAACTTTTAAAAATACATTTAAATACTGTAAAAAATGACTCTATATCTTACATTCATGCAAACTGTTAAGTAAATAAGAAGGTAGGTGGTACTGATAGATCAAAATCATGATTGAACATTGGGTAAAACTGGCTTAGTGGATACATCTGTGTCTACTCTCAAGTAAAGGACAGCAGGCTGTCTGAGAGAGAGCCAGGTAACTGCCTGCAACCTACAAACTGGGAAACACAGCTGGCCAGGTTCTAATTTCCTGAACTGGGCCAGGATGGAAGACGTAATCAGATCCACAATTTACACCTTAGACCCAAACTCTCAGCTGAGGGTCAGGCTCTTCTAAAGGGCTCAGTTAGCCCTACTGTGAACTGGACCTCAGTGAAATTATTCACAAGCAACAGATGGAAACCACATGGGAAGAGAAAGAATAACAACACTGAGTGTTGGGATGCTGATGGCCCTTTTTACCCCATTAGTTTATATATAACCCTTTCTTAGGATTTTTATAAGTATTCTTCTAAATTATTATTATTATTAATCTCATTTACTTTATTGCCAACACTAATGTACATATATTGGTAAGACAAAGCAGTAAAACTAAAGAAAAATGACTAGGTAGCAAAGTTTTCCCCTGATAGGACACAGAAGATAAGAATGACTAATGAACATGTCATCTAACCTTAGAAAATCAACATTACTTACTTATTTATTTATTTATTTATTTATTTATTTATTTATTTATTTATCGAGATGGAGTCTTGCTCTGTCACCCTGGCTGGAGTGCAGTGGTACAATCTGCAACCTCCACCTCCTGGCTTCAAGAGATTCTCCTGCCTCAGCCTCCTAAGTAGCTGGGACTACAGAGGTGTGCACCACCACGCCTGGCTAATTTTTGTATTTTTAGTAGAGATGGGGTTTTACCATGTTGGCCAGGTCGGTCTCGAACTCCTGGCCTCAAGTGATCCACCAGCCTCGGCCTCCCAAAATGCAGGGATTACAGGCATGAGCCACTGCGCCCAGCCTAACATTACTCTTATACCTTCAAGGACCCACAGATTGTGGAGGAGGAAGTTCTGGAAAGTTAGATACTTGCCCATTGAAACTAATACTGGGGTAAAAAAAAGGAAAGGTACAGATGGAATTTTTTATATTCTGTCCACATGATATCCCACAAGTAAATGTGGTTATGGAATTCCTTTTTCAAAGCAATGGTTAATATCAAAAATGACTTTGAGCTCTGAAAAAATTCAAGATTAAAATGAAGATAATGCCAACATTTTTAAAAATAATACATTGCCTAAACACTAGACATCACTAATACATTATTTAATGCTAGAAAAAGAAAAATCTCCACGGAAAATTAAGCTTGACCATTTGAAATAAATAAAAGGATCTAAAATGGACATATAAGCCCTTGAAAAGATAATCTTCAATGGGAAAATAAACTCTTCTATATACAGAAGGCCACCTAAATGACTTGAGGCAGTAAAAATGAGTGGAAGAATATTCCCACAATATATTCATTCTACAAACTTCATTTTGACTATGGGATTGACTTGTAGATACCAGTGAAAGAAATTTGAGAAATGCAGAAAAATTTTCCAGTATTCAAGAATGAGTTTATGGCCATAGATTAGAGAAGTCAACTGACAGACTCCAGGGCCCTTTGCTATGTCAAAATAATGACAGCCATCTGATGCTGTGTCTTTTTTATTGACACAAAGGAGGAGTCTCTGAAAGCCTTTACATTAAATGCAGTCTTCTCAACAATGCCTTTCCGTATCACATTCTTTTGTCATACCCTCCCACACTAATTCTGTCCTTGGTTATGTGTCTTGTGCCAACAGAACAGAAGCAAATTTCATATAAACAGAGTCTTCAAAAGTAATTCTGCATCTCTACTCCTCTTGGTCTTCTGCAATTGTCACGCAGACAAATCTCGTCTATTTTTTTTTTTTTTTTTTTTTTTTGAGATAGAGTTTCGCTCTTGTTGCCCAGGCTGGAGTGCAATGGCACAACCTCAGCTCAACACAACCTCTGCCTCCCAGGTTCAAGCGACTCTGCCTCAGCCTCCCAAGCAGCTGGGACCATAGGCATGTACCACCACACACAGCTAATCTTGTATTTTTTTTTAGTAGAGACAGGGTTTCTCCATGTTGGTCAGGCTGGTCTCAAACTCCTATCCTCAGGTGATCTGCCCGCCTCGGCCTCCCAAAATGCTGGGATTACAGGCATGAGCCACCGCGCCTGGCCCAAATCTAGTCTATTTTGATGAAAGGATGTATTAGACAAGTGGAGAATTCTGAATCATTGCAGTTGAGGCCAACATAAGATAGCTGTCTCTGATGTGTCGCTGACCATGGACAAACTGAGCTCAAACGAGTACCTTCCAATTAGTAGAACTACCCAGCTTACCTGCAGACTCATGAGAAGTAATAAATGGTTGTTGTTTTAAGCCAACAAGGTTTTGTGTGGTTTGTTACAGCATTACTGTGCCAATAGATAGGAAATACAAATGCCAAAAGCAGTATTTTGTTCACAATGATCTAAAACATGATTTTGTAAATTCTAAAGATTCTAGAACAATGACAGTTTACAGTGAAGAGGTGTTTACAACACATAATCTCACCATTAAACAGATTCATTTACAATACCCAACCCCACAAACAATGACTTCCATTTTTAGGGATAATAGTGTCATTCCTCTAATTTGTTCTAAGCTGTCCTTAAGAACTTCAAAGTCTCAAGTCCTATTGACTCTCATTTCAGTATCCTTGGTTGTTCAGTTCCTTTTCTTTAAACTAACTGCTTTCAGATCCTAAACATCTCATTTCTGGTCTCTAAATAACCTCCAAATTGTAATCACTGAAACATTAGATATTACTAACACATTATTTAATGGTAGAAGAAGAAAAATCTTAAGGATTATACACATTAACCCTTATAAAGATAATCTTTAATGAGAAAAGAAACTTGTATATACAGAAGAACTCCTAAATTTCCACCTCAGTGTTACATTGAAATTTATCCTACATTATAGAATAGTTTTTCTACTATAATGGTATTGTCATGGTAATTCTATATGCAAAAACCATTGATGAGTCCCCATTTTTCTATAGGATTTAGACACATTTTGAAACAACTTGCATTTCTACAATTCTCTTCTCAAGACTTATACCCAAATCCAGAACTGTGATACAATCAAATAAAGCAAAACTGCATAGGAGCCAATGATGGTTTAGAGTCATCTGTCTCTCTATATTCCCTATCCAAACCATTTTTTACCTGTGTATTACCACCCAATCTGCCATACCACCCGTTATTAGTCCATTTTCATGCTGCTGATAAAGACATACCCAAGACTGGGTAATTTATACAGAAAAAAAGGGTTTAATGGACTTACAGTTCCACGTGGCTGGGGAGGCCTCACAATCATGGCAGAAGGCAAGGAGGAGCAATTCACATCTTACATGGATGGTGACAGGCAAAAAGAGAGCTTGTGCAGGGAAACTCCCATTTTTATAACCATCAGATCTCATGAGACCCGTTCACTATCAGGATAACAGCACAGGAAAGACCCACCCCCATGATTCAATCATCTCCCCCTGGGTCCCTCCCACAACATATGGGAATTATGAGAGCTACAAGATGAGATTTGGATTGGGACACAGAGCCAAACCATATCACCTCCTCCGCCCGGGTGTTCTCATTAGCATTTGTCTCAACCCCCAGGACACCTAGTTGATCCTGCTGCTTCTAATCTTACTCTAAATTCTATCTGTTTATAGGACTATGCTTGAGCCATCATGTTGTACAGATACAAAGGGCTACACTTACACTATACTGCACAGAACTAGTGTCCCCTGAAATTGTTTAATGATGGTGGTACTGAAATTCCCACTCTACCATGAAGTTTGTTTACATTCTTAACATTTTCCTGGAATTGTCATCTACACACTATGGCATATGTTTGACTTCATGTTTATGATGTCACTTAACAAATATCCTTTCTGATAGTAATTTTTTTGGCATCTCCCTGGTTCCTGCTTCCTCATTAGTTCTTTTAGGCCACTGCCCTCCCATCACCCTTGTCCAAAGTGTTTTCAAATCAACAAAAATATGTAATGCTTGAATTCGTTACTGAAAATGCAATTACTTATTGTATTGTGCTTATTTTCTAGAAGAGAAAGAGGTTTTAGGGTATCAAAAATTACTTCTCATTATGAGAGCTTTGGTGTGTAATAACTAGGTAGAAAACATGCTATAGGGGATGCCTAATAGTAGTTATGAAGGGACACTTGACTCTTTGCACACTTGGATCAGAGAAGCATGCTCTTGACCACCTGGAAGATATGGAAACATCCCCACCCCCCACTGAGAGATGAGACTCCCATGGGTGATGGTCTAATTACAAAATGGGCTGATTAGCTTTGGGTTGCCTTGCTATGAAATGCACCGTCGGTAAAAGCACCACACTGTCTTCTCCCGTAATATTTCCCTCCTTTTGGGGATCCAGGATCCAGTATAAAATGGCGCACTTAACTCTGGGGGTTTGTCTTTGCCTTCAGCTCTTTATTTGCTGCTTATTTGGCCCCAGAAATGCTTTCCTGGCCCTCTTCCTCCAAGGGCTCCACCCTGAAGCCAGTGATCCAATTAAGAAACTGGCAAATGAAAAATCTTGCAAATGCCAAATCTTCTACCTGTATGTGTTGTGTGTGTGTGTGGCATTTATATATAAAAGAGCTCTGATTAATTGGCTTAGAAAGATAAGCACTTAAATATTTTGTCACAAAAATAGAAACTTTAATGCCTTTTGTTCTCGTGACTTTAGTAATCTTTTGGAAATAAAGACACTTTTAAAGATTATTGGTAAATAAAAAGCCTTGAAAATGTAGACATTTGGTCTAAATTAAGGTCAGAGATCAGATTTGCTAAATGCTTTAAGGTCAAATTATTTCTTTGACTTTTGAAAATTGTTCGATTTACCTACTTTGGAGCATTAGATTATAGATAAGCCTGGGGACATATGGAGAGCCATCCCCTCTAGATATGCTAAAAAGAGTCAGACTTTATCTTCATTTCTGTCTGATTTCCTAGGCTCCATCCCTGGTACATAATTAAAATCACTTACTTATCAGGTTTTTCACTAAAAATAAAAGTTGCTAAGAGTTAACATTGTAACATGCAATTGAGACCACTGGAGAGACAATTTTACAAACAAGGTGTGTAGGGAATGTGTTTTTGGTAAAAGATTATAAGAAGGCATAGGAATATGGCTTTTGTTAAAGGGAATGTAATTTTGTCTAGTTCAGAGGGTTTTAAAGATTGTCTTAACCTAAAAGAGTAACGGAAGAAAACTGAAGGTTTAAGCAAAGTAAAAAGGATTTGTAAAAAGGATTGATCTGATAAAAAAATTCTGTGGGTATAAACAAATTGGCTAAAATTTAAAAGAAATTATTTAGCTTTTATCTGCAGATTAAAACATTAAGATAATGATGTTGTAAGGCCAGAATCTGGGCCCATGTGTCCGAAAAACAGGGTTTTCTTAGAAAATTGACCTGCTGTTTGATGGAAAATTGTAAAGGGATCTAAAAAGTGTATTGAAATCTTATGTTCAAACTAATTAAAACTGGACAGAGATACAAAATTTTATTTAAAAAACTAGCTTTTACGTTAAGGATGCACTAATGCAAACATGAAATTTGTTTTTCTCTTTTGAAGACGATTTTTGTGTAACATTAAAAGATAATGAAAGACTTTTGCTTTCTCTCCCATGGGTAAATGGCAGGGAAAAAAAGGAGGAGAGAGAAAAGACAAATTTAGCCTCATGCTACCTTTATTGGATGTTGCTTGGAAAGCTAAGTCTCCTCTACTAGAGTAAAGGTTTTCTTTTTTAAAGCTTATTTAGAGTTATCATTTTGGCCAAAATGAATGACTTAAGGTAACCTGGGATTCTATTTTGTGATATCAAGTGTTTTAAACCTTTGATATTTGACAAACTTTCCAAAATCAAATTATAAAGTATGTCTCTTTCTGGACTAATCTTTTAGATATTAGGTTCTCTAAAGTCCAAAAATGACATTTGGCTCATTTTGTATAGAAATCATACAGGAAGCACTGCCAAATATGAAATGGTGTTTGGCTTTCTTTGGGTTATATTTGTGTAAATGTGTTATAGGCGTATGTTCTGAAATTAAGTAAAACTCCTATAATTCTAATATGACTTAGTATATGTTATCTATCTGTAATAATTATAATTATTATGTTAAATGACTGTGTGCCACAGAGGTAAAAAATTTACTTGTCAACCATGTCTTTAACTGCAGCTGGCCTAAAAGTGTTTTTGTCATTCACAGACAATTGTTGTCTCATTTTCATCCTCTTTAAAAGATGGTTTTATAATCAGCTATAAAATTTAACAGGTGCTCTTAAATGCAGGATTCTGACTAATAACTCTGGAGATTGTGACATTAGAAGAGAGGGAAAACTTTCAAATAGAAGAGTGAATGGTGTTTGGTTTTCTTTGGACTGTATTTGTATAAATATTATATTATTAGTATGTGTTCCAAAATTTATGGGAAACTTCTATAATTCTGATATGATTTAATGTACATTATTAATAATAATTGTTATATAAAATTGTTGTATGCCACAGAAGTAACCAAAATTCCTAGTCACCTGTAGCTTTAATAGGGGCTATTTACTTGTCATCCACAGACATTTTGTCTTGTTTTGATCCTTTTCAAAAGGCAGTTTATAATCAGATATAGGACTGTGAGTGCAGGTCTCAGACAACTTTAAAAATTGTGCTATTTGAATAGAGGAAAAAATGAAACTTCTAGGAGTCTCATGGAGATCTGATGTGTTAAACGTTGCTGATCCTTTTGTTTTCAGAGTCAAGATAACTTATTTCTTTAAAGCTATTTGCAACTTTAACAAGTGAGTAAAATATACTCCTGTGAACAAAATTTGGAGCATATTTGTTCCCCTCTACCTGATTTCTCCAGAATTTGGAAACTATTTGTGAGTATTCTCAATTTATGGCAGTACAGTTAATTGCATAAGTGCAATAAGAATCTGTTTTCTTTTGTAACAGGATATAATTGGAGAAATTGGTTATTTTACCAAGGCTTTGACTGGAATGGCATGCCTCCTTTAAAGAATCAAAGTTGACTTATAGAGCCAATTAAAGCCCATTGGGGCATCTGGCCTCATACTTTGTCCGCATAGAGTACCTGTACAAGATACCTGTACAGGAACCTGTACAAGGTTCCTGACCTGTGGTAAGTAAAGAATGTCACTTTCTAACAGGCCCAGGAACCCCAAGTTACCTTGGGACCTCAAGAGGAGAGGAATTTGCCCAACTCATAGGTACTTGAGGGTACAGACCCATGGCTGGGCTCGGCTTTTAATAAGTGTTATCTGAGATTCTTCATGGAACAGAGTTCTAACAAAGCCAATTTAAAAAACCTAAGTAAAAAATAATTATTCTTGCTGCACTTTATGCAAATAATCAGGCCAAATACAGTAAGACTAAAGTTTCTTTTGTAAACAAATCAGTTCTATTGTGATTTGTTTTTAATAAAAATGGGGACTGGAGGGAGACAAAAGTATGCTTCAAAAGAAAAACTGAAGTACACTGTTGTTAACCGTTCTTAAGGTTTTTTCTGCAGTTTAGACTAAATTCTAAATTCATTGTGGGTTAGAAGTCTCCAAACTAATGTTTTCAAATCTTTGCTTTTAAAATTGGGAATTGTAGTCCTCATCCTAGGACTCGTTATTTATCTTATAAACATGCTGTTTACTTAAATATCATCCTGAAACATAAATAAAAGTATATTTTTACCACACAAGCCTTGCAAGCCCAGCCAAGCCTGCATAAATACACTCAGACAGTTGTGAAGCAGGTCTACTCTTCTCTCCTTGGGGTTCACTCCCATTCCCGCTATGTCCCCTGTAAGCAGGAAAAATCTAGAGTGATCAACAGCCTCTTCCCATCTTCATAGCCTACACCTAAAGATTAAGGTGTTATAAAACCCAAAGGGAGGGACCGAAAGCGCAATAGCAAAATGATGACTGAGACAGTGAGAGATCTAACTTAATTGACTCCATCTCGCTTCTAACCTCCAAACTGTCCTTGTTCATTCCTGGGCATAGGCTGCACTAACTTCGGGAGAAACATAGTTTATAGTTTAAACAAAGACGGTTAGAGTCCTTTCTCAAAGCAGACTTCCTTCTTGCCTGGGGACTAGATTGCCTTTGTAGGACTAACATTAGCCACAAGATTAGAAATTATAGTTCAGGAGTCATGCAGCTGGAGGCTACAAGATTCTGACCCTCCCTAAACTGCTTCTAAGATCAGTGCTTGAGATATTTGGCAGAGCCTGCACTTGATGGATCAGCTGGCACCTCCCAGATCAATAAACTGGCTCATCTGATCTTGTGGCTCCCACCCAGGAACTGACTCAGCGCAAGAAGACAGCTTTGACTCCCTAAGATTTCATCCCTGAACAATCAGCACTCCCGGCTCACCGGCTTCCCCCAATCCACCACGTAATCCTTAAAAACTCTGCTCCCCTAATGCTTGGGGAGATTGATTTGAGTATTTAAACAATTCTGGTCTCTCACACACACACAAAGAAAAAAAGAAAATCGAGGTTGCAAAGAATAAGTGACCTCTGGATATTTTTGTTCACTTCTAGTTCCTTATCATGTTTATTAAGATGTTATTTTAAATATAACTATAGCATTATTAAACTGGATATTTCCTCAGAAAAATATTTAATGTGAACTTAAGTGATACTTCTGAAGCAGTGGAATTCTGGTTTCTTTCACTATATTTGATACACTAAGATGAACATTTTCTCCATATTTACAGAAATAATCTGGTTTGTACTCAAACTACATTCTCAAAACAAAGCAGAATATAAAATGGATTTTTTAAATAAGTAAATGTGTAGTATTTTTTCAAGTTTCTATTTCAGGAATCTATTTCCAAATCCATTAATGAAGTGAATATATTTCTCTAAAAATATTTAAAATATTCCTATATAAATTGTAACCTGAAGCAACTAATCATCTTCTAATTTAGCTTAAAGAAAAAAATACAGGAATAGAAAACGTGTGTGTGTGTGTGTGTGTGTGTGTGTGTGTGTGTGTGTGTGATTTTTGGAAGGTTGTCCAAGAGACTGGTATTTTTTTCACCTGACTCAGAGTACTGATATAGAACCAAAATACTTTGGATAACTGGTAGCCACTTAGTACAAAAGAGAGTTCAGTGGCTTCTTGCAGTGCCAGAAGTGCCAGTACTTGTCACACTGTAGACAAAGGCCAAAACAGCTCACCACAATTGGGAAAAAGTATCCTGCTAATGACTTTTACAATGAGATGGAAAGAGAAGAATCGAATATATGTCCAATTTTTTAGCTTTTTAAGAGGCTACCTAAGGGACTGATTTTTGTCTCATGTGACTTAGGGCACTGATGAGGAGCTGTCATAGTTTGAATGCCTGGGGACTGCAAAGAACAAAAGAGAGCTTGGCATATAGTTCTGGAGAACCTGCAGTACCACAGACAGACACAAGAGAGAGCAAGAGCCCACAAACTCCTAAAAAAGAAACCAGCAAATCTCTCTAATCTGGAAATTACATGCACAAGCTCAGAGAAAATGCATTTCCATAACATGTTTGAGAGGCCCTCTGAATCTCTAGTCATGCTGACTGATGAAGGTATTCCCCTGTATGAAATCAGTCTGTAAAAACTCGAAGTGTTAGTTGTTTTTTCAAATAAAAAAATTACAACAAAAAATAAGAAGACACATGAAGAAACAGGAGAACATGACCCAATTAACGGAACAAACTAAATCTCTAGAAACTGACTCTAAAGAAATTGATATTTACAAACTATCTAAAAAAGAATTCAAAATCATTGCTTTACAGAAGCTCAGTGTGCTGCAAGAGAATGCCAGATAGACAACTAAATGAAATCAGAAAAACCACAAATGAGCAAAATGAGAATATGTACAGAGATAGAAACTACATGAGAAAAAGCGAAGTAATTTTAGAGCTGGAAAATAAAATAGGTGAATTGAAAAATTCACTACAGCAGATCAACAGCAGATCTCACAAAGCAAAAAAAAAAAAAAGTCAGTAAACTCTAACACAGGTCATTTGAAATTATCAAGTCATAATAATAAAAAGAAAAAAGAATGAAGAAAAGTAAAGAAAGTCTAATTGATGTACCAGCACCCACGAGCAGACCAATATACACATTATGTGAGAGTCTGAAAGAGAAGAGAGAAAGATTAGAGCAGAGAGTTTATTTGAAGAAATAATGGCCAAAATTATCTGAAATGTGAGGAAGAAAACAGACCACATTAAATTCAAGAAGCTCAAATAACTTTAACTAAGAAAAACCCAAATAGGTACAAATCAAGACACATTATATTCAGACTGACAAAAGTGAAAGGAGAGACTTGAAACTAGTAAGAGAAAAGCAACTCATCACATGAAAGGAGCTGCCATAAGATTATCAGTGGGTTTTTTAGCAGAGACTTTAGAGGCCGAAGTGAGTGGGACGATACATTCAAAAGGCAAAAATAAATAAAAATTGCAGCCAAACATAAAAACTGTATCTGTCAAAACTATCTTTCATAAACCAAAAAGAAATAACTTCCCAGATGAACAAAAGTGGAGGGAGTTCATCACTACCAGACCTACATAAAAACTACCAAAGACAGTCCTTGGCGTTGAACAAAAAGGACACTATGTAGCAACATAAAAGCACAGAAAAACATAAAGCTCTCTGGTAAAGCCAAATATAGAGATAAATACAGAATTCTATAATATTGTAATGGTGTTGCATACAGCACTTTTAATTCAAGTAAAAAATGTAAGCAATATAAGCATAACTACAACTGTAAAACAATGTTAATGAATACAAAATATTTTTTAAAATGTAATTTGTAACATCAGTAACAAGTATGTGGTAAGGAGATCTGAAAGAGTAGTTTTGTATATAATTGTAGCTAAGCGGTTCTCATTTTAAAATAGATTGCTACAATTCTCGATGTTGTATGGGATCCCCATGATAACTACAAAGAAGATACTTATAGAAGATGAACAAAATCAATTAAGAAAGAAATAAAAGCATGACACTACAAAGGATCAATGAACCCAAGGGAAGACAGCAAGAGAGAACAAGAGGGACCAAACTAATACCATACATACAGAAGACAATTAACAAAATGGAAATAATAATTCAGTAATTAAGTATAAATGGGTTAAACTCATCAATCAAAAGACACAGTGTAGCTAAATAAATTTTTAAAAAATCAAGATCCAACTATATGTTGTTTATAAAAGACTGACTTTAAATAAAAAAGACATGCATAGGTTGAAAACAAGAAGATGGAAGATTTTTCCATGCAAATTTTAATCAAAAGAGAGGAGGGTTGGCAATACTTATATCAGACAGAATAGGCCTTAAGTCAAAAACTATCACAAGAGACAAAGAAGTACAATATATTGTTATAAAGGTTTAATTCACCAGGAAGATATAACAATTGTAACTATATATGCACCTAATAGCAGAGCACTTATATATATGAAGCAAACATTGACAGAAATAGAGAGATATATAGACAGCAACATAATAATTGTAGGAAATTTTAATACCCTGTTTTCAATAAGAGATAGGCCAACCAGAGAGATCAACAAGAAAATAGACGACTTGAACAACACTATGAACAAATTAGACCAACAGACATATATAGAACACTAAACCCGAAGTTTGCAGAGGAAGGAAATAATGAAGAATAGAGCAGAAATAAACTCAACAAAGAATAGAAAAACAATTTAAAAATCCATAAAATGAAGTGTGTTCTTTGAAAAGTTTAACAAAACTGGCAGATTTTTAGCTGGACTACAAGTAGAGACCCAGTTAGCAAAAGTTAGAAATAAAAGAGGAAACATTACAACCAATGCAAAAGAAAGAAAAGGGATCATAAGAGACAACTATATGAACAATAGTAGGCCAACAAATTAAATAACATAGAATAAATGGATACATTTATAGAAACATACAACCAACCAAGACTGAATCATGAAGAGATAAAAATAAAAAATCTATAACTAATGAGATCGAACGAGTAATTTATCAGTAATAATAATAAAAATTCCCCCGCAAAGAAAAGCACAGGACCAAATGGCATCACTGTATTAAGCAAAGTTGAGGATACAAGTCACCATTCAAAAATCAATTACATTTCCATACATTAACAATGAATAATCTGAAAAGAAAATAATATTCATTTATAATAGTATCAAAAAGAAAAAATACTTAGGAAAAACTATAACCTAGAAGGTGAAGCACCTGTACACTAAAACTACAAAATATTGCCTAAAGAAAGTAAAGACAATATAAGTAAATAGAAAGACATCCTGTTTTCACGGATTGGAAGACTTCATATTCTTAAAATGCACATAGTACCCAAAGTCATCTACAGATTCAATGCAATCTCTGTGAAAATCCCAATGACATTTTTGCAGAAATAAAAAAAATGACTCCAAATAGCCAAAACAATCTTGAGAAAAATTTTAAAAACCTGGAGCCCTCGTATTTCCTAATTTCAAAACATATTACGTAGCTACTATAATCAATATAGTATGGTAATGGCATAAAGATAGACCAATAGGTCTATGAAACAAAACAGAAAAAAATGCTTTACAAAAACTGTTAACATTTATAATGAAATGATCTTTGACAAACTGCTAAGGCTTTGTAATGGAGAAGAATAGTCTCTTCAACAAATAGCTGTAGGAAAGTTAACGTATATTCGTAATGCTTGAGTTTGTTATTGAAAATGCAATTGCTTATTGTATTGTGCCTGTTTTCAAGAAGAAAATGGAGTTTATAAAGGATAAGTCAACTCTAGATATTTTTGTTCATGTCTAGTTTCTTAATGTGTTTATTAATTAATGTTATTTTAAATACAACTATAGTACTATTAAAGTAGATATTTACTCGGGGAATATTTAGTGTGAACTAAAGTGATACTTCTCAAGCAGTAGAACTCACTTGCAGAAGAATGAATTTGAACCCTACCTTACACCATATTCAACATTTATCTCAAAATGGATTAAAGGCCTCAAAACCTGAAACCATAAAACTCCTAGGGAAAAACAAAGTTGAAAAAAAAGTTTTGTAACATTGGATTTTGCAATGATTTCTTGGTTACCACATCAAAAGCACTAGCAAGAAGGCACAAATAGATAAATGATAGCACCAAACTTGAAAACTTCTGTGCAGCAAGCAAAACAATCAACAGAGTTAAAAGGCAACCGACAGAATGAGAGAAAATTTGCAAACCACATATCTGATAACGGATAAATCTCACAAGTACGCAAAAACTCCTATAACTCAACATCAAAAAACACCAATTAGTCAAATTTAAAAATTAGCACTAGACTTAATAGACAGTTTCCAAAGTAGATACACAAATGGCCAATGAGAATATAAAAAGATGTTCAATATCACTAGTCCTTAGGGAAATAAAAATCAAAACCACAAGAAAATTTTACCTTATACCTGTTAGCATGACCATTATGAAAACAAAACAAAATGGAAAACAACACAAGTATTGCTGAGGATGTGGAGAACTTAGAATTGTTTATTGTAATGTAAAATGCACTGTTGATTGTAATGTAAAATGATACGGTTGCTATGAAATACAGTATGGAGGTTCCTCAAAAAATTCAAAATAGAACTACCATATGATCCAACTACCCCATTATTGAGTATATATCCAAAGGAAATGAAATCTGTACATTAAAGAGATATCCACCTTCCCGTGTTTATTGCAGTACTATTCACAATAGCCAAGATATAGAGACAACACAAGTGCCCATTGATGAATAAATGGATAAAGAAAATGTGGTACATACACACAAAGGAATACAATTCAACAACAACAAAAAATAATGAAATTCTGCCATTGGCAACAACATGGATGAACTTGAAGGACATTATGCTAAGTATAATATGCCAGGCACAGAAAAACAAATACTGCATGATCTTTCTCATATGTGGACTCGAAAATAGTTGATCTCATAGAAACAGAGTGTAATTATAGTTATCAGAGACTGGGGATTTAGAGCACACGGGAGGATGGGAAGATGTATGTATTTGTTACTTGGATAGATTTAACCATTCCATAATGTATAAATACTTCAAAACATCATGTGGCTCACAACAAAAAATACAATGTTATCTGTCAATTTTTTAAATTAAAATATTTATAAACCTTTAGAAGATAAATTTAAAAGAAATTTAAAAATAAAAAGAAAAATCAACTGGTATTCAAAGCTTTCCAAACATACTTGAAAATGAAAAGTTGGTTGATGATAAAAATATTAATATTTTGCTTAATGATAGTGCATTATAGGGAAATATTGACATATGGTAATACACTTATTACAGACAGGAAAATCAGAATCTGAAAGCCCCATACCAACATTTTCAATGATTTGGAGAAAAGGTTGTCAAGAACATAAAGAAAATGAGAAAACTCACTGTAAATGGTTTAAAATTTTAATTCAAGAGATAGATTACGTATAGCATTTACTTATTAGCAATTCCTTTTGTGGCAAATAGTTCATAAAGAAATATTTAACTTATTTCTTCAAAGAAAAATGACAATGTAAGAAATCATTTGAGTGTACAAATCTTCCATTTTGATTGTGGTATTTCTAACTCTCAGTTTTTGGAGTATTCAACTGGTATATTATTATATATAACCTGCCATTCTTGCATATGTATTTTCTTTCAATTGTCTTGATCAATACAGGGAAAAATGCTATATAAATAGGGCAATTGAGCTTTATTAGTGTTTGAGGAAAAAAAATTCATCCATGTATAATTTTTGTTTATTTAGAACATTTTTTTAAAAGAAGTGAATGAAAGGAGCTATTTTTAAAGGTCATAATGAATGTTGTAGATGAATCATAGGTACACCTATTTAGCTCTCAAAAGCACAGGGATTCAGGAACAATATTTTTCCACAGTCTTCCTTGGCAAAGGAAGAAAATGAAAAGCATGAAATACAAGATCTGATCTGGGATTTTCATCTGTAATTTATTTAACAAATTTCCAAAGGCTATGATTACACAGAATAAGTAGTTGTGACAACTGTTTTTGGAGTCAGATCTAGATTCATATTCCAGAATTAACTCTTACTAGCTGTGTGAGTTTCAGTACGGACTTCAATCTTCTGTATCTCAGTTTTCTCATATATATCACGGGGTTAATAAGTTGGCATGTTTTATACAACAGTTATAAGAATTACATAAGATAAACAGTTAAATGTTTAATACAGTTCCTGGTGCATGATTAAATCTGTTAGCTATTATTAATGTTATATTATCAAAACAGAAGGGACAGGGAAGTCTTCGTAAACCACATCCTTAACCAGCATGTGGCTGAGAGTAGTTAAGGGCAACGGATCTGGGTCAGACTGCTTGAGTTTGACACTTACTAACCCTATCCAGCCCCAACTAAGCCTAACTCTAATTAACTCCATCTTACTCTAACTTACCTAGTTGTAAGATCTTGGCATACTATTAGTATTTAACCTATGACTCAGTTTTCTTATTAGGAAAACAAGCATAATTGATAGCACTTGTTCTGAGATTGTTATGAGAATGACATGTGCAGATAGGTTGAAGGTGCTTGGAACAGTCCCTGACACATGTGACTACTCTATACACATCCACCTTTTATCATTCCTTGAGCATCTACAGGTTTCACTACAGCTCAGTATCTGATAACATCATTAGAATAACAACCATTGCTGCACTTCTATACTCTTGGAAGCTCTTAAAAATCTACATGGACAAGTGCAATATTTAGAAAAATTATTTTCTGGGGAAAAGTCTGGAACCTTCAGAATCCACAGCTGCAAATATTAATTAAGAGCAACACATGTCTGAGCTCCCCAAGGCAGCCTTAGTTTTTACTTGGGCTCACAACTCCTGTTTTCCTCTCGTGAGGTGCCATATGTGCTCAAAAACCTTTGAGAGATTTTGCTTAGTGATCTACACCAGCTTCTTTTCTTTGTTCTCTTTAATACTCAGCAAGATTAAAATATCAGCCCAGTACTCCATAGAACCTGTAGAGTGCAGGTTACTTCCAACCACAGTGTTTGGACTAATTCCAGTATAACATCATTGCAAAGCGCATGCTTGCTGACTATGTAAACCAAGAAGGGAGTGTATAGTGTTTGTTTTGACAAGTTTGGCCCCACAGGGTTTGAGAATATGCTACTCTTGCTGTCTCAACCTTGGAAATTGGAACTATCATTAAAATAATAGTAAAAAATCATCTCCCCTTGCAAAGAGCTTCGGTGGCTTTTCCTTGCCTACAGGATCAAGTCTATCTTACCTAGCCTTTAAGGGCTCCCGTCCATTAGCTCTAATCACCTATCCTCTTGGCCACAGTGTTTGTTACAACGTGTCTATAAGCTTTTTCTCACAGAGTTCTATAACAAAATTAAAATTGAGGTCCAATTAGATCGAGAAACATATTCTAAGCTTCTCTAAGTATTCATACTGTACTTAACATAATAAAGGCTCTGAGAAGTCCTGCATTAAAGAAACTGGCCTGATTTCAGTTAATTCGAACTTATCCAACCAAATGAAGTGAACAACCAACCCAACCCCAAAGCAACTTTTGCCATTTGAGGCACAACCAACTGGAGAGACACTGTCGTAAAAGAAAAAATTATTCAATGAGACTAATTTATTTTCTCTTTCCAAATAACGTATGCCCCCACCCCTATTTCCTGAGTGTGTGCCTGTGCGTGTCTGTGTGTATGCGTGTGCATGAGTTTTCTCAAGTTGACCACATCCCTGGTCCTCCTTCCCCTAGGAATCCTTTTCTCCCACATTTTGACACACCCACACTGTGCCATTTGAGCCTCTCCTGTCATGTCTAGCAGACGATGACTTTCTCCCTGACCGAGATGGCTTCAGCCCTTACTATCTTATATGTCCTGCCGTTTACACCTGGTATCACATCAGTTCTCATTTTTACATATGCAAATTGCCAGTCTAAGTTCTTGAAATCATCAATCACTGTTCAGTTCTTTAAAAAATGGATCAACTTTGTAGTCAGGCTGTCGGATGAGGTCTCACAGCCCAACCTCTTCTCACTGGTGGCCTTGCTTTGGGCAAGTCTTTCCCCTCAGGGCCTCAACATCACAGTCTGAACATTCCTTATGGATTTGCTATCAGTATAAAGTAAGATACTTTTTTTTTTTAATGAGACAGAGTTTCGTTCTTGTTGCCCAGGCTGGAATGCAATGGCGTGATCTTAGCTCACTGCAATCTCTGCCTCCCAGGTTCAAACAACTCCCCTGCCTCCGCCTCCCAAATAGCTGTGATTACAGGCACCCACCACCACAACCAGCTAATTTTTTTGTATTTTTAGTATAAATGGAGTTTTCACCATGTTGGCCAGGCTCGTCTCTAGCTCCTGACCTCAGGTGATCCGCCCGCCTCGGCCTCCCAAAGTGCTGGGAAGTAAGATACTTTATGTGAAGGATCTGGCATACAGAGGACACTCAATAAATATCATTAATATTGTTGTCATGTCGCTCCCATGATGCCTAGCCTTTTATAGTTACTGAACGATTTTAGTCATTGGTTTAATTAATGGAATGATACTGTTTGCTCTCTGTAAAGTTCCTCAGCTTCTGTTATCCCATCTGTAACACACCAAGCAATAGGCATAGACAACGCAGTGGCGATGGGAATGTGCAAAGCATGTTGCAGGGATGAAAAGGGTGAGGGCTCTGGGACAGAAGCTGCAGGTGAGAGGGTCGAGAGGAGGTGGGGTTATAGCCAGCAAAGGGCTTTGAGGGTTAGCGCTGCCCCACTACACAGGCCACTCGGTCGTTTCTCTAACCAAGCGCCATGAGAATGGCACATGAACACCCTCTCGTCATTTATAATGTTTCTCTTTCTTGATCTAACAGGCCTGAACAATACGCTGATTTGATATTACACCATTCTGACAAAGAAAACGATATCGATTCTAAAAGGAATAGCGTGTTTTGTAATGTTAATGGCTTGAAACCTCTTTTTTCCCAATGCAGAATCTCTGTGAGAAAACAGTGGTCCTCATTAATGCCTTGCGCACAGACTCCTCATTGTTTTTACTTGTGCTATTTCTTTGCACTTGGATGCAGAAGCAATAAATTTCCAGGGAAATGAAACTCACTTATCAGATTTCCCAGCATCAAGTTTCATATTAGGAGTGAAAAAATCAGTCTAACTGGACTCAATATAGCTGTAAACCAATATATGTAAGCAGTATCAGAGATTAAGCCGTCATCGTTGCATTTGTGAGCTTCCCATTTCAATCTGGAAGGAATAACCATTTTCCTAGCTGTTATTTAATGATGTAAAATATTCCTTAAAACAATAAATCAAATCAATTCAGGCAACATTCAAAAGACCAAATATTGTTCTCTTTGAAAGAAAAGCATGAATCACATGAGCACATTTTCCCTCTAAAATGTTAATTTCTTAAATTTTAAAGGGAGTAATACTTTTACTCTTTTAGTGATGCTATCAAAGGTACTAAAAATCAGTTTATAAGGCAATCTGAAGATTCTCATTTAGCAAAAAAGTTCTTATTCCAAAGTCTTTGCTTTTTTAATTCAAGATCAAGTTCTAACCAATATAATTTGCTTAAAATTATTTTAGTTTACTATAAGGCACTTCCCTTTTTACCAAGAAAATATTCAGAGTCTCATATAAAAATATAAAGTTATTATTAAAATATGCAGCAATAACCGCGAATGAATTTATGTTTATCATTGCCCTGCTCGTTTGGTGAATGGGGAATGACTGAGATGCACTATAATTATTGGTTTCTCTATTTTATGTTTGGATTTTTACAAACATGCACATACAAACACAAATGCACACAATAAATGTATGTACAAGTTATTGCATATACTATGTATACTTAAAATTCTAATTAAAGCAGTTAGCTATGACTCTCATTTAGCAGCACGTAAAATGAGTAATTATGCTTGTTGAAAGAGGCTACGAAACAGCCTTAGCAACTGTGAAAGAGCATCTCATAGATCTGCAACCTTTAAACCAAAAAGTTGGTAGAGAGAAAAATCAGAAAGTAAAAACCAAATGTGATATCTTACCAGTGCTCTCTCTGCAAGTGTGCTGTGATGTATTGTTTATAAGCGATGTTTTCAACTTATAGTGCAAGAGTCCAGCGTCCTTCCTGCAAAAGCACATGCCTGCAGATTTAACCAAAATTTTCAAAGATTCAAAACGTGATAGCCATTTTATGAATACCTTCAATCCAGAGCATCTGCACAGTGTCTAAATTGAACATTTAGACAAATAATTTTAATTTTAAACTCCTCTTTAAGGAAAAACTTTGTTTAAAAAAAAAACACTTAAGGACCTAATTGTACACAAAAGATACTGTTCACAGACATTTATGCATTTGTAGTTTAGAAGAATGTTTTAAGATCATATATAAAATTATTTTGTACAATGGAATAAAAGAGAAAATAAGAAAGAAAAACAAAAACGAAAACAAGAAGATCCGTGCTGTGGCGAAAGAGGAAATAGAAACGGTTGAAGTTCTAACTCACTGGGCACTTGCAGCTCACCTCTGTTGAACAACTGGCCTTGAGAACTTTGTCAGTTACGTTTTATTCCACAAGTTTGTTGTTTCTGAATCCTCATTTTCACTTTTATAGATGGTCAGACAAGGCTTAAATAGTGCATCGATTTATTGCTATATATCAATTTCTAAAACAACTTAACCAAATCGCACTTATTGTCCTTTAATTAATATGTGCTCTTTAAACTTTATTTTTTTCTTTAAATATAGTCATTGCAGTTACAAATCTGCCCAGATCTCCAAATTCACCTACAGAGTGCCCAGAAAGTCCACCGTTCCCTTTCTGATCTCTGCCACTAGGAGGCACTGCAGCCTGCTTTATGAAGGGGATGAAATCTGGCGAAGTGAATATTCCACACAACTATGGCTCCGGTGTCATTCCCTATTTAATGGCTGTCAGTGAGGGGGAAAGACAACGCGGCGGGTAATTAAAACCAAATTGCAGGCAGGAGATGACTGCACAAGAATGATATTGTCATTAATACTGATTTAACATGCACCTGGGTAAGGTGAGGGAGTGCGGCAAGGGAATTCACACTGAAGCCAGGGTTGCCTGATTTAAAGATGTAGTGTTTCCAGCTGAAGCATGTTTAAAAACTGAATAAAACCATCATATTATGACAGCAGAAATAAAATGGAAACAAATGTTCTACATATGTCTGTAAAGAAAAAAAAACTTCTATTTGTTGTAGCTTCGTGGACGGAGCATGTGCCTCCTCTTCTGAAGTTCAAAAGTATTTTTGCAGAAGGCTTTCTTCCCCTGTTGTTGGCTTCTCCTGAATAGGTTTGTAATCTGCTCATGTAGTTTTCTGTTTTCACAAGACTGTGGAGCTAGAACATTTTGGGAGAGATATTTACCCCATGGGACTCAGGATTTTCCAATCATGAACACCTTGCTGAGGCCATTGAAATCTAGGACTGAAAGCTTGTCAAAGGTGTGGGCAATATTGTTAATAGTATGAAGCAGGTGGCTCACTAAAGTGAATTCCAACCCCCCCCCCCCCAAAAAAGAAGAGGATTTCTCATCTTAGCATCCCTGAAATCTCTTTAAAAATTTTAATGATAAATGGCAAAACCCAGGAAACAACCACTAATCTAAGTTCAAATTAAGTAGTCTATTTTACTTAACATACGTAAAATAATCTAGCTAATATCTTTCCATATTCACTAAAAATTTCCATATTATGGCTTAGGCTAAATTTTACATTTGTTGTCAGAGGAAAAATATCGTGGTCTAGATCATGTACAAATTAAAAGCAACCTCCTATTTAAAGGGTTATTGGATGTTTCAGGCAGAAAATGTGCCGAAGATTCGTTTACAATGGTTGCAGTTCACCCTACCATGTCCAGAGTTTGCTCCTTCCGGTGGATTCGTGGTCTCGCTGACTTCAAGAATGGAGCCCCGGACCTTGGCTGTAAGTGTCACAGCTCTTAAAGATGGCATGGACCCAAAGAGAGAGCAGCATTAAGATTTATTGTCAAGAGCGAAAGAACAAAGCTTCCACAGACGGGAAGCGGACCTGCGCTGTTTGCCGTTGCTGGCTGGGGTAAGCAGCTCTTATTCCCTTATTTTTCCTGCCCATGTCCTGCTGATTGGTCCATTTTACAGTGTGCTGATTGGTCCATTTTACAGTGTCCTGATTGGTGCATTTTACAAACCTCTAGCTAGCTACAGAGCACTGATTGGTGCGTTTTACAATCCCAGCTACAGAGTGCTGATTGGTGCATTTTACAATCCTCTTGTAAGACAGAAAAGTTTTCCAAGTCCCTCCACCCAGAAGTCCAGCTGGCTTCACCTCTCACGACATTGAAAACGCTGTTCTGATTGATAAATCTCCTTCTGGTTTCACCTTAAATGAAATGTGTGCATTATAGAAATTGTTACCCTTCTGCCCAGCTCCAAAAGAGATGAATCATTAGGGATGTCATGAAGATTTTTAATCACATCATAAAGAAAGTAAATTCAAAGAGCATTCGTTCGGCAATAAAGAACATATTATTGAGAAAGAGCTCACTAAACAAGGTCAGGTAGGGAAAAATGATCAAATGTCATGGCTGCTGGATCTAGACCATGAGAGTTTTTTTCATGCCCAAATCATGATTTACAGAACAGTGATCAAATCTTCTAAATTTATTCCACAATACTTGGCTATTTACATTTTTAACGGGTTTTACATTTACAGATCTTTTATTTATCTATTTGTTGGTTTGTTTCATTTCTTCATTTTTGGAGATGGTCGCTGGACTCAGGAGCAGGTAGACATATAAAAAGCGCAAGTAAGCCTAATAACATTGAAAAATGGATAAAAGTTGGGACTTCTGCCTTTATGAAGCAGTACACATATTCTGTTCTATCACGGGATCCACTACTGGCTACTGAGATTTTAGAGGATTAAGTGAGAGATGGAAGAGAAAGTTTATTTCACTTGCCCTTTATAAAATGTCAAAGACAATTTTCTCCAAGAAGGAAATTTCTGGAAACTGTGACACTTCCTGGATGATCCAACCTGCCCATTCAGGCCAGGGGCTCTTTGATACCGGAAACCCAAGGCAGAAGAAGCTGCCCTTTGGATGCCAGACAGAATTTTGTTTTCCAATTCAGTTTTCACATTTGCACTGAAGACATCAGTGAAGCTCATCTCCACTCAAGTATGTGAATTATCTAGGATCAGTGGCTCTTATTGGGGAGTGGTGGAAGAAGATCCCAGTGGTCTCAATGGAGAAATAATTTTGGAAATGATGAGTATCCTCACATTTCAAGCTGTACAATGACTGCACGGTACGTGAAAGCCCAATTGTTAAGGAAACTTGCTGACGTGAGTGAAAGGGACAATTATTTGGACAGAAAAGGATGCTTTGCTATAATTAATATTGACTTAGGAACAGCTACACGTGGCAGGTCCCCTTGTTCTGACTGGTCTGTACCAGGGCACATGTGTTGGAGACATGCACAGTTACAAAAGGATCAGCATTTAAGCTCTCTTTCCGATTTTCACCCCATTTACTTTTGGATGAAACCTGGCACTCACAATCTCTTGAACTGTTCTCCCAGGTTGACGGTGTAACAAATATAATTTTTCAGCAAGATGGCTGCTGCCAGAAGCAGGCTCAGAAATGTCCATTTTAATTAAACATTTTACTTTCAATTACATTTCACAGTTTGCACATGGTGACACACGCTTTCATCACAAGGACTTTCAGATTGCTACATTAGTACTGTCTTCCTATGCAGGGAAATGTGTGTCAGTGAAAATTACTCACATATGAAAAACACACTTTTTCCTTTGACTCGATCTATGGGAATTTATTTACAAAAAGAGAATAGTAGTAGCTATTTCTAGACTTCTGGCCAGATTTTGAGGTGTTCAGTAGCAGGGAGCCCCCAAACTGATAAAGGGGCAATGGTGTGATAACTTATAGCAGAAGAAACCTGTGTTTTGTTATGTATACTCTTTCTTGATATGAGAAAAATATATGGCTATGCAACTTTACTGATGTTTCTGTGCCAAGATAAGTTATTTTAAAAAACAATTTTCACTTAAAAGTATCCAAAATTTATAAAGTACCCCTAAAAGCAAATTAACCAGATTTGATTCCTATCCTCCAGAAGCTTATAATACAAAGCATACACTCACACAGACATGTATTTTTTTTCAAAATGATACATAAACACATATTTCAAGAACCTTTTTAGATGTCTCCAGATTAGGAAAATATCTTTACTGCAACAAGATAGTAAACTCATTGGTGGCTCTTTCCGGAGCACACCACTTGAATAATTTATCATTCCAAGAACGCAGGGAAGAACTTTTTGTCAGTGTGCAGGTTATACATTTCTTTTTAAGCAGGTAAAATTGGGGAATAGTGCAGCCCAGGCATCGTTTTTTAAGTATTCATCTGAGATGGGAGTCCTGGAGAGAAAACAGTTTGCGAGAGACCTCTTCACATTGTTTTAAGTGAAATATCTTGGGCGATCGTCCCCCCATCTTAGAGATTTAACTAGAAATTAAGCAAGAGCTGAAATTCTCCTGGACCAAATGCTCTCTGCCGATTCCCCTACAAATAAGCCTCCATGGCAATTTCTTGGTTAGAGTAAGCCTAGGAGGGAACTATGTAGAGGAAAAGAAAGGTTTAATTTGGTTCTTTCAGTTTCACTTTTGAACACTGTTTTTTCTTCCTTTATAAATGTATTATTATTAAATTATATTAAATGTGTCAGTCTGCCTTTCTTTCCTTCTTTCCTCCCTCCCTCCCCTCCCTCCCTCCCTTCCCTCCCTTCCTTCCTTTCTTCCTTCCTTGCCTCCTTCCTTCTTTCCTCTCTTTCGTCTTTCCTTCCTTTCTTCTTTTATTTCTTCATAAAAAGTAGGCTCAGAAAAATATATTTGTATATGATTTAGTTATTTGTTTCACATGATTTCCACATTAGTAGAATTATCTCAAAGAGAACTGAGAGGTCAGCTTTTACAGGATATTATATTATAAAATTCATATTTTTGTCATGGAGGGGGACGCATGCTTGCATTTAATTCTGAAAGGAACACATTAAGAAAATATCTTCACAGAATGTAGATATAATAATTCTAAAGTTAGAAAAGTATTCAAAAAACTTACCAGTATAACTGTGAATGATGCTAGGACTAAATTCAAGATTAGCCCACTGCATAGAACAGATAGTTTTTCAAAGTTTACCTTCGCAAGACCGTTTTTTTTTAATAATTGCTTGCATGAGCTAAAACTCATGACAGCCACGTAAGACAGGAGATTATTATTTCTCAAATGTAGAAACTGAAGTACTTAGGCAAAGACACACATTTGGAACGCCCGTGTTGAGATAATGTTTCACCTGACAAGCTGATGCAGTGAATCCCCATGCTCCCACACAGTTATATGTGGAATGAAGAGCCAAGCATACATCCCATTTAAGGAAATGAGGTGTGCTCCTCCTGCACTAATCTCCAGAAAGACGAAGCCTTAAAATATCAGCTGGACAAAAAGACTCCCCAAAAAAAGGCTGTGGGCCACCCACAGAAAGCAGGCAGGACTAGCTGTGGGATGCAGCCCATATTCAGAAAAGTGATCACCCATAGAACCCATGTAAAGTATATAGCTACATCCTTTGAACAATTGTACATATATATGTGCACATATGTGTAACACATACATGCCACTAGTGTGTTTTATTATCTGGATGATGGTAAAAGATGTCTTTGCACATAATTACTCAATTTTGAAACTAACCCACCCATCAACACTGAAAATATTAGTAATCTACTAGTTAGATTTTCTTATTATTGTTAATATTATATTATTGTTGTTGTTATTTTATCATTCTAATGACTAACACAGGGCTAGCATCTGAGTCCTTCTCCCATCATTTACCCCAGAATGACCTTAACCAAGTAACTAACTTGCCTCTTTAGTTATTATTTTTTTCTTTGCAACATTATAATAAAAATAATAATTGGCTTATCTAGGCATACAACAATTAAATAAGTGAATGTATGTAAAGTACTGAGCCTAGGATATAAAAAAGAATTTATACTCAATAAATGTTAACTAATTATTATTATGCATAAACAGATACAGCATTTCAACTTCTAAGGAAATGCAGATATCGTAGACCAAGTTATTTATGAGTTTACATTATTAAGCCTGTCCTAAGTACTGACTACAGAGCTTAGTACCCAAGAAGTACCCAAGAAGTGATTTTCAATTAATTAAATATTTATCTTGACCGTGTTTTAAAATACGCTAATCTTAGTATGCAGGATAAGGTTTACACTTAATACGGGTTCCCTGAAGAGAGTTACACTGCCCTCTCATCTCTCCTTATCTTTAAAAAATTCTTATAGAATGTCTTTCTCCTAAATTGTTTCCAGGTTGTTGGCTATTATGGTTAATGCTGCCATAAATATTTGCATGTATGCCATTGAAATGAATATATATCTTTTGATTTCTTTTGGGCAGCTATCTAGAAGTTGAATTTCCAGATTATATGGTTAGTTTACGTTTAACTTTTTAAGAAGCTGCCAAAGAGTTTTCAAAATAGCTGTACTATTTTACATACCCCTGGGCAATGTATGAAGGTTCCTGTTACTCCATGATCTCACCGATGCTTGTCATTGTCTGACTTTTGCATTATGATGATTCCAGTGGACATTTAGTGTTGTCTCATTATGGTTTAAATTTGTATTCCCTAATGACTAATGATGTTGAGCATTTTCTCATGGGTTTATTTGGTCTTTGGTGAAATTTTATTGAAGTTGTTGCCCATGTTTTAAATTAGATTTTACTTTCTTATTATTAAATTGTAAGTGATATTTATGTATTTTAGATCTACGATTTTTTAAAATCAGATATATGATTTGAAAATATTTATTCTCATGCTTTCACTTCTTTTTATTCTCTTAACACTGTCCTTTTAAGCAGAACTTTTGAATGTGGATGAAGTGAAATGTATCCAACTGTTCTTCTATATATCAAGACCTCAGTGTCATATCTATCAACTCTTTGTGTATTGACAGTTAGGAAGGATTTTCTCACAAATCTTTAATCTTGAACTTATATTTTTTATCCGTTACGTTTAGGCTTATTATCCTTTTTGAGTTAGCTTTTGCAAATGGTGAGAGATAGAGATCAAGTTCATTTTGTGCATGCAGTATCTACTTGTCTTAACTTCACTTGTTGAAAAGACTCTTCTTTTCCTGATTGAAATACCTTGGCACCTTTGTTAAAGATACCAATTGCCCACAGATGTACAAATTTACCTATGGAATTTGAAATCTGTTCCATTAATCTAAATGCTTATATTTGCATAATCACAGCACCTTTTGATTAATCTGGCTTTACAGTAATCTTTTCTATAAGGTAGTTTGGTAGGCAGCACCTTAAAATTATCTTCTAGATTTCCCACCATAATCCCTGGGACTATGAATATGATAAAATATTATGCCTAGATTATGAGACACTACTTGGTAATAGTGACTTTGCATGTGTGATTAAGGTTACTAATCAGTAGGCTTTGAGTTAATCAAAAGAGAGCTCTTGGGTTTGGTGGCGCATGCCTGTAATTCCAGCTACTCGGGAGGCTGAGGCAGGAGAATCACTTGAACCAGGGAGTCAGAGGCTGCGGTAAGCCGAGATCGTGCCATTGCACTCCAGCCTTGAGACAGAGTGTGAGACTCTGTGTCAAAAAAAAAAAAAAAAAAAAAAAAAAAGGCTTCTCTGCATGGACCTAATCTAATGACACCAGTGCTTTGACAGCAGACTTTCTCTGACAGCAGCAGAGAATATCTAGGAGAGATTTTGTGTGTGAGAAAGATGTGGTACACTGTTGCTTCCTTAAGGATGGAGGAAGCATTATGAAAACAAATGCAGGAGGGCTCTAGAAGCAAACAGCAGCTTCTAAGTGATAGCAGCATGGTGGTAGGTGCTTCAGTTCTGCAGCAGGAAGAAGGCAATTTTTTCCAAGAACAGGAATGAGCTTTGAGATCAGTTGAGAACAAAGCTAGCTGACATTTTTATTTCATTCCTGTGATACATCGAGCATAAAAATCAGCCCTGCCATGCTGCACTTCTGATACACGGAACTGTGATGGACTAAATGGTTTTTGTTTAAATGGCTCCATTTGTGATCATTTATTTTATGACAAAAGTAAACTAACGAAGACATTGTAAATTCTTCAACTTTATCTTTTTCAAAATTGATACGGATGTCCTAAGCACTCTTCATTTTCATACAAATTTTGAAATTTGACTTGTTAAATTCTACAAAGAGGTCTGCAGGATTGCACAGAATTGGTAGGTCATTTGAGGTAGAATTGCCATCTTAATAATGTTAAGCCTTTCAATCTATGACATTGAATAAATGTTCTTTTATTTAAATCTTTTTCTAATCCCTCTCAACAATGTTTTATTTTTCTTAATATACAAATCTTGCAATATTTTATTAAACTTATTCCTAGGTGTTTTTTCTTTCTATGATATTATCAATGGAGTTATTTTCTTAATTTTAGTTTTGAATTGTTCCTTGCTAGTAAACAAAAATGCAATTGATTTCTGGAGAGTGAATTTGTATCTTCTGCCCTTGCTGAAAATGTTTGTTTTAGTAGTTTTTGAGGTGATTCCTCAGGATTTTTTACACAAAGTATCGAGTTAGGTGCAAAAAATGACGTGAAATTTTCCTTTCCAAACCCATTGCTTTTTCTCCCCCACTATGAAATATACTTAGATATCAAGGAAAATGTTGAACAGAAAGTGGTGAGACTGGACAAACTTGTCATGTCCCCCATCTTAGCTAGAAACACTAATGGTTCAGTCTTTAACCGTTAAGCTTGATGTCAGCTGTGAAGCATTTTTAATAGATATTTTTATTAAATTGAGAAGTTCCATTTTATAACCAATTTGCAGAATGATTGTTAAATTGGTAAATTGTTGAATGTGTGTTAAACTTTGTAATATGCTTCCTTAATCTATTAAAAGGATACTATTTTTGTTTGTTATTCTATCAATATGGTACATTACATTAATTTTTTTGGATGCTAAACTAAGCTTTGATTCCTAGAGTAAACCTCACTTGTCATGATATATGATGCTTTTTTAATATGTTGCTCGATTTCTCACTAATTTTTTTAAAAGATACCTGTGTTTCTGTTTATAAGGGTTCCTGGTCTGCAGTTTTATTTTATTGTGGTGTCTTCATCAGGCCTCAGTTTCAGAGTAATCGTGAGTCCTTAGAATGAGTTGGGACAGGTTTTCTCTACCTCTATCATCTGAAAGAGCTTGTAAAAGATTGGTTTGGTTTAAATATTTTATTGTATTCACCAAAGAAATCTTCTGAGCCTGAAATTTTTGGGAGAGAGGGATATTTGTTATTACATACTTTCTATGCTTGTTATCAGTATATTCAAATGTTCTATTTCTTCATAAGTCAATTTTGGTAATTTGCGTCTCTTAAGGCACGTGCCATTTTATCTCTCCTAATTTTCTGACATATCAAAATATAAAATATGAAGAAATGTTCATCATATTCCCTTATAATCATATTCATTTGTTAGAGTTAATGATGATATCCATTTTTTCATTCCTAGTTTTGATAAGTTATGTCTTCTTTCTTTTTTCTGTTAGTTTAGCTAAAGGATGATCAATTTTCTTGAAATTTTAAGAAACCAATTTCTGAGTTAATTGATTTTCTTCATTTTTTTCTTTTCTTTTATTATTCTTTTTACTCTACTTGTCTTAAGTTTAGTTTTCTACTTTTTTTCTAATTATTTAAGGTGGAAGCTTAGATGATTACTTTGAGACTTTTCTTGGCTAATATAAGCATTTGAAACAGAAAAGTCCCATCTAAGTTCTACTTAGCTGTGTCCCATAATTTTTCATACAATGTACTTTCATTTTTATTCAGTTCAAAATATTTTTTAATTTTCTATAGGCTTTCTTCTTTGACCCATAAGTTACTTAGAAGTAGATTATTTAAATGTGCAAGTATTTGGATACGTTCCAGACTTCCTTCTTTGCGGGGCGTCGGGGTGCGGGGGCAGAGACAGAGTCTCTGTCTCCCAGGCGGGAGTACACTGACACGATCTTGTCTCACTGCAGCTTCTGCCTTCCAGGTTCAAGCGATTTTCGTGCCTCAGCCTCGCCGAGTAGCTGGGACTACAGGTGCGCGTGCCACCACTGTGCCCAGCTAATTTTTGTATGTTTAGTAGAGACGGGGTTTTGCCATGTTGCCCAGGCTTGTCTCTAACTCCTGACCTCAAGCGATCTGCCCGCCTCAGCTTCCCAAAGTGCTGGGATTACAGGCATGAGCCACAGTGCCCAGCCCAGATTTCCTTCTGTTTTTGATTTTTAACTTAATTACATTATAATCAGATATTACATTTTGTGAAATTTTAATGTTTTGAAAATCATTGAGACTTATTCTGTGGCCTAGTGTATGATACATCCTGAATAATATATTCTGTGTGCATAAAATATTATAATCTATATGGTCTCTCTCTAGAGAGTTTTATATATGCCTGTTAGGTCAGATTTGTTGAAACTGTTGATAAGATGTTTTATATTTTTGCTCATTTTATCCATAGGTATGCTATCAATTATTTTCAATGGGATGCTGAAGTCTCCCAGCATTAAAATTGAAATGACTATTTTTAATTTGATTTTGTCATAATTTATTTCATATATTTTGAGGCTCTGTTATAATTGTTTTCCTCATACATTAAACTATTAGCAAAATATATTTTTTGACTCCAATATTTTGGTGTCTAGTATTTACTATCTCACTATAATTGATTCTGATATTACTATAATCACTCTCTCTTATGTGTACTGAAGTTTGTTACTGCTTTTGTTGATGTATTTGTTTCTTTAACTTTCCTAGGCTAAATCTGAAATTTCTCTCCCCTATATTATGTGGTTTCTGATACCTCTGCTCATTTTCATTCTTGTTCTACCCTGGAGCTTCCCCATGTTGATAGCGCTTAGTGATCAGCCACCGCAGGGGATCTACATGTGGCTAGGGGAACGTGTTCAAAGCTTCAGCCACGGTGATGTCTGTCTCACCTTATCTTCTCTGCTCAGCCCTTTCACTTCTTCTCTATGCATGTACACACTCCAAGGTTGGACAAGACTATGTGGATAGTTTGGGTACCCTCTCATCTCCATGGCATATGCATCAACCAGGGATGTGCTTACCACAACCACAACCCCAAACTGGTAGAGCCGCTGTCCCTCTGTGTCCGGAATTGGTGGGTTCTTGGTCTGGCTGACTTCAAGGATGAAACCGCAGACCCTCGCGGTGAGTGCTACAGTTCTTAAAGATGCTGTGTCCAGAGTTTGTGCCTTCAGATGTTCAGATACGTCTGGAGTTTCTTCCTTCGGGTGGGTTCGTGGTCCCGCTGATTGGTGCGTTTAAAATCCCTGAGCTAAACAGAGTGCTGATTGGTGCATTTACCTCCTTTAGCTAGACACAAAAGTTCTCCAAGTCCCCACTGGATTAGCTAGACACAGAGCACTGACTGGTGCCTATACAATCTTCCAGCTAGACATGAAAGTTCTCCAAGTCCTCAGTCTCAAAAAAAAAAAAAAAAAGTTTTCCAAGTCCTCACCTGACTCAGGAGCCCAGCTGGCTTCGCCTAGTGGATTCCGCGCCGGGGCCGCGGGTGGAGCTGCTTGCCACTCCAGCGCGGTGCACGCGCACTCCTCAGCCCTTGGGTGGTCGATGGGACCCGGGGCCGCAGAGCACGGGGTGGCGCCCGTTGGGGAGGCTGGGGCCACGCGGAAGCCCATGCGGGGTCTGGGGGCTTGGGCATGGCGGGCTGCAGGTCCCAAGCGCTGTCCCGTGGGTAGGCGGCTAAGGCCCGGCAAGAATTCAAGCGCGGCGCAGGAGAGCCGGTAGTGCTGGGGGTCCCGGGACACCCTCCGCAGCTGCTGGTCCGGGTGCTAAGCCCCTCACTGCCTGGGGCCAGTGTCACCGGCCAGCGGCTCCAAGTGCGGGGCCCGCCCAGCCCGTGCCCACCCGGAACTCGCGCTGGCCCGCCAGCGCCGGGCACAGCCCCCGTTCCCACCCGCGCCTCTTCCGCCACACCTCTCCGCAAGCAGAGGGAGCCGGCTCCGGCCTCGGCCAGCCCAGAGAGGGGCTCCCACAGTGCAGCTGGGGGCTGAAGGGCTCCTCAAGCGAGGCCAGAGTGGGCGCAGAGAGCGAGTGAGGGCTGCGAACACACTGTCACCTCTCACCGCCTGCTTACCTACCACTGAGATTGTTCCTGCCACTGTCAGTGATGCTGAATGAGTGCTTCAACAACTGTTGGGAAAGGAGAAAACCCATTTAGCTATGTCAGAAGATCTGCCAGTCCTCACTGTCTGTTTCACTGTGGTAGAACCTTCACACCGGAAGAACTAGGATGGGAACATCTCCAGGTAAGAAACTCACAGATTCACACTTTTACTTCTTTTACTTGCAATTCAGCAATTTGTCGAGCATAAATGCTTCTTGGGTTGTTGTATGGTATCAGCTGATTTCCAGGGTGCTGAAGTTGTGGGGTTTTTTTTTGTCAACTTTGTCCACCTTTATATTTGATTTGTTGTGGAGAGGGTTGAATGACCTTCTCATTTGTCATTGGTCAGAAGTCTTTTCGGCATATAAGAATGTATAGCAGCTGTTATAATTACAGTTACCAAGGTCATAATATTCATGTAATAAATTTTTAAAATATGAAATATTAGGAGAGTAGAAATAGGAAAAGAAACGAAATGAAAATTATAGAACTAAGAAGAACAGTAACTGAAGCACAATCTTCCAAGGATGTATTTTAACAGCACAATAGAGCTAATAGAAGAGTCAATGAATTTGAAAATAAATCAATAGAAATAAACCTACCTTACAATCAGAGAGGTTTTTCTAGAGCAGTCACTTAAAAAATGATGTAGATTAAGCCAATAGAATAAATAAAATGAAATAACTAAAATATTCAATACAAAAGAAGAAGAAGAGGGGGAAAGCAACAATGACCCAATGGGATGGATAATAGCAAGATTGGAGGCTTAAACTCATATAAATTGAAAATTACATTAAAAGTAAATTGTCTAAACACTTTAATTAAAATCCAGAGAATTTCAGGCTCTAAGAAACAAGGCCATTTATGTGCTGCTTATATGAAACACAACATAAATAAAAATAGGTATTTAAAAGCAAAAAATGAAAAAAAACAGACATAAGCATTCTATGAAAATATCATAAAAGTGAGATAATGGAAATTAATGTAAGAAAAGATAAAGGATTTAAAAGTATATACCATACCAAAAGATATCGTTTGCTGTGTTTAAAGAATAATACCAAGGTATTGGTTATGCTGTCTATTCACACCTTTTTGTACTCTAAAATATGCCCTTGGGCTCAATGAGAGCGAGAGAGTTCAGTGAACTGTAAGGTTGGGAATATGCTCTGATAGTGTGTCACAAGCCTGTATTTACAATATGATGAAGAACAATCCTTCTCATTTCCTTTTAGGTATTTATTTGGAAGATAATATGAAAGGTTTTCATGGAAGGCTATTAAATATTTTGGAGACTGAGAATTTAGGGGAAGTTTCTTTATTTTCTGTGTTTAAATAGCAGTTATTTTTACTTCTTTTCCGAGCAATTGGTTTATTTTTATCATAGAGTCATTCTAAGTACAATGAATAGCCTATCAGGTATTGATGTATCTGAATGAATTGGAACTAACTTTAGGAATGCTGAAATAGATTGAAAATATAAGGCTGCTGGCATAACAACACTTCGCTTAGTGAAGAAGAGCAAATCTATCAGTCTGAGAGTGGACAAGAAGTCACTGTCATTCAGTCCCTGCTAACATTTAACAACTGGACCTGAAACTTACTCTCACCCAAACAGAAAACTGGCCACAATCTGCTTTTCTTTTTTATTTTTTTACACACTGTATGATTTAATTGTTATGAAATTTAGAAATAGGTAAAACAAGCCTTTACTTATAGAAATTAGAACTCTAGTTGCTTCTGGAACAGGTAAGGGGACTGTCTGTAAAGGAGCACAAGGGAATTTCAGGAGTGATGAAAATGTTCTACAAGTTTATTTCTGTAATGACCACATTAGTGTATATATATTTGTCAACACTCATTGATTGGTATATTTAAGATATATTAATTTTATTATATATAAATTATATCACAATTTTTTTAAGTTCTCTTTTTAATTATTATACTTTAAGTTCTAGGGTACATGTGCACAATGTGCAGGTTTGCTACATATGTATACATGTGCCATATTGATGTGCTGCACCCATTAACTCGTCATTTACTTTAGGTATATCTCCTAATGCTATCCCTCCCCCCTCCCCCCACCCCACAACAGGCCCCAATGTGTGATGTTCCCCACCCTGTGTCCAAGTGTTTCATGGTTCTGTTCCCACCTATGAGTGAGAACATGTGGTGTTTGGTTTTCTGTCCTTGCAATAGTTTGCTGAGAATGATGGTTTCCAGGTTCATCCATGTCCCTACAAAGGACATGAACTCATCCTTTTTTATGGCCACATAGTATTCCATGGTGTATATGTGCCACATTTTCTTAATCCAGCCTATCATTGATGGACATCTGGGTTGGTTCCAAGTCTTTGCTATTGTGAATAGTGCCGCAATAAACATATGTGTGCATGTGTCTTTATAGCATATGATTTATAATCATTTGGGTATATACCCAGTAATGGGATGGCTGGGTCAAATGGTATTTCTAGTTCTAGATCCTTGAGGAATCGCCACACTGTCTTCCACAATGGTTGAACTAGTTTACAGTTCCACCAGCAGTGTAAAAGTGTTCCTATTTCTCCACATCCTCTCCAGCACTTGTTGTTTCCTGACTTTTTAATGATCGCCATTCTAACTGGTGTGAGATGGTATCTCATTGTGGTTTTGATTTGCATTTCTCTGATGGCCAGTGATGGTGAGCATTTTTTCATGTGTCTGTTGACTGCATAAATGTCTTCTTTTGAGACGTGTCTGTTCATATCCTTTGCCTACTTTTTGATGGGGTTGTTTGATTTTTTCTTGTAAATTTTTTTAAGTTCTTTGTAGATTCTGGGTATCAGCCCACAATCTGCTTTTCAAGAGCCAAAGTGTGGCTTACTTCTCCTGTCACTACCTTTCTTTAAACATGTTGTCAGATGGTAACCTTCAAAACAACTAAACACAAAGAGATAGATGTGAATGAAGAAATGAACAATGGAAAACTATCTAAGAATTTTAGGCATCCCTCAGAAAAGTGAAACAGAAGCAGCAAATGAAAACATGGTATAGTGAGGAAAACTGTCTTCAGATACCACTTTGCCACTCAAAAGAGAAATACGATCTAAGTGACATATCCTCTTTCCAAATGCAATGAAAAGAAAATTACATGTTATTTATAAAGGAAAAATTACAGTCACATGGTTAAGAAAAATATTCTCTGATTTACAGCTCCACTAATAACCACAAAATAGGTTAGACTCAGACATTTTTTGCAGCACTGAATGACGAAACACATTTGGAAAATGCTATACATTTATGAAGAGGAACGGTTTTGATATACTATATTTCTAAATAGCCCACTTTTCTACTGTAAATTTCAAGTATGTAATAGCTAAGAAAATATACAACTTGTGCAATGTTCGCAATATTACCTGAAGAATATAGTCCAGTCAAAGAAGAGATAAATACAAATATTGAACATAAAATTCACTATAAAAAGGACTGAATTTATATAAATATAACAAATTTTGATAGCAATTCTAGATAGTTAAATTTGATTATAGTATTAGATTCTAACATCAAAGATTATGCTCTTAAAATGTTTGTAAAGAATAAAATGATTGAGCAACAGTAAATAAAACTAAGAACATATTTCCAGGAAAAATTACAAGCACATAGAATGCTGGTGGGGAGAATAAGGATATGTTTGATTCCTCATTTTCATTAGGAGAATGTATTTTAAACTTCGATATTTAGAAAAATAAAAATTAAGTAATATCTTTGTAAAGTTCAAAAGTAATTATAAACAAGTTTAGAATAAGATGATTAGCTTAAAAATACTGACACAGAGGGGAGCAGGGGAAGAAGGATATCAAAGAAAAGTGGAATAAAATTGTCCAAACAAAATCAATCAAAAAATAAACTGACTCTCAGTGACTAGAAAGCTAAGCTAAAAGTGCAATAATAAAACATTTAAAGAACTTAAAATGATATTGCAAAGAGTAAAAATTAAATATTAGTGCTACAAAGATAATTTCTGATAAATCATCCAAAACAAATAAGTAAACAAGCAAACAAAAAAACCAAATCACGACTAAATGCGATTTACAGGACATGCACAGAATAGAAGAAAAAAAGAAAAATGGGGAAAAAAGGACCAAAGATTTGGTAGGAAAATTCAAACAAAAAATAAGGCCATGCCATTATTGCAAATATGATTTCACCAGAAGCCATTAAGCAGGAAAAAAAGTCATTTTCTACTTATATAGAAGGTATAGTTCATCATGGTGATATAAAAGCAGCAGATGTTCATATGAGACATAACACAGAGCAAAAATATTAGTAATCCATTATCGGAAATACAAGGAAAGGCCGGGCGCGGTGGCTCATGCCTGTAATCTCAGCACTTTGGGAGGCCGATGCGGGTGGATCACCTGAGGTCAGGAGTTCGAGGCCAGCCTGACCAATATGGCATAACCTCGTCTCTACTAAAATATAAAAATTAGCCAGGCACGGTGGCATGCACCTGTAATCCCAACTACTCGGTAGGCTGAGACAAGAGAATCGCTTGAACCCGGGAGGCAGACGTTGCAGTGAGCCAAGGTGTCACCACTGTACTCCAGCCAGGGCAACAGAGTGAGACTCTATAGGGTGAGAAAAAAAAAAAAAAGGAAAGAAAAGCAATACAAGAAAAATGAATAGAAATACACTTATTGTGGGAGATGTGGAAATTTTTTTTCAGTATTTCAAAAGTAGACCGTAGAAAACATAGATATATTCAAAATATAAGAAATATGTGGCTCACGTTTGTAATCCCAGCACTTTGGGAGGTCGAGGCGGGCAGATCACGAAGACAGGAGATCGAGACCATCCTGGCTAACACGGTGAAACCCCGTCTCTATTAAAAATACAAAAAAAAATTAGCCGGGCGTGGTGGCAGGTGCCTGTAGTCCCAGCTACTCGGGAGGCTGAGGCAGGAGAATGGCGTGAACCCGGCAGGTGGAGCTTGCAGTGAGCAGAGATCGCGCCACTGCCCTCCAGCCTGGGTGACAGAGCAAGACTCCATCTCAAAAAAAAAAAAAAAGAAAAAAGAAATATAATAAGGTTGACTTGTATATTTATTGTTCTTACTACCTATAACAATAATGGTTAAGACTGCCTAACAGTTTACTCAATGCGTGTTTAAATGGGTTATCCAAGACGGTGCATATAACATTTGAGAGTGTTACTTCTGTTATATATTTTACAGATGAAAATAAAACATACTGAGACTGGAGAAATCAGTTATTTTCCTGGGTCTGGTAACTAATAAATTCTATAGTGATATCAAACTTAGATCTGTCTATTCCAAAACTCACATTCTTAACCAAATGGTCACAAAGCACAATTTATACAGCGAATTTATATGAACTCATTAAAAATAAAACCCTAGAAACTATTAACTTTTTTCTAAAGTAAAAACTATAACTTTTCAAATGTTTAAATACAGAAAATTTTCTAAATATCTAACAAATCAAAAGGATATGAAGCCTACATTTGCAAATGTAAGAAAAAGCAGGCTAAAATAATTGAAAAATGTAGAAACAAAACTATACACAAAATAAGTTTATTATATTTAATATATTATTATGAAATATTTTATGTGAATTAATTATTTAGCTTTGAAATTAATTATTTAGCTTTTCAAAGAACTTTGAAAATATCTTCACAAGAAACATAAGGTGAACAGGAAGATTTCAATTAAGAGAATAAAGAAAATAACTTCACTCATTAAAATTCAATAGTAAATACAAGAACTTGTTCAAAAAAATAAAAAGGTGACATTTACAAGTTTTATCATTACAATTCTAATTTTTTTTTAAGAGACGGGTTCTTGCTATGTTGCCCAGGTTGTATTTGAACTCCTGGGCTCAAGAGACCCTTCCGCCTCAACCTGGCAGAATTTGGATACCCTGACAAAACATTCTTTCAGATGAATAAACAATGGAAAGATCCAACAATATATTGAAAAGGGATAATAATGATAATAAACTTCCACTAACATACTCTAAAGCACATGGCCCTGAAATAAGCCAATCATTTATGGGAATCTCATGCACAATGAAAACAGTTTATAAAACATCTGAAAGAAATATAGATTAGTTGATAAATGCAATTTTTCTTCTTTAGAGAATTTGTTTGCATTTTATGTATTCAAGTAATCAGTACTAAAATTTAAGAGAAACAAACCTGGAAAATAAATTTGCACCACAAATGATAGCATTAAAACAATTCATTCTAATTTAGAAATATATTTTACTAATCAGTCGATAAATAATAAGCTTCCCCCACAAGAAAAATGAACAGAAACATGTATGCAATATGAGAAATAAAATGCACAGATGATTAATAGATTTAAAATAGAATTTTAGTATGACTAGTAATTTTTAAATGCATGTTAAAATACTAAAACATCATGGTTCAATTACAGACTAGTCAAGTATTACCATCCAATTGAAAATGTGCATTCTAATGACAAGTTTCAGATAGTAGCTTTTTACAATAGCTATGGAGATCTGATAGTATTTATCACAATTTAAAGTATGTGCTGTTTTGATGCAATAATTCCACTTATACGAAATCATTCAAGGAAAGAAAGAATGCCAGTAATTTTCCAGAGAATAAAATGAGTAAATATTCTCTAACTTATTTAATGAGACTACCTTAACTTTGATTCTAAACTTGACAGAGACATTTCAAAAGGGGAAAATTCCAACTCAGCTATCATATAACTGGATTCACAATGGCAAAATGAAATATTAGTAAATTGAAACCAGCAATACATAGAAGATAAATAAGGAAGATCAACTTTAGTTTATTCTGGGAATCCAATGCAAGATTGATTTAACATTTAAAAACTGTCCAATATAATTGATGCAGACAAGACAAAAAAAGAAATAAATCATATTGTATAGTCACCCTGATAAAAGCTCTTGATAAAATTTAGGATTCTTTTAATATAAAAGCCATGGGCAATTTAGAAATAGAAAGGCAATCTAGGGCAGGTGCATTGGCTCCTATCTGTAATCCCAATGCTTTGGGAGTCCAAGGCAGGAGGATCACTTGAGCCCAGGAGTTAAAGGTTACAGTGACCTATGATCGTGCCACTGCACTCCAGCTGGGTGACAGAGCAAGATTCTATCTCTTAAAGAAAATAAAAAGGCAATCTAGGCAACTATGCTCTTTCTAAATCTGATCAATGGTATCTACAAAACCTGTAGCAAATATACTTCATGATAAAATGTTAAAAGTTTCCCTCTGGAATCTGGGGAAAACAAGTATGGCTGTGATCAGAGCATCTATTAAACATCACACTGGAAGCTCTACCCAATGTTAAGTTACAGTATAGAAAAGGAAAACAAAAGTCAGTGTTTGCAGGTTTATGTTGAAAACATGAAAGACAAAAGTAGACATGACAGTAATAAAGAATAATAAGTATTTTACCAGATAGCAAGACATTACGAAATTGTAGTGATTAATATACTGCAACATTAGAAATAGATAAATATTGAGCAAAATAAGTCAGATGAAAAAGAATACTTACCATATGAACCTATTTATATAAATTTCAGAAAACAGATACAACTTAATGATAGTGGTATATAGGAAAATAAACATTTGCTATTAAAACAAAATATCATAGTAAGGTGAAAACACAGTGTCTCGTTCTTTGTATTTCCCAAACATTGGTTATTAAAATAATGTGCAGAGTGATCACCCCCTCCTGCTAAAGATAGGCTTCAGGCAACAGTAGAAACTCTACAACTCATGTGTAATGCTGGGTATAAAGATGAGACAAGTGGTTCCAACATACCCAGTCTCAGCTGCCTTGAAAGGTGTACTTAAAGATGAGGGTAACAGAACTTATTAAACTTGACAAATCAGGAGTAGGAAAAGTAGATTTTGCTTTCTCGTCCATATCAGTTATTTTACTAAACACTTCTCAATATGTGAAGGCTAAAGGAAGGGGTAATCATCAAAATAATTGTCACTGTTTTTAAATGAATAATTAATTTTATGTACCAATAACTGTTCTGGGGGCTTAAAATAAATGGTTGCTTTGTGACTCACAGCAACAAATACAACAGTTACTATTACATCTCCAGTCAAAGGATCATGGAAATAAATGCCAACACTCTAGTTTCTCTCACCTGAGGAGTGGCCAGGAGCTGAAGGCCATTGCAAAGGTTGGTGTAGCTGAGTGAGCACTCCTCCAGGCTGAAATGGACTGACTCACCTCCTTTTGAGGAGCTGACAGATTTACTACATGGAGTGGGGGACCTTTCCCAGTATATTATTCCTATTCTGATTATTAGTTTCAGTCATGAATTAGATTACTCACTCAAAACATACTTTAAATTCCTTCTTATGTATGAAAAACATCCAATGTTTGAAATAAAAATGACTCAAATTGATGTGATGTTTTCTGCTTAATTATTGTTTCTTAAAAAGTTCTCTTTGAGCACTAAGAAATGCGAATTTCAGTACCAAAGAGGAAAGTGCATATATTTTTGGAGCTCCCTGATGATCAGGAGATATAAGATTGTTTTAGCATTTGCTATGGTGTGGGTTGCAGCATCGATCATGCTGCTTATTTATAGGCCTGACTGTGACACAGTATCACCCATTTAATTATAATGAGGAGGTTGTTCATATCTAAGGGAGCAATACACCAGGAGCATTCATAAAAATAAAAAATAGTTTAACTTCCTAACAGTATTTCAATCTCTTAATGAATCTTATCTTTCCAAGTTTTTTTTTACCTTTTTTGATGTAAACTCAAACTTAGCCATAATCTATTATTTATATTTTTATCTTAGCCTCTAAATTTGGTGATCAGCTGCTCAATCATTATAAAAGTGAACAGCTTGAGATTAGCATGCAAGGTTTTAGTCAGAAAAGCTTAACTCTCAAATACCATATTATAGTTTAGCTATTTATCCATAATCAAATTTATAGTAATTAAATAAAATGCTCAAGGATTTTAAATCCATCTTACAAAGTAATCTAATTTATATTTATAACTTCATAATTATATTATGTTCCAATGATTACTAGAATCTTACATATTGAGAGTGAACGATATAGATAGACTTATTTTTTCCTTGGTTATTTGATCTCACTAATTATACGTTTAATAATGATCAATTATAAGTTAATGTACATAATTGTTTTATTAAATCTAAATCATAGTTAAACACTTATTTAATAATCTAAGTTAGTATTGCCCTTTAACATTTCTCAGTAAATTAGAGTTACATTTTCTCACCTAAAATTTTAAGAGTTTTAAATTATCTTTTGTTCTACCAACTGCTTTCTTTTCTTGAATTATGGTTGATGCAAAAGTAACTGTGATTTTTGGCATTGAAAGTAAGGGAAAAGATCACAATTACACTTGCACCAACCTAACAGAATAAACCAACATACTTATTCTAACACAACGAGATCATGAAGAGTAAAATCTTAGACTCTGAATGATTGAGCCTATTTTGTTTGCTGGTTTGTCTGAATGCTGGTATTGAAGAGATAGGATTAATTTTATTTTACATGGAGCGGTATAGTAATAACTTGGAGAACTGGTAACTTTCCCTTAGCCAACCCCTATTCTAAGCTCTTTACATCAACGTATCATTTAATCTTCAAACAACCTTGAATGGTAGTGCTATTATTATTCTCTTTAAGGGAAGAAGAAACTGAGACAGAGAAGTTACCTAAACTTTCTCAAAGTCAAACAGGTTGTGAGTGAGAGAGCAAGGCATCTGGACTCTAAAGCTTAGGCTCTTAACCACTATTCTTTCCCCGACATCAATATCCTTGGCTTCAACTTATAGGAGCTTAAAGACTGAGAGTTGCAAACATAGCTAATAAGTTATTTATCACCTCCATGTAATATTTTCCTATTGGGAAAGCTATGAATGTCTTTTTGTTATATAACAAATGTTTCTAATTAAGGCATGTGAGAGGGGAATTTTCCATTTATTAAACTACATATGGTCCTTGAATTCTATTTATGTTACTGACTATAAGCTCATCAGAGTTGTGTTTTTCTTTTGTTTCAAATACAATTAGGAAACCCAAACAAATTTATTTTAAATGTTTGAAGTAGATATCTGAAGTAAGAATGAATCAACATAAGAAAGCGAATCACTAGGAACAGGGAGGAGTTCTGAAGTCTGCATATGTGTGTCTGCATACCTGCAGGTTGGAAGCAAAACCAGGTCTCCTCCTTTAAGATTTGAAAGTAACAAATGTACATGTAATATTCATAGTGATTGAGTAAAATACATTAAAGCAGTCCTTCTTAAGAAACCAATGTCACAAAGCTATGGAGATAGAAGCCAAAATTGGTGAGAACTCTTTATTGCCAAATGCTGTGCATGCCACTTTGTGTACATTCTTATCTAATTTTCCTAACGGCCTAGTGAAGGATGTATTATTCCATGTTAAAGTTGAGGGTCTCAGAGCCATTCAAATAACGTCCTTAGTGAGGAAGTAGCATGGTTCCATTGGAAGCCACATCTTATCTAGTGCCTAAAACTGTCATTTTCCATGTTCTCTTTTAAGAAACTTACAGCCTTAGACTGGGCACGGTGGCGCACACCTGTAATCCAAGCACTTTGGGAGGCCAAGGTGGGCAAATCACCTGAGATCGGGATTTTGAGACCAGCCTCGCCAACATGGTGAAACCCCATCTCTACAAAAAATACAAAAAAAAAAAAGAGGAAAATTAGGCAGGCCTGGTGGCGGGCACCTGTAATCCTGGCTACTTGGGAGGCTGAGGCAGGAGAATCGCTTGAACCCGGGGGTTGGAGGTTGCAGTGAGTGGAGATCTTGCCACTGCACTCCAGCCTGGGCAACAGAGGAAGACTGTCTAAAAAAAAAATCTTACAGCCTTAGAGAACTGTTACTATTAAAATGGCCACAGAGGGTCACATTTCTATCTTTGTCTTTCATGTCCTAAACATGCTATATATTTATATATATAGAATAATATGTAAGTAGGTATGCTTTTATAATATAGCATTGGTGCATGCAAAGACCATAGTCACTAATCTGCTAATACAAAATAAGACATGCAATCAATTAATATTTGAACATTACTGATTACTAAAACAAAACTTCCACATGTGAGCTACAAAATTGATCTCCCAAATTGGTCTCATTTTAATTAATTTTTGCAAAGGGGTCCTAGTTTATATTCAGATATTCAATATTCTGTAATATGGGCATATAAATTCTGAAGGTTATTAAGAGTTTTCCTAAGTTTTTAAGTTTATAGGTTGGCTTCAGAGTCAAATTGGTTGATTACAGTTAAACCCACAAAATAAGCTTCCATCCTCGAATATCATAAATTTTAAAATGTTTAAGATAGTAATTATACTTTTAAAAAGCACCAAAAAATTATAAGCATAATTTGAGACACTTGATAGATACGATCACATTTGACAGAATCGTTCACATTCCCTACAGGGGACAGCATTTTTACACTAAACAAGCCTGGATTTATGATATCGGCTGCCTTCAAAGCAATGCCTTCCAGGTCTCCAGACTCCACAGAAGATGAATTCAGTTCACCGCCTCAGGCCTGGAGATTTGGCCCCCAATGAGACGCATTGATGCAAGTTTGCTTTCTTGCTTAATATCTTCTCTAGGTGGCAGACTGGAGAGATGGTGTCTGGAAGGTGATTTGGTGAAAATGGTGGTAATTTAGCAGCAATTTTTGTAGCTAGTATACCCCAGTGGGAGTCATTCTGTTCCCTAGAAAGTAAGAGCTTTGATCAAACATCCATGTAGGGAGGCTTATGGGCTCAACATGGAGTTAAGTTGAAGAAATGGGTAAAACACACAGAGCTGATTCCAACCTAACAGGCAAGGCTCTGCACAAGATGTGCTGTGGGTATCCACTGAAATGCAGGACTGTGGTGAGAGTTTAGATTAAATCACATCTGCTGCCACCATCAGTGTTCTTTCTCTTTGCTGTTTTCCTATTTGGAAGAGAGCTCATATATGGACATGAGTACAGAATGATGAGTGAGATAAGTGATAAATAAAGACAAAGAAAATAAAACTCAGTTCTCTTTCTCGCCTTTTCTTATTGTTCTGAGCAAAATGGGGAAACACGTTGATATCCAGAGCCTTATGGTGAGATAATCACATTTTTATGTGTGATTCTAATAACTTTTTAAAAATTATTTTGAAGAGCAATGGGAAAAACATTTTTATTAACCTTTCTTTAAGAGCACATAGAGGAACAGTATCAACCTTGCTGAATGTGATCACAATAATTAAACCTTGATTTCATGAAAACCATGAAATGCTTAATTCATTAGCTAATTAACTGTATTATTTATTCAACCTAATTTAATGGGCATATACTGGGTGCCACCTTGGTTTCCCTAAAGAGACTGGAAACTCATTGGCACAAAAAGACATAAAGCAAGCAGAGGTGGATTTACTATGGAAAGAAAGAAACAGACTTCAGAATCATTCATATACAAGGCTCTCCCAAGCCTCCGAAGAGATCAGCACAGTGTCAATGTGGCCATAATTTTCATAATATTTACTAAAGATACTAAATCACTTTTCAGTACACACATTCTTCCCTCCATTATATTTCTCCATAGCTGTTGAAACACTGAGGTGGCCTTGGTCATTTTGAGCATCTCATTAAAGGAAAGTTGAATTACAGTTTCATTTAGATTGTGTCTAAATGAATAGAGAGGTACTTTACAGCTACCTCTTCGTCTAGGTTTAGTTGTTCTGGTATAGGGAAGACTTCCAAGAGTACTTCCACTCCCTATTTTGTCAATTTGCCCAGCTTTGTGACACCAAGATCAGTCCAGAGGCCTGTGTTGGTATAAACATGCCCTATGCCATCTAAAATATGTGGCTACAGCAAGGGCATACAGTTTGAAGCGTACAAAGCTAGAAGTTACTCTATGAAAAATTCTTCTCATCAGTAAACACAACTATAAGTAGAAGATTTTTTCTTATTAATGCGTACTCAGAACAATATTTCTATCTTGTCAGTTATATAATTGATAATACTGTGTATAGGATTATCAATGCAGGAACGATTATTTTTCTTTTTTTGAAGATTTCCACAAAATGAAATGTACCAGAATCCTTGTGTTGGTAGAACATTGACCCATAGCAGGGCTGTTATGGGAATATCGGTGACAAAACATATATGACATAAACTTGGTATAATTTTTCTCATTTTGACAACATTCCTGAAAATTACATGACATGACCAAAGATATTCTTTCTGTAAATCTGAAAGAATATCTCTAAGCCATGCAAAGCAATTATTGAGCAAACATGCTAAAGGAAAGTACAAATTATTTCTCTATTTTATCTGCAGAAATATAATATTATAAAATGGCTACCATATAAAATTTTTTTAATTCTGCCAAAAATGAAGAAAAATCATACTATAGAAATTTGCCAAAGATAAAATTATTTTTTTATTTTATAACATATGTGCTATTTCTCAGGTTTTTAATATTCATAGTTTTTTGAAATAAATATTCATTTTATTCACCTATTTTTGCATTCACAACTTTAATTAATTAATTAATTAATTTATTTATTTATTTATTTTTTTGCTTGCTTGCTGGCTTGCTTGCTTATGGTCTTCCAAATCTTACAAGCCAAAGATTCTGGAAGCAAGAATTACTTAGAGCTCTGGCATCAAGGATTATATTATTCCCTGTCTTGCATCAGTAAGATACAAAGGAATATCTTCAATCTTACCACTTCTAGAAAGCATGTGCTTTCGAAAGATTCATTCTTTTATATGGCAAATTCCATTGTCATGCTCACCAATAAACAACAGTGCTCATATCCTGATTGTCCTCAGATATCTCTAAGGGCTATTTTGGTCAGATTTTATCTTCTACCTGTAAAGATTAAGGCATAGTCTTCATTCAGCCCAGAAGACAGAAAGCTTGACTAAAATAAATGTTAATGTGTTTCAAATAATATATATTTCTGGGGAAAAAAGAAATTATTAAGTGTTTGATGATTATGCCACTTTTACTCATAATTTCCTGAGTGTTATTTAATAATTATATAAATATCTGTTTAAAAAATCCTGACACTGGGTCCTGTGCAAGGCCCAGGCGTTTAAAAACAAATAAACAGGCCAGGAGCCGTGGCTCATGCCTGTAATCCCAGCACTTTGGGAGGCCGAGGTAGGGGGATCACCTGCGGTCAGCAGATGGAGACCAGCCTGACCAATATGGTGAAACCCTGTCTCTACTCTCTACTAAAAATACAAAGATTAGCTGGGCATGGTGGTGCACGCTTGTAGTCCCAGCTACTCAGCAGGCTGAGACAGAATTGTTTGAACCTGGGAGGCGGAGGCTGCAGTGAGCTCTGAGATTGTGCCATTGCACTCAAGGCTGGGTGACAACATGAAACATACAAACAAATAATAATTACATTTCTGTTTCACAGTGAGGAAGGGAATTAGGTAGAAGATTTCTTACTGCAACACATTAAGTACTTTAATTCCTCCGAAGAAAGTGCATGTATAAAGAAGGTGTGTTTGAGCTCAGGAATGTGGTAGGATCCTCTGGAGGGGTACATTGGGGGAGCACTATGGGGGACATTGCATACACCTGTAATTCATTCTGATTTTATTGTTTAATTAGCAGACCATGATCACAGGCATTCAAGAAGGGGCAAAAATATTACATAGCTTTTGTTTTAGAACAATTACCATGGTGACTATGAGGAAGACTGAAGTAGGACAAGGAGTAAAAAATGTGTTCTAAATATTCAAGAGATCACTTGGGATCAATGGCCCCAAACTCTATGCTGGAAGCATCAGCAACAAAGAGACAGTGAGGGACCCTATGACATACGAGATATTGAAATATTGTTTACAAGAAGACTCAGGTAGCTTGGAACATGACTAGCTGGCACAATGATGCTTTGTCTGGAGGCCCAGACTATAGTATGGCTTTCTGATATCTGAGAATTTGGAAGTCTGCAAAACTTCCAAAATTTAAAAAAATACAAAATTTCGGGATTTATTTTATAACTATGGGATTATACACTGCACAGTTTTTATTGGTTTTAAAAGGTCAATCTGACCAGCTCTATTTTGTGAACTGTAAACTATTTTGTGTAACTGAATTCAAACTTTCCCTTGACTTGTGGAAATTACTTAGCCTGTGAGATGAAGAGGGGTTTGTAAACTGTAGAAAATATCATGGATGTGGAAGGACTTGCCCTGCTCCTCATTTAAGTTACTGTTTTTCTTCCTCCAGCTTCTGCATCAGACATATAATTTCCTCTTCTCTGTAGACTAGCTCAACAGAGGTATGCAGTTAGAGCTGACAAAAACAGCATAGTAAAGGTGAAATATAATGAGATACACTATTGCAAGATGTTTGGGTTGTCAGTGGGTACAAATTAGTCTCCATTCATTCATTTATTTTTATTTATTATTTTATTAATTCCTCATTAAATATTCCTCAATTCATTAAACATATATTGCATGTATCTGTACTGTGTTTAGGACCAATAATACAAACTTTGAGAAGATACAGAGATTTTTGCCTCCAATATGGTTGAGTAGCAACAACAGCTAACAATAAATTCTGGAGAAAACAGAAAAACTTCCACATGCAGGCACTGAAGAATGAAAAGAAGGCAGAAATTTGAGGAGAGTTGCCACTAAAAGAAAAGGGAAAAAATCTGGGTAATTTTCTTATTTTTATAAGTTTTCACCCAGTAAAAGTCCCTTGTCTATACCACAAGAGGTAGCTAAAACTCCAGTGGGAAACCCACAGTCCTACTGATTTGACAAACTGTATGACAGAGATTGAAGCAATGACTAATGATGGGAATCAATGGGCAATGAGGGGTTGGTGGAAATCCTGGAAAAGGAAATGCTGTAGAGAATCAGCCCCACATTCTCTGCATAAACTCTGCTCAAGTCTTTGGCTGAACCCTGAAACATACATATACAAGACAGAATCCAATCAGGCCAGTTAAATCTAAAAAGAACTCAAGAGGAGTTAACCTTCCATTTTCTTAAGGACAAAACAGAGATTATAGTTTGAGTTCAGATTATAGTTTGAGTTAACGGGTTACTTTTTAAAAAAGTTTTTCTCTTCAAAAGAATGCAAGATGATGAAAAAGCTTCTGTACAGTATTCTTCAAAATGTCCAGGATACAACTGAAAATTTTGGAATACATGGAAAATAGAATAAAATGATATTTAACAAGAAAAAATGAATAGAGATAAGCCCTGACATGGCTCAGATATTTGAATTAGCAGAAAGGATTTTAAAGTAATTGTTTTGATGGTACTTAATGATGTAAAACAAAGTATGAGGAAAAAAATAACATTTCAATAGACAAATATAATGGGTGAAAGAAAACCAAATGGAAATTTTAGGACTGTTAAGTGCAGCTTCTATACACTCATGTATTACATCTATCTATTTATGTATATCCATATCTATGTATATGTCTAATCTAGCAATCTATCCACCTACATTGGATGAGCTTACCAGAAAAGTGAAGATCACAAGACAAAACAAAAAATCACTGATCTTGATATTAAAATGATAGAAATTATGTTAATGAAGGAAAATTGATTTTTTAATGGCAGAAAAATTTAATAAAGTGGTAGAGACCTATGGGAAAATGTTGAAAGGTCTAATATATTGAAGTGCCAGATCAGAAAGAGAATGGGGCTTCCAAAAAATCAAAGAACTGTTGACCAAAAATATCCAAATTTTAGTTGAAGACATAATATTACAAATTCAAACAACTTAGTGAAACTCAACCAGGCTAAATGCAAAGAAAAACATACTAAGTCCATTATAGTCAAAATGTTTTCAAAGAAAATCTAGAAAGAGGCAAGAGAGTATATTAAATACAGAACAGTTATTTCAATCACCACAGACTTCTCATCAGAAACACTGGAGAGAAGGCCAAAGGGAAGCACTGAAAAGTAAATAAACTTTCAACCTAGAATTCTACATCTGGCAAATATAACCCTCAAGAGTGAATACAAAATAAAGGCATATTGAGTTAAACAAAAATTAAGAGAAATCATTGCAAATAGATTTGCACTACTTAGAAATGCCCAAGGAACTTCTTCAGGATGAAGGAAAAAAAAAATAAGACAAGATGGATATGCAGATCTTCTGTATATGAGGAAACTCAAAATAGTAAATAATTGTTTTTTTAAAAAAACTGCCTATCCTCTAAATTTCTTTAGAATTCATATAGCTGCTTAAAGTTCACATTCTTATATAGTGTTCTGGAACTTTTAATGTATGTAAATAAAAACTATAGTATAAAGGATAGAAAGAGGTTGCAAATGGAACTGCATCATCTCAAGGATTCTATATTTTTCATAATGTGGCATAATAACAAATCTTAAAGTTGAGGATGTATACTTTAATCCATAGAAGATAGTGAATCTTCTATTTTTAGTGAAAAATTAATGCCAATATGTAGACATAGGAATCCAGTGCATACATTAAAATGAAATCTTTAAAGATTTGCATAAAATTTAAAGTATAATAATAATAAAATAAAAAATAAAAAATAAAAAAATAAAAAAATAAAAAAAATCAGGAAAGGAAAACCTGATAAATTTTAAAAAAACAGAGGAAACACAGCAAAGCAAATGGTAAAATGACATCAAATATTGCATTAAAAGATAATGAACTAAATAATCTAATTGAAAGAGATTTTCAGAATGGATATAGAATGAAGAACTAACTAGATAGATGTTGTCCACTATAAAAGTATTATACATATAAAGATGCAGATAGATTGAAAGTAAATAGAAAAAGAAATACAATGTAAAGCATATTCATAAGGATGTTGGAGTGGCTGTACATCATGTTGAATAAAGTAGATTTCACAGTTCTGAAGGTTGGAAAGTCCAAGATCAAGGTGCTGATAGGTTTGGTGTCTGGTGAGATTCTTCATAGAGAATTCTATGAGTTGTAAGAGTTCTTATATTCTGGGTGAAAGTCCTTGTAAGATATATGATTTCCAAATATTTTCTCCCATTATTTGGATTGTTTTTTCACTTTATTATGATGTCTTTTAAAGCAGAAAAGTTTTTAGTTTTGATGAGATCTAACATAGTCTTTTTCATTTGTGCTGTTGGTGTGATATCTAGGAAGCCATTGCGTAATGTAAGGTCACAAAGATTTAGTCCTTTGATTTCTACCATAAATTTCATACAAACTTGCTGTTACATTTAGGCATTTAATATATTTTGGGTTACTGAATATGATGTGACAAAGATGTTTAACTTCATTCTTTTGTATGTGGATATTTACTTGTCCTAGAACGATTTATTGCAAATGTTACTTCTTCCCTTTTCAATTATACTGGAACCCACTGAAAAATCAATGTAAGGGTTTATTTATGACCCTCAATTACACACCACTGATCTCTGTGTATATCCTTAAACCAATACCACACTGTCTTGATTACCACAGCTGTTTGGTAAGTTCTGAAAACAAGAAATGTGAGTGCTCCAACTTGTTTGTTTTTGAAAATTATTTTGGCTCTTCTTGATGCTTTTAATTTCCATATGAATTTTAGGAAGAGCTTGTAAATTTATGCAAAAAGTGTAACTTGGATTTTGAAAGAAATATTGTCTTCCAATTCATGAACATGTATGTCTTTGTTTAGGTTTCTAATTTCTTTCAATGATGTTTGTAGTGCCCAGTGAAAAAAGATTTCACTTCGTTTGTCATATTTATGTCTAAGATTTTATTCTTTTTTGATGCTATTGTAAAGTTGTTTTTTTTATTTTGTTTCTGGATTGTTCGTTGCTAGCATATAAAAATACAATTGATTTTGTTATGATGATGTGATGATGTTTTTCCTGTGACCTTAGTGAACTTGTTTATGAGTTCTAATGTTTTTCTGGGGAAGGGAGGGGTCCTTTATAATTTTTTACATAAAATAATATCTTCTGTGAATAAAGATAGTTTACTTGTTTCCTTCTATCTTTTTCTTGTAGATTTGTTCTGGCTTGAATCGCCAGAAAATACTGAATAGAAGAAATGAGAGTAGACATTCTTGTCTATTTTCTTATTTTAGGGAAAAGCATTCAGTTTTTCACCATTAGCATTATAATAGCTATGGGTTTTTGGTAAATGGCCTTTATCAGAATGATGTAGTGTTCCCTTCTATTCCTAGTTTTGAGTGTTTTATAATGAAAGCATTGTGCATTTTGTTAAATTATTTCTCTATGTCTATTGAAGTAATTATGTGTTTCTTGTTCATTATTAAATTATGAATTACACTGATTAATTTCATATATTAAACCAACCTTGAATTCCTGAGATAAATTTCACTCAATCATTGTGTATAATTCCTTATATACATTGCTGGATTCAGTTTGTTAGCATAGTTGACCCTTGAACAACACAGAAGTTAGGAACTTCAGTGCCATTTAACATCCAAAATTCATGTATAACTTTTGACTCCTCCAAAACTTAACTACTAATAGACTACTGTCCACCAGAAACCTTACCAGTAACATAAACGGTTAAGTAACACATATTTTGTATATGTATCATATACTGTATTCTGTCAATAAAGTAAGCTAGATAAAAGAAAATGTTAATAAAATCATACAGGAGAGAAAATATATTTACTATTTATTAAATAGAAGTGGATCATTATAAAGGTCTTCATCCTCATCACCTTCACATTGACTAGGCTGAGAAGGAGAAAGTGTTGATCTTGCTATCTCAGGGGTAGCAGAGTTGGAAAACATGGAGAAGGTGAAAGTGAAGCAGGAGAAGCAGGTACCTTTGGTGTATCTTTTATTGAATAAAATCTGCATATAGGTGGACCTGCATGGTTCAAACCCTGCATTGTTCAAAGGTTAACTATTTTATTGAAGTATTGTGTCTATATTCATAAAGAGTATTAATTCATAGTTTTCTTGTCTTGTAATATCCTTGTCTGGTTTTGGTATTTGGGTAATACCGACCTCATTAAATGAACTGAAAAGTGTTTCCTCAAATTCTAATTTTTGAAAGAGTTTGTGAAAGAGGATTTGCACTAATTCTTCTTTAAACATTTGGCAGAATTCATATGTGAAGCTATGTGTGCCAAGGCTTTTCCTCATGGCAAGATTTGATTACTAACTTTATATTTTTAAAAATCGATTCATATTTTATGTTTTTACATTAGGCAGTTTTGGTAATTTTGTTTTTCTAGAAACTTGTTCATTACATCTAGCTTGTCTATTTTGTTGACACACAATCATTCCCAATATTTCTTTATAATTTGTTTTATTTCTATAATGTTGGCAGTAATACCCCTTATTTTACTCCTGATCTTATTAATTTAAGACTTTTATTTTTTTCCTTGGTAAGCATAGCTAAAGGCTTGCCAATTATATAATGATCTTTTCTCCAAGAACAAGTTTCAATTTTGGTGTGTTCCTATACTGATTTTCTATTCTCTGTTTTGTTAATTTACACTTGATATTTCTTTTCTTCCTTCTGCTTGCTTTGCATTTCATTTGCTGTTCATTTTCTAGTTCCTTATAGCGGAAGTTGAAGTTAATAATTATAATTTGGGCTTTTTTCTTCTTTTTTAATATAAACATTTTGAGGTATAAATTCACTTCTAACTACTCTCTTTAGCTGCATCCAATAGCTTTGCCATGTTGTGTTTTTCTTTTCATGTGTCTCAAAATACTTTATAACTTTTCTTGTAAGTTCTTTTTTGAATCATTTGTTATTCAGTAGTGTGCTGTTTAATTTCTATATATTTGTGAATTTCCCAAATTTCCTTCTGTTACTGATTTCTAATTTTTTATGCTATAATCAGATAACAACTTTGTATGATTGTAATCCTTTTACATTTATCGAGGCTTATTTTGTGGCCTAATGTATGGTCTATCCTGGAGCATATTTTATGTGTACATGGAAATAGTTTGTTGTTATTGTGTAGAATGTATTAAAAATGTCTACTAGTTCTGTGGATTTATAGTTTTTTTCAAGTCTTCTATTTTCTCTTTCATCATCTTCCAAATTGATCCATCCATTATTAAAAATGGGTGTTTTAGTCTCCAACTATTATTGTTAAATTGTCTATTTCTTTGTTCAATTTTGTCAGTTTCCTCTCATGTATTTGAGTTGCCGTTGTTAGGTAGAAGTATGTTTATAATTGTTATGTTTTCCTGATGGAATGTCTTATCTAACAGTATAAAATGCCATTTTTTTCTATTAATTTTTCTCTTAAGGTTTATTTTGTCATTAGTATAGACACTCCGGGCTATCTGTGTGACTTGAGGAGAAGCAAAATTTTCTTAGGACACAAACGGTAAGAGTCATGAATAGAATAATAATTTAAATTTCATCAAGGTAAAAAGTTCTGTTCATCTGAAGGCAACATTAACAAAATAAATCATGAGAACAGACTTGAAGAAAAAATTTGCAAAACATGTATCTGACAAAAACCTAGTATTCAGCATATGTAGCTTATCATTATAATTCAATAATAAGAAAACAAACATTCAAACACAGGCAACAAATGTTAATAGACATCTCACAAAAACAGATACATTAATTAGCTAGTAAGCAACCAAAAATGTGCTCAGCATCATTAGTTATAAGGGAATTTCAAATTAAAACTAAAAAGAGATATGAGTATACACCAACTATAATTGTCAAAATTTGAAAAAGACAGATGACACCAAATGATCAAAAATATGTGGAACAACAGAACTCTCATAAATTATTAAGAGTGAAACCATAGAACCACTTTGGAAATAATTCTGGCAGTTTATCCTAAAACTATACATCCACCTACACGATGCCAATCTGATTCCTAGTTATTTATCTGAGAAAAAATACATATATAGCCACAAAAAGCTTTTTCAAGAAAATTCCTATCAGTTTTATTCATATTAGCAAAAATTGTGAAACAGCTCATAAATCCATCAATATAAGAATGCGTAAACAAACTGTGATATATACACGCAATTTTTTACTACTTCTCCCCCAAAACAAATGAACTTATACGTGCAACTTGAAACAACATGGGTAAATCTCAAAAATAGAGAATGAAAAAAAAGAGATATAAAGAATTGATTCTGTGTAAAGTTCTGAAATTGAAAACAAATATATTTTGGGGAAAAAAGCAGAACAGAGGTTAATTTTGAAGGTGTTGGGAAGGTGCATGGGGGAAGTTTTTCTGTTGATAATATTTCATATCATAGGTATTTGATTTGCACAGATGAATGCATTTGTCAGAACTCACCAAATGGTATACGTAAGTTTTGTGGTTTTAATATGTTATGTTTACTTTAAAGAAAAAGAATTCTAAACAAATATTCAACTCTATTTTGTGTGTATAAAGTGAAGTTTACTGATCAAAAACTTACTTTGATATTCATAAAAATAATAAAATGGATTGATGGCTGGAAGGATGGATGGATAGATGAATAGACGTTACTAAGCAAGTACATTAAAATGTCAAATGTAGAATCACTTTGGGATAAGGGGTATTCACTATAAAATTCTTTCAACTTTTACGTATGTTTGAAAATTTTCATAATATTTTTGGAGATAAAACAAAATACAGATCAGGAATCAATATGTTCACAGCCTAGAAAGATGGACTTTCAAGCAAATAACTGTAACACAGTAATGAGTGCAGAAATAGAAGTGTGTTCCTTAAACAGTGGTGGCACAAAGAGGAGATTTACTACGGTAATAAGTCAAATACTATGGTCTAAAATTCTGACTAGAGATGGCTCGAGGTCAGAGATGGGCTAAGGAGTTTGGACTCTATCCGCTGGCGATGTGGAGGTATTTAAGGGGTTGTAAAGACATTTCTTCCACGTACCAGCTGTCTGGAGGGACTGGGATGTGACTATGATGGCAGTATCACTTCTGCAGCCATTGGCGTGCCTATCTTGAAATGAGCATTGCTCACTGTATTCTTTGGGGTTTTTAGAAAGGATCAGCCAAATGCCCCAGGGCACATTCTGGGCCATACTTCGCTAGAGAGGGGCTTGACTAGCACTGCAAGGGCATGTTGCGGCCTCTCAGCAGGACTGTGAGCAAGCTTCCACCCTCACAGGGGAAGGAGGCCAGTGGGCACTGCTTCAGCATCATGATTTTATTTGATTTTAAAAGAATGTTCACATTTACTTTTTCCTCCCAAAATTTCCATGATGGCTTACTATGTACTTTTGGAAAAGTCCAATACAAATGACTTGGAAGCAATGCTAATGTTTTTAAATAGAGCACTCAAATTCTTACCTTAAAGCCAAGTTCCGTGATGAATTATCTAAGATTCACCTGAGTGTAGGACTGAATTAAGAACCCGTATCACTGATGATGCATCTTTAAACTAAATGAGCCAATTTAGGAGCAAAACAGTTTTTTTAACCATATTACTTAAATTATAATAAGTACAAATAAATTTCAGAATGACAACGTGGGGCTATCGAGTACCAGTAGTTGAATGTGGGTTATTCAGATACTAATCGTGTATAAACACTCAAATGTGAATTAAAGCTAGATTAAGCACTATTTTCAATTTTTCAAAAGTTAAGGAAAACTCAGAGACACTGGTGTTTGGCCTAATTACTCCTTAAGGAAGAATAGAAAAATACATGTGACAGTAACCTTGATGACTAATCTTGAGGTTACAAAATAAAGTGACCGCAGAACATATTCCAGGAAGCATCTTGCTATATAACACTGTCTTAAACAATTCCAGAAAGCATGTCCAAGTTACACAGGGAACTACTTAAACTAGCTTATGATCCCAAGCCATCAGTAATTTTGAAGACTCCATCATGTACATATTGTATTCACTATAAATCCTACCTGAGTTTTCAATGTTCTTTCTCATTCCCAAATAAATTCATTACACTAACAACTATAAAATAACAATTATCATTCATTATTTAGGAAATCCATCTAAACTTTTAAAAGAAACACATTTGTTTCAGAGATGGGAAACAAATTGTGTTTCTTTTAAAAGTATGGAACTCAGCGGCTCTTTTGATAATAGTGTAGATGGGACTGAAGTGTCTGTAGCTCCTAGATTTCTGAGGATGCACTTGACTGATGGGAAGGCTGCAAACCATATGAGCCATCTCCTTGGAAATGCATCTTCCCTTGGGGGCTGATTCCTACATCCACACTGAAAAGTTAATCATTTGCCATTGGCAAGAAACAAATGCAGCCATTTTCACGCTGACATATAGTGTCTATCACTCTATAGATTTTTCAAAGGAAATAGATTCAAGCTCTATCAGACTGAAGGATTAGGAAATAATAATCACAGATTCTTCTCTTTAGAGCCATTTGTCCTCTTGCTCCTGATTTTCATCAATTCTCTGTAATTTTCACCCACTCTGTCTCAGGATCATGAGTTATCATTGGTTGCCACCAGAACACTCCACAGCAATTTGTCTTATTGAAACATGGGCTGGCCTCATGGCTGTGAATAATCATTCACTCCCTAATATATCATATATTCTCTAAAATTCTCTCCCCTCCTAAGGACTGCATAATGTTGTCCTAGGGCTGATGAGGCCAGAAATTGTTTTCTTGCGTTTTGAAAAGTGCTATAGTTACAACATGTTCATTTTTAAAATTTGCATCAGGTTGAAGGCATTTCCAGAAAATCAGGTAATTAAACTATCCCCTTGTGCATGAATAAGGATCACTTTGGCTTAGAAGGTATATGTCATTGGAATAAACAAACCTGAATTGGGCACTTTCACCTTTTTCCTTTTTTTTTTTTTTTGACTGGGTCTAGTTTTGCTGAGAATTAGTTGATTTGAAAGACTTTAGATTTGTCAGTTCTATAAAGGTATAATGTGTTTTCTATTCTGCTAGAAATTTCATATTTAAACAATGATCTATCCAAAATTTTAATATGCCTTAAAATTACATCCCTTTATTTCAATATGTGGCAGCAATTCCAATTTCAATAGTAACAAAACTTATTAGTAATGCAGGGAGATGAGTGCCAGCTTGAAGTCCTTCTTGGAGTTTTGGTGGTGCACATATAGTGTTTTCTTTTGATTCATTTTCTTGGATGATAGCATTATAAAAGGAAAGACACTTGTAAAATAATGTTTAAAGGACTTTTGGACATCAATATAATTCCCATAAGGCAACAGTTTGGTGAGTTAAATGTAAACACACCAGGAACATATGGATTCACTATTTCTTAAAAGTACACATGGGCTCAAGAATTAAGGGAGCTAGTGTTTGCAAAACCCATCTTTGGTTTTGCCAAACAAAATATTTGAAAAGTTATGCGATATATTTTCAGCAACATTAATTACTAGGCAACAATGACAATGGCCATTTTGATTATAAAAAGCACTACCAAATTGACAATAGGCAAATTCAATTCCAACACTTAGTCACAATGGATATTATATTTATCAGAATCCACTGCTGTCGCCATGTAGATAAGTCCCCTGGCAACTACTAAGAGCCACCAATAGAACTATAAGTCCACAATATCCATCATAATCTGCATTGAGTGGAGGCAGCTACCAGTTCTTTAATGTTCAGATCTTCATAGGAAGCCTTCTGTCTTCACATTGAGGAATTCAGAGGAGCTGGAAGCAGTGCACAACTACAGTGGCTGTTCCCTAATGGAGTAACTAAATGTGAAGATAGACACAAAGCGCTGCTCTAGAGAATATTACATTTAATGTTATATAGGATTAAGTCGTACTAAAACCTCGATCAACAAATTCTTATTGTCATTGTGAAATGCACAGACCCAGATTTGCTATTAGGTTGGTACAAAAGTCATTGCGGTCTTTGCTGTTGAAAGTAATGGCAAAAACTGCAATTACTTTTGCAACAACATATATATATAATACTGTAACAAAATTCACGCCTAGATCTTCTGCTTTCTAGCTCTATGCCCTTACGCTAGTTACGTAAACTCTATGAGTTTCACTTGCTTACCACCAAATAAGGGTAATAATCCAAATAAAACATGGTTTTGTGAGGTTTAGTGATGACATGTGGGCTGTGGCTAGCATGATGCCAGGTCATATAGAGTGCTCAGCCATGTCGTTAGAAGAATTAAGATTATATAGGTTTAAAATAAATAAGCCAACTTTAAATTTCCTAAATTGAATAAAGTATTCTAATTATCAATAATAATTACCTATAATTTAATAATTATTACCAATAAAGTATTAGTAATGGTTATATTGTATAGATTATTAAAATAAGTTAAATTAACTTATTAAAATTATATGACAAAATTATAGTGATGATTTTCTGATAAGAACTTTTTTCAGATTGTCACTTTAATCATGATCTGTTTTTTAGCCCCATCAATGAAAATGAGTAAATATTCCAAATTAAGTATTTATCACAGGGGCTGAAAAGGGAGGCAAATTTGTAATTGCTGCAAATATTAACATTGATATCATAGATTATTCCTAGATCCCAAAGATGTTTCATATTTACATAAATTTATATGTTACATCTCTACGTATACTTGTTAGGCATTTAGGCATTCCTCAATTGAGATAAACCTTTGGTTTCTACAGTACAATATAAGCAAAACACATACACTCACACACACACACACACACACACACACACACACACAACTTCATTTCCTGTTTAGAGCCCTCATTGATACACCAAGTAAACAGCTGTTACAGTGATTTACAATATACATGAACTGAGCTAAAGAAAATGCTTATTCTTCCAACCAGTGTTTACATGACTGCTATATTACTGCAATCTTTAGTTTTAAGAAATAGCTAAAGAAATTATCTGCAGAGAATGTTTAACCCTCAGAGGGTTTTACGTGTGAATTATGCTGGAATCGGCGTATAATTATTGTAGTACTCTTTTCCCTTCTGAAATCCTCTGATCTACAACACAGTTTTGATCCAAGATGGCTTAATTTATAGTTTTTAAAAGAGAAGAAAATAAGAGAGTGAAAATGACATCTTAGATTTTCTTGTATTCACTCATTTGGGAACCAATTGATTCAGATGCAATTGAACTGAATACACAAATGAACGGGGCCTAACATGGCTTATAGGAGCACATTTAAAAAAAAATGTGTCTCAGTGTATTGAAAACGTTTTAGTGCAAGGTAGGGGGTTCTCAGCCTTTTTCAAACCATGACCCTACATTCAGGCACACTCAACCAGCCCTCTTCAGATGTGCCGAAGAATCTTTTGTTCTCCTTGCTCTTGGAAAGACCTGCTCACAGAATCCTACAGTGAGACACAGAGGATGTCATGGGAATTAGCACAAAGGTTATGGGGTGCACCTGACACATGAAGAGGTCTTCGCTGCACGTGACAGAACAAATCCATTTCAACAGAGGGGAGGTCAGCGCCTGGGAATGGGTTTCAGCCCTGTGACACCCGCACCCTGGCAAGTTGCAGCCCGAGGACCCTGAGATTGAGAATCCTCACGTCAGTGGCACCAGCTCCCTGGCTCTGGCCCTTGTGATGGTCCCCCAGCATGTGTTTAATTGCTGTTCAAGAAACACTTTGCAGCTGGCAACTCAAAGTGTATGGGATGATTCTCCATTCTCCCATGTTAACTCTCTTGACGTTTTGAAGAGAAGTAAGCTTGGGCTGTCTGTGAGGAAGGCCCCTATGTGTAATTTGCATCAGATAGAGGCAGCCGGGGGCATGTGTTTTGGCTTCCTGCCTTCTTTTCATTCATATATTTATTTATTCATTTTCTTTTCTAAATAGGATTTCTCCCGAGAATTAAGTCTAACACCTGCTGCGTCTCAGTATTTCATCACGATGCGTGGGAGTGATCTGGGCTTGGGCAGTGGGAGTGGGAGGTCAGCTCTGAATACTTTTTCTGGTGACTGATTCTGTATAAGATCATCCCAGGTTGCATCTCAACAGTGCTTATCTCTAAACCAATCATGTCCCCCCTGATATTAGCAGTATTTATAGAGGTGTTAAAAGCACGTCTTTATGTAAACTCAGACTGGTAGAGCAGAAAGCCAATCTTAGATTTATTCTGTGTATAATCAAAGCAAGCCCTTATTTGGTTGCTAAAATAAACAATTTCATTTCCCATATAGTTTATTACTATACTCAAGGTTTCCCATCTCACTTTTTCTATAATAATAGAGAATCTTTTATCTCCTCTAAGAATTAGGGCATAAAAACAAAACAAAAACAAAAATAAACTCCCTACAGTGGAGAAGTGCCTAGAGAGAAATTTTTTTTAATTATAAATTTTTGCATTAGGATTATGGCTCCATACAGAATTCTTGGAAAGGAGGCAAATTCTTCTGCCTTGTTCAGGAGGTATGAAAACAACTCAAAAATACCATGCTGTGCCCTTTTGCGTACTAATATCCAGAATGTTTTTTCTTCTGAGTGGTGGCTGTTTCCTAGCAATTTTGTATTGTTTATTCATCTCTATACTCAGAAATCTCCTTTCTAGATCTTTCCCTACGTTTTATGGGTAATCCAGATTTCAAATTTAGTATGTTATTAGCAACCATATTAAGCAAGAACCACTTCACCAAAACTGGCAGTGGAATTATACGATGATGTATTTATAGATTCATTGTTAGGTCTAAAAATTGGGGTCTAAAGTGACTGCATAAATCACCAATTCTTATGATAGCTGCTATTCTCTGCTTCATTACATGGTTGTACAAATATATTTACTCAAAGGAAGGATTTTCCTACCAGTTATCTCAAAAAGTAAGTCGTAAAATATAAAAATTCAAAGAAATGTGGCCATTAGTAATTGAGTAATTTGCTTCATGCTGACATTGAAGATTACTCATTATATCTATCTGGCTTTTCTGGAAACCACGACAGATAACATGATTCTTGCCCAGAAGCTCCCATGTTTTGAAAATTTTAAAGTAATGGCAAAAACCACCATTACTTTTACACCAACCTAGTACTACTTTCTGAAATGTAGAAACATATTATTTCCTCTTTATGGTAATAAATATATTAAGAATGGAAATGTTTCATCTGCTCATCGCAACACAGACATTATGACCAAAGTTTCTTTACTTGGGGAGAAATTCCTAGGACTTGGTTTGTATGTGAATATTTGCATTATCAGCAAAAGTGAAATGTTCACCATTATAGTGGACTACATGAAGACTGACTGACTTAGATAAGATAAAGGAATGCATAAAAGAAGATAAAGTGTTATTAAGAGATTACTGTTGTACAAGCAATATTCTAAATCTAGAAGCAAACAAAAAATTGCTTAACAACACAGTTTATGGCCAGGCACTGTGGCTTATGCCCATAATCCCAGCACTTTGGGAGGCCGAGGTGGGCGGATCAGGAAGTCAAGAGATGGAGACCATCCTGGCCAATATGGTGAAACCCCGTCTCTACTAAAAATACAGAAAATTAGCTGGGCGTGATGGCGTGTGCCTGTAGTCTCAGCTACTTGGGAGGCTGAGGCAGGAGAATTGCTTGAACCCAGGAGGCAGAGGTTGCAGTAAGCTGAGATCGTGCCACTGCTCTCCAGCCTGGCAACAGAGCGAGACTGCATCTCAAAAAAGAAAAAGAATAACAACAACAACAAAAAAGCCATTTTATTTGCAGCTGGTCATTTGTGTTTACATTGTAAAACTACGTTCATATCTTTAAAAACTTGATTGTCTTCTTAGCAAATAATATATGTATAAAATAAATTTATTTATATGCCAAGTTATTCGGTCACTAAATTATTTAAAAAGTGGACCTACTTTGTGAAAATGTAAAATGGGTCATTGCAAGCATATTGTGAAAAGATATACAAATATAATCACCCTCATCATTATTCTTATTCATTATTTCTCATGTGTTACAAAGCCTTTTTCTGGTAACATTTTCTTCCTTAGTAATTATTTACTTGATAAAGAATGTCTTGGGGTTTTTGTTTCCAATCAGGAGAGAGTAACTGGAATAAAATTGATCCTCCCACCGTGAACAACCAAAAATAAGTAAATAGAAAGAAAAATGGCTTGAATCAGTGGTTTTTCAAGACACTGGACATTAGAAAAGAAAGAACAGTCATCCCTGAGAAATGGTAAATAATGAAGGTGAGCCCGATGACTGCCCCAGATTCCCGCCTTGAATGAGTTTCTGGGCCATGGCACAGGGAAGAGGGCTCCCGGAGTTAAGGAGATTGGCCTGAGATACCAACGTGGTGAGAATTTTCAAGACAAAATCATCCCCTTAAGTATTCAGCTGACTGCTAATCTGTATATGACGTTATGAAAAGAACCATCCAAAGAGAGTAGAAAGAACAATGCTTGGTGCCCAGATGGAAACAGAAACAATTCCTGTTTTCATCAGCCAGAATGGGCATTGGGTGGATTATTCAGAAAGATCTTTACTCAATCATGGGAAAGAAGTAGCTGTAGACAAAACCCTAATCCCATGTAACAAATATTAAAATAAAGAGCTGAAAGGGTCAAATTGTTTTCAAATGACTGCATCCCAGGAAAAAGCTAAAAAAATGTTTATAAGAATACAAAAATATCAAGAAACAATGAAGGTAAAGTTCACAGTGCCTGGCATCCAAACAAGGTTTACCAGTCATAGAAAGAACTAGAAAATATAACCATAAATCAACTGAAACTGACCAAGCACTGATCGAGATATTAGAATTGGCATACAAGAACATAAAACAATGATTACAGCTGCAGTACATATGCTAATAAGGTTAAATAGAAGCATAACAAATATTAAAAATATTTAGATTGAATGTCTACAGGTAAAAAGTACAGTTACTGAGGTTAAAATTATACAGGATGGTAATAACAACAGATTAGACTTTACAGAAGAAAAGATTAATGAACTTGAAGACATACTAATAGCAACAATTCAAAAGAGAATACAAAGAGAAATATAATACAAATTTAGAAAGAGTATCAGTAAGCTGTGGGTCAATTTCTAGCAGGCTAATACATATATAATTGAAAATCTGTAAAAGAGAGAAGGAGGGGGATACCAAAGAGATATCTGAAGAAACAATGAAATTACATTTTTTGTTATGTGATAAAAATTACAAACCCAAAGATCCAAAAAACTCAATTAATGCCAAGAAGAGAAAATTACACCAAATCATATTATATTCAAGTGCAGAAAATCAGTGATAAGAATGAAAGCATTCGGAAAAAAAGTCACATCAACTTCAATAGATGAGACAAAAATAAAAAACATAGTGATATGTTAGATTTGATCTAAACGTGTCAACAATTAGATTAAATATAACTGGTCTAAGCACCTCCTTAAAAGGGAGAGAGTGTTCAGTTGGGTCAAAAAGCAAGATCCAACTATAGGAAACATAGCTGACTATAGGAAACAGAATTTAAATATAAATCCATAAATAGTTTATAATTAAAAGGATTTAAGAAGACATACTATGCTAGCACTAGTAAAAAGAAACCTAGAGAGATTATATTAATATCTGACAAAATATATTTCCAGTCAAAGAATATTACCAGGGAAAAAGAAAGCCATTACATAATGATAAAGATGTCATTTCATCAGTGAACATTATAATACAAAATTTCCATGTACCTAATAACAACACTTTAAAATACACAATGTAAAGCCTTATAGAGTTGAAAGGAGAAATAGACAAATCCAAAATAATAGCTGGGAACTTCAGTGTTCCTCTCTCAATAATTAATAGAAGAATTATAGAGAAACCAGTAAGGGTAAAAACAGAATAAAACTATCAACTTAGGCAGGGCGCGGTGGCTCACGCCTGTAATCCCAGCACTTTGGGAGGCCAAGGCAGGCAGATCATGAGATCAGGAGATCGAGACCATCCTGGCTAACACAGTGAAACCCCATCTCTACTAAAAATATAAAAAATTTGCTGGGTGTGGTGGCAGGCGCTTGTAGTCCCAGCTACTCAGGAGGCTGAGGCAAGCGAATGGCGTGAAGCTGGGAGGCGGAGGTTGCAGTGAGCCGGTATCGTGCCCTGCACTCCAGCCTGGGCAACAAGACTATCAACTTACTTGTCCTAATTGACATTTCAAGTATGGTGGAATACACATTATATTCATGCACAAATGGAACATTTATCAAGGCAGACTATACTTTGAACCTTAAAACAGTAACAATAAATTTAAAATAAGTCAGGGCTTATAAAATATGCTCTCTAGTCACCATAGAATTAAATAAAAAATAACAAAGAGATCTCGGAGAATTCCCAAGTATCTGAAAACTAAACAACACATTTCTAAATAGCCCCTTGATAAAAATAAAGCAATGGAGAAACTAGAAGTTATTTTCAATTAAATGAAAATGAAAACATATCAAATTTTGTGGATTTTGAAAGTCAGTACTTTTGGAAAAATTTGTAATGTGAGAGGCTTCAAATCAATGACTACAACTTCTTTCTTAAGATATTAGAGAAATAGGAAATAAAACCCAACAGAAGCAGAAGACAGAAAATAATAATAATAATAATAGAAGAAGAAACAATAAAATACAAATTAGAGGCCGGGCATGGTGGCTCACATTTGCAATCCCAGCACTTTGGGAGGCCCAGGCAGGAGGATTGCCTAAGCTTAGGAGTTCAAGACCTAGCTTGGGCAACATGGTGAAACCCCGTCTCTATTAAAACACAAAAATATCAGCGTGGTGATGCGCAACTGTAGTCCCAGATACTCAAGAGGCTGAGGCAGGAGAACTGTTTGAACCTGTTGCACCACTGCAATCCAGCCTGGGCAACAGAGCAAGATTGTCTCCAAAAAAAAAAAACAAGAAAAGAAATTAGAAAAACAATAGAGAAAAGGAATAAAACCAAAAATCTTTTTTCAGAAGTAATAAATAAAACTGTTAAGCCTCTAACCATACTGATCAGGAAAAAAACTGACAAGACACCAATTATCACTATCAGGAATGAGAAAAATTATAGCACTACATATTTTATATATATTACAAAGATATTAAAGGAGTAATATTAGCGATTATTATGTCAATAAATTTTACAGCAAATGAAATAGACAAACTCCTTGAAATATACAAACTTTGTCAAAACTCACTCAAGATGAAATAGAAGACTTAAGTAGCCCCACATCTATAAAGAAATTATAGTAGATCGAATCTAACAACAAATATAAAGTATAATATATCCTGACCAAGGAGGTTTGTTTCAGAAATGCATAGTTGGTTTAGCATTGCAAAACAATCAATGAATTCACCACATTAACTAACTAAAAAATAAAATCTGTAAATCTGTATGATTTTCTCAATAGACCAAAAAAAAAATAAATTGACAGAATCCAACATTTATTCCTGATTAGAAAAAAAAATACTATCAGCAAACAAGGAATAGATGGGAACTTTGTAAACCTGATAAAGCACATCTATGAAAAACCTAAAACAAACGTTTAATTAATTGTGAAAGACTAAATGCTTCCTGATTGGATCTGGAACAAAGCCAAAATTTTCATTCTCACCACGTCTTTTCAATATTGTATTGGAAGCACTAGCCAGTGTAGTAATGTAAGAAAAATAAATAAAAGGCATCCAAATGGGAAAGGAAAAAATAAATAAGTCAGTAATCTAACTCTATTATCTGATTACATGATTGACTATGTAGAAAATTCAGTGGAATTCACACAAAACTCCTAATCGTAATAAATAAGTTTATCAAAGTTGCAAGATACAAGATTGTTAAGTAAAAAACAATATTTCTGTATGCTAGCAATAAATTTCCAAAATTGGATTTTTAAAAAATACTACTTACAATAGCTTCACTCAATTTGAAATATTGAGGAATAAAATCTGACAAAAATATTCAAGACCCTCACAACGAAAACTACAAAGCTTTGCTAAGGAAAATTAAAGAATAAATGGAGAGGCATACCCCTTGTTCCTGGGTAAGAAGATTCAATATTTCAAGTTGTCAATTTTCCCCAAATCAGTATTTAAACTGAAGAATCCCAGTTAAAATGGTAGCAGGCTTTTATGGTAGAAATTTAAATGTATGTGGAAATGTAAAAAGCTTCTGAGAACAAAGTTAATTTTTTTTTTAAAAGGACAAAGTTGGATAATTAACACCAACTGGTTTTAAGGCTTCTTATATTGTGAGATTAATAAAGACAGTGAGGTCTTGATGTAAAGCTAAACAAATACACTGAGGGGACAGAAGAGAATCCAGAAACAACACACATATATATGGACGGCTGACTTTTACAAAGATGCAAAGACAATTCAGTGAAGAAAACATGCCTTTTCAACAAATGATTCTGGGACAAATGAATATCCAAATGTAAAAGATAATAGCTTTGATCTAGTCCTTCTATCATAGACAAAAATACATTTATAGATCACATGAGTCTAAATCTAAATGTAAAAACTAAAACTACAAAACTTCTTGGAAAAATATAGGATGGAGGAAGTAAGAGGAGTGATGGTTTCACAGTGTATGTGATGTCAAAATAACAAATTGCAACACTTAATTATGGGCAGTTGGTTGTATGCCAATTATACTCCAATAAAGCTGTGAAAACATGTTTCTTTCCAATGTAAGACAGAAGAAGTCACAGAGAACAGAGGCGCTAACAATTATTAAGCACGTAGAGATGCAGTAAATGCATCCAGCCCTTGCATCATCCCACATCAACCTTATAGATGACAACCTTAAATATATCATTATTATCATTCTTTCATGCATAAGTAAAGTAGGGTTCTAAGAGAGAATATTTTTCTCAAAACTCATCCACTTATGAGTCAGACAGTTGGAATTGAAATCTGCAGTTCTTTAATAAATTCAGCCTTTACTCCACTAAGCTGGGATAAACAAGGTTCATGGTAATCAGAGTAATAAGACCTGGGTTCATTTCAGAGTTATCCACCTGCCAGCTTTGTAAACTCGGTCAATTAATTAGAAACTAAGCTTCCTTTTGCCACCTAAAAATGAAAGCAATAATATGTCTCTCATACAATTTCTCTGAGAATCGTATAAATAATAGTAAATATATACCAAAGTACAATAATACATGTATGCTAGTCTGCTTGTGCCACCATAATGAAATACCAAAGACTGGGTGAGTTCAAGTGATTGAACTGGATGGGCTTCAACATATACAGTTTGGAGGAACACAACTCAGTTCATAATAATATGCAAGCAAATTAGAAAATAAGTACAGAATAACTCTTGCTTTTTGACTTTCTTTTGCCCCAGAAGATTATTATTTATTTCTGGTTCTATTCTCACATCCCCTACAGGCTACTCCTAATTGTTATTAAAACAGTTACAATCTACAGCCAATTTGCAGAGAGTACATTTTGACTTCTTCTGGACTAAAGTCAATTCTAGGCTACCAAACCAGGGGCAGAACATGTGAGACAATGTGGATTTTCAACTACTTAATTTATTGGCACTGGTTCTACAAAACAGAAGGGAAATAACTAATGTAATATGCACAGAGGCTCTGGAATACATAGGTTTGGGTAATGTTTTACATATAACTCCAGTGTTCCCCTTATGACCCTGGCTTTGGTCAATACACAGGTACCTGCCATACTTCTCCTCAGATTCTCCTTCAAGTTTCAACTATCTGGAATCTGTGTTACATTATTCGAGTTATTATTTCTTCTTTTGCAGGTATTATTTTTCTTTATCATTTTATTAACTGACATTAAGCAAGGAAAAGTCTCACAGCTCAAATCTTCTTGGTCAAACTCAGTCTCTGGGCCGGGTTCAGTGGCTCACACCTGTAATTCCAGCACTTTGGGAGGCCTAGGCGGGCGGATCACCAGGTCAAGAGATCGAGACCATCCTGGCCAACATGGTGAAATCCCATCTTTACTAAAAATACAAAAATTAGCTGGGCATGGTGGCACACGCCTGTAGTCCCAGCTACTCCAGAGGCTGAGGCAGGAGAATTGCTTGAACCCGGAAGGCAGAGGTTGTAGTGAGCCGAGATCACGCCACTGCACTCCAGCCTGGAGACACAGTGAGACTCCGTATCAAAAAGAAAGAGAAAGAGAGAGAGAGAGAGAGAGAGAGAGGGAGGGAGGAAGGAGGGAAGGAAGGAAAAGAAAGAAATAGAGAGAAAGAAAGGAAGGAAGGAAAGGAAGGAAAGGAAAGAAGCTCAGTCTCTGTGTTTGATTCACCTGGTTTTGTGCTCATAGGAAAGAAAACATTTTATAATTCTGCACTGTACGTTTCTGACACAGCCATTTTTCCAAGTTCTTGTCAACCAGGGCATTTTCACTTTTTTTTTTTTTAACTTAACTCATTTTACTTCTAAATAGCTGTGATTCCAGTCTCTCCTCTATGATAATAGATTTCCATTCTCATCAATGTAGCTCTTTCAAAGTCCCTTCATGGGTATTGGCAACAAGAAACTGGCAGCTGTAAGGACTGAGAGCAGACACACCTCGTTTTCCTGTGTTTTGCTTTATTGCGCTTCACAGATAATTGTGTTTTTCACTAAATGAAAGTTTATGGCAACCCAGTGTCAAGCAAGACTGTCGGCCTCATTTTTCTAACAAGGTGTACTCTATATGTGTCTCTGTATCACAAAAATGTGATTTGGTAATTGTTGCAATATTTCAAACATTTTCATTATTTTTATATCTGTTATAGTGATCTTTGATGTTACTATTGTACTTGCTTTGGGGCACCATGAATTGCACCTATGCAGGACTGCAAACTTCATTGGTAAGTGCTGAGTGTATTCTGACTGCTCCACCAAACAGCCGTTCTCCCATCTCTCTTCATCTCCTCCGGCCTCCCTATTCCCTGAGGCACAACAATAGTGAAATTAGGCCAATTAATAACCCTAAATGGGCTGGGCGCGGTGGCTCACACCTGTAATCGCAGCACTTTGGGAGGCTGAGGCGGGCAGATCACTTGAGTGAGGTCAGGAGTTCGAGACCAGCCTGGCCAACATGGTGAAACCCTGTCTCTACTGAGAAATACAAAAATTAGCCAGGCGTGGTGGTGGGAGCCTGTAATCCCCGCTACTCCGGGGGCCGAGGCAGATCTCTTGAACCCGGGAGGTGGAGGTTGCAATGAGCTGAGATCGCGCCATTGCACTCCAGCCTGGGCAACAAGAGTAAAACTCCCTCTCAAAAAACAAAACAAAACAAACAAGCAAACAAAACGAAATAACTCTAAATGATCTCTAAGTTTTCAAATGAAAGGAAGAGTTGCACATCTCTCACTTCAAATCAAAAGGCAGAAACCTTTAAGCTTAGTCATAGTCAGAAAGGCATGATGAAGGTTGAGACTAACCAATAGCTAGGCTTCATGCACCAGTTAGTTATGAATACAAAGGAAAAATTCTTGAAGAAAATTAAAAGTGTCACCCCAGTAAATATACAAATGATAAGAAAGTGAAACAGCCTTATTGCTGATGTGGAGCAAGTTTTATGGGTATTAATAGAAAATCAAACCAGCCACAACATTCCATAAGCCGAAACCTAACCCAGAGTGAGGCCCTAACTCTCTTTAATTCTGCGAAGACTGAGAGAGCTGAAGAAGCTGCAAAAGAAAAGGTGGAAGCTAGTAGAGGTTGGTTAATGAAGTTTAAGGAAAGAAACCATCTCCATAATATGAAAATGCAAGGTGAAGCAGCAAGTGCTGATGGAGATGCTGCAGCAAGTTATCCAGAAGATCCAGCTAAGATCATCGATGAAGGTGGCTACACTAAACAGTAGATTTTCAATATAGACAAAGCAGCCTTCTATTGGAAGAAGGTACAATCTAGAACTTTGCTATTGAGAGAGGAGAAGTCGATGCGGGGCTTCAAAGCTTCAAAGGACAGGCTGACTCTCTTGTTAGGGAAAGTCAGTCACTAATGCAGCTAGTGACTTTAGGTTGAAGCCACTGCTCATTTACCATTCGGAAAATCCCAGGGCTCATAAGAATTATGCTAAATGGAACAACAAAGCCTGGATGACAGCATATCTATTTATAGCAAGGTTTACTAAATATTTTAAGCCCATTGTTGACTACTGCTGAGAGGAAAAAAGATTCCTTTCAAAATGTTACTGCTGATTGGCAATGCACCTGGTCACCCAAGAGCTCCGAAGGTGATATACAACGAGATTAATGTTGTTTATATGACTGCTAACATAATCCATTTTGAAGCTGATAGATCAATGAGTAATTTAAACTTTCAAATGTTATTATTTAAGAAATACATTTTTTAGGGCTATAGTGCCATAGATAGTGATTCCTCTGTTGGAACTGGGCAAAGTCAATTGAAAATCTTCTGAAAAAGATTCACCGTTCTAGGTGCCATTAAGAACATTTGTGATTCATGAGAGGAGGTCAAAATATCCACATTAACAGGAATTTGGAAGAAGTTGATTCCAGCCCTCATAAATTAGTTTGAGGGTCAAGTCTTCATTGGAGGAAGTAATTGCAGATGTGGTGAAAATAGTAAGAGACCTAGAATAAGAAGTGGAACCTGAAGGTGAGACTGAATTGCTGCACTCTCATGGTAAAACTTGAATGGACAAGGAGTTGTTTCTTATAGATGAGCAATAAAAGCAGTCCTTTGAAGTGGAATCTACCCCTGGTGAAGATGCTGTTAACATTGTTGAAATGACAACAAAGGATTGAAAATATTACATAAACTTAGTTGATATAATAGCAGCAAGGTTTGAGAGCATTGTTTCCAATTTTGAAAGATATTCTACTGTGGTTTAAATACTATCAACCAGCATCACATGCTATAGAGAAATCTTTTGTGAAGGGAAGATTCAATTGATACAGCAGATTTCATTATTGTCTTATTTTAAGAAATTGCCACAGCCACTCCAGCCTTCAACAACCACCACCCAGTCAGTAGCGATCCACATAGAGGCAAGACCCTCAACCAGCTAAAAGATTACAATTTCCTGAAGGCTTAGATCATTATTAGCATTTTTTAGCAGTCAAGTATTTTTAATTAAGGTATGCCTACTTTTCTTAGACATGATACTATGGCATACTTTATGGACCACAGTGTAGCATAAACATAACTTTCATATGTACTGGAAAAAAATTGTGACTTGCTTTATTGCAAGATTTTCTTTATTGCCATGATCTGGAACTCAACCCATGATATATCTGAGGTGTGTTTGTATTCTGATCTCTTCTCCCCATCCCTGGATTTTTAAACTGTTAAATAAGAACAATAGAGCATTGTTCAAAGTACTTGTTAGAGATGCATTTTGGATATGAGTTATCGAGCTTTATAGCATATTTGTCACAAACCTCGGGGACTGTTAAGCCTCCTATGGAATTACATTCTTACTAGCATTTCCATGAAGTGTCTAATATGAGAACAGATTTGTTCAACTTTTGGAAACCAACTGGTGAGCTAAGTTTTCAATAAGCAACACTATTGTTTATTATTTATAGTTTTAAACCTCTAAATATAAAACAAATTGGTGGCTCCTTCACTGGCTTACATATATGTGTCTATTATTGAAAGTTTGTGTAGATTCAGAAGGTCCCACTTTCCTTTACATTTACCGTGTCCAGATTTGAAAATCAATGTGAAAATGACATGTTTTTAGTTTTAAAAGGTATTTCTTTATAATTTTCTAATCATATTTAACATCAGTCCATATAAATATATGGAATTAGAAGAGAGGGGTTATATTATAGTGTCTCTTTAAATAAAACTTTGATTTCTATTCATAGAAATTTAATTTAAGGTAATTTTGGTGGTAAAAACTTTAGGAGTACAAAGTGTGTTCAAATCTTCATGGCCTTCTTTGGATTGCAATAGGGTTTGTTTTTATTTAAATTTGTGCTTTTTTTTTCTTTCTTGCAATTTGTTACTTGAATATGTGTTTGCAAAAGTAGTTTTTCATGTTAGAGGTAGAAAGTTTTGTGAAAGATTGGAAAACCTATGAGTTTAATGTTCTCTCTTCTGCAGAAATAACATGAAATTTAAGAAAAGAGAAATCTTACATAAGCCATACTTAAATCTATCGATGTGTATATGAAACCACAAATTCCAGTTTGGGATTTGAGGAGTTCTGGACCAATCCTAAGGCTCTTCACGCTGCCTACTCCAGGGAGGCCTGAAATGTCAAAGTCTTATGTCATCTCAATGGTCATATCCCATCTTGCTGCAAACCACATAATCTATGAGGACTGCTGCCATGAAAACTCATAAATGCTCCTCTCCATGAACAACATCTCCCTAGTTAAAGTCATCTTTACCAAGTCTGAACATTTTCAGATGGAAATATGTATTCATTCACCTGCAGTCAGTGCATAGAAACATCACTTAATGAGAACTATAACAATCTCTGAGCTCTCTGCTCTTTAACCTTGTAATATACTCTCGCAATTTTTGGTTAAGTGGTCCAGGGGTATAGCACCAGGGACAGAAAGATATTCTAGTTCTTCATTGTTGACATGAGAATGCACAAAGACAAGCTCAAGTTTCATTTTAACAGTGATGGAAATGGGAGGGGTGAGTAAAAAGGCCGCCCCTATAGAGTGTTTTCTGCTTGTTTGACAGAGTTCTGCTAATCAGCCAAACATTATTAGGGGGCACTTGTCCTTCAAGTAGTACAGTCACTCGGGATAAATACTATTAAGATACCACAGGCTGAACTTGCAGGCTAACAGTTATTTAAGCTACATATTCTGTGTGACAATGAATATCGTATTTACAGTATTTGCCAAAATAACTTCCATTTTACAGATACACCCCTAGATTACTGTTCAGAGGCTTGATGCCGTGCCATTAAATCGACACTGAATTCACATATTAGACATTTAAATTAGTACATCACCCCCACTGTCTCCCACTCTCCTTTCACCTATCTCAAATTTGATCACCATTTGATACATAAGGTACTGTTGACACAGGTTGCTATGATGCCAGTTTACCAAAGAGATTTAAAAAAATTTGTTTAGAGAGTGTACACACTTCTTCAAAGATAAATGCACACCAGAGAAAATCCTAACAGCTTTTAATTTCCATGCTTTTCAGTTTTATTGTTGTAAATGCAACTGTTTATAGGACTAATGACACAGGCTGGCTCTGTTGAGTCAATTACACCAGTAGGCAGTTGGATCAGATTCTTTACTCATGTTCCATTTACTCTATGTGGATGTTTGATATTTGACTAAATTGAATTGCACCAGAGAGCCCTGGTGCTTTCCGTCCTCTGCATCTCTGCACACTTTATGGAACAATGAAATAAATGATAATATGCTAGATGCAGGGTGGTGACTGTGCACAAGCACATGTGGCCATAGCTACACAGTGAGCAATAGTCAACCAGCAGCTCGGTGTGTTATATGAGATGCCTCAGCGATGGCAGGATTCCATGGGAGGAAACTTATCAGACTGATGTATGGTGTATATATGCTTCAATTTTTAGTTTATTGTTGTTCTGTTTCTTAATTTCACAGGGGAGAGAGAAAGTGGGATCGATGAAGACAGAAAAAGGGGTAATTTGTGACGTCGCGTGCTCATGTTAGTGACAGTAACACAGTACCATCTGGACTTGGGCAATATGCAGGCAGATGCTGAGCAGACTCCCCACACACTCCTAAATGCCAGAGTGCTTCTCTGCTGACCCACAGCTAAGCATGCAATTCTGGTAATGAGCCGACCAGTGTGCAGAGAGCTTGATGGTTCCGATTTATGCCACGCTGTGGGAAGATGCATAATGCAGCATGGCTTGCTCACTCATTTCCCTCATGACATATACCATGATATTGTTACCATCTATTGTGTTTCTAATGATGAACCAGACATAGTACGTAAATAGTCTCATCCAATGCCAATAGCAAAACTCAAGGAAGCAGTAACAGCTACCATAATGCATAAGAAACTGGAGACTCCGGATGCTTATTTATTTGCCCTAGAGCACGTGGCATTGGTATTTGAACCCAGATCTGTCTAAATCAAATCATATTTTTTTACTATTATGTTACAGAGCTTCTCCAACAAACCCATCATTTTTTTTAAACTTCATTGGTTTTTGAAGGCCAGAGTCCTCATAAAACTTGCAACATTGGTATTAAGGAAATATTTGTTACATTCATAATTTTATTAAGTTTATAGCACCTCTAGCCTAAAGCATAGTGACAGAAAACAGCTAGTTAAAACATGGTAATGTATATCCTAACTCTTCACATATCTTAGAAAGAATTAGATAACCTAGCTTCAGTGGGAAAGATTCCATTTGTGAACTAAATTTCAATGACCAATTTAGAATTGCTACTACTAACTGTAAAAAAATCACTTACTCATTTTGCAGTTTTATAATAAAAAATAAGTAACTAGATCATGAGGGCAAATGAACAAGCCAGAGGATGCCAATTCTGTATGTGTTTTATGGGTTAATCTTGGGGGAATAATTTATCTATTAGTTTGAACTAAAGCAAGAACAACACCATTATCTTAACAATACTAAACAGAAGAAATCCAAAGCTATTGTTTTCACTCTGTCTCATAAGGAAACAAGTAGTGTGAACTTATTTGTTTCCCATTTCTATTTGAGGTCTTGCTAATGTGCTTTCTCTAGTGCATTTTCACCATCTTCCATGGACCCATATTTTGGGACAATGGAAGCGCTTTGGACCAGACTTGCAAAGGCTGTCTCATCACCTGAAATATAAGAGCTGTATCAGGGTTTTAGGGTCTCAAATCAGGTGGAATTCCTTTTCTTTTTGCTGATCTTCCAGAGTTAATGTTTTCCATGAAGAAAATTTTAGAAAGTTATGGCAATAGCTTCAGGTTTCTCCTGGACCCACACAATAACTATAAGTTGGTAATCATTTCAGTACAACTAATGAAGAAACATAGTTAAAGATCTACGGCTTCTGCACCAGTCAAGAGTCGGGTAGTGAAGTGCATTGTTGTAATACAGGGACTTTTCATCATTGAACTTCCAAAGGTGTGTAGTGATGTAGTTTGACACCGGTTGGTGTATTTTGATAATTACCTTTTCCAATTTTTGAAATAAAGTGATGGACAAAATATCTAAAATCTGATCTGAATTTTAATCTTCTGCAGCATCCAACCAAGTGAATTTGGGTTTGCTTTAGTTTTTCTGTCTCCCAGACTTCACACAGTTCTTTGAGGCTCCATGGTGGGTAAAAAATTTCTAGTGTATTCCTTGTTAAAATTTTTAAATAGTGAAGCAATGTCTGATATATACTCGGTGTAATCCTTAAGACTTCATGCTCCTTAATAATTACCTTAGAAATTAAAATAAACTGGAAAGCATTCAAGAATAGGTTTTAAAGACATTTGTGACCATTATGAACATTAATAATTTCAAATATATATATATTTTATATATTTATAAAATATAAATTTTAGCTTACAAAACAAAGACAGGAAGAATAACAAGAGGTCTCAAGAAAGCTGAGAAAATTGTTTAAGAGTTTGTGGAAGCCAGGGTATTTGATAGCAGTAACATTGGTAACATGGTGGTTTTCATACATATATAGAGCACTTGCTTGGAGCTGAGCATCGGGTCACAACCCTGAAAGCTGAGCATTTCATCTGTATTTTACAAATGGAGAAACTTGGTTTAGAGAGGCAAGGTGCCTCCCCAAGGTCATCTGATGAGTACGTTCAAGAGAAAGAATTTGGCTTTTTCATTCCCGAGCCTCTATTATCTTTTAATGAATCCTATCCTCACACACACAAAAACTTCTTTATCTAAAAGCTAGTCAAGTAATTTGTTTCTTTTAAAAAGCAAATAAATAAAACATATAATCCAGGCATTGCTTCCTGGTAACTTACTGATGTCCCCCCAGTTCCTGAGAGTAACAGCACAGTGTAGCATTGCTCTGTCCAATATACTGAGGATGCTGTACTGAATAATGTTTAGGCATGTAGGCACTGGGTTCAGATTGCCTGAAATCATGTATGGTTCGACCAATTATTCACTGTGTGTGATTAACCTCTCTGTGCTTGGGCTACCATATTTGTAAAATGGGGGTCATGAGAGTTCTTGCCCTATAGTATTATTGTGTAGACTAGAAGAATTGAACTCATATACACACAGTAAGTACTCAATAAATGTCAGTTAAAATTATTATGGATATCAGTTGTTGAACAAATGGGTAGAAATGTCAGCAAGGAAGATTTCCATCTCAATGTTTTTACCTTATTCTCTACCAAGCATTCATGCTTTCTTGGATTTTTTTTTTTTCTTGTTGCATCATCCTGGTGATTTCTCCAAAGCAGTAGAAGCAGTTTTTCAGAACAGTTTTGCCTATTGTCAGCTAGCTATATGAGACAAGGACTTCCAGTTGCCCTTGGAAGGCACCAAGGTATTATCTGAGATAAGATCTTACCCAAGACACTGGACAGCATCCTAGTGCCCCAATCCAGTCACTTCTATCACCAGGTGAGCCGATTATTTCAGGGAATTTTATTCACCTGATCTTCCATTAGGGCTGCTTTGCAAACCAGAGCATGTGCTATTTCTAGTGAAATGATGACCCTGCTTCAGAACGCAGGTACATTAAGGATACTTAATTGCAGATGATGATCCTGTTTAGTTGTTAAGGGAGTGAGAAAAGATAGAAAATTGTGAATTTAGATTACTAGATAACAGAGACTTTTTTTTTTGTACAGGTAACTCATAATTTAAGTATAAGTGACAATGAAAATTGAACCATACCATCATTTAAGAAATTGTCCTATGATAGAACTAGAATTTCCTGTATATTTGGCACATTCTCAGCTAAATTGACCTAGTATATTTCCAGGAATATGTCAGTTAAAAATGTGCCCTTTGGAGGAAAAAGAGGGAGTACAGATTCCGGGATAATAAATACTGGAGGACTGGGAGGAATCAGACTATTGGCTTCCAGCTGGCATGGCAGAGGTGGTTATAACTGAGAAAAATAAAAACTTGGATTAGGCAGCCATTCAGTAGACTCAAGCTGCTACTCTGCTACTACTAGATCAGTATGCCTCAAAATCTCACTTTTACCATTTTGTAAAAACTACAGTTCCCGCACTGCTATAATAAAAACTGCATCCCATTCCTGTGTTTTCTTGATGGAGAATAGCTGTCTTTTTATATTTAAGTAAACATCACTTTTTAAATTCTTTTTTTCCTATCTTTTGCAGTCCAGAATTTTGAAGGCGATTTTATGTGCCTCTTTAAAAATGTCTGAGTTTATCAGGTTCACAAAATGGAAGAGTTAAGAGGCAAAAAGTGTCCTGATTACATTCACACTCAGCACTTACTAAGATATGCACACTCCTTAATTCTATATTTTAACAATCTATAGATTATTAATTCTATAAACATCCAAGCAAAGAAGACAAAAATTGAAGTAAATAATTATAAAGGAAAATCTTTCAAACATATACATCATTTTTCTTTTCAGATGGCTGCTCACCTTCTTGGGTACTGGGGCCTCTGTCTGGGGCCTTCACTCTTTAACCTCACCATCTGTCAGTAGGGTTTTAAGGCACAGTCTGGGATCTTTATTTTTCTGCTTACCCATACCCAGATAATGCATTTACATTTATTTTAGAGACAAGAATAAAAGTTAAATTTTATTTTAGCCTGTGCTATTTGGAAATCAAGCATCTGGCTGGCTGAAAAAGGCTACGGTACCATTTTGTTTTATAACTTAGAAGGTGCTGAACTCCATTATGAAGGAATTAAATTCTCAGAGGGTATTTTCTGGTGCTGTCTTTCTGAAAAATCATCATCCTTAGCACTCTGCCTCATTTTCCACTAGAATTGCCCTTCACCAAATGAAGTCAGGGAAACTCAAAAAGCAGCCTTACAGAAACAAAGACTCCAATCTGCAGAAGGGACCATAATCTCATTGTGTCAGTCAGAAACTCTGAATTGGATCTGCTCGCTAAATTCTCACTATAATTTTGTCAGCCACATCTGCAGTCTGTGTCTCCGTATCACTGTACTTGGACGACGCAAACACGTTGCGGCTTGTTATTTCTCTCTGGCTTGCTTTTTTCTCTTCTGTCTGTCTTTCCTTGTTTTCTATTCTCTTTTTTTCACCTATGTCTTTTCATCTACTGGCAGCTGTTTCCCCTGACCTCGTACATCTAAATCGAGTGGTGTGTGTAGTTTCGGCATACCTCATGGGGCTCTAGGAGAAGCTGTCTTGTTTACCATCTCAAAGGAACACCAGTTTATCAACAGAACACACATAATGATCGCGGTGGTGCTAGAAGCTTCCATATACGACCATCTTGATTCCAAAGATGGAAGGCCCCCAGGAGTCAAATGTTTTCCCTATAGTGTTGAATAATGTAATTCCTATTCACACCTCAACTGCCTGCACTTTACTTACTTCCAGAGGCATCCCACTCCATTTTGAAACTTGGTCTGTGAATGTGTTGGGGGTAGAGCTAGCTTTTGTCAAGGAAACTGTGTGTATGGACTCTGCTGAAAGGGATGATGGTCTTCTTGTTGCCGCCTCCTTTCAAAATTGGAGGCGTCTGAACGCAGTGTAATGCTTCAGAAGTGCATGTCTTTAGGAGACAGATTTCTCAACTGCCCAGGTGCTGAGCGGAGGGGCCCTCATGCTGCCTGACCGGGCTGAGCTGCGGCTGCTTCTCCAGAGGAGACAGAACACTGTTTTCTCTGTAACAAGATAAGGCAGCCCAGCTGTATCTCCTAAAACACGCTTTATTTTTGTTGCTGTTGCCCTCTCCCCTCCCATCCCCTCCCCCAGGTCGGCCCTCAGTGCCCTCCCGAGAAGTACATGCGCTTTATGGCCGCCTCTCCCTTTCTGTGAATTAGAGTTGCCCTACTGTCTCAGCCACAGGAGAGGGAACAAGGGGAGTCGGAGGCAGGCAAGGCCATTTCCTGCTCTGGTTACGCTGAGAGGGGAACTGATGAGAGAGGTATTTCATTACATTCCAATCCCAGCCACCGTCCAGAAAGGGGGAGATTCTGTTAATTTTACTGAAGGCAAATATTTATTTTCTTAACATAGCTCTGCATTTGTTTTGATACAGTAATTTGGTTTTACCATTGCAATCTGTAACTGAAATCACTCACCTAAGCCAGAATGTTAAGCATCATGCAGCAGATGTATATTTATATTCCTACACTTACATTTTTACTGAATCAAAGTCTTGATTCTTATGTACAGACTTTATCAATTATCATCAGCCTTTATCTGCAATTAGCATAATTTTAGTCATTCAAAAATTGAGAAAGTTTTCTTAATTATTACCTATGTATGGTTAAGCCAGGTATGTATGGTAAGAATTTTTAAAGTAATATAGGATCTATTAAAATGTAGTATTTGAGTTAAAATAGTTGAGTGTTGTGCATGAGAAATCATGAGAGGCTGTTTTCAGCAATCCACGTTTTTTTATTTTTCTTTAAGAGAGGAAGCAAAGAGCGAAGAATTTACAAATATATTTTTTCCCTTTACAGATTTTATATTTCTCTTGATTATATTTTTAATGCAGCAGTTTGTCCATTCATCATAAGAACAGATCAGTAGCGATCTAATTTTAATTTCAGATATCCAAAATTGTGTAACAAGCTTAGCTGTGTGTTTCCACTTTGCCGGCAGAGTATGCAATTCTTTAAGGTAGTTGCGGATGAGAATAAACCACCTACAAACAAACATCCGATCCTAAATCTTGGCATCCTTTAGCTGTGTGGTAAAACTCTATTACCACCTCCCCAAAGGGTTAATGGCGCCACTATTGGAGGGACAATTCATTCTCCTGCTAAACACGATGACAAATAACCATTATTCTTTCCAACTGCACTGATAATCGGGACAGCTTAAACATTTTCGCCAGTATAAGTGAAACCATTAATCCTCTTGGATTTCATGATAAGTGGTGACTGTGAAATAATGACTGTGTCATTGTAGGCAAGAAAAAATGTTAACAATTAAAACAAGTTAGCCATTATCTTACCGGGTACTGAATCGCTTTCACATTTCATTTGCAATATTGTAAATGATATGTACCTTATTAAAAAGCTCTTATTATCTAAGAAACCCAATTAGTCAAAAATTTGCAGTCACCACTATAATTTTCTAATGATATAAATGCTACAGTGGGTATTGGACATGGGGAAATGTTTCTGTTTATCCATAAAAGATCCACAATATGTCATTGTTTCCCAGAAATATCATAGAGGATAACTTATTTTTTTCTGGATATAATTATATTTTATTTTAAGTGATCCACCTGCCTATTATTGAACAGAATGCAAAATCCCTCCTCAGCTAACAGTGTATTTAAGCCAAACATTAAGCTTTCTGCCAAAAGATGATAAAAGTCCAAGAAAATAACAATTACAATTTTATAGTGCGTTGAAGATTTTTTTTTATTCCTATGCTCAACCTCTAAGCTTCTTACAAATGAAGCTGATAAACTGATCTGGAAGACTTCGTATACCTCCATGCTGAAAGGGGGGGTCCCTGCATTTATCAAAGGGAATGTCCAAGATCAAGTTCAAATCTGATAGTTTCATTCTCCAGACATATAAAATGATGAAAATAACATCAGAATTCTGGAGAAAGAGTATGAATGCAGATATTATATCTAGATATTACCTACATGTTTGTAACAAAGAAGTAAACATTAACAGAATAATTCTACATACAAACACAACTAATTTTTTTCTTTAGAAATCCTATAGAAAGAGGGGCTTGTGTTCAGCACATAGATTCAGCAGTGTGTTGCACAATGCACTAGCATATCTAATACTTATGGAAATGACTCATGCCAAGCACTTAGACTCCTTGTCATTTACAAGTGTTCAATAAATGGTAGCTATTTTAGAATCACCAGTTTATCAGATTACTTCAGTAATATCAAGTAGAATGTATATGCATATATATGGATGTATAATGGACACAAATGGACTTTCCTACATAAAATGTGTCATAATAGAAATGACAGAAATCAACGCCTGTCTTCCTGGAGTCAAATTCTGCAATTGTGAGTACTGGCTGTAACTTTTTAGAATCTTTAAATCATCCTTCACTTCCTCTTTTAGTTTAAATTGCTTAGTAGTGCCTGCTTTGCACGCAGCACTGTGCTTGGTACTGGAGTGAGGGGAGAACAAAGAGAAACCTTATATGTGGCCCTTACCCTAGACTAATATTTTGTCTATATGATGGAGTTTTTCCTGTGCATCTATCTTTTTAAGAGTTTATAAAATTTTATACAGTTTTTAAGAAAATTATATATATTAAATTATGTCTCACATAGCTGGAATCATATAATGAAACAGCAGAAAGACTAGGGAAGTTAATGGAGACTGAAGAATCAATGTGGGTGGAAGGAAGAGGAAAAAAAGGGAAGAAGAAGGAAGGGAAGGAGAGAGAGAAAGAAAAAGAAGGAAAGCATTTGAACAGCAGGCTTTATGTCGGGTGTTTGTGAATATGCTATCTAGTTTGGCTCATAAACTGTGTGAAGTTGGGATTCTTACCCCCATTTTACAGATGAAAGCAAATGCCAGTGCTGTTTGGTTTATATTTGACATGTGTTCTAAGATTAGTAACTTGGCCTTATTCCATCAGTTCTGATTGAAGCAATGCTAACGCAATGTCAGAAATCAAGTTAAAATCCAACAGTGAGTCTCTGGATGAACCTACCAAAAGCACCAGGAGTTGAAAATGGTTCTGATCCCCTGGTGCAGTGTTGCATTTAGGTGAACATTTCTGCTGTTCCTTCTTGAATAAGGGGTTCTGGAGCTTCTACTTCAAACAATGTTGACACAAGTGCCCATAAACTTAATTCTCTAGTTTCCACTTTTTTTCTATTAGTACCAGGATTGGCTCACCCACTTCCCTATTCAATGTCACCATCGCACTCAACGCCAAAAGCCAACTTAGAAACACAATCATTTTAAAAACATGTACACCAAAGCATAAAATGTATAAACTGTAAATATCATATAACACAATGGAAAGGAAAATATATCAAAAATTCTTGGCTAAAGAAAACAGCAGAACTTAAAGCTGCACTTTTGAGCTTCCTAGCAGTGAAAGCAAACATGGAACCAATACAGTCTAGACTTTATCATCAGATTTCCATTCCTCGCTGCTGGAAAGTAGAATGCCCCAAGGCAGCTTCTCTCTCCTGTCCCCAAAGGTGCAGGTGACTACTTGGCATGTTCTGAAATGTCCTATTCTCAGCAATAATCATAAATGCAATGGAGAAGTCACTACTTTCATGCCTCCCTTCGTTTCTTTTCTTTTTTTCATTTAGATCGTGGCAGTGATGGGTGTTCAAGGAACTGAAAAGATCATTGTAACTAAAGTAAGCACAATGTTATGTTCCTGCAAGCCAACTGGTCACTCTAACCTGGACATTTTACTATAGGAATAGAATGGGAATGGAACCAGTATGGACTTAACTGTGTTCCCCAAAATTCACACATTAAAGCCCAGTTTGACTGCATTTGAGCCTTTAAGAAGTAATTAAGATTAAATGAGGCCATAATGTGTCCAGAGTTTGTTCCTTCTGGTGGGGTCATGGTCTCGCTGACTTCATGAATGAAGCCGCTGACCTTCGCGGTGAGTGTTACAGCTCTTAAAGGTGCTGCGGACCCAAAGAGTGAGCAGCAGCAAGATTTATTGTGGAGAGTGAAAGAACAAAGCTTCCACAACGTGGAAGGGGACCCAAGCAGATTGCTGCTGCTGGCTAGGGTGGCTAGCTGGGCTAGCTTTTATTACCTTATTTGTCCCCGCCCATGTCCTGCTGATTGTTCCATTTTACAGAGTGCTCATTGGTCCATTTTCCAGAACACTGGTTCCAGAGCACTGATTGGTCCATTTTACAGAGCACCGATTAGTCCATTTTACAATGTGCTGATTGGTCCATTTTACAAACCTCTAGCTAGCCACAGAGAGCTGATTGGTGCGTTTTTACAGAGTGCTGATTGGTGCATTTTACAAACCTCTAGCTAGCCACAGGGTGCTGATTTGCGTTTTACAATCGTAGCTACAGAGTGCTGATTGGTGCGTTTTACAATCCTCTTGCAAGACAGAAAAGTTCTTCAAGTCCCCACCTGACCCAGAAGTCCAGCTGGCTTCACCTCTCAGTAAAGGTTGGCTGTAAACCAATATGACTGGTGTTCTTGTGAGAGGAAGAGACACCAGGGACACACAGCAAGAGACATCAGGGTGGTTGTCTGCAAGCCAAGGAGAGAAGCCTCAGGAGAAACCAATTCTATTGACACCTAGGTCTTGGACTTCAGCCTTCAGAACTATGAGAAAAAGTGTGTTCCTCAGGCTCTCTTTTCCCAGGATATTAACAAGTATGTTGGAAAAGTGGACATCAATAGAGTTTGAGAAATAGTGAGTTGCACATAATTTACCAGATTTCTTCATGCATTGGAGTTGCTATTATAGGAATATCATAGAAAGAGTTTCCCAAATAGTAAATGAAAGCCAGTTTGGGGGACCATCTTAGGTTACTTGTTTTTCTTGCAAAAATTTTGCACCCATGGTTCGCTGGTTTAGGGACAGTCATTTTGATTTTGTCCCCTATGCTGGTCTTCACCATCATGGAAACCAGGCCTGGGAATGTCTCTTTAAAAAGTGAGACAAAGAAAATGAATATGGCTAAGAAATATGAGTAAAGTTCCAGGCAATTAGGAGGGAGGAAGCTGAAGGAAAAGGTTGAGAACTTGGCTTTGAAATCAACCGTAGGTTTGACTGAATGCACCATTTTATTCTATGTCATCCCTTAATTCTGTGTAATTGAACTTTGATTCCTTATATATAAAATGGGGTGATAATTCCCTGGTCAAATTAAATGCTCAACAAGTAGGGGAGGTCATTGAACAGAAGGGGGTGGCCACAGAGGGAAAGAGGTATACGAAGGACCACAGAACAGCCCATCTGGACCTGCTATTGCTGGTGATTATTCCCTGTGCACGCCTTAACTATTTTAAAGTTACAGGCTGCTGGAGTCTGTGCATTCTTAAATCAGGAACTTAAGTCAGTTCTTGTAACATAATGTATGTACTCCCATGGGTTTATGCATTTCTGATGAACTGACCAGTGGGTACACACTGAAAGTGTTACATACTTTCTCATGCCTCCATAACCTTTCCACCTGCTACTTTTTCCGCCTGGAATTTCCTTTTCCATGTGCCCTCTCTGCCTGACAACTTTCTACTCCAGCGCCACATCTTGACTCAAGCATCACCTCTTCTCCGAGGCATCCCCCAAATCTTGAGGGTGAAGTCAGGCACGGATTCTCCTGCACTCTTCTTCACCAGGTGCCTTCCATGAGCACAATCTTCTTACCATAGCTTCATCATCTTCATGTCTCCCCAGCACAGGCCCAGATACACACGGCGTGGAAAACGGAAGCATGTGCCTTGTGCTGTGGGTCCTTGAGCTTCTGCACAGCGCCTCCCGGCACGCGACAGATGCTGTGGTTTTGTTGTTTTGTTTGTGTTTTTGTTTTGATTTGCAGTAAGGTATGTTTGTTTTTAGTTTTCAGGATTTTTTTTTCTTTTTGATGTTTTTTTTTGAATATGTGAATCACATATGTGGTTTCTAAATCAAAACTATTAACAAGCCTATTGTTGAAAGACAGAATAAAGTAATCATTGTTTTCAAAACCTCAAACTGGAACACATAATTTTTTATTTTAACTCTTTTTTAAAAATTATACTTTAATTTCTGGGATACATGTGTATACATGTGCCATGGTGGTTTGCTGCACCCATCAACCCGTCATCTAGGTTTTAAGCCCTGCATTCACTAGGTATTTGTCCTAATGCTCTCCTTCCCCTTGCCTCCCAACCCTCGACAGGTGCCAGTGTGTGATATTCCCCTCCCTGTGTCCATGTGTTCTCATTGTTCAACTCCCACTTATGAGTGAGAACATGCAGTGTTTGGTTTTCTGGAACACGTAATTTTTTTACATGTCCATGTATCTGTATAAAATTTCTTCCAAAGCAATGCACATTAAACTAGGCTAGTTATATATTTAATACAAGTTCTTCACTGAAAAAATAATTTGTGCAAAATCAGGCCTGTCTTGGTTTCAGGTGGCCATTCGTTCAATGTATGCCTCCATCCCCCTGTTGTATGTAATACAACCTGGTCCTGACCTTGCCACATTCACATCACATTCTCCTGTTATCTGAAAGGCCATGATGGGGTCCTGCCTCAAATAAAAATAGAGTGCATTACAGCCTCTGAAGGAAACAGGCTGTAACTGTTAATAACAATCAGCTCTTCCCTTGATAGCCACATTCACTATGAAACCATTTTCCTTAGATACATGTTGTAATTTAAGGGGTCTGAGCTCATGCAGAAGTCTAGGCATAAATCCTGCTAATGGTTTCATCCCTAGGGAATCCCTGCAATGTTCCCTTGGCAATGCTTCTTCTTTTCTTTGCACCCACAAGAAGCCTGGAAGTGACCACTTTCTAGAACCATAACTTTCAGGCCCACCTGGCCACTGCAGTTCCTGCCGGCTGCCTCCCCCAGATCCCACAGCCTTGGTTGCCCTAGGAACAAAAAGTTCGTCCAGAAAGCCTACATGGAGACTCCAGTTACCACTAACATTAATCACACGTGCACACTGCCCTGTACCTGCTCTGGTGGGATTTACTTACACATTATTTTCTACCCAACTGAGCAGAACCATTCCTGAGAAGTACCCCATATTCCAAATCCTCACAGTTCTCTCTTGATCCTTTTAAATTCATTTACAGAAGAAATATTTGTTTTACCTTTTTACATTTTGATCTCATAACACTTTCAGGAAATTTACAATTTCTTATCAGCATAGTGATTTAGAGATAACAAAATGCTTTCAAATACCACACCTCTGGTAATGCTCATGACTACACAGAAGAAAGAATTCTTTTGAGGAGGAAATACAAGTTTAGAGAGATTAAGATATTTGCCTAAAGTCAAATGGCTGACAAAGGGTGAAACCTTAATGCAAACTCAGTATCTTTAACTCTATTTCGGGTTTTCTTATTATCCAACCCTTTTGTCTACTTTTCAGATGAAGTTCAAGGGTAAAACTACAAAAGAGTACGGAAGGAGGCATTTGTTGGAGAATGTTTTCAGTGAATCATTTGTTTTGGAAATATCTACCATGATGCTCTATTATGTCTGTGAAATGAAGATTAGAATTGCACTTATTGCTTCTCTGATAACTTGCTTACCGAAACTATCAATTAGTCTAGGTAGCTAACATTTTCAGACACTGGCAGAAAAGTAATCATTCACTGCAAGGTCTTCTTCCCAAGTCTGTGTCAGATTCTGAGCCAAAACAAGAAGTTACGTACAATCATAAATGTATGCAGCATTGCTACTTAACTAGAAATATGCATCAGGAGAGTCAACAAAATAGATGTGGACTGATAGACTTGCGTATAGAAGAAAAGGCTTCACTCTGAAGCACTTCAACCTGTAACCATCTGGGAAATGCAATGGAAGGAAAAGTGGAGGGATTTCAGTATTTGAAACGTCCAAGGGACAATGTTGCTGGGCTTTTCTTACCTTACCCGCTGCCAGGTCTCAATTATGTTTAATTCCATTTGTTCTGGCCTTGCTTATTTCTTAAGAGCAAGTGATACATACATGTAATTTTTTCCTTGAGGGTAGGCTGCTCAAAGAACAAGCAGCAATTCATGCAAAAGCAACCCCATTGAAAGCACATATTTCAGGGAAGGACACTTAACCACAGCCCCAGTGCTGTGATTTGTAAACCAACGTGTTGCTTCCGGATGCGTCCAACAGAGTGAGAGTCAGATCCTGGCTTTGCCTTTGAGTCACAAGTTTATCAGAGCCTGCCTGAGGTCATTACTCCTGAGGTGACTGTCTTGTAACTAAGGAGATGCTACAGGCAAGTGGAGCCTGTCGTGTTCCATCTCCTCTCTGGGCCTCAGCCTGTGTCTGCAGGTGTTTCTCTCTATTGAATCTCCCTGGGGAATCCTTGGCTTCACAGCAAAAGCCGGCTGAAGTGAAAGTGATTTGATTTGGATCCTATTACAGGCACTTTACCTCTTCTATTTCCATGATAATAGCAGATTGGAGTCGATTATTGTACTGGGAGGGGAGTTAATGTGATGTCGAGAAACATTGGGAAGACTGGCACAAGGAGAGAGGGATAGATAAAAAGTTTAGCCCAGATTGAAATGGGTGGCACAGGCCAGTGCAGCCACCAGTTAAGCATCCACCTAGAGTCGTTGTGGTGTTCTGCAGAGGGTCAGGATCATTTCCCTTACTGGTGCTGGTGAAGGGATAGAGGGTATAGCGGCTACTTGGTTTAATTGAACCAAGCCTTCGTGCCCTCCTAGTCCTTTTGCCCTGTCCTCTGCCGCTTTCCCTAGGCTATGCTGCCTCTCTGTTAGCCCCAGGGTTGCAGGACCCTCACGCACTGGTGGCCTGCAGTCCTTTTCCCAGGAGGGCAAAGGATACTGGCCTTGACAAACTCACCTGTGATGGTCACACCAATCACAAAGAAATCTGGACTTATTTTAAAAGAACTGCTTTATGTTGCTTCACAAAAGAGAGAGGAAACATTGAAAAATTTCCAAGCACTCTTGCTAGGGAACCAGGCACTATCTGCAGGAATGCTTGTCAGGCCTCTTTCCCTGTGGCCCTCACATGTGTCCAGCAACAGAAATCAGCAACCTCGGGTTAGAAAAACATGACACAGCCGATAAGACACCCCTAATAGGAAGAACAAACAACGTTCGACCACTCGAAACTTGAATTTATCAAAAGTAAGTAAATATCACATGCATTATAATACTTATGCCTGTTTATCCCTTACATTATAATGATATGTCACCATCATAATGATGAACACTATCAAATATATTGTCTTTGACTAGAATTTTCATTTCTGAAAGTGTATTCCTGCTTTCTGAATGTGTCAGTCTAATGAGACGCATTGTGCCTTTGAGACTAGATTTTCGTTTTCTTTACAGTTATGTAAAATAGATATGCAGAATGTTATTTCAAAGGGTGATAGAGCAAGATAGGGAAGGAATCTTTATTCGCTTTTGCTTTTGTCTTGTTTAACTTTGAAATATGAGATACATACAGAAAAGCACGTTGCATGCGTCTATAAACTACACATACCCAGATTCAGAAAGAGAGCTGCACGAGCACTCTAGAAATCACCTTTCTGCCCCGTCTCTATCACCAAAGTTAGGCCTCTGCCTTGACGTCAGACAGCACAGATTGGTTTTGTCTGCTTTTGAACTTCAGTGGAATCATACAGTATGTGTTCTTTTGTGTCTGACTTCCTGCACACGCCATCATGCTTATAAGATTCACACATATTGAATATAAGTGTGGATGGTTCATTCTCCTTCTGACAGTGTCTTTTGTGTGAATATTTATCCAGTCTCATGTTTTGGGCATGTGGGTAGTAGCCAAATTCTGGCCACTACAAAGAGTGTTGTCCATAGGTAAACATAGGTAAGCATTTCTACCGGGTGTATTCTGAGGAATATAATTGCCTTGTCACAGGGTAGGGATATGCTCAGCTTTAACAGCTACTGCTAAACAGTTATCCAAAGCAGTTGTGCCAGTTTTCACTTCCACTAGGAGCGTATGATAAGAAGCCTTGGTTGCTTTGCATCCTTCCGATATTTGGTATTTTCTCTTTTTATACGTTTTGCCATCATGCTTGGTGTGTAGGGTATCTCATGTGGGTTTAATTTTGATTTACCTGAAGATTAAAACATTGAGTACTTTTTTACATATGGTAACTACTTAAATAACTATTTGGATATTCCCTTTTGTTAAATGTACATTCAAGTAATTTGCCAATTTGTATATTAGATTGGCTCTGTTACCAATTTGCAGGGGTTCTGTACATCTCCTAGATACGAGATTTTCACGCAACATATGTATTGCAGCCATATTCTTCCACTCTTTGGATTTTGTTCTATTTATTCAACAGTTGCCTTCGATTAATAGGTGTTTGTAATTTTAATATAATCTGATTCATCCTGTTTCTTCTATAAAGTTACCACTTCATGTTCTGCCTAAGAAAGCTGTCACTATTCAAGAAGATCATGTTTCTGAACAAACTGTCTTGTGGCAAACATAATGTGAACTTTTCTTGATTCTGTCATGTATTTGGTTGTTGACTGTACCACAAACTGGTTTCATTAGGCCAGTGTGAAATTTCCCAGACTTTCTGAAACAGTGGAATGTGCCCATTTTACTCATCTTGAAAGGGAATGTATCATAGAACAACAACACATTAGCTGACTGAAAAAAGGCAGAAGTAAAAAAGTGGACTTATCTCTAATTCTGCACTGGCTTCACTCTGAATCACATATTTCAGATGAAGATTTTACACAGCACCTCATTTAAGTAAACACAATAATTGTTGAGTATTACTATCAGCACTAATACGGATACATGTAACTAGTGCCTTATAACTTGCAAAGTAAAACCTCATTTAATTGGACACTCACAACCATCCTGTAAAAGGGGCAGTTGTTTTCTCTTGTTTCTGCTGTCTAGTGTTTCCTGTAATATATTATACCAGTATTTGCTGAGCTCCTACAATGTTTCAGACACTGTACTGAACACTGAAAATACAGCAGACAAAAGACAGATGACAGTTCCTGTCCTCATGGAATTTTTATTCTACTGTGGAGAGACTGAGAATTTAAAATAAATAAGAAGAGCCTTGTATTCTAGAAGACGGTAAGTGCTCTGGAGGAAAATAAAGCAGAGAATGAAGTTACAGAAAGATGAAGAGAGAAAATACAATGTTCACAAAGATTGACAGGGACACCTTACTGAGACTTGACCAGGAGCAAGAACAAGGCAGCATGAAAGAATAGCAAGGTATGAGCAAATGAAAGGAGGGGAGGAAGGGAGGAATGGAGGGAGAGAGGGAGGGAGAAAGGGAGGGAGGGAGGTGGGGAAGGAAGGAAAGGAGGAGGGGAGGGAGGAAAGGAGACAGAAAGGCCCAATTCATGGTCAGGACAGTGTTTGAAGAGCTGTGTCAGCACAGCTGGGAGTTGGAACAGAGAGAGGGAGGGAGGGAGGGAGCCTAAGAGGTCAAAGGGGGCAAGATTTGGTGTGACATAGGAGGCCGTGGTATGAACGTTTGAGTTTTGCTCTGAGAGCATCTTTGGAGGGGAGGAATGGTTTGGGAGGTGGACCCTGGCTGCTACATGAGAAATGACTGTGGCATCGAGGGTTGGCTATGATAGCCTAACTAGGAAGCAAATGTAATAGTCTAGGTGAGAGTTGATGAGGGCAGCACTGGAGGTGGTAAGACGCTAGATCTATTTTGAAGGTATTAACAACAAGATTTACTGAGATATTAGATGTGGGATGTGACAGAATAAGAATACTCAGAGATAACTGCAAGAATCTGGGCATAAGCAAGTGGAAGGATGGAGTTTTCACACACGGAGATGGGGAAGACTGTGGAAGAATGGGTATAGGAGGAAAGATCAAGAGTCCAGCTTCTTGACTTCGCTCCTACTCGGTTCTCCCTGAAATCGTTTTACTTCCCAAATATCAACCTCTAAAAGTTTTCTTTTGCCCTCTTACTGGTACCCTTGATATCCACATGCCAAACCAGCATTGTATCTATTACACAAAAAAGACATTCCAAATACAAGAAGACTGTTAGTGTTGAATCTGCCAAAAGTGACGCATTTCTTTATTTATTCACTTGTAATATTAGAATGTATGAAATGCTGTCTGTTACGTATGCAGATTGTCAGACTAGAGAGATAAGAACTTATGGGAAAAATTCCCTAATACTTGTGAAATGGACTGTTGGATAAAATCCTCCCCTAAATGATACAATCCAAGTTGATAATAATGTTTCTGTATTGCAACAGCTTTTCTCCATCCAACTATAGGGGAAAAATACAAATGGCAGGATATTCACTTTATTTTAAATATTAGAAATCAGCATTTCTAGAGTTATGTGGCTAAGTCTCCTTCTGAAGATATATGGTCTAGTTGCTCATATATTTCCTCATTTAGTAGTTTATATGAAAACATGTCAAAGGGAAACAAAGATGGTTTTGCTCTGATGTTCTCAGCCTTCAAACCTTTTCCATAATCCAAAGTTGAATAAAGAGTCATGTATTATCATGCAGTGTGTGTGCATGTGTGTTTCTCTGTGTGTGTTCTTGGTCTACAGGACGTTCTTTGCTAGGTGGGATATACTTGTAGATGGAAAGTGTTGCAGAGCCTATCTAGATGCTCACAACTCCTCATCTATCCCCATCTTCCCAACAGATATGGGAAGACATCATTTTCCAACCTCCCTTTACAGTGAGTTGGGCCACAATGCTGGGTTCTGACCAGTGGAATAAAAAGATGATGTGTATCACTTTTTAGTTCTGGTCAAGTCATTATTATAACATAGATAGAACCATTAATTTTGATCCAGAACCTATGAATAGACAGTTGGATATACAAGTTCCCATCTTTGAGGACCTCTAACTCTCATGCCGAGAAACACACCTCATAACTACAGACCGAGTGCATTGCTGAAGGCCCTATTGGCCGTGTGTGTAAAGAACTATGGGACCCTGAAAGAGGAATGATTTGGTTTTCTTTCTCCTCTAGGAATTGAATAAGTGAAGCAAATTCCAGAAATAAATGACATCTGAGAAAGAATTCGGTAGGTGGAAATGGAGAGGAAGGGACAGAGGAATGGAAGTGTGAAAATTTAAAATAATGCAAATAGTTTGAGATGAACCAAACTAAGGGAGCTTCTTTGAATGCTAATTATTAAGCTATTGTCTCTTAGATTCAAGTTCACCTTCTGGTGTCCCGCTCTGTGATGGTGGAGTGAAAAATTTATTTCTCCCTTGTCAGCTGACTTCCTGTTAGGTTTTGATAAGAGGCACTAGAGGAAAACTAGGAAGCAAGAGAAACAGGGACGGGATTTTCTTCTTTCTGTTTGCTTCTGGTTCTTGCAAGGGTGACACCAACAATGACTCTTCACCATGACTGTACCATTTGATTCAAGCCCAACTACTTTCTCCACCCCAGCACCATCCATACCTCAAGTGCACCAGCACCAAGAAAAATAATGCCCTCTAAGGACTCAATTCCAGATGTGTAGAGCTTCCTCCGTTTGTAGGTTATGACAACCCATTTCTTTTCCCTGTCTTCCCCAGTTCTGTGGGTGGAAGCTCTTCTGGTGTTAGCATCTCTGAGCTATTTCATTCTTTTTATTGCTCTTTCAGTCCTCCGACACCTACGTAATTGATATTAAATTATGTCTGTTGAAATACCTGGTGTGGTCTTTGCTTCCCTGACTGAATCCTGATGACACAGTGCTGCACCTAAAAAGTGTCTGAAGTGCCAGCTGCGTCATCAAGGAAAGGCAAAGGGTGAGGGTGGAGAAATCTTGAGGTAGAAACAGAAGAGGTGTGGTCAAGCCAAGGGCATGCCTGGGAAAGGAAACAGTGAAGCTAGAGGGTCCATTTGGGTTTATGACTTGGAAGCAAAATCAGCTGGCTTCAGTTCCATAAGTAAGTACAACGACAAACACAGAAAATGAAGTGGGAAGGCTGAGTGAGGTGTGTGATAAAGACCTGATAAAGTTGAAATTTTGTACAGAAGTAATGCATGGCTTAAGGTTGTGCAGGTAATCGTGAAGCATGTCTTTGTTTCTACTCTGGGGCTGTGGATTCCAACAAGGTCCCTGGAGGAAGAAACAATGGCCAACAAGGGAAAAGGGAGTCAGTAAAGGGACAGGGATAGAACACAGAACCACTCAAGGCCAATTCATCATTAGGAGACGATTAAAAGGACAAGCTGGCAAATGCCTATATAGGGCTCTGCCACAGGCCTGAGATAATGAATGGCTGAGGGTGACTCCATGGGACTTCTTAAAATTAATTCAGCTGTCAAGGAAGAGGCAGGGTGATGTAAGCTGTAGGAGTGGGGTAATTTATGAGATTTTGGAGAGTTTTTAGCTTGATTTTTCAGTAATATCTGTAGGAAGGTCAAGGACAAAAACTCTATACATGTAATTTTTAAAATTAAATGGTTTCTTAAAAAGGCAGATGGGTATGGTTGTTATAAATCAGCTGAATAGCATATTGGCATGATGTGGGGTGTTGTTAAGGGCATATAAATAAATTTACTGAAATCCATGCTTAAATTCTGCCTGGATACTGTAGTGTATGACTATATTGTAGTTAAAACTGCTCAGCAAGGAGCCTTTTAAAACTCCCATCTCTGATTTTCTTTCTCATTTTACAGTAGCTGCATACCTTCAATGTGTAACACATTGTGATCACTACATGGACATTACATTCTAATAAAGAAGGAAACAATTGGCCAAGTTGAGACATTTCTAAGCATTTAGTAAACATTATAAAGAGCAAAGTTAAAAGGCATATGACAAGTCTAGAAAAATACTTTCAATATGAAAAATTGTTAACCATGTTTACTTCTTTAAATCAGTGAGAGGGGTGAAGGAAGGGAAAGATATCTATTTTAGAATGCATCCCTTTGCATTGTTTCAATTTTCAACCTACAGCTGTCTTACTCTTCTAATTTAAAAATATTAATAGATCGTTTAAAGGAAAGTTATGTAACAAAAATGTATCATGGGATTTCCAAAAAAACATACTACTTTTGGCTTTGAGAACAAGAAAAAATTTATGTAATAAATAGGCAGCATTTGATCTGTGTTTTGCAGAATGGATGGAATTAGATTGCCAAGTACATAACAAATAAAAGAGCCTTCAGAAAGCAATAACATCATGATAAGCAAGGCAGATGTGTGGCATTCAGAAGAAATGGGCTGTGAATAACGGAAGTAACTCCAGTTGGGCTAGAAGAGCCAATTACAGAATCCAGACTGTTCAGGTTGTGATTTCCAGAGGATATCAGTTAGGAGTCAACATCAGTTTTCTAGGTGGGAGATGATGCTAATGTGGACTAGGATGTAGTAGCAGACATATGTTAAAGGATTTGGGATATATGTTTGCTGATGGACTGGATATGGGCTGTAAAGAAATAAAAGAGTCAAGAATAACTTCAAATTATTTTGTCCAAGGCTACTGGATAATGGTTGGTGCTATTTATTGAGAAGGGGATCACTAAGGGTAAGGCATATTTCCTGAGGGAAATCAAAAGGTCAGTATTGGATGTGAAGTTTGAAATACCTATTAGCGAATCAAATGAAAATGATGTGTAGGCATTTGGGTTTAGTCTGGGATTCAAAGATGTTCAGGAATGGAGGAAGAATTTGAAAATCATCGGCTTATACCTGGCATTGGAAGTCGTGGGAATGGGATAATTTACCTAGGAAGAGAAGATAATTTGTGGTTTGTGAGGCTCTGTGAACATGTGAAAAACTAGAAAGTTCCGATCCACACTGAGGTGCAGGTGGCTTTAGAGAAAAATAAAATTTGAGAAGATTTTTTAAAAGGAAAAAATAAAATTTATGAACAAACAGCAATTAAAATAGCCTAGCAATAGATGTAGCACTGATGAGGAAGTTGAGTGGCTGAGAACTTAAATAACTTGACCAAAGTCTTACATACAAGCCTCAAATCCAGATCTCTCTGACTTCACGTCTTGGATCGTTTTCATCATAGGTAATAGACTATGGAAACCTTACTGCAGAACCAAAAAAGCAGCCAGGCCAGGGAAAATAAGGATTGTATCGAAGAAGAGAAGAATATAAAAAGCAAGACAAGAGTAGAAAATTAACTCATGACTCCAACGGTCTACCACAAAAGTCTTTAATGAGTCTCTTAGTGAAATAGAGCAGACAATTAAAAGAGAGAGTATCTGAAATACCATAAAGGTCTCTAAGGTAACTTTTAGCAAGCCTCTTTCCAGATTGCTCTAAATGGTAAGGAGTAGTCCCCATTAATTATTTGTTTTTGGAATCCAAGACCTCCTTTGGCACACCGTGCTAAACGTAAAATTACTCAACTGGTGAGGGACACAGGCAATTTCAAACTCTTTACTTTTTCTTATAGCATATACAAGAATAAATATGAAAGGAATAGAGTATAAATAAAAATCAGTAGGCTAAAATTAGTTGCATATACAAGAACCAGCCCAGATGGATTAAACATCTAAATGCCAAAAACAGAGGCTTCTAATTTCAGCTTGGACAAGTAGAGAGCCAAAAAAATAAAAATAAAAAACACACAGAGGCTGTTATCCTTGCAACCAGAAAATCTTGATATGGAGCAAAGTAACAACTTTTTAGGAACCTATCTAAAAATCAAAGTCACAGGACAAAAGCCCATTCCAAAATCTGAAAAGAGAAAGGCAACTGCAAAGAGATATGGATGTCAAACAAAGCAATAACAACTCTTTAAAATGAAGAAGAGAGAAAATAAAGACTTAAAACTCTAAGAGGGGATTTTGATAATAAGAAATATTATAGAATACTGTCAAAAATCTGCTCCCAAATTACTTAATAGCAAAGGGGAAAAAAGTGACTATATAACGCAATAGTCAGACAACACTTATGACTGGTCTGAGAGGTGCAGAGAACACAACATCTCTTATATATTATTTTGAACTGAAATGCATGACCTGAATCCCACCATGAAGAAACATCATACCAACGCCAAACACAAAATATTCCATTCTCAAAAAATGCCCATGCTCTATTAGACTAAAAATTAGAATTAAAACATAAATTTTCTTCTTATTGTATTAAGTATGTACTTTTGTACTCCAGTATGGTTAGGACCAAGTTAAATTTTAATTCAGTCCCTGTTCACATGAGGGGGAATATGTAGATTTATAAAGTCTGAATTCTTAAAGTCTTATTGTACTGAAAATTTTATATTAGGCTGTAACAAATGAAAGCAACCTACACACATTAAATGGAAAAAAATTAAATTAGGACTTTCTTATTTAGCAGAATTCTCTTAGTTCCGTCATTGTATGTTGGCCTGTTAACAATAGCATTTTTTCTCCATTACCTTGTTTACTTTCTCAAATGTAGGATGGGTGCAGTTGGGAAAGCTGGGGTTAAAAATCTCATGGCAAATTCTCATTTCCACTAGCAGAAGAAAAGATGGATATAGCACAAATCACTATGTACAATTTCTGGAAGAGCGTAAAGGTAATTTAATATTATTATGAAAAATACCTGTATAATGGAATCATTTGTGCTATTATAGCAGGTCTAGAAATATAAAATAATGTGAAGAGAAAGTGACCTATTGTTGCAACCTTACATTACAGAGATATTACTATGCCCCAGCCAATCATTTTTCATCTAGCTAAATTTAAATAATAAATTAGAAATAATATATTCATTCATAGCAATAAATAACCATAAAAAAGATTTCAAAACTGAACATTTGCCAAGTAAATTTATTAAAAAATAGGATATTTCTATGTATTTATTTGAATTACTATATAATTCAGTGGCTTCCCCCTTTATTCTAAACATGTTTCTTTTAGGGTGTATAATAGGTGAGATATGTGAGGTACAGTTACAAAGAAGCTATCTTCTCCAAATTTTGTTGTATTTATTTTTTTCTTAATGTTCTTTAGAAAATTTCAATGGATAACCTTTATAGGAAATATACATATGTTCAAGAATGCAAGCAAATGTTTTCATGCTCATCTATTTATACAATATATTTGAAATGTACAGAGAATTTATCAATATCAGTGTTTAAAATGCCCTGAGACACACATTATTTTTCAGAATATAGGATAGTTTACAATAGTTCCTTCTTTTAGTCATTAGTCGATAGATGTAAAACTATTGCTTTGCTATTTGAGATGCTGCATAATTTACGGCAACCTGGAAGGGCAGCGGATTTGCCTGTGGTGTTCAGGGATTGGCTCTCTTCCAGGTGCAAGTGTGCGTCAACAAGGGCGCCTGAGCGGGACTGCTGGCATTCTCCTCCCTACCTCCGAGGCAAAGAAGATTCCAGAGCTCCTCTGAAGGTCCCCCAGAGGTCTGGCTTCTCAGGTTGTTATGGGAACTATTTCTCACAAAAGAAACCCAGAAGTGACAGTTTCTAAATTCAAAGAAAGAAATGAATCCTGTTTGCCAGCCAGGTATAGAAATTTGCTTACTGCCTTTCTTGCAGTTGGGAGATGTTTGCAGAGATGAGAAGCACTCATTTCCCTTGAAAAAAAGTGGGAGTGCCAGTAGGAAGTCAAAATGGCGCCACTGCTTTTCTACCCATGCAAAATAGTAAATGAATTATTTATTACAACGGCATGGGGTAATGTACTGTGTATTGCTCAGAAGAATATCACAGACTTTGTGAAATTTGATAAAAACACAACTCTCTGCTTCAGACTGACTTCCTTGAGTCCCCTGAGCCCTTTCCAGACTCCCTGCTCTGCTGTTTTGCACTTCCCTTCCCCCTTAGAATAATCTCTCCCGACACATTCATTATGCTCATTTTATTTCTTCCTTCACTCCTGTCCTCAAATCTCAACTATTTTACTGAGTTTTTGACAGTAAAAAGCAACCAAAAAATTTATTTATATTTTTTACTCTATCCCAGCTCAAATGACAACCTGCTCTCCTGTGTCTTTCTCCTAATCAACTTATTTAACTTATTTGGATGAAGATTTTCCTGACATGACTAATTTTGCTTTCTGCAGAGCATGTAATAATTTTGTTTCTATCCAAATCTATTAAATAATAATGTTTATAGTTTTGAAAAGGATGAATTTGCTCTTCCAGGTCAGACAATAATGTTTAGTTCGGGGAGTGCATGGAGAGAAATTGAATTCATTAATAAGCAAAGATACCTCTGAAACAACAGAAACGTATAGCAGTAATTCTCCACTCAGTATTAGAGAATCAACAGTCTATTTATATTTATTAGACACCATCCTCTCATACTTTTTCTATAATAAAACTTACAATTTGAATTCACACCACAAAATACCCAAATCTGATATTTTTCAACTAAGTTCAAGTGAACAAATAGTTTTCATCTGTAGCACCTTCTGTATCTATATTCTCACCTCTTGTTTGCTACTCAAAACATATGACCTTTCTTTACATTTAGAACAATTGCAGGATCTCATCAGCAGGCCCTCCTCCAGCTTATTCCTTGTATTAATATCAATCCTAGAATTTATTTATTCAAAACTTACTTAATGAGACCCTCCTATGTACCAGACACTGTATAACTTACTGAAAATGCAGCAGTGAAAACATCTGTCTTTCCTGCAGCTTGCATTCTAATGGAGAGAGGCATAAAATAAAGAAGGAAACACATATTTCTATAAGAGATTCGAGAAGAGATCAGTGCTTGTCCTGTGAGGGAAATAAAACAGGCATTGTGAGAGACAGTGGCAAGGAGAATGGGGGTAGCTACTTTAGATGTGAGAGTTAAGAAATGACTCTGTAGATTGCCTTTGCTTCCTTGTGGAGAATCATAAATGAGAATGGCCAGAAGCACTAGAAGTTCTACTGCAATAGCCCAAGCAAGAGATCTTGGTGGTGTGTTCAGGGTACCAGGGGAAGCAGTGAGAAGTAGTCAGTGGGAAATTAGAAGGTCAGGGGTACAAATCAAGACTTCCTATTTGGACATGCAAGGTTTGAGATGCCAATTAGAGAAGTGAATAGATCTGAGATATATGTAAGAGTTGGGAATTACTTAAATGGTGATCTGAGAGTGAAGGGGAAGGGATTATGACACCCAGCTTTCTGTCTTGTAAGCTGGTTGAGGAAAGGTGCTATTCACTGAACTGAGGACCACAGCTGGAAAAGGGGGTTTTGCCCAAGGGCAAATGGGACAAGCTCTATTTTGAATATGATGGGGTTGAGATTTGTGTGAATTTCAAGAAGTTCAAAGGTCTGGCAGGTACGGATCTGTAGCACTGGAAGGTGTCAGGGATAGAAAACCAGATTTGGGTACCAGTACCATGTAGATGTTAGCTACAATCATGAGGGTAGATGAGGGCCTCCAGGCACTACCTTATATCCCCTCTTGTTCCTATAGCCATATTTCCTGAAAAATATGTGTTCATATTTCCCATTTGCTAACCTTCCAGTTGCCTCTTGACCCACCATATGAATCAGAGGATGAGTAATGTCCCTTCACTTGGCAGAACAGTTCTTTACCCCACCAGTCACAAAGTTGCTAAATCGAGGAAAGGATTTTTCAGCCTTCATGTTGACTCTTGGAACATTTGATCCTCAGTCACTCCTTCCTTGTCCTTTGATTTTCATGACACAGCATATTTCCAGTTCTTCTCCTGCTTTCTTGCTGTACCCTCTCAGATTGCTTTGTAGGCTCATCCATCCACCTAGTCTTGCATATTTGAAGTCTTATCATGTGCTTCTTCTCATCTTGCTCTATTCCATTTCCCAAAACATTCTAAGTGCATGGCCTGAATTATTACGGCTTCAAATGCCAAAGACTCACAGTTTTATATATGCATCCAAAGAATCCCCTCATGCCTTTAAATCCAAATATCCAACTCTCCTGTCTTCATTTGAATGATCCAATATCATTCAACCTCGACATAAAAGTTTAATATTTTTTTCAGTGTTGGCTGAATGTTCAATGAATGATACTACCATGCAACCAGTTATACAAGTCTGGAGCTTCTCTCTGATTTTCTCCTCTTCACATTCAGAACTATCCAATCCACTGCCCAATCCTTTCCATTTTATGTGCAAAATATTTCTCAAGTCCATTAATTTGCCCACATCTCAAATACCATTTCCAAGCTGCCATACTTTCTTTTTTGCAATGTTTATTTCTCACAGCCCATCATCCCCACAGCAGCACACATATTTTTTTCAGAGGAAAAACTGGATTCTGTCACCTCCCTGCTTAACACTATTGAAAGGTTTCTGACCACTCATAAGGAAACACCAAAATCAAGGCAGGACCACATACTCTGGCCACTGACTATCTTTCCAATTGCACAGCACAGTTTCCTCCTTCTCATTCCCTCTGTTCTAGCTCCAGTGGCTTTTTCTGGACTTCTAATAAGCTAATATTCTTTCCACCAGTGGTCTTTTACACATGTTGGTCCATCTGTTGGTAACCTTCCCTCCAATCCTATCTAGTTTTCTGCAGCCTTTAAATGTCAAGCAGTATAACATTTAAAGAATGTTTTTCAAGAAACATGTATTTCAAGAAAGCCTAAGAATTCCCTCACCCCTGGTTGAGGTCATATTTCTTCATTACCTCTTTCCACAAAGCCATTTTCCTGTATGCTTGGTTGCTCACTTTTATTCTGTCTCTAGATATCTTTAAATGCTCATTACTGTGTTTATTTGATGAAGTTCTATCTGCTCCACTAGACTGAAGGCTCCATTAGAACAGCTAAGTCATATGCTCATATGCTCTTGCTTTCTCCTGAATCCCAAGCACCTACTCCAATGCTTAGCACATAGTATGTACTCATTAAACATTGCTTCTATTAATGAATGAACTCTGGAGTAAATGTTGTTGAAAGAAGTAAGGCAGTAGTATTTTTCTTCAACATGGATAAGTGTTTTCTGGATTTCTGGAGTAGTTCACATAATAGTCATTATAAGAGGACATTAATTTTTGAGAATGCATTGTTAATGCTGATTGTCAGAAATGTATAGGGTGGCTTCAAGCTTCTCTAGTGTAAGGACAGGCACATACCCTATGAGATGTATACAAGCTAGCTGAAAGAGCAGTGACGCATTCAACAAAATCTGATCTACCTACCTCTTTGCTGACACTCTAGATCATATCCATTTGGCCTAATTCCCCCATAATCCTTTACTTTAGATCTGCCCATGATATTTTGACTACTACCTTTTAGGTCTTAGAGGCCACATCCTTGACCTCAGGATCTTATCCACATGACATTTATGGGCATCAAGAGTGGGAAGATAGAAAGATCCTGTTATTTTATCAAATTTAAGGCGGACTTTTACACAGGCCTTCCCCCATAGAGCTACATGAATAAAGGTAACAGAGCACAATGGAATGACAATTATGAAATCTTTTAGTTTAGGTCTTGATCCTCAAGATCTACTCAATGAACATAACTCAAGATACAATGAACGTAGGAAACATCATACGGGCACATGAAAAATGAAGCACTATCACATAAAGAATTCACGTAGACCTCCAAAGGGTGGAATATGCTATTTGTTGAGGGCATACCATATTCTGAGCACTTTTTCTGAGTTATTTTGTCCTTAGAAATTTCCCATTAAATAGGTACTCTCATCGATGCCATTTTTACAAGTGAAAACCAAGGTTTATTTTATTTACATGTTTATATTTATTTTTATTTTTTGAGATAGACTCTTCCTTTGTCACCCAGGCTGGAGTGCAGTCATGCTGTCATGGCTCACTGCAGTCTTGACCTCCTGGGTTCTAACTATCCTCATGCCTCGGCCTCCCCAGTAGCTGGGGCTACAAGCATGAGTCACCATGCTCAGCTAATTTTTTATTTTCAGTACAGAAGCAGTCTCACTATGTTGCCCAGGCTGGTCTTAAACTCTTGTACTCAAGTAATCCTTCTACCTAGGCCTCCCAAAGTGCTGGGATTATGGAAAATCAAGGTTTGCAGATATTAAAAACCTCCCTTTAGTACACAGAGTAGCAAGTGAAATTGAACCCGGTGGTCCTAACTGCTACACCTCAGTGCCACTCTAGAGAAAAAAAGTGGGGAGAATGAGCAGGTAGACTCGTTGTACCCATGTCTTTACCTCCAGAAAAGACAGAATAATGCAATTAAATGCCACTGAATTTAGAGTTAGAAAAAAAAATGAGTTTGAGCCTTCACTCTAATCTTCATTAGCTTTGAATTAATCACTTAGGCTTGGAAGGTCACTTTTCTCAAAGGTAAAGTGGGGCTAATAGTGCTTTTTTCAAGATTGTATTGTGGATTACCACATGACCTAATTACATCACATAACACCTGTGACATCACCAAATCTTCACTCATTGTTTTGTAAATGGCAAAAGTTTGATGTAAGGAGAAAACACTATTAAATAGGTGTATATTTATGCATCTATATATGTGTGTACATACACATACATGTATATATATACACACACAAATATATATGAGAAAATGCTATTTTAAATTCAATCATTATTAGATAGAGTACACTCCTTCCCTTGCCCAAAAAAAGAGAACTGAATTCCCCAGGCACTTGCCCATCTGTGAATTTTAAACCTTCTGCAACACACTTCACAAGGCCAGTCTTTTTTGTCTCCAAAGCCCACTCTCTCTGCCTGAAGTGGGCAGGCAGGCTGCACACACAGTCCTGCAGAATGGAAGGTTCAATGTGGCTATGGGAAAGCAGCCTGCAAAAACACTTAGGGAAGAAGCATGAAGTCCAATCTCAAAAATTAATGTTAACTTCAGATGTTCAGATTTGAGTACGGAAGGCTCTGGTCTACTTCAGACAGGATCCAGTTATCTCACTTAATAACACAGTTGTAAATCAGAATAAAATTAAAAAGAGATCAAACCCTGTAGACAAATGCTTTGGCTAAATGCCCTCTCTTGTGATCTGAATACCAACTACTGTGTTGTATAGTCATTTATAAAGAGGCTTGGAGGTAGGCAATACTGGGGGGAAAGGGTCATTAATTTCAGCCCACCCAGAAAGGTGTTAACTATGCCCCATCCTTCTGGCTAGATGATAATTAAGCTGCCTCTTTTGTGCCTCCCCAGAGGAGGCATATATACAGTATTCCTCTACAATACAGCTAGTACAGTGCAACTGCAGTGAATCAAATCTTGTTTATCCTAAGGATGGGGTGGGCTCACCAAGCTAGGGGGGTTATTTTTAATTGGGGTTCATAGCACATTGAACACTCTCTTAGATGAAAACCCTGGATGGCTCTGGGGCACATTTGGTTAACTCCCTCCCTGCCAACCCCTACCACTACTCTCAGGCATTACTGAACACCATCCATAAAAGGATTTTCTCTCACTAAAGGTTTAGCACACTTCTCCTGTGCAGGAATTCTCTAAAGTCTTTCCCGAGAACTTATAGTATCTATAGGATACTGTTGATCAGTCTTCATGTGTTACTTTTACACTTTTGGAGCATAAATCAATGGTTAGAACCTCACGTTATGCTAAGTATTTCCACATTCATTTTGCACTCTCTGGTTTTCAGGCCCTGGTAGATGCTTAAATGACTCATTCAGTGCAAGAAGCCAGTTCACTGGAAAGCAAAGGGTAGGTTCTTCCCATGAGTGTGGGCTGGGCAAATGCGAAATCTGCGCTGATGACCTCCGGGCAGTTGTTTTGGGTGAATGGAGAAGTGTGCCTTGGATTTGATTGAATTTTGCTGAAGCCACAGCCTGGCCATTTGGTAGTTGCCAGGTGGGTATCTTTTTGTGCTGTTTCCATTGATCCTAAGAACAATGAAATGTAGGTGCAAAACACAAGCAGCACCATGGTTAGGAGATCTTTGCATTCTGGTAATCTAGGGTACCTTGCCCTACTTAGCACATCGTGGGCCTCAATGCCCTTCTGTAGAGTGACTCACAGGTGATTTACCAGAGTGGAAAGAACATGGTCTTTGAAATCAGATCTGATTCAACCAACATCTCTGAAACTGTTTCATCCTATATTAAAAATGATAATAAAATAAAAATTGGATCAGATTGCAATGATGACTCAAATAAAAAAAATAAATGCAAAATGTCTGACACCTTGCAGGCCCTCAGTTCATATCATTATTTTTTCATAATCCTCTTTTTCATACATGAAAGTCTACATTTTACCCCTTACCTGTTTGCAAGTATCTTGAAGGCAAGGGTATGGCAGGTTCATCTCCACTGGTCCCCAGTGAGGAAATCAGTGAATGTTTATTGAATTAATGTTAGCATTCTAAATGGCATCTAAATAGTGTCTCATTAGGAACAAGAAATTGTCACAAAGGTTCATATATCGATACTTTAAGTAATACTCCAAGTCAAAAGCAGGTGTTGTCATTTATCCAAACAAGATGCAACGAATCTACTTCAGAGCTTAGAGGGTTAAGTGGCTAGCTGGAAGAGGAATGAGGATTGTTTATCATGATGGAAGCAGCAACAGGCTGGGAAAAAGGAAGGAGGGAATCCAAGGATTGGAGGGGATCCAAAACAAATGAGTAGGGTAGTTGTTCTCCGGAGGGAAAAAAGTACAGAAAAATTTTGGAAGGAGGTATAATTTTGGAAGTGAATGCAAATTGAAATGATGTCCCCCTGTGTCATGCAGAGAAAGTGGTGGTTTAAGCACAATGTTATGTTCTACATCTCAGAGAGAAGACAGTTGTGAGGTGCCCAAAGAAGACTGATTGACAATAAATTCAATCCATCAATATTTCAAACTATATTCACTGATAGTGTTCATTATAAAGCCCTCAGACATTCCTTAGTGGAGAGATTACCTAGACTGACATAGATGGGCTCTAGAACCCTCACAACTTCCCCACATCCATCCCCCTCTTCAATCAGACCAACGTATATCTCATTTTGCCCTCTTCAATTGGCTTTTATATCAGTTTTCAATAGAAAAATAAAGATTTTACAAAAAAACAATCAAAATGACTAGAAGTGAATAAAGGATTTTTACCTCTGCTCAAAGATGATAAGGTTTAAATTCTCAGCTTGGCATTTTTAAAATTAAATTCTTTAATCTACCTGGCCGATTTCAAAATATACACATTGGAGCAAAACATCAATAACCACAAAAACTCTTAGGAGACAAGAGTGAAAAAGCTAATTCAAATCTCAGACCCAGTGCCTCTTTTGGTAATGTGTTACCACACATGGGGCATTAATATTTCAGATTCGAGAAAGGAACTTGCGTGTCACCCAGCAAGAGAGCAACGAAGGGTCTGTGAGCCCTGTGCTCAGAGAAAGGGCATTCTAGGAAAACGGGAAGGAAAGTGTCTGCCCCAAGGCAAGCTCAACATTTAATTGGCACTCAAAAACCCAGGAATAATATATGTCGATCAAATCAACTCCAGAAATTAACAGAGCTAAATGTAAAGGAAGTTGAAGTATTGTTTTTAGAAAACAGCATGCTTCTCTAAGAGAAGATACTATGTCTCAACAATAGTGTTGCGACTTATTTCTTTTTTTCTTTTTTGGCAAATCTTTTTTTTTTTTGGTTTTGAATTTTTTATTATTATACTTTAAGTTCTAGGGTACATGTGCACAACGTGCAGATTGAACATGGACACAGGGAGGGGAACATCACACTGGGACTTATTTCTTTTAAAAATTGCATGAGAACAACCTCAGGTCTAACAAAGTGAAGCAACAATAATAACACACAAATAGCAAATATTCAGAGTAAGAATTAGAATTCACCAATATTGACATTTCTCTACTTTATTTATTGTTACAGTTTCTGCATGTCCTGCCCATGTATCTCAATATAATTAAAACTGAGTCAAATACTGTTCCCAGATAAACAAAAAGTGTGTTCACTGCCTAACCAAGGCACTGAGTATCTGTCATTTTGCTCCACTTGGGCACAGCCTGTGTTTCTCGGACAAGTCTGGGCTGAATCTGGACCAGAGAGAAAAATCTTTCATTTTATTTAGTTTTTGATTTTGTTTTTCTTAATTATGAAAGTGGACTTTGTATTCAGCCTCATATCCTCTCTCTTGAACTCATATAGAATACACACAGTTTTTATAACTTTCTTTGTGGTAAAATACATGTAACATAAAATTTGCCATTTTAACCATTTTTATGCATACCGTTCAATGTATTAAGTATATTCACATTATTGTGAAACCATCACCTCCATCCATCTCCAGAACTTTTTCATCTTCCCAAACTGAAACTCTGTCCCCATTAAACAATAACTCCCCATTCTCCCTTCCCCTACCTGCACCTGGCAACCACCAGTCTATTTTCTGTGCCTTTGAATTTGCCTACCCCAGCTTCCTCATGTGAGTAGAATCAGATAGTATTTGTCCTTTGCCACTGGTTTATTTCACTTAACATCATGTCCCCAAGGTTCATCTGTATTTCAGTATATGTCAGAATTCCCTTCCCTTTCAAGGCTAAATAATATCCCATTATATGCATATTTCACATTTTGTTTGTCAATTCATCCACCAATGGACATTTGGATTGTCAAAAATATTTCTTGAATGAATAGATGGAAAAATAAATGGAGAAATGAAAACAAGTGAATAAATGAAGTGGAAAGAACCCTACACGTTGGAGGAATACAGAACCAAGTCAAAGCCTAGACTAGCATTACCAGCTCTGCAAACTTGGGTAAAGAACTGCACCTCCCTAAATCTTACTTCTTTTCGGTAAGGAAGAGAAGAGATTAAATTAGAAAGCTGGCCAGCACATAGTCAGTCACCCTCCCTCTGCTGAGGGCCAGAGTTAGCAGCGGTGAACATCTTCCCTCAGCCACTTGAGTTGGAGTGAAGACAGAATGAAACTACCATGATTGCCAGGGTACACTCTTTTCCTTTTCTGCCCTATTACCTACCCAAAGAAGAAAAGTAACCTGGATACAATTTTCATGAAAATAAAATTTCACTCATCCAAACCATGAATATCGGGATTCAGTTCTTATTTAACAATGTAGTGTTTGCAGAAGGATGAGCTCAGGTGAATATACCCGAAACTCCTAGACTAATATTTTCATGGCATTCCTTGCATCCGTGCAACCTTCTGTCTTAGTCCAGCAAAGTCAAGGAAACTATTCAGAGTGGACATGGCAAACCTGCCGTACCCGGGGAGTTTTCTGATACCACTTTATATGCTTAAGCTGAGCGTTAGTCCAGAAGATGAGAGTATGGTCTGCCCAGGAAAATGGTCTCTTGGAAGCCTAAATCCGTGTCTATTTGTGTAACAGCAGCCGACTGTCTTTCCCTCTCAGGCCCCTGGAGAATGAAGAAGGTAGCAGTCCCTCAACACTTTCCCTGTTAATCAAGATGGCTGCTCTCTCCCAAGTGGGGTGGTCAAGTCAAGTGCTTTGGGTTCAGTTTCCAGTCTGCCTGACCACCTCTGGGGGTGGCAAAAGAGCCAGCTACCTCAGTTTCCAAATATGTCAAACAAAGTACTGGCCTTTTGTGCAACAAGTGCCCCACTGTAAGCAGATGAAAGATGCCCTGAGAGCGGCCATATTTCTTTTTATTATTACTTTGTCATCAGTGATCACCAAAGCCCTCGAGTGTTTGATGTGGTTGCCTAGAAGCAGCAGTTCTCAGTGCCTGCTTGAAAGGGGTCGACAGTATGTAAATAGTTAACCCTTGCCCTGCTAAGCAGCCCGATGCGATCACACACACATAAACATTTTCTCCACGTTGGCTGGCAAAGGACCAGCTATTTTTGCTCCGGGTGCTGTGCACGAGGTCAGCTCCACCTAAAAACTCAAAGTCTAACAGGTGTGATAGGTGAAACCCCATGGAGAAAATAAAAGTGGAGCTACAAGCTGATTTTGGTTCACAGAACCACTCGGCACCATTTTAAAACAGTCCCTATCTTTTGAAAGCTGGTTAATGGTGCTCTTTTGCAAATTACCACTCATCTGGGCAGTGACCAAACCGATCCCGATCATTTTGATCCCGTTACACTCGGGAGGTAGAATACCTGAAATTCAGCATCATTCATTCTTGCTGCTCGACCTGGAGCCCCAACACTTTGATTTTCTTTGGGACATTTGTCCAGCTATCCCTAAAGCCTAACAGCTCATAGGCTTATCTTTTTTCTTTTTTTTTCTTTCCAATCTAAATGAAAATCACTAACTACCCCCGCCCTGACCACATCTTACTAGATTCTTGTATTTACCTCCCCTGTGATTAACTAGCATTAACTAAATTGATAATAAAATTTTACTTTTTTAATTTATCCCCTAAAAAATACATAAAGAGAAACTAGGAACCATAAAGGGGCTGTGAAAGAAATAATCCAGAGAGTGAATTTGCTGTGCTTAAGCCAGATGACAACTTAAGCTTTATGGATTTCAGGGTGGAAAATGGACATATGGAGATATATATATATATATATTTTTTTCCTTTTAGTCTATATATATTTATATATAAATATATATATTTCCCTTTAGTATATATATATATTTATATATAAATATATATATATATATATATATTTCCTTTTAGATTTTGCAGCCTAATGTTAAAAATGAAATATTCAGCTATTTGGGGGGGTGGATGATTTTCAGAAAAAGGATTTATAATTCAGTAATTGGAGAAATAAAAGATGCCTTTCCAACCCGGCATTAAAAATCTCTAATAAAATAGGGAAAATGAAGGTCTAAGATGACAGTCTTTATCAAAGTGTTTATAGAGACATTATATGTTCCCATAATTGTTTAGGCCAGTGAATTAATGAATCCTCGCTGTAAGTCTCCATTTGAAATGATTTCGATGGTGTCTGCTGCTCGGCTGCTTTGGAAAAGCCTGTTGTCTGCAGCTCCGGAGAAGGGCCTTGAACCCTGCCATTCAATCCCTTTCAGCCCATCAGCTGAGTCTAATTGCCAGAAAGCACAGGAGACCCCTGAGCCTGATTGTTCCTCGACCTCCTTTGAGGTTTGGAGGCATGAAAAGCAAAAGGAAAAAAAAAGCTCCCTTTTGATCTCTGTTTCTTTCTCTCTCCCTCTCCCTCTCCCTCTCTCTTCCTTTTTTTTGTCTGCCCACTCCTACTCGAAGAATGACACATTTCTTTATAAGGCTTCTTCTCCTTCTTATAAGGACAATAATTAATAAGGCCTTTATAAAATGAGGCTTGAATTGGTGTCACCTCAGGGGTGGTCCAGGGCTCTGAAGTGAAGCCTCGGTGGGCCCCGGCCTTGTCTGGCCTCTGCACAGGTCAGGTTTAAATACCCTGACCCCAATTTTCAGTCTCTTTCCCTAATGAGGCGATTCGCACAAGGATACAAAATTATGCGAGGAGTGAAAAAAGACAAAAGAGCCAAGGTGTAGTTGACACCACACTAGCCACATTTTATTATCTTTGTGCCTGTGACATCACAGCTGTGTATGTCCTTACAGCAAAGCGTTCTCCTCGGTTCCTATGGTGAGCTTTATAGAATGACTTCACAGACCCCAGCGAGCTGCCTGCCTCTTGACAAGCTCAGACAGGAGTGGCCCTGGTGGAGCTAGTGACCAGTTGCCGGTCCCCTCTCCAGCTACATGAGTATTACCAGAGGGGCTTTCTGAATTTCTGCACCACCGGTTTCTGTCAATCGCTTGGATAAAACGGCATTATTTGTACCCATATAATTTTACAGGACTTACCATGTTGACATCAAGAGTTTAAAACGTTCTGCTGTGCATATTATTTAGCCTGAATCTGATTAAAAGCAAGCTTGGCTTTGAATGGAGCAGGATGAGAATACAGCCTCTTGCCAAAATGTTTAAGAGGCTTTTAAAACAACCGAGTAACCCCAGTACATCGTATGAGTACTTTGTCCCAGAGTTGCTAATAGTACAGTAGACGACCTGTATGAATTCCATCTTTTTGGCTCATAACTTTGTTTTTTTTCACTGATAAAATGATGTGATTTGAGGGAAGGGAAGATAGATAGTAAATTGGGAGTCATAGAAGGAAATACAAAGATCAGTCTCTTTCTCATTTATAATATGAATTCCTACTGCATCTGATACATTTCAATCAATTTTGAGGGTTCTGTACTCTGAAAAAAACAATAAATAGAAAAGAGATCCTATATTAGGAGAACCTAATGGAAAATGTACAGCCAGGTTCCAAATGCAAAAAGAGTACTGAGTCCAGAAATAAAAAAAAAGTATTGCAAAATAATTATAAATCCAGTTATGCAAAATGAAATAAAATGGGATGTTTTCATTTTAAAATGATGTATTAAATAAGTAGATGTCTTTAATTTTTGCTCATAAACGATGGTATCAGATACCAGCAAAATAATCACCATCCCAAAAGAATCACTACATATTGACATTACACAAATATGGGTAATTAAATAAGACCACTGTCTCTGAATAATAAAGAAAAGAAAATGTATCATAATAGTAGATTTTATTATGACATAGCTGGTCCTTAATAGCCTTTATCTAATAGGAAATGCAAGCGATCAGTCTACTCTGGTTAAATTGCTTTTATCTCAGAATTTTGTTCACTGGTGCCATAATGGTCTACGAATTGTATTGAGGTTCAGGCAAAAAGAAATGTCAATGATCTTAATAAAAGGTCCTTACGAAAAAGGAATATAGAATGGTAAAAGAGACAGATTTTTTAAAAAAAGGGGCAGAGGTCTCTGAATCCCAGGCACATGGAGGAGGAAAACTCTTGTCCCCTCCATGTGTAGGTGGGGTCATGTGAAAAGCTCTGGCCAATGAACTCTGACCAGAGTGATGTGTATCACTTCTGGATCAAGCACATCACTGCCAGGGCAAGACCCCCAGGAGCTCTGTGCCCTCTGGTGTAATGACTGACCATGTTTAAACTGGCAGTGGTCAGTCAACCTGGGTCACTTGACAGCTTCTGTGTCACACCACAAGGAGCTTGAGCAAGGAATAGACAGTTGTTTCAAACCATTGAGATTCTAGGACTCTTTGTTATTGCAGCACAACCTGTTCATCCTGACTCATGTAGAACAAATACCCCACACAACTGAGCTGAGACAAAGCACACTACTTCATCTCGAGGGAGGAGGAGGCAACAAAAAGATGTGAATGATGCTTTTTATAGGTTAGCTTTTCTTATAGCTTGCCATTGTTGATTACCATTAAAAGCTATAAACATACACGAAGACTAAAAGATGTCAGCCAATCACATACCTCTTAAGTCATATATAGGTTACATGATTACATTGAAATATGGATAAACGTTGAGGAAGACTAAGCGAAAAAATAAAATAATATATTTTGGGGAATCATCTTGTTCTTTTTGTTTTATTTCAGAAAATACTGTACATGAGGTTCTAAGAATGAACATATTTGATAAACAATATGGTCTTTTGGCTAGTAAAATAGAATTCAGCAGTTATAAATTTAAATACCTGGGTGGAACCAATCAGATGACATGCATTTATGAATCAGGGAAAGTATAAAACAATAAAGAGAAGTAAAGTCCATGGCAGCTGGAAAGACCTGCCATTTTTATTACCATTTTAAAAATTAGTAATAATAATAATAATATTCAACAATGGAAAGACTGTACCTATGGTTTAAATACAGTCTTTCTGACACCGGTTTTCTACCCCAGGACATAATGTCTTTGAACTGAAAGTGTTTTCAATATGTATCAAATACATCGTAGAATCCTTCATTCAAACAACTTCTTATTACAAAATTATTTTGTAGTAGAAAGGATTTCATGATTGGAGATTGGTTCCAGTCAATGTTTGTGATCTGAAATGATCATTTCAAACAAAGTTGTAAAATGGAACTGGGCTTAGAGTCCAGCTCGGCCACTTGCAGTTGATGTGACTTTACGCACACTTTCTGAGCCCCCATTTTCTCCTGTGTAACTGTTGGCAGTGGCAGGGGCACCAAGGCTCAGCAGAGTAATAACATCTACCCAGTTGCAGAGTGGATGTAAATAGGGTGAGAGTCAGTGATTCAACCATCTGACGAGAGTTTCTGGGTCTCTCAGGCTGACAGATTGCTCGACTGGATGTGGGAGTAAGAGATGCACACATGTGCAAGTGAAAGAGAAATCCAAAAAGCCAGAGGTAGCTTCTGCAATGCACAGTGAAGACCAGAGCTCTCTGGAACTGAGGTAGTTGAAGGCAGTACTTTTGCACCTGTGCTGCCTTGGGCCTTAGAGATTGGGGAAAAAAAAAATTTATCTTCTGATTGAAAACTGAAGTCTTTAGGATTACAATGGGTTTAAGCACCCCCCACCCCCGGACTTAGATGGTCTGAAGAAAGAGGAATTTTCAAGGATCAAGCCCCTTATTCTGTGCTTTCATCATGCACATAGCAACTGGAAGGGGGCCTGACCTTTAGCCTTATTAGCCAGGCGCCAACCCAGTGAGCCACCAGCTGCACTCGGAAAGTCCCCATGTATTCACACCATATATTTGCCTCATCTTTATGAACCATCCTCTTCTTATCCAGTCATTTATTAACTCTGCAGCATTAGTTGTTATTTTAGGCTGCGTACTAAGGCTCATTGAAACAATTCGAAGTATTGAAAATAAATCGTGTGTTTAGAATAAATCTTTACCCTATGTGTCTTCATAAGCCTTATTTACTTTTATGATTTTTGTTGAAATTTCAATTTAGCAAGTGGTTTCCTAGTTTGAGGAGTGGATTCTTAAGTCCCCACATATATCTCATACCTTTGCTTTTTCAATAACATCTATGGTAGAGAAGACAGATCACTGGAGTTCTTACTAAATAGCTTCTCAAACTGTGTTGTGCATATATGACTCATGCAGAATATCATTAAAATGCAGATTGCAATTCAGTAGGTCTGGAGCAAGGTCTGAAATTCTGCATTTCTACCAAGTGCCTGGGTGGTGGTGATGCCAGTGGTATCTAGACCACACTTTGAGCAACAGAGACTTAAATACATTTCTCAGCATTTATGAGTGTCTTTTACCAAATCTATAAATGGATTTAGTAACACCCACAAGGTTTTGGAGAATATCAGCATAAATGAAAACGTGATTCATTTATACATGCATATCAAGCAGATAAAACATAAAATCCATGATCAATGGATCTAAGACTACTTTTGCTATGATAATCTAGGAAAGAATTGTGTAAAAAATGTTTGAACGATATAAAGGGCTTTGGGGGAGTAGTACTTGCAACCAAAAGACAGAGTTATCTACATGTCCCTTCAATCCTTCTCTTCATGTAAGAATAGCAAGGAGAGGACAAGCCGTCTTCAGAAAAATGAGGCTCTTATCTCTGCAACACCCAAAGTGAAGGCTGAACTTCCTCACCAGCCATTATTCAGAGGCCAACAGAAGTAGAAAAGACCACCAAGCTCTGTACAAAGATCTGTGAAGACTGAACTCAAAATGATGACTGAGAGATTAAGAATCCTGCATGTGAGTGTCAACATGGGTCATGAAAGTACTCAACCTAGCATTCATCACTGGAGAGAAGACTCAGTATGAGACAGAAAAGCATGCCAAGATATAAACAGGTTAAATCAAAGAATAAAAAGATTGTTGAAATGCATACCCATAATCCTTCACCTGGAACTCCCAGAGCCAGATGTATTTTCGGATTCTAGAAAGGTGCAGCACCTGATAGATCCAGTGTGGTCTGAGGGAGCCCCTACTTCCCCACCATTATCTAGCACAATATTTCTAACTAAAATACATGAATAGTCACAGTAAGTAGGATAAATACAGACTGTGAGTAGCCTTATGATAGTGCAGGTCAAGGTTTGTCACCAAATAAATTATGGGGAAACAAAACTATTGGTTTTGGAGCTTTCTAGATTTTGAAATTGTATATGGGGAAGAAAATGTAGATCTCTGCTAATTGAGGTGGGCTTGATAGTGACTACCAGACCCTAACTATCACAGGGTCTGTTTGTTATCATTATTATTTTTCTGTACTCCTCATCCGTCCACTAACACTTTAGTAACCTGCTAGTTTATTTCTTAGACCAGTTTTTTGTTTTGTTTTTTTTTTCCCCACCAATTCCCTTTATTGATGTTCAAACCCTGGTTTCAAAATCCCTACATCTTGCTGAGACATGTGTCAGGAATTTGATAGACAGAGGTACCTCTCCTCTATCATAGGAAGTGAACCCTACAGTGATTTCTAAAGTGAATGAAGGAAGGATTGTAAGAAAGTGATTCCTACGGTGAATGAAGCATACAAGTAGTGGAAAGAGCCCCTAAGCATCCGCCGTGGAGCAACTGAGAGCCTCACATTCCCTTTGTAAACTCTCACATGCCTGTGTGTGTGGGAGAGGGTCCCAAAAATGGCGAAGTCCTTCCCTCCCTGCTATGGAGGGTGTATTCCAACCTACCACTAGCACAAAGAGAAAATCATTTGTATACATGGATATGACTTTATTGAGGCATATTATACATCTCATATAACAGGGAAAGATACTTTTTAAAAGATCATTTATCTTCATGCCACAAACTCATGTCTTAAACATACCAATTTAATCTCTTGTGCTGGAATGGGATCCACTAATCTTATCTGAAAATTCCAAAAACTCTTCTCATGCATTTGGTAGCTTTCCTTGGTTGGTTAGCTTAAAATAACATTCTTTTATTTAACTTACTGCATGATATATGCTGTTTTCCAATTCTGAGAACGTGCAGTGGCATATGGCAGGTAAGGTTTGGACCCTCTTCTTTTGGTTCATTGCTGTGTGCAGGCGTGTGTGTGTGTGTGTGCACGCACACATATGTACATTTAAGAAAAGGTGTTCTTGATGTAAAAAAAAGCCAGGGAAGGGATTGCAAAGAGAATGTGTGCCAAAGATCAGAGAAATGTGAAGAACTATTAAGATTTTAAACAAACTTCCTTTGGTTCTATGTAAATTAATTCCCTAATGTAAGGTTATAACTTTTGTATTTTTTTTTTTGACAAAAAGAAATCTCCCTGGTGTCAAAGTACTAACTTTATAATTCTTTTTTCACCCTCACCAACTCCCAGCAACAGTGTCAAACTTAATTAACTTGTGGTTTAACCACATTTATAGTGTTCCTGAGCCAGTTTCTATTAAGCAAGTGACTCAAAGTGAGGGTCAAGGCTATTTTTTTTCCCCGAAGTGAATCACAAAAAGTACTTCTCTTTGTAGGTAGACATAAAATCAGTGAAAATATGCAAAGTCACTGAGTTTGTAATGAATTCTCTTTTAAAAGAAAGGTTGTTAAATGAGTTTCTTTTTTTAATTTCCCAAATGAATATAGGGGAAATGGCAATATAGCCATAGACTAGAAGAAAGGCCAACATTTTTGTGTTCCTTTTCTCTGTGCTCGTTACCAACACAGCAGAGATAATCTTGAACTCCGGTTCATGATTCTAATCTTGTTTTAAGTGGTTACATAAAGGGTGTACTTTAATGGTAAGTGTACCATTGTTTCATTCAGGATGAAATTTCATAAAAGTAATACATATTTAATTGTATAGCATTTGCTTTTTGTTGGGAAATTGATAAAATGGCGCTTAAGGCAAGATTCAAGGGCTACTGCAAAAATGCAAGCATGTACAAATACACACATACATATACATATACAAATACATATACATATGCAAATACCTATACATACACATAGACATAGACATAGACTCCCCACCATCAGGTTATCCTCACACAAATCAAACTGCTTAGAGCAAAGAAAAGCATTTCCACCACTTTATATAGAACTTATTCAAAATTTTCACTACAGTCCAGATCAATGCTCTTGGATTTCCCTTCATATGACCTAAATTATGGGAGAAATTATACCTGAAAGAGCCAGAGATAAAAGCAGACAAGCACTTTTTACAAGGAAAATTGCAGTAGTAAAAAATGTCATACCTTCTTTATTTTCCCCAAAATAAACCAATGAATAAAATTCCCAACTTGAAAAGTTCTGTACTCTTGGAACAGTTGTTTTACCCAGCAGTTAACTGAAAGCCAGAAGAAGCTGATGCTCTGGACTGCAGATTAAAATGCCATATATGTGAACACCTTATCATTGTTCTCATGATATGGAAACTGCATGTTGAAGAGAGATGTTTAGGTGAAACGTGCTTCTGATCTGAGTGTGAACAATGGTTCATTTTGAGAATCTGAATCTGGAATCTCACATGCCTACCCCTAGAGTATACACAGGACCTAAGAATCACAGAAATAGCAATACCATGTGCCTCCTTGTGAGGTCACCCACCACTAATGAGCACCATAATGAGCACGGAGATTCTCACAGATTAGGCATCAGCCTGCTAACGCTTACCCGCCAGGGTCCCCTCAAGGGAAGCTACTTAGACTAGAGCCTAATAAAGACATCTGTGCTTGTCTCCACTCAGAGGCAACTCCCAAAGAAACAGTCATTTGTAAGGATTCTTTTTTACATGCCATAATGTTCTTGCACATGAAAAACATCCAAATGTTCGTGGGTTAAAATAGTCGGGCATTATATGCTCTGGGATGAATCATTAGTCCTTTGATCATGTGATTCTTCATTTAATTCTCTCATAGACTCTCTTTATAAAATGTGATATGCATATTTCTCTCTACTATACGGTATTTGAGCAGATAGCAATATTTTTAGCCTCTGATTATGCCCACAAATAGAAAACAAAATAGGACCTTGATCTATTGAAACATCCAGCCCCCAAAATATTGGCTGCAATGTCAAACTCACCCTTGAACACTCAGGAAACTGCCTTAATCATAGTACAGAATCAAAGACCTAATTTCTCCTACTCTGACGCACAGGAAAAATCAGAGAATTCAATTTCAGGTCTATTTAATAGAAGGAATGTCTAGGTGTTTCCTCATAAAATGCATACTTGTAAAAAATTTGATATGTAGGTATGCAAGGTTATGTGCAAATACACATAGTTTATTCCGATGTAATTCCATACTTGTTTTATTGAGATTAATGTATTCCATTTGCTTTCTTCTTTCAACCAAGGCCATCAGTATACAACATGGAAAAGTAGGTACACTTCAGATTAAATTCAATGATCAGCCATCAAGTTGCACCTGAAATTATGCTCAGTGTAAACAGCAGGGGCCAGGGAGGGCAAATGTTATTAAAATTCACCAGCTCCCATCCTTTTCTCTGGGGGAAGTAGGCATGTATATAAATAAATAAATATGAAACCTGGGCAAAACAGGGACTTCCACATTTTTAAGGCTCTTCTCAGCAGAGTGATAAGAACCAAATAAACAATATGTCTGACTTCAAAAACCTTTATAGGTAATGTAAGACGTTTACTGAAGGTTTCCTTGAGGGCAGAGTGGCAACAAAAGGACTCAATCAACTGCACACAATAATACTTCCTAAAAATTCTCTTTACCCATATCTCTCCCCAAAGTTATACTCTATGTGACTCTGCCCAAATCTCTCTGTCTCTTCAGAAATTCCACCTTCCTCCAGCTCTCAGCCTCCCTGCATCTCATCTCTCCTCTTTCCTACCTCTTTCTTTTCTCTCTGTCCTTTTCTCTCTCCCATGCTGTGTGCAAAACAGTTTTCCCTGCTCTCTTCTTCAGTAATACATCCCTACCAATGACTGTGAGGAACTCCACAAAGGCCTGCAGCAGAGCATCCAGGAAAAAGTTTGCAAATTCTGCTGAAGTTGGGCTTATTGTGATGTCATTTACATAGAGTAAAATTCATCCTTGTAGGATATAAAAGTCTGATGAGCTTTTATAACTATGTATAATCATATAACCACCACCACTATCAATCAGCATTATCGAGAAAAGTTTCTCATGCCCCTTTGCAGTAAACCTCTTCCTCTCCATTATCCCTGGAAAACACTTACTGATTCACTTACTATAGTTTTGCTCTATTCAGAAGTCAACCGGTATTAGTCTGTTAGGGTTGCCATAACACAATAGCACAAGCTGGGTGGCTTAAACAAAAGAAATGTATTGTCTCACAATTCCAGAGGCCAGAAGTCTGAGAACAAGGTGTCAGATAAATTAGTATCTTCTGAGGTCCTGGAGGGAAGAATCTGTTCTACACCTCTCTCTTTTGCTTGTAGGTGGCTTTTCTCTCAGCATGTCTTGACATTGTGTCTGTCCCCAGATTTCCCCTTTCAATAAGGACACCCATCATATTAGATTAGGGCCCATCTTAATAACTTTCTGATTTTAACTTAAATACTTTTGTAAAAGACTATCTCCAAGTAAGGTCACATTCTAAGGGACTGGGGGTTAGGACTTCAACTCATAAGTTTTAGGGAATACAATTTAACCCATACATCATATAATAAAATGATACAATATGTAGCCATTTCTTTCTGGCTTTTGTCATATAGCATATTACGAATACTTTTGAGAATTACCTATTTTGATGCATATAGCCGAAGCTTGTTCTTTTATTGCTACGTAGTATTCCATTTTATGGGTAGACCACCATTTTTATTTTTATTCATTGGATTCGTGTTTGGGAAACTCCATTGTCTCCAGTTTGGGGTTATTATTAATAATCATTTGCATATAGATCTTTGTGTGTACACATGCCTTCACTAGGTAATATCTAAGAGTGGGATATAGGGGTCATGGAAGTGAGTGTATTAGCTTGTTCTTGCATTGCTATAAAGGAATACTTAAGACTGGGTAATTTAGAAAGAAAAGAGATTTAATTGGCTCACAGTTGTATAGGATGTACAAGCATAGTACTGGCATCTACTTAGCTTCTGGGTAGGCTTCAGGGAGCTTTTACTCATGGTGAAAGGCAAAGCAGATATAGAGATGTCATATGGTGAGAGCAAGAGCAAAAGAAAGAGTGGGGAGGTGCCGCATACTTTTAAGTAACCAGATCTCACAAGAAGTCACTATAGTGAAGACAGTACCAAGGGGATGGCATTATCCATTCATGAGAAATCTGTCCCTGTGATCCAGTCACCTCCTACAGGGTCCCACCTTCAACACTGGGGACCACAATTCAACATGAGATTTTATGGGGTCAGAGATCCAAATCATATTGTTCTGTCCCTGGCCCCCAAATCTCATATCCTTCTTACATGGCGAAATGCAACCATCTTCTGCCACTAGCCCCCAAAAAGTCTCAGCTTGTTTCAGCATCACTCAAAAGCCCAAAGTCCATAGTCTCATCTGAGACAAAGCAAGTCTCTTCCACCTACAAGCCTGCAAAATCAAAACACATTATTTACTTCCAAGATACAGGCATTGGGTAAACATTCTGTACTATCCTGTTTTAACTCTGCTAATAAACACATACCTGAGACTGGGTAAGTTATAAAGGAAACAGGTTTAATTGCCTCACAGTTCCACATGACTGAGGAGGCCTCACAACTGTGTATGGAGGAAGGTGAATGAGGAGGAAAGTCACATCTTACATGGCAGCAGGCAAGAGAGCTTGTGTGGGGAGCTCTCATTTCTAAAACCATCAGATCTCCTGAGACTTATTCACTACCATGACAACAATAAGGGGAAACCACCCCATGATTCAGTTATCTTTACCTGGCTTCACCGTTATGATTCAAGATGAGAGTTGGGTGGGGACACAGCCAAACCATATCACATTCATATTCTCAAAGGGAGAAATGAGCAAAAAGAAAGGGGATACAGCCCCCAGTTGAGTCTGAAACCCAGCAGGGCAGTCACTAAATCTTAAAGTCCCAAAATAATCTCCTTTGACTCCACGTCCCACATCTAGGGCACACTAGTGCCAGAGGTGATCTCCCAAGGCCTTGGGCAATGAGTGTTTAATTTTATAAGAAACCAACCAACAATTTTCTACTATTTTGCATTCTCATCAGCATTGTAAGGGGTTCAGGTTGCTCCACATCTTCATCAGCATTTTGTATTGTCCATATTCTTTAGTTTCATCATTTTAGTAGATTTATTGTGATATCTCATTTGGTTTTAGTTTTCATGAACACCTTCCAATGTGCTTATTCATTTGTTGTATTTTTATTGGATTGTTGGCCCTTTTATTGAGTAGCAAAGGTTCTTTGTACATTTCTTTATGTAGTCTGGATACAAGACCTTTGTAGATAACATGTTGATATATTTTGAATTTGTGTCCCCCTCCCAAATCTCACGTTGAATTATATTCCCCAGTGTTGGAGGAGAGGCCTGGTGTGAGGTGACTGGATCATGGATGCAGATTTTCACCCTTGCTGCTCTTGTGATAGTGAGTGAGTTCTCATGAGATCTGGTTGTTTAAAAGTGTGCAACATTTCCGCTTTGTGCTCTTCCTCCTGCTCCAGCCATGTACGTCCTGCTTCCCCTTTGTCTTCCGCCATGGTGTTTTGAGTTTCTTGAGGCCTCCCTAGCCATGTTTCCTCTATAGCCTGTTGTACTGCGAGCCAGTTAAACCTTTTTTCTTTATAAATTACCCAGTCTCAGGTAGTTCTTTATAGCAATGCAAGAATGGACTAATACACATATCTTGCAAATACTTCCCCACAGCCTGTGGTTTGTCTTTTCATTTTCTTAATAATGTCTTCTAAAAAGAAAAACAAGTAGTTCTATCTTATTATCTTAATATTTTATTCTTGTCCCAGAAAAAATGAGAAGAACTTAAGATCTGAATGAATAGCTGTAAAACAATTTATTAACTCCAAATGTTGAATGAAAATGTAATGAAAAAATGGGCATTTTAATTGTAACAACTCCCTGTAACTCCCAGGGTTCCCCATATTTCTTGAAAATTTACCCCTATTAATCCTACTTATATCATAGTTCCTCAATATTCACATCATTGATTGTTTTTAATAGTCAATTTCTTGGTGCCTTGACTTTTTGACAATGGTCTTTTTCTTTTTCATATTTCAACCACTCATTCTTATGGTCATAACTCCAGTGATGTCATCTGCAGCCTCCTCCTCCATGTTCTCTGACCACCATCTCCTGTCACCCTCCTCATTTTCTCTAGCACATTGCTTTCAATGATCCTTCAACCCTCTTAACACGTTCAATGCATCGATCTTGTCAATGGGGCATTGCCAACATTTCTGGGGCCTAATGCATATTGTAAATATGGGCTCCCTAGTACAAAAAGCAAGGAAAACGCAAAACAATGCAGTTAAAGATTCAAACATTAAATATTTTCCTTTCTTCTATGGTCTTTCTCACAATGAGTGATGGTGTTATTTTAATTGTGATTTAATGTGGCATTCCCTCAGACTCAGGTGAATGCAGAGTCTCATAGGCACCTGGACACCATGCCCTGTGACTGTGTGCTGAGGCCCACCAGCTGCCTGAGCAACATGCTGTGCCCCAGCCTGGGACATGGAGATGAAACTCTCCTCCCAACAGGCCCACTACCCTGAACCACAGACGATGGGTGTTCCCCAAGAGATGGCAACCACTTCAACAAGATACACTCAACACGTGGATTGGGGTGAGCAAGAGGCAAAGTGCTCATCAAATGCACTGTGGCACTGCCAGCACAGAGTTAAAGTGCACTGCCCCAAAATGTGTCAGGTCACATATGCGCAACTCTGGAGCCTGGGTCCAGGCCTCTGCCAGGGATGGACAGTGGTTCTGGTAACTGGTAAGGGAGCATGCAGGAACTGTCTGGCTGGCACCTAGAGCACCAGGGAGCTGGGGCAGTAGTGGTGGCTAGGTAGAGTGAGAAGAGGGGGCCCTGGTGGGTCTTGGGAGGCCATGGAGTTGGAAAGTGGGCCGCTGAGAACCCATCCCTTGAAGGCAGGGAGGTGGCAGGAGGCTGAACTGTACATGAGCCAAGGGATCAAGCCTCCAAGTTCCTACTATGTGTTCCATTGCCTCTTCTGACATCCCTGCCAAAGCGTAGAGTCAAAGATAAAATGATTAATGATTTCAAGGTGGCAACTGCAGAGTATTAAACCAAACATGGGGTCCTCCTGAATACAGGGCCCTGTGTGACTGCATAGGTCACATACCCATGAAGCTGGCCTTGTTTGCCATGATTGTGCACTCCTGACTTCAATTCTGTGGTCCTTCATCCTAATTATTTTTTACCTTGCCTCCCACCTACATATAACCTGACCCAACTTGTATCTTGGCCATAGCCCTCTCTTCTACTCAGGATCTGGTCTGAAACAAATCTCTGCTGATGGAGAAAAAACTCCATCCTTGTGGCAAATGATAGGATTTCCCCTTTTTTGGCCAACTAACCTTCCATTGTCTATCTATACAAGATTTTGCAGAGTGCAAAGATACTTCTTTGACATACTGATTTCCCTTCTTTTGGATAAATACCTAGCAGCAGGATTGCTGGGATCATATGCTGATAACTAATGTCACTTTTTATATGTTCTCTAACACCAACTGGCACCTAGAAATTCTATGCATGTGCCTGGTTCTTTTTTTTTTTTGTCTGAGACAGAGTCTGGCTCTATCACTGAGGCCGGAGTGCTGTGGCGCGATCTCGGCTCACTGCAAGCTCTGCCTCCCAGGTTCATGCCATTCTCCTGCCTCAGCCTCCGTAGTAGCTGGGACTACAGGCACCTGCCACCACGCCCGGCTAATGTTTTTGTATTTTTAATAGAGACAAGGTTTCACCGTGTTAGCCAGGATGGTCTCGATCTCCTGACCTCGTGATCCGCCCGCCTCAGCCTCCCAAAGTGCTGGGATTACAGGCATGAGCCACTGTGCCTGGCTGTGCCTGGTTCTTTCACTCTCTGATTGTCTTAGCAGAATTCCCCTCTCCTTGAACTTCCCATATGTGTCCCTCCTCCTCAGCCTCCTGTCATGAGGCTCCAGCTCCATGTTGTTCTTTTCATATCCCCTTGCTTATGCTCTAATCCAGCTTGTCCCCACCATTTCCCAAGACTGTTCTCATCAATGACATCTGTGTTAGTCCATTCTCATGCTGCTAACAAAGACATACTCAAGACTGGGTAATTTATAAAGGAAAGAGGTTTAAGTGACTCACAGTTCAGCATGACTGGGGAGGCCTCAGGAAACTTACAATCATGGCGGAAAGGGAAGAAAACACATTCCTCCTTACATGGCAGACAAAGGAGAAGTGCCTAGCCAAAGGGGGGAAAAACCCTTATAAAACCATCAGATCTCATGAAAACTCACTCACTATCATGAGAACAGCAGCATGGGGGTAACTGCCTCTGTGATTCAAGTATCTCCTATCAGGTCCCTCCCAGGACATGTGGGGATTATAGAAACTACAATTCAAAATGAGATTTGGGTGGGGACACAGCCAAACCATATCAACATCCTCTTTGCTAACTGTTTCAGTCCTCCTCTGATGAAGTGCACCAGCTGACTTCACAGAGTGCTCTTCTTACTTTGCTTTTCTCCTAGTTTGCTGGCTTCCCCTACAGAAAACGCTTCTCAGAAACTTCCTTATCTCCTTGACTTCTAAGCCTAAAGAGCTCCAGGAACTGAGCAGGCGTGGTGGCTCGCGCCTGTAATCCCAGTATTTTGAGAAGCTGAGGTGGGAGGGTTGCTTGAGGCCAGAAGTTCAAGACCAATCTGGGCAATAATGCAAGACCACCATCTCTCCAAACACACACACACACACACACACACACACACACACACAGTTTTAAAATTAGCAGAGCATGGTGTTGCACACCTGTAGTCCCAGCTATTCGGGATTCCTTGAGCCCAGGAGTTAGAGGTTGCAGTGAGCCATGATTGTATACTGCACTCCAGCCTGTGCATCAGAGGACCCAAACTCAAAAAAAAAAAAAGAATTCCAGGGCTTAGCGGCTCAGCTTTGTACTTCTTTATTTTCTATCTATACCCCTTTGCCAGAGAAAAGCAGTCTCTCATATGGATTTAATAGTATCAGACTATCTATAAAAATATCACTCCCAAATCTCCTCTTTATGATTCATATAATTTCCAGGTAGTAAATGCTGTCAAGCTTTTCAAGCAGAATTTAGACTTCCCGTGTTTTGCCTCTGTGTTTCCCTGTGTAAGCCCAGAAGACAATGTGGACTTTTGTAGTAGGCTGAATAATGATCCTGGAAGATAGCAGGTCCTAATCCCTATGAGGTTATTTTCTATGGCTAAGATTATGCAGGTATGATTAGATTAAGACTGCCCCCCCTACCCTGATCAGAGGATTGTCCTGAATTATTTGGTGGAGGCTCTAAATGTAATCAAAACTGTCCTCATAAGAGAAAGGCACAGATATATTTGAATACAAGTAGAGGAAAATATGATGTGAAGACAGAGATAGAGATTTGAGTGATGTGGCCACAGGCCAAGGAATGCTAGCAGCCACCTGAAGTTGGTAGATGAAAGGAAAAGATTCCCTCTGCCCTATCAACACCGTGATTTCAGCCCAGTGATACTGATTTCAGACTCCTGGATTCCAGAACTGTGCGATAATGAATTTTGGTGGGTTTAAGCCACGTAGTTTGTGGTAATTTATTTCAGCAATAAATTACTAGAAACTAATAACATTTATCTAGGATCTGTGATGGCACAGGAGGGAAGACTGGGGAAAGCTGCAGATGACCTGGAGGACTGAGGATCCGTTATCCCCTGACTGACAATGAGCATTCTGATAAAAATTAGATGTGGCACTAGACTATCAGGGTGAGAAGTTTTCAGTCTGCAGGTTACTATTTAATTTCACTGGGGGCCGTAATAACTTTCTAGATGTATGTATCTTTCAATAGTATATCCTCTGCCTGAAGATAAGATCAGTGATTATACACATATGACAACATTAATGTCACATCTCATTTCACCAGACCAATGTGGTAATTTTCCATGTTGTTTTCATGCACTTAGCAAGATTAATACCACACGCTTTAGGTTTGTTATCCCTCAGTTGTAGTACATATATTAGGTTTTAGTAGCATTTACTAAGAGCCTGGCCATTTCCAGGAGTACAGTAGTTCTCTTTAACTGTAGTTTTACTTTCCACGCTTTTAGCTACCTGAGGTAAAATACAATAAGATATGAGAGAGATAGAGAGATGGGGGAGGAGTGAGAGAGAGAGACCACACTCACATAACTTTCATGAGAATATATTGTTATAACTGTTCTATTTTATTATAGTTATTATTGTTCATCTCTTACTAAAATTAAACTCTATTGTGGGTATGTATGTAGGAAAAAAAAAACACTGCATACAGGGTTCAGTACTAGCTGTGGCTTCAGGCATCCACTGGGAACCTTGGAACGTATTTGCTGTGGTTAACCAGGGACAACTAGATATGAACTAGACCCACCAAGTAACATAAATCCAACAGTGCAACCTATAAACAAAACTGCAAAGTACTGTAAAAATTGGCATGTGCAATACATATCTAAATTCCAGCGGAACAGATCCGAAATAATCTACCAGAAGCAAACTATGAAAGGAGGTAATGTGAGTTCATGACAAGTAACCCAGAGAAGCCATCAAGAAACCTGAGCTCTCCTTTGATATACATTTTCTAACTTACTTGCTGCGTCACTTTAGACTGGTCCCTTAACAACTCTGGGACTTACTTTCCTCACCTATAAAACTTAATTCTAACTATACATTTCCCAAGTCTAACAATCTACGATTCTATCTAAATATTTTGTACAATTGCTGGTACTTATTACTTTTAAAGATTTCTTTTCTATATAAATCATCTTTGTCTTGGCATCACGCAATTAGGGGTTCTGTCAGTGCCCTCAAGTTGGCTTTTCCAACTTAGGCCTAAGTGGAGCTGTCCTCGGGAGCCCTGCCCTCCAGAGGACACGGGATCTCATTGGATTCTCTTGTTCCTGGCCCCAGGGTCTGAATAACATCTCCACCTGATTCTGCTTTTCACAGGAATCTCAGATCCTGGTTTTTAGGTGATACAGAACCCTCACAGTGAATTTCCCCATCACCTTCTGATAGAATTTGGGTAGTTCCCAGAGAGCTAATTATGTCTACAAGGGTTAATTGGAGTAGGTTAACTACACTCTGTTAAAATCAGCATTGAGATTTAAGCCATTTTTGTGGCATGTTCAAATCTCTCTCTGTGTCTCACACACACACACACACACACACACACACACACGCACACACACACACACACATTAGCAGTCCCAGTCAAAACAACTTCCATAATAAAATCTTTAAACATAAATTCTTCCCAAACTGAAATCGGGTATTGACAGCAGAAATACCACCTTCAGTGGTATTTTTATTTCCCAATCTTGTCAGAAGTGCTAGGTATTTTTGTAGTCTCCAATAAAAACCCACTTTTCCTTTGAAGTTTCCATTAAATTCTCTTGGAAGTGTACAAGAAGGAAATGGGTTCTCCACAGATACAGACTTACAGACATACTTTTTCCAGACATATTAGCAGATGGAACAAAATGAAATATGTATAACTGATTAACAGTTCAGAAGGACCACAAGGCACACCATCATATTTGCACAAGGGGAAAAATATCTCTGGATTTTTCTGGTAACAGAAGAGACGTAGTAGAGATACAGGTTAGGTTTATTGAGTTGTGCACTCTTAGATGCCATAGATGGGATAAACTATGAGGAGGAAGTTGATTACACAACAGTGGAGATTATAGAGACCAATGACACTCTTAATTTGATGGAAACGCCAGTCCTCAGCCCTCCCATGCTTAACACAAGGCAGACAGATGCATATCAATCCTACCTATGTAATTCTGGACAAGCTCTTTATCTTTTCTAAGAGGAGCTAAAAAGAACTCCTACAGAATAGAGTTATGTGAAACCGAACCAAGACGTGGGAGGTAGTTCTTAGTGCATGTCTGAACGCAGCAAACACTCCCTGAACAGCAGTGCTTTTGACAGCAGTGGCAGCAATAGCCGTTACCATGCACCAAGCTGGGATCTGAAGGTGTTGTGTGGGAGTGGTAGGGCACAGGGGGAAAACAGACCCACCAGGGTTGGTGCAAAGCCTGAAGATAGGAGAGTAATAGAACTCAGACTTCTTGAAGAAGCCCATTTTGTTTTGAGGTGACTAATTTTTAAAATCTTGACATTATTAAATTTCAAACCTCTGGTTCAAAGGCTTTTCTCTGAGCCAACTAGAGCCAAAAAACAACAACAAAAAAAAACCCGATCCTAAATATATCTAACAGCCATAGCAATTTGGCAATATTGCTCAAGAGCTCTAAGGAGGTATTACATTATGACATGGTAATTCCACCTCTTATACCCTTCACCAAGAAATATTCAAGATATAGATTGAGTTATATGGAAAATGTTTATCTCTGGCACTATTTATAGCAGAGAAAAACTAAAAACTCTCTAAACAGCTTACAATAAAGGAATAGTTAAATTGGTTGTGATACAGTCATAAGATAAAATATATCTATTTAAAAATATTTAAGCACAAAAAGAAATATATAAATAGAAATGTATATATTTATACTAAATCAGTCACTGCTCATTTTTGGATTGTGTAATCTTCGGTAATTTATCTTTCCTTTTTTTTTTTTGAAACGGAGTCTCGCTCTGTTGCCCAGGCTGGAGTGCAGTGGCATGATCTCAGCTCACTGTAAGCTCCACCTCTTGGGTTCATGCCATTCTCCTGCCTCAGCCTCCCGCCACCACACCCGGCTAATTTTTTTGTGTTTTTAGTAGAGACAGGGTTTCACCGTGTTAGCCGGGATGCTCTCCATCTCATGACCTCATGATCCGCCCACCTCGGCCTCCCAAAGTGCTGGGATTACAGGCGTGAGCCACTGCGCCGGGCCTATGTTTCCTTTTATATATGCATTTTGTACTTCCAAAGATTATTTTATTAATATTGCATTTGTTTTTATAAGTGATAAAATTAAGTTGTATAAAATAAGTTTTAAAAATAGAACCGTATTATAAAGTGCTTGATTAACATGTGTTTCTACATTTGTTGAGTGCCTGCTACAGAGGGTTCAGGCCCTCAAAATACCAAAATCAGTGAGGTACTCTACACATCCTCAAAGAGCTCAGAAAGAGATATAATCTTATTTAAAAGTGTTTATCCATTTAGTCACATATGTTTACCAATGCACATCTGTTTAGTGCCAGTATTCACTAGGTCCTTGACAAAATCCACACTTCTGACAAAAAGAAAAAAACACCCTCAGCATCAATAATTAAGGCACTGATGCTGAAAAAAAGAGACTATACAAAAATTATTTTAAATTTATCTGCATAAAGACAATGAATAATATTTCAAATGGCAAATAAAATGTTTTTACAAACAATTATAGGAAATATCATTTAAAATGTTTGCCAAGAATGAGACCCAATTACTAAATGTATTGGAGAATTCTCTAAGATGCATTAACATGTATGATCTAGAGTTCATTGTTATGAATATCTTCATTTCAGGCACATATTAATTAGATTTTCTTATATTTCTTAGTTATAAAACACATTTAATCAATATACTTTTGAGAACAAATTAGCAAAACATTCAATTTGATTATGAAAGGTTATGTTATGTATTTTAAATTTTAATCATTATATATTTCTTATGTTTCTCATCTGTAAATCTTATGATTGCTTTAATATAGCCAAAGGTCAAAGTGAAAGAGCCATAAAATTATTCATGCAGAATATGTGCATCACGGAGGATTTTTGTAGAATTAGACTTAGGGTCTGAAGACAATGAGTCAGATTTTATTCCTTACCATGGTGCCAATTTTAATATAGTGGACTAAGTATTTTTGGAAAAGTTTGCTCACATTAATAAATTGTTGAGTGTTTTGTTCTTCTGCACAGTGGAGCTATATAAGGGAAAAGGTGGACAGAGCTCTGGAAACTTGGTGTCAGGAACAGAATCTCCTTTCTTTCCAATCCCAACTTCCCTATCAAAACAGCTATTGAGGACCATACAAAACAGGGCTCAGTGGAAACTTTAGGGTATGTTGGAGCTTCTGAGAAAAGATTCAGTGTGGGAACTCTCTTTCTGTCCTATGAGGTCTCCAGGACAGTTTGGGAAACCAGGATCAAAAAGGCCTGACAGATGGACTTCTGGTGGGCAGCCCGAGGAGCAGTGTGGACAGCCTCCGTAGTGAAACTGCTGAGAATTAGAAAAATGACAATCTAAAGTTTCTGGAAATGTACCTAAGAACATACAGCAAATGAAAAAATATACATACGTAATTGAAAAAACCTACTCAAATTTGCTAAGAACAGTAAGCACCTGTGGTGTTTGAACCACGGTCCACTCCCTCCTTTCCCCATGCCAACTCAGTATGATGGAAACTCCTCTCCAAATAGGTATAGCCAAGAATACAGGAATCCTCTCCACACAGTTCCAATTGCAGGGCTGTGGTATCTCTTCAGGAGGGGCAGTACATCAAAATTGCTCACTGTGCTCCAGCTACGTATTGCAGAGGCTAAGTTCCAAACAGGCACAGCCAAGAGGTAAGAGCGCCATTCTTCTGCCCTGCCCCAACTTATGGGATAGGGGCTCTATCTTGGGTGTAGTGTTTAGAATATTCTGAGACGCAGATGGCCACCTCTCTGTCCCACTCAGAGAGAAACAAACTGAGAAGACCTGAGGCTTCAGCCACAACTGCCCCATCCCTATACCTAGTTGATTGCTCACTTCCTAAGAAGTGTCAGAGAGAAATGCACTGCTGTCCCTCCGCTCAGCTTAGAGCCCTGACTCAGAGATTTTGCCCCAGGGTAGAGGCAGGCCGTAAAACAGAGCGGTCCACATTTTTTTTCCTAAAGGAACTGCCTGAATTGCAACAGCATGGGAAAGTTAAGCCTAGGAGCACTAAATCAATGGACTGTGTGGCTTAAGGTAATTAAAAGGAAGCTGGCAGGCTATTTAGACATGTAAGCTAAATCCTTATATGGATATTTTACCAGAAGAAATCAGGGAAATAGATAGCTAAGGAAAGACATTCTGTGGCAAAAACAATCTCAAACACAGACCTCAGAAACTCCCCCTACAGGAGCCTGAATTTAGTTGGATCACTCTGTGGAGCAGTATATGCCCTAGGTCCTTATTGAACATAATGGAGCAATCAGCCAGAAATTCATGGAACTTAACAGTTACATGTGGTCAGAAAAAAAAAAGACTATCAAAGATGGCTCTGCCAAAACCATCATTAATCCAGATGACAATGCATATGCCCAAGGTTTCATTTTCAAGGGGAAGGATCAGAAGCTTTATACTGTGGGGATGAGTAGGCTTCACTAAAATAATTAAGGTAGTCACTGAGTGAGTAATAATAAGTCTTAGAGAGGTGGGTGTGAGGGGCAGATATCCAGAATGCAATAATACATTATTTTAAATGTCTGAGATATATACACACACACACACACACACCCATGCACACACACAAACACACACACACACACACATATATATATATTTAGAGATAGACAGATAGATATAGTGATGTAACAGGACAATTGGACATAAACCTGAGAAAAAAAGGTGAGAGTGAATGGGTGTCAGATTTAACAAAGACTTCTAAATAGCCATTATAAATATATACAAAGAACTAAAGAAAACCATGCTCAAAGATATAAAATAATACTTTCTGATGATAATGTTACAACAGTTAAGAAATCTCAATGAAGAGACTGTATTATTTTTAAAAATAGAAATCTTGGAGCTGAAAAGTACAATAACTGAAAAGAAAAATCCAATAGAGGGGCTCAACAGTAGATTTGAACTAGCAGAAGAAAGGATTATTTAACTTGAAGATAGATCAGTGTAGATTATGCAATCTCAGAACAGAAAGAAAAAATAATAATGAAGAGTAATAAAGCAATTTTTAAATTTTAATAAAGTACGACATATCAATTTTTTTACATGAATTGTGCTTTTAGTGTTGCATCCAGAATCTCATTACTAAATCCAAAGTCATTAAGATTTTCTCCTGTGTTTTATTCTAGAACTTTTGTCATTTTTAGCTCTTACATTTAGTTCTTTGTTCCATTTTGAGTTCATTTTTCCACATGCCATTAGGAAAGGGTTTAAATTCATCCAGATATATATTATTATCCAGTTGTACCAACATTATTTATTGAAAATATATGCTTCCCCATTGAATTGCCTTGACATGGCTGCCAGAAACCATTTGATCATATATGCAAAGGTAAATATTTAGACTCTCAGTTCTGTCATATTGGTATATATTTATATACTTATTCTAGTACCACAGTGTTGGTTATTGTAGCTTTGTAATAAGTTTAGAGGTTAGAAAGTATAAGTCCTCCAATTTTGTTTGTTTTAGCTGAAACATTTTGTTTATTCTAGGACTTTTGCATTTTTATATGTGTTTTAGGAATGCCTTGTCAATTTTTACTAGATACTTTCTGGAATGTTTATACGGATAATATTGAATTTATAGATCAGTTTTGAGAATATTGTCATTTTAATAAATTTGAGCCCTCCAATCCATGAATGTTGAACTCCATTCTATTTGATATGCTGCTGCTACTTTGAATGAATTTTTTTAAAATGCCACTGTTGCTACTATACAGAAAGACTATTGATTTTTATATATTAATGTTGCATCCTGTGACATTCGTGAACTTATTATTTTTGTCAAAATATTACCTTTGCCAGTGTTCTTCACTTCTTCTTGCGGTTTCAAGTTATTCTCTCGGTATCATAACCTTTTATTCTAAACAATTCTGTAGAATTTGTTGTAAGGCTATTTTGTTAGAATTTTTTTCTAGCTTTGTTATTTAGAAATGTTTTTATTTTATTTTATTTTATTTTATTTTATTTTATTTTATTTTATTTTATTTTATTTTATTTTATTTTATTTTATTTTTTGAGTCAGGGTCTTACCCTGTCACCCAGGCAAGCTGGAGTGCAGTGGCGCAGTAGTGACTTACCACAGCCTCTACCTCCTGGACTGAAGTGATCCTTCCACCTCAGCCTCCTAAGCAACTGAAATGACAGGTTTGTGCCACTATGCCCAGCTAACTTTTTGATTTTTTGTAGGGTTGAGGTCTCACTTTGCTACCCAGGCCGTTTTTGAAATCTTGGGCTCAAACAGTCCTCCTGCCTTAGCCTCCAAAAGTGTTGGGATTACAGGCATGAGCCACCATGCACTGCTGGAAATGTTTTTATTTCACCTTAATTTTTGTAAGATATTTTCTCTAATAAAAAATTATTGATTGATGGATTTGAAATTTTTTTCAAGCACTTTGAGCACATCATTCCATTGCCATTTTGCCTACATTTCTCCTGATATAAGCTTAGCTACTAATCTCATACCCCTTCTTTCTCATTAAACACTGTCCTGAGAGATAAAATATTTACTATTGGGTATTTTAGGAAAAAGTTTACTTATTCATTTCCAAATGGCGCTAGGCAGCCTGATTCCTGGAGTGAGGAATACATGGAGTAGAACCCCCAATAGCCAAAATGGATATGTAAGATGAGAAAAAAATTAATGTTTGATGATTTAAGTCACTAAGATTTTTGAGTTATATATGATAAATACATACAATTTTATCTATAATTTTAAAAGTTTATTAAAAATATTTTAAAATGTGTACTAAAATTTTTAAAAGGAAAAAAGATTTTGGAGTTGTTTTTTTGCCATAACATAACACAGCCTTTGCAGACTAGTGCAGAAATTGATGAAATTGATACCTAGAAGGAGAATGCTTCCATCGCAAAAATAATAAGTGTTATTTTATTGGGGCTTTTATAGACTATACAAAAACTGGTACCTAGAAGGAAGGTTCTTTCCTAACAAAAATAATAAAATAAATGTTATTGTATTGGGAACAGAGATTAAGGAAGCTTTTCTGAAAGGCTGGGAAAAAATCAATCCCTATATAACAGTGGTAAACAATTGTTAAAAAAAAGTTATATGAGATAATTTTGAAAGTAATAATACACCTAAAATTTATAGCTTTAAGGTTACAATTTGAAATTACAAGTTAGTATAGTATTTATTAGTGACCACTGGCTGCATTTGAAAAGGTATTTTAAGAGAGAGATGAACTCATTAAATAGTTCCAAGCTGAAATGAAAGAGAATAGAGTCTAGAAATTGGAAGATTTTCATGGTTAATAAAATGAAAATCTCCTCAACAAATATCCGTAAAGAAAAACACTGATAAATCTTTTGAGTAAAAAGATGAATTATCTCAATGTTGCCTGGAGAACCAAAATTACTAGAATGACTGACACACTTATTGTTAAAACTTCCCAATGGTATAATTTATTTCAGAATAAAGATCAAAATAAGGTTGTCAAGACCAGTAAAGCCTTTCAATTAGACAAAATGTTCAAGAAAAGTGAAAATGTGGCTGAGCCTGATTAGGTCAAGATACCCCAAATTAGAACATCTTCAGATTGACTTCTTTCACTTAGTAATATACATTTCAAGTTTCTCCATGTCTTGCAGTGGCTTCATAGCTACTTTTTTTTTTTTTTAACACTGAATAACATTCCATTGCTTGGATGTAACACAATTTATTAATTCACCTACTGAAGAATATCTCAGTTCACTTTCAATTTGGCTGATAATGAGTAAAGTGCTAAAAAGATCCAGGTGAAAGTTTTTGGGTGGCCATAAAGACAATTCCTTTGGGTAAATACCAAGAAGCATGATTACGGGATTGTATAGGAAGATGTTCAGTTTTGATAAGAAACTGCCAAACTGTCTTCCAAAATGGCTGTACCATTTTGCCATCCCATCAGTAATAAATGAGAGTTTCTTTTACTCCACATCCTTGCTAGAATTTAGTGTTGTCAGTGTTTTGGATTTTCACCATTTTAATAGGCGTGTAGTGGCAATTCATTGTTGACTTAATTTTTATTTTAGGTTGCAATTCTTTAATGGTATATGATATTGAACACCTTTTTATATGCCTAAATGCCATCTGTATATCTTTTTTGGTGAAGTGTCTTTTAAGGTCTTTTGCCCGTATTTCAAATCAAGTTTTCTTTTTGGTGTTACTGAGTTTTAAGGTTTTGTTTTTTCTATACTTTGAATAACAGTCTTTTATCAGCATGTCTTTTGCAATTTTTTTTTTTTTTTTTTTTTTTTTTTTTTTTGGTCTGTGGCTGGTCTTCTCATTCTCTTGACATGGTTTTTCACAGAACAGAAATTCCAGATTTTAAAGAAGTCCTTAATTGTTTCTTTTTTGTATCATGCCTAAAATATCACAATATCCAAGGTGATCTAGATTTTCTGCTGTTATCTTCTGAAAGTTTTATAATTTTATATTTTACATTTAGATCTAGGATCCATTTTGAGGTAATTTTGTAAAGTGTGTCAGGTCTGTGTCTAAAATCTTTTTTAATACGGATGTGCAGTTGTTTCAGTACCATTTGTTGATAAGATTATCATTGCACTATTATATTGCCTTTGCTACTTCGTCAAAGATCAATTAATAATATATATGTGGGTCTATTTCTGACCTCTCAATTCTGTTCCTTTAATCTATGTGTCTATTATTTCACCAATGCCACACTTCTTAATTATTCTAGCTTTATAGGTAAGTCTGGAAGTTACATAGTTGCAGTCCACACTGACTTTGTTCTTCACCTTCAGTATTGAGTTGGTTAGTTTGGGTCTTTTGCTTCTCCATATAAACTTTGGAGTCAATTTAACAATATCCACAAAATAACTCCCTGGAATTTTTGTTGGGACTACATTGAAACTATAGATTAGTTGGGAATAACTGAGATCTTGACGACAATATTTAGGCTTTCTATCCATGAACACAGATTATCTCCTCATTTTTGTTTTGTAAATTTCTTTTTTCAGGTTTTTATGAGATTTTTAAAATATAGATCTTCTGCATCTATTTTTTAGATTTTTACTTTATTACAAGTAAAATTCATTTTTAAATACATATTTCATTTTTAGAGCTAATGTAAATGGTATTCTGTTTTTAGTATTTTTTAAATCAAACTTTTATTTTAGATACAGGGCACACTGTGCAGGTTTGTCACATGTTGTATGGACATATTTCTTTCAGGTAATGAGCATAGTACCCAAAAGGTAGTTTTTCAACCCATTCCTCCCTTGCACTCCCCACCACCCATAGTCCACAGTGTCTCTGGTTGCCACATTTATGCTTTTGTGTGCTCAATGTTTAGCTCCTACTTACAAGTGAGAATATGTGACACTTGGTTTTCCATTTCTGCATTAATTCTCATTATGGCCTCCAGCTTCATTCATGGTGCTACAAAGAACGTAATTTTATTCTTTTTTATGGTTATGTAGTACTCCATGGTGTGTATGTACCACATTTCCTTTATCCAGTGAAGGACTGATTGGTTCCTAGGTAGATTCCAAATCTTTGCTATTGTGAATAGTGCAGTGATGAACATGCATGCACGTGTATACATCTATTTGGTAAAATGATCTATTTCCTTTTCGATATATACCCAGTAATGGGATTGCTGTGTCAAATGTAGCTCTGTTTTAAGCTCTTTGAGAACTCTCCAAATTGCTTTACACAGTGGCTGATCTAATTTACATTCTCAGCAATAGTGTATAAGCATTCCCTTTTCTCTGCACCCTCACTAGCATTTGTTGTTTTTTGACTTTTTAATAATAGCCATTCTGACTGGGTCTGAGATGGAGTCTCGTTATGGTTTTCATTTGCAGTTCTCTGATGGTTAGCGATGATGAGCATTTTTTAAATGTATTTGTTGGCCACCTGTGCGTCTTATTTTGAGACATGTATGCTCATGTCCTTTGCCCATATTTTTAAAATGGGCTTATTTGTTTTGGGCTTGTTAATTTGTTTAAGTTTCTTATAGATTATGAATGTTAGACCTTTGTTGGATGCATAGTTTGTGAATATTTTTCTCTTATTCTGTGGGTCATCTGTTTACTCTATGAATAGTTCTCTTTACTATGGAAAGCTCTTTAATTAGGTCTCACTGTTTAATTTGTTGTTGTTGTTGCAATTGTTTTGGGGGACTTGGCCAAAAATTCTTTGCTGAGGTTGATGTCAAGAAAGGTGTTTCCTAGTTTTTCATCTACGATATTTATAATTTGAGGTCTTACATTTAAATATTTCATCCACCTTGAGTTAATTGTTGTCTATGGTAAATGTAAGGGTTGAGTTTTATTCTTCTGTATATGGCCAGCATCATTTATTTAATAGGGAGTCCTTTCCTTATTACTTGTTTTTGTTGGCCTTGTTGAGGGTCAGATGCTTGTAAGTGTGCAGCTTTATTTCTGAGTTTTCTACTCTGTTCCATTGGTCTATGTGTTGGCTTTTGTAACAGTACTGTGCTGTTTTGGTCCTAATAGTATAGTTTGAAGTTGGGTAGTGTGATGATTCCAGCTTTGTTCCTTTTGCTTAGGATTGGTGTGGCTATCAAGCTCTTTTTGGGTTCCATATGAATTTCAGAATTTTTTTTTCTAATTATGTGAAGAATGACATTGTTAGTTTGATAGGAGTAGCACTGAATCTGGAAAATTGCTTTGGGCAGGATAGCCATTTTAATGATATTTGCTCTTCCAATCCGTGAGCATGGAGTGTTTTTAGTTTGAAATCCACTTGTTCATTGCTGGTATGTAGTATAGCAACTGACTTTTGTATGCTAACCTTATATCCTGAAATCTTCCTATAATCACTTATTAGTTCCAAGTGGGATTTTTTTTGTAGACTTAAACTTATTCCTAGGTATTTTATTCTTTTTGATACCATTTTCTGCTGTTGGATGAAATGTTCTGTAAATGTTATTTGGGTCCATGTTGTTGCTTAAGCCTCCTGCTTCCTGATTGATTTTCTGTCTGGGTCATCTACCCATTATTGAAAGTGGGTTATTGAAGCCTCCAATTCTCTATTGTATTGCTGTATAGTTCTTCCTTCAGTTCTGTTAATATTTGCTTCATATATTTTGGTGCCCTGATGTTGGATGCTTATATATTTACAGTTGCTATATCCTCTTGATAAATCGACCACTTTATTGTTATATAATTACCTCCTTTTTCTCTATTGATAGTTTTTTTTTTACTTAAAATCTACTTTGTCTGATATAAGTATAGCCATTTCTGCTGCACCTGGTTATCATTTGCATGTGATATCTTTGTCCCTTGACTGTCAGCCTATGTGTGTCCTTAAAGCTAAAGTGAGTCTCTTGTATACACCATATAGTTGGTTCTTTTTTTCTTATCCATTGAGCCACTGCATTTCTTTTTATTGAAGAATTTAATCCATTTACATTTATAGTAATTAATGATAGTAAGGACTTATTACTGCTATTTTGTTAATTGTTTTCTGGCTGTTTGTAGCACCTTCATTCCATTGTTCATTTCTTGCTGTCTTTCTCTGTAATTTGATGATTTTTTTTTTGTATGGTGTGCTTTGATTTCTTTCTCTTTCTCTTTTGTGTATCTACTACTGTTCTTTTTTTGTGGTTACCATGAGGTTTTTCATAAAACATCTTATAATTATCCTGTTTTATGTCAAAGATGTCACAAATTACATCTTTTATACATTGTATATTCATTAATAAATTATTGTAGCTATAGTTACTTTTACTTATTTGGAAATAACAAATATTTATTATTTCTCATGATTCTGTGTGCCAGCTGGCAGTTACTTTTTTCTGGTCAAGTTCTGCTGTGGAGACTGAATGGTCCAGGATGCCTTCACTTACTGATAGTGGCGAGGCTGTTGGTCTCAAGTGGCCTCAGCTGGGTAAGTTTGTCTTTGCTCCACTATGCGTTATCTAATTAGCTCAAATTGTACTGGCTCTGCCCTTTTATGTACAGCAAAGACCTCCAGCATCCCCCTAGACTCTTAAACACACATCCAGTTATTTATTTTTTGAGTCTTGGTTGGAGTCTCACATAAGCTCATCACTTGTCATCTGAACTTCTTCCTCTTCAGTACTCTTGTGGAAATGTGTTTCCCACAAAACCACTGCAGGTTGGTGTCTACACCCTACCACAGCTGGTGATGTTCCCACTCTGTGAGAATACTGCTGTTTGTGTCAAGGGAATACTCTTCCTAGGTTCCTAATGCTGAAAATCCTCAAGGTATCAATACATCACCTCATTCCCTAGAGTTCTTGATATACCTACCAAAGCCAGGTCTTTTGTGTTTATTTTATTTTAAGTTCTGGGGTACATGTGCAGGATGTGCAGGTTTGTTACATAGGTAAATATGTGCCATGGTGGTTTGCTGCACCTATCAACCCATCACCTAAGTATTAAGCCCAGCATGCATTAGCTATTTTTCCTGATGCTCTCCCCTCCACCACTTTTAATTTTTTTAACTTTTATACTACAGTTAAAAGTGGCTTACACACTACCATACAGTATTAGAGTATTTTGTAGTTGATATTTTTACACTTCAGTGACTTTTATACTTTCATTTGTTTTTCTTTTTTCTTTTTTTTTTTTTTTTGAGACAGAGTCTCACTGTGTTGCCCAGGCTGGAGTGCAGTGGCATGATCTCGGCTCACTGCAAGCTCTGCCTCCCGAGTTCACACCATTCTCCTGCCTCAGCCTCCTGAGTAGGTGGGACTACAGGCGCCCACCACCATGCCAGGCTAATTTTTTTGTATTTTTAGTAGAGACAGGGTTTCACCGTGTTAGCCAGGATGGTCTCGATCTCCTGACCTCGTGATCCGCCCGCCTCAGCCTCCCAAATTGCTGGGATGACAGGTGTGAGCCACCGTGCCCGGCGTTTGCTATTGTTTTTATTTCAACTTGAAGAACTCCCTTTAGCATTTCTTGTAGGGCAAGTCTAGTAATAATGAACTCACATAGCTCTTATTTGTCTGGGAAAGGTTCTGGGTGAGCAGCTTTGCTGCTGGAGTCCTCAAAAGGTCCAGCCTGATGCCTGGGTCAGTGGGTGGCACAGCTAGAGCCTGGACTTCAGTGGCAGGCCTGGATCCTGGGTCTGTTGAGGCCATCCTAGACCTTGGTCTTCAGGGACTAGCCTGGCACTAGATGGGCCTGGACCCTGGGTCTGCTATTATAGATCTGGTACCAGGTTTCACTGGGATGACCTGGAGCTGGGGTTTGTAGCAAAGTCAGGTGCTCACTTCGTTCTCCTTCCCCCACATGGAGGATATCTCTCTCCATGCTGTACTGTGTAGGCTTGGGGCTGGGGTGATGAAGGCAATACAAAACTATCCTTCCTACCCTCTTTAATGCATCTTTTCTTATTTCTGTGCTATCCCCAGGTGCTATAATCTCTTACCTGGATTCTTTAGCCCTTGTGAAAATATTGTCATGTGTGGATAGTTGTTCAAATTGATGTTTTGGAAGGCGACAAGTATCACTCTCCCTGTATTGCTTCATAGAGGTAAGTGCACATTTTATTTTGCCCCAAGATGTGGGAATATCTGACTCTATCTTGTAGTGGAGAAAGGGGAGGCAAGAGTCAGAGGAAATTTGCATGAGTAATATTCAAGCCAGGCATTGAAAGATACATGGGAATTTAACAATAAGTAATGTGTGACAGAGGTAATTGTTTAGGGTTATGGGAGGCAGAAGTTATGGAAATGGACAAATCACAGAGGACTGTGTATGCCACAAAAAGCGGTTTGGACATTTAGTCATAAAGCATGAAAGAGCCATTGAAAGATGTCAAGACCCATGCTCAGATTTGGAAAATGAGCTAGAATGAAAATTCAATGTGCAGAGTGAAGAATGAATCAGTGGCAGAAAGGGGGAGAAAGCAAAAGGATAGAAAAGAGGTACTGAAGAATATTCTATCAAATAAATAAAGTTTCCTCACATGGCTCACTTCTTTGGAACTTATGGTGGGTCCATAATTATATGATCATTGCTTCTCATATAATAATTACTTCCAGAATTTTTCTGACCAGTGACATCATACTAACTTCTAAAATTTGCAGATCCTCCCTCTTTATATTTTTATTTTCACACATTGGGATCTCTGTTTATATCTAGTCTTTTAGCTCATTCCCCTCTAGGGCCAGCATCTATCTAGCTTTCTTATTTCCATCAACCAGTTATTTTAGCAGCCTTTTTGTTATTTATCTCACAAGATATTTGAAATATAAATTTTAGAAAATTTGTTTTGTTTTACCAATGTTTGTTCCACCTGTTATGATTAAACATTTTTTTCCTCCCCATAAAAACAAACCAAAGAAAGAAGATAGTAAACAGGATATTAAAGTGGGCCTTAATTTAAGTAAAGCTGAAGTAATACAGCTGTGATACTAAGTATGTTTGAATAATATGTTTGAATAATTGTGTGATGTTTTTTGACAAAAATAGTTGATTGGGGAAAAAAATCTCATGACAACTTCTTTGCAATCTTGATGTACTTTCATGGATCATTCAAATGACATTTCCCAAACTGTATCTACTGAACATAGTAACTATTTGAACAAGTTTGCATACGAACAATTGTCAAAATAAATCTACCTAAACCGAAATGATTTTACTGTCTTCATATTCTCAAATTCTCTTTTTGACTCAGGTTTAGGTATCAAGGAGGTCTGTATGGCATGTCTAATACCTTGGAAGAAAATTGCCCTGTGTACTAAAAGAAAACAAAGATTCAATTCCTGCTGTATCATAAAAGTCTAAAGATGCATCTTCTACAACCCTAGTATGTTTGCCTTTCTTCTCCTTAGTTGGAGTGGTCAAGTAGCTTTCTCAGTATAGGCTAGAAATAACTCCTGTTGGAATATCTTCAGAGAGGGGTTAACATATTGATAAATGCACTTGAGTATAGCTGAAGGTATCTGTGATTGAGGTAGTCTCAAAGGGAAATAAGGGGCCTGGAGACAGGTTCAAGCACATCAATATGTCAATCACAGCCAGGGATGCAAAGGATGGTAAATGGGGGTTACTCGCATAACAGTGGGATGTCTCAAGTTACCTAAGTGCCGTAACTGGATACAGTAATCACACACTTGTCTCAATGTGACACAATCTTAACAGGAGCGTCCACTGTCCACTTAGAAAGGAGACAGTTTGGCAAACCTGATCAGATTATTGCTGTCATTATATCCAGCAAATTAACAGGTTACCACATTGTTCACCTTGCGTGACACCACTGTGGGGTTTGACAGCCTGGGCTCCAAGTGAGAAAATACACCAGGCTGATTTGCAAAGCGCCTACCTGAGATGACTCATCCAGTCTAAGAGGTTTCCACATTGTGCATTGTAAGCAATGAGAAGTTTCCCTAGAACAGTTTAGCAGTGAAGCCCTCTGTTGCCACTTCTTCCAGAGGTCTATGGAATAGTTAAATGCTAGAGGTTGGGCTTTTGAAAATGGCAGCCTGATCATTCAAACTCATTACAGGTACGCTTTGAGTGTAGAGGCTGTCTCCCCAAAAGCCCCGGCCTTACAGATAAATCATAGATACATTTAACAGGAAAAAAGTTTTGAGTGCCATGTGTTAGCATCGTTACAGCTTTAGCAAAGGGGAAAGAAAGTTCAGTCACTGAAGGTTGGGAGGGCAAGAACCCTCCTCAGTACACAGTGATTTCCTCCATGTCAGAGCACAGTTAGCAAAGCTGAACATTATTTTGGTTCCTCATCAACTTTTTACAGTGCTTCTGCTATATATTTAAGGATTTGGGGCATGGGCCTATGTATACACACGCGCCTCTGTGTGTGCAAGGAGCACTCGTGCCATGCTATCTGAAGCCTCCAGTTATTTATAGCATCTGTTTCCTGTCCATCCTTATCTCATAACCTATTATGTCTCAGCTTAAATGCCATGTCATTCACAGTGCACAAAGAAGGAGTATATGACCCTAACTCCCCAGCCCCTGCTAAGTCCGGCATATTCCACTTTTTCTCCCACATTGTCCACAAGTGCTGAAAAGTGCTGCCTCCTCTTTAATTCCTTGTCAAAACTCCTGAATTTTTTAAAATCCCTAACATGAACTTTCTTCACCATTTCTGAGTACTACCTGTCAAAGCTGCTGAGTATGACGTTTCTAATTCAGAAGTAAAAAAAAAAAAAAAAATGTTATGCAGAAATTCCAAGGAATCACTGAAAATATTCACCACTTTGGCCTGGGAAACTTTAAATGAAAAATGTATTATTATTAAACGATTTTGGAGTTTCTCCATGGCCTGAACATTTGTTTGACTGCCTACATTAAATATTTCCATTTCTTGGACATTTGGAAATGGGGCAATGTGTTTAAGGGATCACAGGCCTTTGGAGGCCTGTCCTCATGTGTATGGAACCTGTGTAGGCTATTTAATTGCTGTGTGACCATATGTCATCACATTAGCTGAATTGACGCCTGTATTGATACCTGTACCAATCAGTCTTCTAGAGGAAACATGGTACATTTAGATGAGGTAATTAGAAAACAGTTTAATGAAAGCACTATTTATGAAGATTTTTTATGGATTATTTTATAACTCACCACTTTACTAAATTCTCATTTTTTCATATGGTAGGTTTTCCTTTAATTTTTTTAAATTAAAAAATGACTATATGCTAGTTTTAATAGCATAAGTAAAATTATGTATTAACCAAAATAAAGCTAATATGTAAATGTTAAATAGACTTTAAGGCAAAAGTCATCACTATTTATACATAGCATCATTAAATAGTGAAAAAAGAACCAATTTTCTAGAATGTCATAAATAACTTGAGTCTTTGTACATCCATAAAATTGGCATCAAAAATTATCAAAAATATTGACAAAATTTCAAGTAAAAAGGGACAAATACACAACCATGTTGCAATATTTTTAATACCTTCTTTTCAGAGCTAAAAATTGGGTAGACAATTGAGAAATAAAATAAGCAAGAGTGGATTTGAAGCCGGACTTAACAAATACACAAAAAGAAAAATCTGTTAATAGAAGACTATATTCTCACACTACAATTATGGGGTCAGTCAAGAAATAATGATTAACATTGAAATCTATACAGGATCAAATGCACAATGAAAATTCCACTTATTAAAGTTTGTGTCATGGTGCTAAAACCGGTATTTAGAGGAGAATATATAGTCTGAAATGTATATGTTAGAAACTAAGAAAGAATGTGAATTAAGCTAAATGCTTAATTCTTAGGAACAACATAAAAATTAATAGTAAATAAAGAAACACTAAAAGGAAGGAAATAGAAGACAAAATTAATAACATTTTAATAATAATATGCCTAATTTGCTTTTACCAATTGTTATTACTGATATTAATATATCTTGATTTTTAAGTTTTATCTAATATTTTCTCTATATTTTAATGAATTATTTTCTTATTTTCCTTTTCTCCCTTCCTGACTTCCATCAGATTAATTATTATTTATTACCATTTTTGTCTTTTATTGTTTTGGAAATTTTTCTCTACTTTTGGCTTGGACACTAAGAATCAATTCATCTATGATTCGATTATTTGAAAAGAATAAACTCAGCTGGAGTTTTTAATAAATAAGAAAGTATACAAAAATAAAGGCTATTAAAGTGAAGAAGGGGACACAGCCAAAGCTGCAGGAAAATGACCAGCAAAGCTGTGCCAGGAGCTGACTTAGTCTTTGAAAATGACCTTTGTACATTTGAAAATATGTCACTTCCATAGTTTGAAAACTGGAGGGGCTTTGTAAATTACAAGAGACTTTCTGTCTTTCTGTGTTGCTGCTTACCATTGCTACTGCTGTAGCTACCACACTTCTGCTGCTATTAGACATTTATGAAGAACTCAACTGTATCGGGCCTAAGCTTTTTATAGTGCATGTGTGCTTTTTAAATAAAAGAAAATTGCCTTAGTTTTACAAATGCTGGCAAAAGATGTAAGACTTTATGACTTACAACCAAGCAGTCACTATGAAATTCTTGTTTATGTCAGTTTCAGTAGTCTCCCAAAATTCCCAGGTGATAATGGGAACACAGGGCCAGAAGGATGCTATACACACAGTATTGTGCATCACGGCTGAGGAATTCTGAGTGAGCTTAGAAAATCCTCATAATTTATAAGAGGGTGCTAAGTAAACCTGCCCAAAGTTTGATCCAGAAGGAGCCTTTTTTTTTTTTTTTTTTTTTTTGAGACGGAGTCTTGCTCTGTCGCCCAGGCTAGAATGCAGGGGCACAATGTCAGCTCACTGCAACCTCCGCCTCTGGGGTTCAAGCGATTCTCCTGCCTCAGCCTTCCGAGTATCTGGGATTACAGGTGGCTGCCGCTGCACCTGGCTAATTTTTGTATTTTTAGTAGAGACAGGGTTTCACCATCTTGGCCAGGCTGGTCTCAAACTCCTGACCTCATGATCCAACTGCCTTGTTCTCCCAATGTTCTGGGATTACAGGCATGAGCCACGGAGCCCGGCCAGGAGACCTCTTTAAACAAAATAATAATAATATTTTGAGTTCCAGGATACATGTGCAGAACATGCAGGTTTGTTAAATAGGTATGCATGTGCCATGGTGGTTTGCTGCAGCTATTGACCTGTACTCTAAGTTCCCTCCCCTCACCTCCAACCTCCCAACAGGTCCTGGTGTGTGTTGTTCCCCTCTCTGTGTCCATGTGTTCTCATTGTTCAACTCCCACCTATGAGTGAGAACATGTGGAGTTTGGTTTTCTGTTGGTTTGCTGAGGATGATGGCTTCCAGCTTCATCCATGCCCCTGCAAAGGACATGATCTCATCTTTTTTATGGCAGCATAGTATTCCATAGTGTATATTTGCCACATTTTCTTTATCCAATCTACCATTGATTGGCATTTGGGTTGGTTCTATGTCTTTGCTATTGTATGTAGTGCTGCAATAAACATATGTGTGCATGTGTCTTTATAGTAGAATAATTTATGTTTGTTTGGGTACATACCCAGTAATGGGATTGCTGGTTTAAATGGTATTTCTGGTTCTAGATCCTTGAGGAATCTCCATACTGTCTTCCACAATGGTTGAACTAATTTACAATCCCACCAACAGTGAAGTGGTCCCATTTCTCCAAAGCCTCGCCAGCAAGTATAGTTTCTTGACTTTTTCATAATTGCCATTCTGACTGGCATGAGATGGTATCTCCTTGTGGTTTTGATTTGCATTTCTCTAATGATCAGTGATGTTGAGCTTTTTTTCATGTCTGTTGGCTGCATAAATGTCTTCTTTTGAGAAGTGTCTTTTCATATCCTTTGCCTTCTTTTTGGTGTGGTTGTTTATTTTTTTCTTGTAAATTTGTTTAAGTTCCTTGTAAATTCTGGATATTAGACCTTTGTCAGATGGGTAGATTGCAAAAATTTTCTCCTATTCTGTAGGTTACCTGTTCACTTTCATGATAGTTTCTTTTGCTGTGCAGAGTCTCTTTAGTTTAATTAGATCCCATTTGTCTATTTTGGCTTTTCTTGCAATTGCTTTTGATGTTTTCATCATGCAGTCTTTGCCCATGTCTATGTCCTGAATGTTATAATTTTGGATTTTACATTTCAGTCTTTAATCCATCTTGAGTTAATTATTGTATAAGGTATAAGGAAGGGGTCCAGTTTCAGTTTTCTGCATATGGATAGCCAGTTTTCCCAGCACCATTTATTGAATAAAAGATCCTTTCCCCATTGCTTGTTTTTGTCAGGTTTGTTGAAGATCAGATGGTTGTGGATGTGTGGTGATATTTCTGAGGCCTCTGTTCTGTTCCATTGGTTTATATGTCTGTTTTAGTATCAGTACCATGTTGTTTTGGTTACTGTAGCCTTGAAGTATAGTTTGAAGTCAGGTAGTATGATGTCTCCAGCTATGTTCTTTTTGCTTAGGATTGTCTTGGCTATACAGGGTCTTCTTTGATTCCATATGAAATTTAAAGTAGTTTTTTCTAATTTTGTGAAGAATGTCAGTGGTAGTTTGATGAGAATAGCATTGAATCTATAAATTACTTTGGGCAGTATGACCATTTTCACAATATTGATTCTTCCTATCCATGAGGATGAAGTGTTTTCCCGTTTGTTTGTGTCCTCTCTCATTTCCTTGAGCAGTGGTTTGTAGTTCTCCTTGAAAAGGTCCTTCACATCTCTTGTTTGCTGTATTCCTAGATATTTGATTCTCTTCGTAGCAATTGTGAATGGGAGTTCATTCATGATTTGGCTCTCCGCTTGTCTATTGTTGGTGTAAAAGAATGATTGTGATTTTTACACATTATGTATGCTGAGACTTTGCTGAAGTCGCTTATCAGCTTAAGGAATTTTGGGGCTGAGAGGATAGGGTTTTCTAAGTATACAATAATGTCGTTTTCAAAAGAGATAATTTGACTTCCTCTCTTCTTATTTGAATACGATTTATTTCTTTCCCTTGCCTGATTGACCTGGCCAGAACTTCCAATACTATGTTGAATAGGAGTAGTAAGAGAGGGCACCCTTGTTTTGTACTGGTTTTCAAAAGGAATGTTCCTAGCTTTTGCCCATTCAATACGATATTGGCTGTGGGTTTGTCATAAATAGCTCTTATTATTTTGCGATATGTTCCATCAATGACTAGTTAATTGAGAGTTTTTAACTTTAACATGAAGGGATGTTGAATTATATCAAAGGCCTTTTCTGCATCTATTGAGATAATCATGTAGTTTTTGTCTTTGGTTCTGTTAATGTGATGGGTTATGTTTACTGATTTGCATATGTTGAACCAGCATTGCATCCCAGGGATGAAGCCAGCTTGATCGTGGTGGATAAGTTTTTTGATGTGCTGCTGGATTCGTTTTGCCAGTATTTTGTAGAGGATTTTCACATTGATGTTCATTAGGGATATTGGCCTGAAGTTTTCTCTTTTTGCTGTGTCTCTGCCAGGTTTTGGTATCAGGATGATGCTGCCTTCAGAAAATGATTTAGGGAGGACTCCATCCTTTTTACTTGTTTGAAATAGTTTCAGAAGGATTGGTACCAGCTCCTCTTTGTACCTCCAGTAGAATTCAGCTGTGAATCTATCATCCTGGGCTTTTCTTGGTTGGTAGGCTGTTAATTACTACCTCAATTTCAGAGCTTGTTATTGGTCTATTCAGGGATTTGACTTCCTCCTGCTTTAGTCTTGGGAGAGTGTATATGTTCCAGAATTTATCCATTTCTTCTAGAATTTCTAGTTTATTTGCATAGAGGCGTTCCTAGTTTTCTCTGATGGTAGTTTGTATTTCTGCAGGGTCAATGGTTATATCCCCTTTATCATATTGGTCTATTTAATTCTTCTCTCTTTTCATCTTTATTAGTCTAGCTAGTAGTCTATCTATTTTGTTAATTTTTTCAAAAAAAAACAGCTCCTGGATTCACTGATTTTTTGAAGGGTTTTTTGTGTCTCTATCTCCTTCAATTCTGCTCTGTTCTTAGTTATTTCTTGTCTTCTGCTAGCTCTTGGATTAGTTTGCTCTTGCTTCTCTAGCTCTTTTAATTGTGATGTTAGGATGTCTATTTGAGATTTTTCTAGCTGTCTGATGTGAGCATTTAGGGTTATAAATTTTCCTCTTACCACTGCTTTACCTGTGTCCCAGAGATTCTGGTACATGTTCTCTTGATTTCTCCCTTAGTTTCATTATTTACCCAGGAGTCATTCGGGAATATGCTGTTCAATTTCCATATAATCATGTGGTTTTGAGTGAGTTTCTTAATCATGAGTTCTAATTTGATTACACTGAGGTCTAAGAGACTGATTATTATGAATTCAGTTCTTTTGCATTTGCTGAGGAGTGTTTTACTTCCAATTATGTGGTTGCTCTTAGAATAAGTGCCATGTAGCACTGAGAAGAATGTATATTCTGTTGATTTGGAGTGGAGAGTTCTGTAGATGTCTATTAGGTCCACTTGATCCAGAGCAGAGTTCAAGTCCTGAATATCCTTGTTAATTTCCTGTCTTATTGATCTAATATTTAAAGTGGGGTGTTAAAACCTCCCACTATTATTGTGTGGAAGTCTGTCTCTGTAGGTTTCTAAGAACTTGTTTTATGAATCTGGGTGCTCCTGTATTAGGTGCATATATATTTAGGATACTTAGCTGCTGTTGTTGAATTGATCCCTTTACCATTATGTAATGACCTACTTTGTCTTTTTTCATCTTTGTTGGTTTAAAGCCTGTTTTGTTAGAGACTAGGATTGCAACCCCTGCTGTTTTTTGCTTTCTATTTGCTTGGTACATTTTCCTTCATCCCTTTATTTTAAGCCTATGTGTGTCTTTGCATGTGAGATGGGTCTCCTGAATACAGCACACTGATGGGTCTTGACTCTTTATCCAATTTGCCAGTCTGTGTCTTTTAATTGGGGCATTTAGCCCATTTACATTTAAGGTTGGTATTTTTATGTGTGAGTTTGATCTTGTCATCATGATGCCATCTGGTAATTTTGCACACTAGTTGATACAGTTCCTTCATAATGTCGTTAGTCTTTATACTTTGGTGTGTTTTTGCAGTGGCTGGTACTGTTTTTCCTTTCCAAATTCAGTGATTCCTTCAGGAGCTGTTGCAAGGCAGGCCTGGTGGTGACAAAATCCCTCAGCATTTCCTTGTTGGGAAAGGATTTTATTCCTACTTTGCTTATGAAGCTTAGTTTGGCTGGATATGAAATTCTGGGTTGAAAATTCTTTTATTTAAGAATGTTGAATATTGGCCCCACTCTCTTCTGGTTTGTGGGGTGTTTGCTGAGAGATTCACTGTTAGTCTAATGGGTTTCCCTTTGTAGGTGAACTGGCCTTTCTCTCTATTTGCCTGCTACATTTTTTTCCTTCATTTAGGCCTTGGAGAATCTGATCATTATTGTGCTGGGGTTGATCTTCTCATGGAGTATCTTAGTGGTGTTCTCTGTATTTCCTCAATTTGCATGCTGGTCTGTCTTGCTAAATTGGGGAATTTCTCCTGGATAATATACTGAAGTGTGTTTTCCAGCTTGTTTCCATTCTCCCATCTCCTTCAGGGACTCCAGTCAATTGTAGGTTTGGTCTTTTTATGTAGTCCCATATTTTCAGAGGCTTCGTTCATTCCTTTTCATTCTTTTTTCTCTAATCTTGTCTGCATGCCTTATTGAAGCAATATTATCTTCAAACTCTGATATCCTTCCTTCTTCTTGGTCAATTAGATATTGATACTTGTGTATGCTTCAAGAAGTTTATGTGCTGTGTTTTCCAGCTCCATCAGGTCATTTATGTTGAAGGAGACATTTTTATTATACTGGATAGCAAACAGTTCTTCCCTTTGCTCTCTGGAAGGAGAAACTGTTTCTATCTTCCAAGGCTATTCTCTATACAAATATCTTTGAAAAGATAGTTTGGAACAGAAACTGTCAGTGACTCTACTTGTAAGATATTAAGAAACATGAGAAATACAACAGAAAGTTGTCCTCCGAAATGTATTTCTGCCACTAAAGCTGATATTGATGCCACCGTATTGAAGTTAAAATATAATTTCTTTTTAAACTTTCTCTACATTCCTTGTGAAGTACTGAATATAAGGAATAGCATTTAAAAAACTCATGATTACTCTTCAAATCGTATCTCTTATTTTGAAAAAAAAGAAAAAGAAAAACAATCTAACAAAAGCTTACTGATCCAAAGAGTTAATGACATGGAATACTGAAAATACAAATTTTCAGTATGTATTTTATCTGAAATCCCCATAATAGTTGAAGAATATACCTTTATTCACAGGCATGTTAAATACGTCAGCTTTACCTACATGGCTAACATTTCTGGAGTAGGAAGACAGTCTGGGTATAGTCTCATTTTCACCTTTGCAAATCACCTTATAGCTCAGGAGCTGTGTAATAAAAGACATCAGTATAAACATATGAAGAATGCAAAATATTTGCATTCTTGATCTAAATCAGCTAATTATTGATCAATTAGATCAATAACATCTATTATTGATCAATTAGATCATAATCATCTATTATTCATCTAAGTGTACTCATATTTAATGGCAGAATTTCTGAAATGTTCCATATCTTTTACAAATGCTAATGTTGAAGTTAGTTCTTTCTAGCCTTTATAGCTATTCTCTTGAACAAACATTTTCTGCTATAAACTATTCATTTCACAACTCTGTATTTTCTACACATTTCCTGACACGTAAAAGTCAAAGTTGGAAATTAAGCATGGGGAAAGATAATAATTGCTGTGACCTTTGCTTCAAGGGAGTATTAGACTCACCCATGTTTCTGAAAGTTTTATACAAAAGAATAAATTTGAGGAGTTAATCGTTTCTTGTCTATGAAATTGCTAACCTGATTACATTATGAACTGAATGACCTTATGCTTTTTTAAATTTTCTTTTTACTAAAATTAGCAGCCATTTCCTATATCTTAAATATATTGTCCATAGAAATTTTGCTCATATGCCTCACAGTCCCCTGAAGTGTTATCAATTCAAAAGCACTTATCTTTTCAAAAATTTTCTTTGTGATTATTTCGATTTCTGATTATAAAGTTGAGCTTTAGTAAACCAAGATCTAATAATTTGCAGTTTTATTCCAGGTACATTTCATGCTAAAACTATTAACAACCATGGTCATGATTGATATGGTTGATGAGACTACCAGGTTAACCGACATTTAAGCTGGTTAATTCTACTTCAAATCTGAATGCCAATATGCAGTAACTGTTTTATTCATGATATAGATTATCTTCTGTACTTACCAGTGATATATTTTTCCCAATACTAACTATAGAGTTTGTAATTTATAGGGAACATTCCAGCAAACCTGTCCAAAATGTGCACCAGAAGGAGACATTGTCTTAATTACACTTGATAATTTTAATATCAAAATTCAACCAAATAAAATACAGCAGTATGACAGGTAAGATGCAGTGATATGGCAAAGCCTTGTAAACTAGGCAAGATAGAACCAACAAGTGGGGAATGAGACACAAAATCTTGTGGAGCACCCGATTCTGTTGCTGTTCATGGCGCCACTATGTAACACACACAGACCTAGGGGGACTGAACAATGGTGGGCGAATGCGGGAATAAAAGACAAGAGACAAAAAGAGTATATATGGAATAAGGGGTCAGCGGACATCTTGCCTCTAGTGGACAAGGGCCCTGAGCTTTACACAGCCCTCCATATTCATTAGGCAAAAGAGATAGCAAGAAGGAGGGTAGAAGAAGAGGTCAGCTGCTCCATCCACAGTAGGGTTGCAAGACTGCATTCTCTAGATGTCCCAGTAGATAACATTAAGGAGCTTGGCGCCAGGAACTGGTTGCCCTTAGCAAATCTCCTGGCAGTGGGAGCAGTCGTGAGGTTGCCCACATCCTGCATTCATGATAAACAGTTTGTTGTTTGATCATAGAGCCTCCAGTGGAATGCTGAGAGGGTCATGTCCCAGGGGCCTTCAGCTCCCCACAAAATTTTAAATGAGATCTTGAAGTCCAAACCCCTGAAATCCTTTCTGGGACCAAAAAATAAAGACTTAACATATAATAAAGCAAAAATCCAGGAACAGGGAAAGTATTGAATCAGTAGAGAAGTTGGGGGTGGCAATCAGAGGGTCTTGGGCAGTTACTACAGGTGATGTTGCCATGTGCTTAGTCCACCTAATTGGTTACCAGGTATATTGGTCAGGATCCTCTAGAGAAACTGAGTCAATCGGAGATAGATGATAGATAGATACATAGATAGATAGTCAGATAGATAGATTAGATAGGTACATTAGATAGATAGACATAAATAAGAGGGAATTTATTAGGGAATTGATTTACACAATTAGGGAGGCTGAGAAGTCCCTTGATAGACCATCTGCCAGCTCAGAAACCAAGGAAGCCAATAGCATGGCTCCATCTAAATCCAAAGGTCTAAGAACCAAGGGAGCCACTGGTGTAACTCTCAGTAGGAAGCCAGAGCCCAAGGAGGGGCCACTAGTGCAAGTTCCAGTGGACCAAGGCCAGAGAACCTAGAGTTCTGATGTCCAAGAGCAGGAAAGGAGTGTCACAGATCCAGGAGAGAGAGAGAATTCAGCTTTTCTTGACCTTGTTGTTCTATCCAGGCCTTCAGCCAACTAGATGGTGCCCAGTCCCACTGGGTAAGGGTAGATCATCCTTACTCAGTCCACTGATTCAAATGCCCATCTCTTCCAGAAACACCCTCACAGACATGCCCAGATATAATGCATTACTAGATATCTGGGTATCCTCTAATCCATTCAAGCTGACACTTAAAATTAACCCTTACAGCAGGTGTGTCAGATAGGCATAAAAGTATAGGTTGAGACAAATAGTCTTTACCTGTCAGCTACCCTTTTAAAGGCCTCATCTGTACTTTTGGGTTGTAATGGTGAAAAGCTATCATTGAAAGACTTGAAATATAATCAAAATTGTAAAATGTTAACACAAAAGTATATTAGTGTGCTAAGGCTGCCATAACAGAATACCACAGACTGGGTGACTTAAACAACACAAATTTATTTTCTCATAGTTCTGGAGGCTGCAAGTCTGAGATCAAGGTGCTGGCAGGGTTGGTTTCTGGTGAGGCCTCTCTCCTTGGCTTGCAGATGGCTACCTTCTCCCTGTGTTCTCACTTAGTCTTTTCTCTGTACTTTCACCTTCTTGTTCTCTCTCTCTTCTTACAAGGACACAAATCATATTGGATTGGGGCCCCACTCTTACAATCTCATTTAACCTTAATTACCTCCTCAAAAGTCCTATCTGCAAGTATAGTCACATGGTGGGATGGCAGGTAGGGCTTCCACATATGAAGATGAGGGGTGTTCAATTCAATCCAAAACACAGAACTAACTTCTGGATTCACAGAGGAATTTCCAGTAAATATAACTGGGGTCTAAGATGAAGGATGATTTCCACCCATCTTCCCTCTACATATAACCCTTTCCACACTCCCGTTATCTGAAGGGAAAGACATTGGCCCACTATTTCACATCATTTTCTACATAGGTGGATTTCAGTTGTTTATTTGAAGAATATTACTGTAGACCAGAATTTTTGTTGCTTCAAACCACCTTTGAAGCAACATAGGTACTTACAATCACCCGCCTTTTCAGCGATAGTTACAACGTCCTCACTAGGACAGGGGTCGGTGCCTCCCACGGTCTATGGGCGCATCCAAAGCCACCATGCCCTTCACAACCAGGTGCCAGCTCAGTGCTCTGTTGCTGCTTGACTAGGAATACTTATTGCCCTAGTCATTATATTTTATGTCCTCAAAAAATGAAGTTTTTTTTCCTGACCCCCTATATACACAACTTTTCTTAGGTGACACGTCAGCCTCCCACTAACAGTAAGTATCCCCCTTACACAGCATTAAAAAACTCAGCTAAATGTTGGGAACACCTCACAGTGGTGCAAGGTTGTCTCAGAGCTGGCCCTCTCCTGAGAGCTTGAGCACATTAAAGTTCCTTAGTAATCCACCCTAGCCACCATTTCTGGCGTGACAACATGGCCAGAGGCAAAATATTTATGATTTAAAAGAAAATTTTCTCAGGTAAGAAGTGGGAAGAGACGAGTCTGGAAAAACCACTTGAGGGGTAATCTCTGAAGTGTATAGTAGTTCATCTGTTATTGCTGGTAAAAAGCAGGCGGGTAGGAAGAAATAAACTACTGGTTGCTTTAAGTTATCACAAAATAAATCTCAAATTTCAGAGCTGGACGACCATGCAGTTCACTCCACTAACCAGTATATCCACATAAAATAAATGACTGCTAAACAACAAATCACAGGACAGGGGATGTGTACATTAGGCAAGTTGGAACTTCTGAATGAAGGAGAAAATTCTCAGAGGACTTAGGGGGTCAGTGAAGGACTGAGAAGCAATTCAGTCATTCTGTCAATAGGCACACCGTAACTCTTTGTAGCCTTTGCATATTCAACAGAATGAACCTGCCCAGGGTCTACAAAAATATTTGAGAGCAATACTAACAACCAAGGGAAGAAGGTACTAGTGAATATGTGGAGAAAGATCTTAATCTGGAGAAGGACAACCTAGATTACATACAAACACACATATATATGTGTGAATATTCAGTCTATGTTTACAATAAAATGTAAGAAAAATAAAAAGATGAACTCTTTGAGATTAGAGGTAATAATATCAAGAAATATCTGTTCTCATTTGAGTGCATGTGTCTCTGCAAAATTCATATGTTGGAACTTAAAGCCCAGGGTGATGGTATTAAGAGGTGGTAGAAAGGCATTTGGGAATGGATTACATCATAAAGGCTCTACCCTGATTAATGGGATTATGGAACAGGCTTCAAAGAGCTACCTGGAACTTCCATCACTTCTACCATGTGAAGATAAACATGAATCTCTTTTTTCCCTTATATTTCTTCTGCCATGTGAGAACACAGTATTTGTCTTTTCCACCTTTCCATGATGTGAGGACACCCCAAGAATGTCCCCTAAAGACAGGAAACAAGACATGGAATCTTCTGGCACCATGATCTTGGACTTCATAGCCTCCAAAATGGTGAGAAATAAATTTCTATTGTTTATAAATTACTCAGTCTTTGCTATTTTGTCATAGCATCACATATGGGCTAAGACAACGTCTAATTTAGATGAAAAGAGCTGGTTGAAGCAGGATGAGTAAGATAGGAGGTATGATATGAAACAGAAAATTCTGAAAAGCAGAGCCAACATAGTAGAACACCATGATGTAACTGAATATTTTGAAAACTATTACATGTAAAAAAAAATGCAAACACTTTATCCATGAAAATCCTTTCTATGCAATTAACAGAAAAAAGTACTTGACTGGTTTAACAATAAGAATAATCTGAAGTAGAGTACTTCCAAGATTACTAAATACAGTTGTTCAACAACATTCTCAAAGACCCAGATCCTTTACATATATCATTAGAAGTGTCATCATTATAATGACCTATTATGTAGACCTATTATATAATGGCCTATATTTGACTTGAAATATTTACTTGTGCATTTTAATATGAAACTTGAATTTAGGGTTATAAGAATAGAGATAATATTAAACATGTTAGTCATGGGGTGCAACATTAAAGATCTCTACTGGAAATTTTCTTAAATAATAAAATTATTATTTTTTATTTAAATAATAAAATTATTATTTTTTATTTAAATAATAAAATTATTATTTTTTATTTAAATAATAAAATTAGTATTTTATTTTGTTTTAATAAAATATGGAGAATAATGAGATCATATTACAAAATATATTCTTTGTAAAAGTTACCAATGGCATGGCATTAGACACAGATGCAACTAAGAAACTCATTAAAGCAAATTAATAATAAGAATAATCATTTTGCTTATATTATTTAATGTTCTGTTAATCAGTAGTTATATGCATATGAATTTGTTATGTTCACTTTTTAAGAAAAAAATTTATTTTTGAAAATCTTTTGAATAGGACTATTTTATAAATTCATCTGTATATTAAAACCAATTTATGTATTTCTATAAATAAATATTTCAAAAATTACTTCTCATTATTTTAAGGCCCACTTTCACTCTCAAAAGTGTTTCAGTTTGAACAATAATTTGCATATTAGACCCATGATTAAAATTTTTAAATTAGAGTGAGAGAATATATAGTCTATGGTCTCCATAAAGTCTATACTCTATGAAGAATGAGTATAGATAAGAAAAAGTGGAGGTTCAGTTAGTCTAAAAAGAATCCAAGTCATAAGAAGTCAGGGAGTTAAGAGACAATCAGTGAAGGAGACAGAAGAATTTCCTACTGAAGACTAAAAACCAAACAAGCAAACAAATAGGTGAGTGTGATGATTTGGATGCCAAGTGAAGCAACTATTTTAAGGAAAAGCAGTTGTCTGCCGTGTCCAATGTTGCTTTTAGGTTAATTAGGATAAGGTCTGAGAATTTTATATTGGACTTGGCAACATAGAGGGTCATTGGTGACCTCAAAAAGAGCAGTTCTGTTAGGTGCAGGCTAAGGGGAGGGCAAAGCCATTGGAGTGAATTTCTTAGGAGAGAACAGGATAACTTGGGGAACAGTGACTGTAGACAACTCTTCCAACACAATCTTCTGTAATGGAGAGCAGAACCATGGTTCCTAGCTATAGGGGAAAATTGATTCCAGAGAGACAGATTATGAGCCTTTATTATCAATATAATAATTACTATTTTTTTTCAAAAATGAAAGACATAACAGCATGTTTGAATCTTAATGAGAATGAACCAGCAGAATTGAAAAAAAAATTGATAGTACAGAAAAGGAGAAACCTGGAGCTGTGGGCTTGATTGGTGAGAGGTAATAGAACTTAGTGCACAAGTATAGGCACCAGACCATCCCCGGGTTCAAGAGATAAAGCAGACTTATGTGGGCACAGGTATAGTAAAGTTAATAGAGATTGTATCTGGAGGCTCTGGGTTGCTTCTAATTTTTCAGAAGAAGGACAAAGCCACATATTAAATGTGAATGAGGGAGGAAATAGAGGTTCCAGGAAAGAGAAGCATGAAAGAGTAGCCTAGGATCTTGCTGTTTAATGTATGGTCCATGGAGCAGCAACAGTAGCAGCACTTTGGGGCTCCTTCATAATGCAGAATTTCAGTCCCCTCTCCTAGATATACTGAACCAGGAACTGCATTTCAAGAAGATCCCCAGGTGACCCAATGTGTGCTAAAATTCAAGAAGCACTGGTCTCAGACTGAGAGAATAAATGAAGAGAGGAAATACAGTAGAATAGTTAGCATAAAGTTATATCACACTGACAGCTTGGTTGAAATATGTTTTCCAACTAATAAAATGAGTTGGTTAACTTAAAAGGAATAGTGGCTTAACTAAGGTAGGGGTTTTGCAGGTTAGCAAGCTGAAGCAAGGGAAGAGAAGAACAGTTTAATAATCAAAGAGCGTGATTATAATGATGCCCCCATGGAGCTGAAGGTAAGTGGTCTGGGAAGTGAGAGCATGAGGAGATGAAGGAGAGTGAAAAGGAAGTAGGTCAGTGGATTTAATTTTCCAGCAGGGATTGAGGATTGTTGGATTTGGGGCACTAGGGGCAAGCTGGAGAACAAGAAGTGCTGGTCAGAGAGGGGCCTGTTTGAAGTTGAGGTAATGGGTGACGTATTGTATTGATAATGGCTTGACCTAACTTCTGGACATGGAGTGGCTGAAGTGGATTGGAGAATAAGACTTTCTGGGGGAGAGGAGGTCAAGGGCATTAATAGCTAAGATAAGAATCACCTATGTGGATAATGAAATTATCAAGAACTATGACAATGATGCTGGAGAGAAAGACCATGAGCCAGGAGCTAAAATCTCAATGGAAAACCATGGGACTCAGGTCCCACAGATAACTGCAAAAAGAAAGGTACTGGATGATATAGTATGATGACATGAGACTCATATGAGGTGTGTTAACAGAAGTGGGAGGGAAGGAGTGAGGCAGAGAGAGAAACACATCTATTCTACCCCCAAACCAAACAGGTGTGTGTGAAAGAGAAGATACCTGTTCCTTAAAAGCGTGAAGATGGAGTCAGAAAAGAAAATTACCACAAGCCAGAATAGTAAATTATCCCTGAGTGAGTCAAGGAAGATAATGGTGTGAAGGTGTAGGATGCTTTTAGGGAATTGCAAAAAAAAAAAAAAAAAAAAAAAAACCAAAAAAAAAAACAGATAGGTGTGTTCAGGAGACACCCCTGTCCATGGTGCTATGGAGGCTGAGGGGAGAAATCTTATGCACACACAAAACTCTAGGAATCTGTCTTAGTTAGCTCAGGCTGCTATAACAAATTGCCACAGAATGAGTGGCTTGAACAATAAACATTTATTTCTCACAGTTCTGGAGGCTAGGAGGTTCAAGATCAAAGTGCCCACAGGCTTGGATCTGGCGAGAGACTCCTTCCTGGTTGGCAGATGGCTGTCTTCTCATTGTATCCTCACATAGGGGAAAGCAGAGAGACAGAGCAAGTTCTTTCATGTCTCTTCTTATAAGGACATTAATCCCATTCATGGAAGCCCCACCCTCATCATTTTTTTTATTTTTATTTTTTATTTCAATAGGTTTGGGGGAACAGGTGGTGTTTGGTTACATGACTAAGTTCTTCAGTGGTGATTTCTGAGATTTGGGTGCACCCATCACCAGAGCAGTGTACACTGTACCCACTGTGTAGTCTTTTATCCCTCACCACCCCCTACCCTTTTCCTTGAGCTCCCAAAGTCCAATGTCTCGTTCTTATGCCTTTGTGTCCTCATAGCTTAGCTCCCACATATGAGTGAGAACATATAATGCTTGGTTTTCCATTCCTGAGTTACTTCACTTAATAGTCTCCAGTTCCATCCAGGTTGCTGTGAATACCATGATTTTATTCCTTTTTTGGAGTTGAGTAGTATTCCATGGTGTGTGTGTGTGTATATATATATATACATATATGTCACATTTTCATGTGACATATGTCATGGTGTGTGTGTGTATATATACATATATATGTCATGGTGTGTGTATATATATATGTCACATTTTCTTTATCCTCTCGTTGATTGATGGGCATTTGGGCTGGTTCTATATTTTTGCAATTGCAAATTGTGCTACTAAAAGCGTGCGTATGCAAGTATCTTTTTTGTAAAATGACTTATTTTCCTCTGGGTAGATACCTAATAGTGGGATTGCTGGACCAAATGGTATATCTACTTTTATTTCTTTATGGAATCTCCACACTGTTTTCCATAGTGGTTGTACTAGTTTACATTCCCACCAACAGTGTAAAAGTGTTCCCTTTTCACCGCATCCATGCCAACATCTATTTTTTTTTATTTTTTGATTATGGCCATTCTTCCAGGAGTGAGGCGGTATCGCACTATGGTTTTGATTTGTATTTCCCTGATAATTAGTGATACTGAGCATTTTTTCATATGCTTGTTGTCCATTTTGTATATCTTCTTTTGTGAATTGTCAATTCATGTCCTTAGCCCACTTTTTGATGGGATTGTTTTTTTCTTGCTGATTTATTTGAGTTGATTTCCTTGTAGATTCTGGGTATTAGTCCTTTGTTGGATGTATAGATTGTGAAGACTTTTTCCCACCCTGTGGGTTGTCTCTTTACTCTGTTGATTATTTCTTTTGCTGTGCAGGCTCTTTTTAGCTTAATTAAGTCCCATCCATTTATCTTTGCTATTGTTGCATTTGCTTTCGGGTTTTTTGGACTAATAAACTCTTAAAGACCCCACCTCCTAATATCATGACACGGGGTTAATGTCTTAACATGTGATTTTGGAGGGGATGCAAACATTTAGTCCATAATAGAATCTTTTTTTCCCTTTTAACTGAAGAATAGAGAACCTACAGACCCGCATGTATTGAAGTTTGAAACCACCTGTGTAAACAGCACACAGATGAAGGACCACTTTACCCTGTTTCTCACACCATAGGTGAGTTTTCTGGATTCCTCTGTACCTCTGTCAATGAAGGCAAGAGGCGAGGTAAATGATGGTCTCGCCATGAGTGGGCAGGTCTACGCAGCTCTCTTTTGACATACTGATTATTAGCACAAAGGCCATGGCAGCTTCAGAATTAGCTATAGAGCTTGGATCCATCTGGAAATTGATCACTACTTCCCTGCATTTTTACAGTGTTTTGTGTCCACTTCAACAACAGTATGTTTACAACAATACTGTATTTATCTGTTGATCACCTTTCTGCCTCCAAACACACACATACACACATATGCACACCATACACACACACACCATACACACTCCTGAATTGATACAGCAAGTATTATTACTTTTTAAAATAAATTCCTGTGGCTTTGAATAGTGCCTCTTACATTGTATATGTTTTTTGAAAATGTAATTTATTAAAAATGGAAATCAATATCACTGTCATTGATTCTAAAACCAGGTGAAAATCAAACGGTTTCCCAGCAAAACCCTTGTTTATGCCAATTCTCCCTTACTCCTTCATAGTGAACATTTTATAAAGCTATCCTTCGATCATCTCAGAGAAGCAATAACAGTGAGCTTGTTCTAAATATGTCTCATAGCAAACTGAATTCGGTAAACTGATTTTGTGAAGCATATAATTGTAGGAATGATATTGTACAATGAATTAGAACTACCTTTATTTGATCTTTCACCTGAAATCCTTCAACAGGTGTCATAGACATACTAATGAAGGGGCTGCCTCACACAGAGAGCTATCTTACAAGGTTCTGAGAATAAAATGAGAGCTAGAAGAGACATGATTTCTACTTCAATATTTTATTTGGCAACATCCTACTGAAAAGACAAGCAAAACCACTATGATTCATAATACTTGCAGATGAAGGCAATATGACACAAGAAGGTTAAACGGCCTCTCATGACAATGTGAGTTAGATTCAAAAGCCTTTAATTCTAGTCCATGCTTTATACTGGTTATAGCTTTTCAATGCCTGAAACTTTACTATCAGTGATTTGTTCCCTTCAGTAAGTTTCTGTAGTCTGTGAAAATGAAACCATCTTACTCTCAGGCTAGCAAATACCCCTTAGTTTAAAGGAGCTAGTTTTCATAAAGGAATGAGGGGGACTCATGTGCTGGGAACAGCAAAGGAAGAACCCAGGAGACTAGAAGCATAGGTGTAAAGGGTCCATTGCTCTTAAGTCAAAGAAGAGTCAGGCGTTCACAGACCTCAACTTAAAGCTGTTTATTTAATTCTGAAGCAAATGCAATCCAGTTTATAATATTAAAAAATAATACGTAGGTAGCCACTGTTGAGATGAACAATAATTGAACATATATTTAGTTCATTCATTTGATAATTACTTCAGGCCTATCATAAGGCAGGCACTTATCTATATATTGGAGACAGAGCAATAAAGAAAGAGGCCTTGAGAGTCCCAGCTTTCAAGGAGATGGCACTCTAATAAAAAATCACTGTGTTCTAGAAAATACCTAATTTTAGCTACCACCTACAAATGAACAGTTTTGCCTTGTTAGTCATAAACTGTGTGCCAAATATACCTATTGTGATGGTTCATTTTGTATTGGTCAGGGCTCTCTAAAGGAACAGAAATAATAGGATATAGGTATATATGAATGGCAATTTATTAGGAGTATCGACTCATATGATAACAAGGTAAAGTCCCACAATAGGCCGTCTGCGGGTTCAGGAGCAAGGAAGCCAATCTGAGTCCCAAAACCTCAAAAGTAGGGAAGCTGACAGTGCAGCCTTCAGTCTATGGCCAAGGGCCTGAGAGCCCCTGGCAAAACATTGGTGTAAGTCCAAGAGTCTAAAAGCTGAAGAACTTGGAGTCTGATGTTTGAGGGCAGGAAGCATCCAGCATCAGAGAAAGATGAAGGCCAGCAGACTCAGCAAGTCTGCTCTTTCCAGTTTCTTCTGCCTGCTTTATTCTAGCTGTTTTGGCAGCTGATTAGATGGTGCCCATCCAGATTGAGGGTGTGTCTGCCTCTTCCAGCCCACTGACTCAAATGTTAATCTCCTTTAGCAACACCCTCACAGACACACCCAGGAGCAATATTTTGCATCCTTCAATCCAATCAAATTGACACTCAATATTAACCATCACAATTGTATACACCAACTTTCCTTGGTTAAGGGATGCCCCAGATAGCTAGTACAACACTATTTCTAGACGTGTCTGTGAGAATGTTTCCAGAAAAGATTAGAATTTGAGTCCCTCATCTATGTGGGTGGGCATCATTCAATTTGTTGAGGGCCCAAATATAATAAGAAAGTGGAGGAAGGGTGAATTCTCTCTCTTTGCTGGAGCCAGGACATCCACCTGCTTCCGCCCTTGGACATCAGAGCCCCTGGTTCACTGGCTTTTGAACTCTGAACCTCTTAACACTGGTCCTCCCCTCCATATATTTCCTATATTTCCACCTGCCTCAATATGTCCAAAAGCAAGCTCGTGGCCTCCTTTCAGACAGCCTGTATTCCCAATTATGGCATCATCTTCCATGCTGTCACTCATATTGGAAACCTAAGAAATATTCTTGATTACTTCCACTGTCCCAACACTCTCAGTGATCAGTCTTAGCAACTTCCCCCCCGCCCCTGCATCTTCATCAGCCATCATTGTCTCCAGCCTGGACCACTGCCATACCCTTCAAAGAGGGGTCTCGGCTTCCTGCCACTCTGCCTCTTCAATCCAGAATGTCCACTCTTCTCAGAATAATTATTCAGAACCCCAAAGTCCAGTTATGGAATGCTTCTGAATAGGAACTTTGTATTAGTCCATTCTCACACTGCTATGAAGAACTGCCCAAGACTTGATAATTTATAAAGGAAAGAGGTTTAATTGACTCACGGTTCTGCATGGCTAATAAGAACTCAGAAAACTTACAATCATGGCAGAAGGCCCCACTTCACAGGGCGGCAGGAGAGAGAATGAGAGCTGAGCAAAAGAGGAAGCCCCTTATAAAATCATCAAATCTTGTGAGAACTTAGTATGACAAGAATAGCATGAGGGAAAATGCCCCCATGACTCAGTTACCTCCCACAGGGTCCCTCCCACCACATGTGGGGATTATGGGAACTAGAATTCAAGATGAGGTTTGGGTGGGGACACAGCCAAACCTTACCAAGCTTTTAAGAAGTTATCTACAAAATACTATGCATGATGACAATAAAGATAACTGAACCATAAAGAATATTCCACATACTTCCTTGTATCTCCAAATAACCTTGTGCGCCAGGCAAATGTGATTACACACATTTTATAGAGGAGGACAATGGATTAACAGATTGAGGCTCTTCCCTGAGCTTTATCTCAGCACATCTGAATTGTCTTCTTAAAATAGTCAGTTTGCACCATTGTGTCTCTCCTTTCTCATTTGTAAAACAAGGACATCAGACAAAAATCTAATGACATTAAACCCAGCCCCCTGCCCTTTTTTTAGATAGGAATCATGAATTTCTTTAAAAATTAAGTGAAATCTATGGACTCTCTCCACAGAAAATTTATCACACGCATATAGAAGTAGACCTTCTAGGGGTCCATGGAAGCCATGTTAAGAATACTTGTGCAAGTTCTAAGATAATTCTAGTGTTCATGTAGAATCTGTTAAGTTCCTTAGCCAGTGTCAATAACAAAACTCGAACTTCTGAAAAGTGTCTTAAACTATGTCATAGAATTGCTCACACCACTCATTTCCTCCTTCTCTAATTGCATAGAATTTCTGGCTCATTGGTGGTTTTGTCATATTACATAAGGACTAATATTGCAGAAGAACTAAGAACTATGGTTTACTCTTTAAAGTGTCATTAGCAATTATCTGTTCCAGATTGCAAATATCATCCAAATAGGCCAAAGCAAAGATTTCCACTCCCTGAAAGACACCTGGGCTGGAAATGGACACCTGATTGTGGAGCATGTGCTAGCGTCTTGTCAATAAGAATGAATAGAGTGCTGTAATCCCAGCACTTTGGGAGGCCGAGGCAGGTGGATCATGAGGGCAGGAGGTCAAGACCATCCTGACCAACATGGTGAAACCCCGTCTCTACTAAAATACAAAAAAATCAGCCAGGCATGGTAGTGCGCACCTGTAGTCCCAGCTACTTGGGAGGCTGAGGCAGAGGAATGGCTTGAACCTGGGAGGTGGAGATTGCAGTGAGCCGAGATCATGCCATTGCACTCCAGCCTCGGCAACAGAGTAAGACTCCATCTAAAAAAAAAAAAAAATGAATAGAGCTCCTCTCCAGTAAGAGCTGGGAATCTTCATGGGACCTGAAACATGAGCAGGCAATTACAATTTTAAAAGGCATGTGTTCCTAGCTCCAGACTACCCTGGTTTCATTCTGCATTCTGTAACCAATCACAACACTCATGGACTCTGAAAAAGTGAGGTTCCCCAATGATTACACTCCCTGGGAGTAAGTTTGTCATCTGTGGAAGTAGCATTTTCTCATCTAGTACTGAAAGATGCCCTGAAGCATGGACCTATCTCCAAACATAAGCTTACACTGAGAAAGAATTCAGTTCAGAATCTTAGATATGAATACAGTAAAAAATATACAAAGGCTGAGGAATGTTTTTTGACATAGCCAAGAACAGCAGGAAATGTCTACATAGAATATTAAATTGATGTTAATGAGCAGACTCGTTATGTATCCAGCTGTCCCTTTTCTAAATGACATAAGCATATAATCCCATTGTGTATAAGTTGTAAACTTAAGTCTTTAGTTACACATTTGCAGGAATTTTGGAGGAATGCTCTATCTGCTATGTAGACATTTGCCCATTTTACAGATATTATTAAGCTTCAGCTATGTACAAATGACTTAGCATGTGTCAACGAATAAAACCGGTAGAAACACCTGCCTTCTTGGAGCTTACAGCCTGCCCGATGGGGAGAGTTATCTGGGAAGATAGGAAAAGTTGAACATTATAGACGTGTAAATCATATAGTGTATTAGAAGGGGAGGAAAACAATGGACAAAATAAAGCAGGGTATGAAAACCAGGAGTTCCAAACTAGCTATGTGCTCAATTGTAGAGATGCCTGAATAAATATCTTTCTGAATGGCTCACCATGTGCCTGTCCCCTCTGAATACCACTACTGTGGGGTAAGACACTGTCTCTAGAAAGCACCTATATTAGGGCTAGGTTAGTGGAGGGACCAGGCTTGGAGGCAGACTACCTTGTCTTTGGAGACTTAGTCCCCTCACTGCTGCCAATGCATCACTTCTTTCCCAATAGGTGCCCAGTATCTTTATGTTTATTTCTAGCCTCTTTTCTGAAACTGCTCTGTGAGTGTTCTTTCAGGGCGAGGAAGGATTTATGCTTAATCAATTACACTTCCATATCTGCAGAAGATGGAAATGTCCAAGGTGCATGCTGCTAACCTGGGCAGAGGAGTCTAGATGAGGTGTCAGGGCAGAAAAGATGATGGTGGAGTTCCAGGTGTTGACAACCATGCAGTGAGCAGTAGACAGGACTTGGTATGTCAGAAGGTGGTGACCAACTCCACATCCAGCACAGAGCCTCCTACACCCTGCTGCCTACCTCATTGCACGTGGTGGGTTCCAGGAGGTCCATGCTCGTCCACACCTCTCACTGAGATCATTGCCTACTATGTAGTACAATTCTGAACAAGACTGGTTTGATTTTAAACCAATTGGCCTTGAAGTATGTGCTCAGTTCCTTTTTCAGTAGAGAATATGTTTTGGAGTACAAACTGAGTTAGTGGCTTTGGGATTATTTAGACAAAAAACTCATTTTCTGGATGGTTACAGTCGCAACTATGGAGGATTTTTGTTGTTAACTTTGCTTCGTTCATTTGTTTGTCTGAAATAAACCTTGTTTATTGCAACATCCATATTTCAATAAGTGGGCTTAGAAAGTTAAGAGCTGAAGGATTCCTATTTCAGCTGATTTAAAAATCACAGCTTTCTTACTTGTGAGAGATACAAAACAGCATTCCTCAAAGAACATCATCGTATGTACAGTTGCTTGTGATTATTGCTGAAAACATAAATTTGTATGTGAAAATATAACATGATTGTAATAACACATTGCACTTAAAGAGTCTATGACACTGAAACTAAATGCTAAACAAACAGCAAATAAAAATGAAAGAAGGGAAAGCTCTTTTCTATAGTAGAATACTAAGTATTAGGTTGATGCAAAAGTAATTGTGGTTTTTGCCATTAAAAGTAATTGGCAAAAACCGCAATAACTTTTGCACCAACCTAATAATATAGAAGGAATACTAGAATTAGAGCATAACCACTTTGCAAACACCACAGTCATAGTTAATGTAGGCAAGAGTCATCAATGGATACTAAAAATATTGGGTGAAAGTTTGTTAAAGAATAGCATACTGCCAGGCATGGTGGTTCATACCTGTAATTCCAACAGTTTGGGAGGCTGAAGTGGGAGGATCTCTTGAGTCTAGGAGTTTAGAGACCAGCCTGGGCAACACAGGGAGACCCTGTTCCTACAAAAACAAAAAGAGAGAGAGAGAGAGAGAATTTAAAAAAGAAAAAAATAGTATATTTATGTAGATCTGAATCGAATCATCAGGAAATAATCAAACAACCTCAAATTGGGGGACATTTTTATAAAGCACCTGGTCTATACTGTCAATGTCATGAGAGAAAGAATAAAACTAGAACAGTTTCTGTTTAAAGAAAGTATAATGATATATTAACAACTAAATGAAATGTGTAGTTCTATATTGGAGCCTGAGTTGAAAGGAAAAATAAAGATTGAGACATCTAGAGAAGATTGAATTTGACCTATGTGTTACAGACTATTATCATAGGTGTATGAAATTTGCTTAGTTTGATAACTGTATTGTAAATGCTGTGTTCTGCCATTAGAATATACTTATTCTTTTAAGAGATACATATGGAAATACTTAGGAGTCTGCAACTTACATGGTTTCACAAAACAATGACAGAGTCTGTACAATAAAGCATTTGTTTGGTCTTTGACCTCAGTTTCTGGGAGGTAGATTCTAAGCCCTTGGAATTTCCTGAGTGATAGTACTGTCTCTCTTTTGTATTCATGATGGGCCCCATGGACCACATTTAATAGTTGATGCTAATGAAATTATTTAAGATGATATGCGGCCATGCCAAAAGGAAAAAGTATGTGATCAGAGAGAGGGGACTTTGAGCCTCTTGATATTTGCCCAAACTTTGAGAAGGGAAGGTGGCTGGATAGTAAGTCATATGGCCAATAATTCAATCAATTGTGCCTACTCACTGAAGCCCCAGTAAAATCTATAGACACCAAAGCATGGGTGAGTTTCCCTAGTTGACAACAGTCTGTGTCCTTTCCCACATCGATGGTGTCGAGAAGATATGTCCTCAGAAACTATGGAACTGCAGCATTTTCCCAACATGTCTCTCCCTTTGGGTGGTTCTGATTTGTATCCTTTTAACCTAATAAAACTCTAGTCATAAGTATAGCACCCCCTGAGTTCGGTGAGTCACTGCAGCAGATTATTGAGCCTCAGCATCTAGTGGGAACCCCCAGATTTGAGGCCAGATGGTCAGAAATGCAGTTGGTCTGGGGACCCTGTCAACTTGCCACTGGTGCCAGGAGTGAGGGCTGTCTTGTGAATGACCGTCCCCTTGACCTCTAAAGTCTGGCCTCACTCTAGGTAATTGGTTAGAAGTCATTGCAGATGCACTGTACTATTGCTACAAATTTCTGTAAGCCTATTTCTTTTTTAAGAAAAAACGGTAAAAAGCTTATGACTCTTTTGTAACTTTAGGAAGTGAAACAACAATCTGAAGATGATGTCGGGTGGACTGCCCGGTATCTCGACGGGCACGTCATATCAAACACCGAGATTTGTCTGATTGGTGAACCATCAGATTGGTAGAATTATTTTTCTCCAGAAGTTAGTTTGTTTGAATTGAACCTGTTTTAAGCCAGCTTGATTTTATAAGCTTAAAAATGTCAAAAGCTCAACATTAAGTGCTAAATCTGTGCCATTAGTAGCACGACAATGAATAAATTTTATTTGATCAGTTTGGAAAAAAATTAAAAGGAGAATTTCTAAACCACTCTAAAACAGCAATCTTCTTAACACTGAAGGGCAGTCAATCAATAGAGAGAGGTAGCTATCCAAATGCATTTAAAAATAACAATAAAAATCCACAGCCAGGCATGCAGGCCTGGTGGCATATCCCTGTAGTCCCAGCTACTCTGGAGGCTGAAACAGGAGGATCCCTTGAGCCAAAGAATTGGAGTTCAGTCTGGGAAACATAGTGAGACCTTATTTCAAAAAAAAAAAAAAAAAAAAACTGTGCTAGCCACCTAGTGGGTGCTCAATAATTAGTAAAATTGATAAACAGCAGGCAAGAAACGTGAGGTACTTGAAGAAATGCTCGCGTCAATAATTCCTTTCTTTGCTATAGCACTGCTCATTTTTAAAACTAAAAGAAGTCTCTGCAGCATATTCTCAGCAAGCTGATATGAGATCCTGGGTAAACAGGTTTAATTACCATTGTGATCATAAAGCAAAAATATAAATGTAAACAGATTCTCATGGTCATGAACTGTAAAGTACTGATCAGTTTAGTTTCTTTTTCCACCACGTCACACATAAGTGCCCAAATTGAGGAGTCTGATCATTCTTTTAGTCTTCTAGATTGAGGGAGGGAGGGAAGCAGTGAGGGGGAGAGAGAGAGAGAGAGAAGAAACAAAGAAACAAAAAAGGAAGGAGAAGGAGGAGGGAGAAGAAGAGGGAGAAGAAGAAGGAGGAGGAGGAGGAAGGAGGAAGAGGAGGAGGAAGGAGGAGGAGGAAGAGGAAGGAGGAAGAGGAGGAGGAAGGAGGAGGAGGAGGAAGGAGGAGGAGGAGGAAGGAGGAGGAGGAAGGAGGAGGAAGGAGGAGGAGGAAAGAGGAGGAGGAGGAAGGAGGAGGAGGAGGAAAGAGGAGGAGGATGAAGGAGGAGGAGGAGGAAGGAGGAGGAGGAGGAAGGAGGAGGAGGAAGAGGAAAGAAGAAGAGGAAGAAAAACAAGAGGGAGGCAGGCAAGCAGGCTTTTGCTTATTCAGAATGTATTACATTAACAATTAAAAATGGTACTTCAGTTTTAATTTCTTTCCACCTGCTACTCAGTTGTAGTGCCACTGTTTATCAGCACCATGTTTTCTCCTGTATAATGAGGGTTGTCTTCCCCTATGCCTTCATTGTCTACATCTGTATCTCAGACAAATGGCTTTTAAATAAATTTCATAAAATCTTGTCCATGTTACTTGTAACTTCTATTGCAGTAATACAATGTGCTTGAAAATACATATTAATTTATTTGCAATCAACTTACATAAATGCAAGAGGGATAATTTACTCTGTCTTGCTCTCTTCCTCTCATCTCTATACATTATAAATGTTACATGTATTTTGCAACCTCACATTGCTATGGGGCTGTCATTCTGAGCTGTTCCAGGGAGTAAAACCAATTCTTTCCCCTCTCCCCTGAAGACAGTCAACTATCTGACAAGCTGGTTTCTTTCCTTGCCTATATATAACAGCTTAAAGCATCAGAATATTTCAGCTCCACTTTTTAATTATATAGCTTAGCAAGCCAACATAATCAGGAGCTGTACTTAAATATTCAACCTGAAATGGACTGAGTATTAAATTAAAGTAAGCTACTAACTAAAGTAACTTTACTTGATATATCTGCCATAAGAAGTGACAATTCATCTAATTAGTTTGCAACACACGAGTCGTTCTGAATTATTTCCCTCTGCTGTGGATTTTTTCATAGTAATGGTGCATGTAGCATCCACTGATACACATGGTTTCTATGAAAGGATAACTTCTACCAGCCAACATTTTAACAAGTATTTTTTTTCTGTTCCTAATGATATGCATAAAGTATTGTATTGAGTCTGTGGATGACCCAGTACATCAAAATGATATATTTGGGGACATGATGACATACCTCGAATACCTAACACCACGCAGCAGTTAGTCATCAGTGACCTCTGAGTTCCATAAGACAGGCTTCAAGAAAGGTGCAATTAAGGTTGTGCAGCCCCACCCTTTCCTATCATTCTTAAAAATATATCAGCATGCCAGTGAGAGAATAAGATGATTAAGGATAACCTTGAGTCCACCCCAATTATCATTTTAGAAAAGCAAATCATTGGCAAATTTTGGAAGTTCAGCTGTTTTTGGCAGCAAATGTTTATATGATCACACTGATTATAATCCAAGCAATTGTACTGCAGTGCTTTGTTGTGACTCATTGGATTGGACCAGTTTCCAAAGGTTTCCAAAGGGGCTGAGATTGATACCAGACCTTGAAGGGTGAGAGGATAGAGGAACAAAGAAAGACTGAGAGTTCTGTGTGTCTGGGGTTAGGACAAGCGAACAATATGGGGAGAGTCTCAAGGCTACAGCAGAGCATAGTGGAATTTAGGACTAAGTGCAGCACATATAGATTATAAGATGAAGTCCTAGGAGGAGTCTTTTTTTTTTTTTGAGATGGAGTCTCACTCTGTCACCCAGGCTGGAGTGCGGCATGATCTCGGCTCACTGCAGCCTCCTCCTACCTCCCGGGTTCAAGCAATTCTCCTGCCTCAGCCTCCTGAATAGCTGGGATTACAGGCACCCGCCACCATGCCCGGCTAATTTTTGTATTTTTAGTAGAGATGGGGTTCACCATGTTGGCCAGGCTGGTCTCGAACTCCTGACCTCAGGTGATCTGCGTGCCTCTGCCTCCCGAAGTGCTGGGATGACAGGCGTGAGCCACCTAAACGGATGTGTTTAAAGCAAACTGAATGCAGACTGAAGTACTTGGCTTTCCTTCTTTAGGCAAAGTAGTGGGTTTCCATCTAAACTTTTCTGTTGTTAATGCTGTCATGTAACGACATCTTTTAAAATGCATTTCAGTTGGCTTTATTTGGAAGAGCTGCAGAAAGTAGGAGGGAAAAGGAGGAAAGTCATGTATGGTAAGGATTCAGACTATATCAATGAGTTTGCTTAGCAGGCAACAACAACAACAAAAAAATAAAAATTGGAAAAATGAGATTGCTGAGCCTTGGTGTTATTTACTGCTTAATGGAATGTTGGCTGAAAACAGTAAAATAAATACTTCATTTTACCCAGCATCACTTAAAAAGTAAATAAGGCACAGAGCCCTTCTAAGACAATTGCTGTGGCAGTATGGGGTAGATATAATGGGCTTCAAGCAGCATAAAGTTTAAGCTAATATGCTTGGGCTTAGGAGTTTATATCTTCCTCTCCCCTGAAACAGTCCCCTATATGATTCCCATGGGTAAAATCATCTCGGTGGGTTTCGCAAACCAGTGTAAATAAGTGCAGGTTCGCCTTAAAGCTCCGGCTACATATTAAAGCCAAATCAACACCCTTTGCTAATAGAGATGTTCAAAAAAGATAAAACACCTCAAAGCCCGCGCGCTGAGTTGGTGCTGCTATTTCATGTCAAGGCAATTACAGTGATGGTATTAGGAAGATCAGGTCGGGAGCGGTGTTGTCATACCGGGGAAAGGAAAGCACGCCTTTAAGCAATCATGTAGAGCATGCAGGACATCTTAAAGCTGGGGAAGGAACAAAGCTTCGCGCTGTCGGAATATTGATCTGCTCCAGAAGGTGCAGGGAGCTGCACTACGGTGATTGCCTTCCCCGCTGGGTTTAGAGAGGTCTGAAAGAATACAGTATTGATCTGGCCCCGTTCCCAAGAAGTAACTTAAAGATAAGCCCTAACTGGAGGCCACCAACCTTGAGAACAAACTGTTGCAAAGAAGCCCCGTTTGCCACACAGTCAACATCAGAGCTAATGCTGTGTGGGTGATGATTAGAATATACTTAAGCCGGGCCCAGGACAAGCTGACCGTGTGCTTTCTTCCCCACCTAAATCACACGTGTCTCCCAATTCTGAAACAGGTAAAACAATGGCCTGGGTGGAAAGGAGGGCAAGGCACAGTGGGAGTTCCATGTGTGAAGCTGTTTTATGTCAAGGAAGAAAGATGGGAGTTTCTGAAGTTTTGTTTGTTTGAAACCACTCACAGCCTGATTTACTTCATGTTTTCAATGGGAATAATACTGCCAATTTCACAGATCATGGTCTGGATTCAAGGCGATAAATAAACCTACTCAGAAAATGGCATCTCTGGCCAGGCGCAGTGGCTTACACTTGGTAATCCCGGCACTTTGGGAGGCCAAGGCGGATGGATCACTTGAGGTCAGGAGTTCGAGACCAGTCTGGGCAACATGGCAAAACCACGTCTCTACTAAAATACAAAGCAAAAAAAACAACAACATACACACACACACACACACACACACACACACACACACACACACACAACACCTGGCACGTCTTAACAATCAGGGTATTGTTTGGAAGGCAATGAGGAATCCTTTATCATCTACTGTCTGCTTCGTCTCAGAAAGACTCTCTTCCAGCTACTAAAATTCTATTAATAAAAGAGAACATTTTTCAGAGAAAGGAAAACTTTCAACATTTCTGCTTCCAGAGCTGTGTGTAGAACTCATTTGCCAGTGAGTCTGTGTTTGTTACCAAACCTCAAGTTCAAACTTGGAAATAAAAATACACTGTCCTGAAAATTCTTCACTGACATGCCACTCAGCTGCTCATGGTTTCCTGGTGGAAATTACTGTAACCACAGGATTTCACATGGTTTCAACCTCTAGCCACAAGTTAAAATTAGCCAGATGTTACTGAGAAGTTAGGGAACTAGGCTGTTTATATTTGGATCTGGTTATACTGAGTGTGTAAGCAGATCCAAATACGAAAATTCATTTGCAATGAGATTTTAGGGTACAGCAACTTGATTTTCATCACGTTAAGAATATTCCATTTGCTAAGAAAGATGGCTCCAAGATCATTACTCCTTTGGGAAACAAAGCCCAATAATTCTGCCATGGTCCTGTAAATCCTCACCCTGTGAAGGACAACACTTTCACTCTGATATACGTTGTGTGTAAAATGGGGTACATCCCTACAACCCTGGTACCAGGGATTTTACAAGTCACATACACAAAAAAGACCTGGTGTCCTGGGTGTTTTGTCTTTCTAAAGCATCAGTTCATCGTAGCTATGAGGTAACAGTTTCATCAATTTCTGAATTGAGTGTATTGTGTAAGCAACTACTTCTGCTAGACTGTTTAGACAAAACTGGATTTTGTAATTTTGTTACATTTGGATCAGTTCAAAAATTAAAGGTAGACACGTTACTAGTTCCACCTGTCTGATTACTTTCTCCAACAGTGAAGGGAACGAGAGCAAAGCCACCTGCATATCTTCGGCAGTTAAAGATCAGAATCATAACAACAATAACATCTCACAATTTTCCAAGTGCTCCTTCGGCTCTGTCTTTTTCCTCCCACCTGAGGCCCCCAGGGTGGGTGTAGACATTCATCTCTGCTTCATTTGATCCACCTCTGCTTGGCCACTGCTGGACTTTTTCTCAGGCAAAGGAGAACCCCCAGGAGAGTGGATAAACTGGACCAAGGAGCTGCAGAGGTAGTTTGATTTCACCACAATCATTTCATCTGTCTTAGCAAAACCCCCTTGGGCTTGCCCTGTAGTACACAAACTTGGCTTTGTTCACGCAGCTCAAATAGAACACTTCTCCTTCAAAATTTAACTCAGCTCTCGGAAACACTGAAAGGAAATGTGGCCTATAATTATCCAACGTGAGATGCAAGGATTGAATGCTTTGTCCAAGGTAAATACTTAATCTTTTAAAGTTTCTAGGAGGTATCTTTGAAGCTGCGATAGAATTTGTAAAGCCAAATAAAAATATATACTAAATATGCATCTGCCATGAGGAAAAGGAAGTTTATTAAAAGCATTAGCACTTAGCTCTATTGGAAGCACACCATTAGTCCTACACCTCTTGTATACTACCATGGAAAAGGCATTAAGACAATCGATTTTCTGAAATTTATCCATATTGAAAAGTCGTTTTCATTGTCTTCTTTTCAGGAGGACACGATTTTCAAAACTCACATGTTTCATGACCAAGTTTCACAATCTACAAAGGTAGAAATGCACAACTTACAAACTCCCTACACATAAAAAAAGTGCCAAACATGTTGTAAATAGAAGCCCCCTCGTGCAGCAAACACGCTGCCTCCCTGACATCCCATGTATGTGAGCACAATAATTACCCATGTGATAAGAGCATCAAGGTCCTTTGTTATATCTTTCAGCCCTCCTTTTTTCTTCCTTCCCTAGCTTTGCTGTTCTAAGAGAAGTCAAGGTGAAGGGTTTAGTGCCTCTGAAGCTGGGGCAAGAAAACAATCGGCTTCTCCAACGGTCAGTAAAGAATACAAGGGCACAGTTAAAACAGAGCCACTGAAGTGAACAACCTTCATGTGACCAACAGGAGAAACACCCCCTCCAGGTACTCCCCACAGGGTTCCCTTTCGGTTGCAAGGCCAGGAAGGTCAGCCCATCTCTATGGCACTCCCTTTCAAGTGTGCGGGCGGCATGCCAGCAAGCAGGTTCCGCATGACTGCTGGTGCACAGGGAAACTCCTCAGAGAGAGACCCCTGACCCACCAGAGGGGCGAAAACCAAAGCAGGGATCAGGCACTTTATTTCAAGAGTATGTGTATGCGTATGTGTATGTGTGCGTGTGTGTGTGTGTGTGTGTGTGTGTGTGTGTATGCTACAAAGGCAAAGGAGGCCATTCAAATCTAGGAACGCTACACACATACACACATTAGGCAGAAGAAAAATAGGAAACAGAAATAGGAGAAATCACATCTTCACTAGTAAATAACTTATAAGACACTGAGAATATCAGTGACACTGTAGAGTTGGAAATTTCTATTTTAATTGTATCCATTGTTTTGAAGGAATAGAGTGAAAATAGCGGGATTTACACTTTTGTATATAATATACAATTTTCCAGATAAGCTCTTCTCTCTAGGCTGATGTCCTTCCACCAGTATTGATACATGAAAAGATGAATACAAAAAAATGCTCAAAAATGGCCAGGCGCAGTGGCTCACGCCTGTGATCCCAGCACTTTGCAAGACTGAGGTGGGTGGATCACCTGAGGTCAGGAGTTCGAGACCAGACTGACCAACATGGTGAAACCCCATCTCTACTAAAAATAAAAAATTAGCCAGGCGTGGTGGCACATGCCTGTAATCCCAGTTACTTGGAAGGCTGAGGCAGGAGAATTGCTTGAACCCAGGAGGCAGAGGTTGCAGTGAGCTGAGATCGTGCCATTGCAATCCAGCCTGGGCAACAAGAGCAACACTCCATCTCAAAAAAAAAAGAAAAAAAAGGCTAGAAAATGCCATTCTTGCTATCGGGATCAGGCAGAGGATTCTGTCTGGTATATATGCACAGGGCTATGGTCTTTTGCTGTATTTTGCCTCCTTGGCTGCTTACAGCTTACTTGACAAGCCGAGTCAGCAAAATCATCACAATGAGTGGGTGTCCCCAGCAAGTTTGTGAAACTAGAGCCCCTCGGACCTAAACATTTCCTGTTTGCAAAAGAGCAGCAATTATGTTCCCTCACAAGCAGTCTTGCTCATAAGCCAATGATTGATAAACATCTGACACTATCAAGCAGCTCTTGGAATGCTTGGAAGATGTTTCAGATGCTAGGTGTGTTGCTGAGCACTGTGGTTACATTCCATTTCTGCATCTACTGAGAGGCTCTGGGTTGGAAGAAATTAGAGACTTGCTGTGATGAAAGTGTGGGGGGTGATTGAGCTTAGACTGGAGAATCGTTGCGATGGGAATACCGTAAAGCAGGTTCAAGCATCATGCCTTCATTCAGCAAATATTTACTGAGCTGTGACTTTATTTCAGTCCCTGGATATACTTAAACATGATGGACACAGCTGAGCCCTCATGGAGCTCACATCCTAGGAAGGATGGTGACATGAGAAAGGTCATTCTCCCTGTGTTGAGCCACATGAAGGAAAAAATGATGGACACCAATGGAGCATACCAGAAAAGCAAACCTAGGCTGAGGAATAGGGAATGCTTTCTGGAGAACAGGATGTTTACATGGTAAAGGAAGAAAATTAATGTGCATTTGACTTTTAACCCTCATTTGACTGCTTCTCAATTATGACTATCAGATATATCTATATAATAATTTCCACACTCATTTTCTCCTTTCCAACCCTGCACTGACTTCTTTTGTTAGCTATCGCAACACACTAGTTAGATTTGAAATCTCTCTTTCAATTAAATTTGGAAATCCCAGCAGGGAAACATTCTCAGTCGTCTGTCTGATTAAGAATAGAAAAAGAATTGTATTTTGACATCTATAATCAAACCTCACAAAATAGCCCCAATTGATGTAAAAATTCACACTTCAACCATATATTATATTTTTATTTTCAATAGCACTAACTCTGTAACACTTTACACCTTATCATTTTTTAATTTATTGTCCTTACAAAATTCTGTAGGATTATGAAATTGACAAGATGAGTTTTAAGTAGAAATGAGCTTCCTTTTTTCACAAAATTTGGGACATTAAATTCTCGCTTTATTGAACTAACAAAAAAAGATATCCAATTTTGTGTAGATATGGCTTAAGGTGGTTGCAGGTATAGTCTTTTTGGAAGAGGGAAATAAGACTTTTAAAATGTGGAATTTGAAGATAAACTATGAAACGTTGACTTGCCAACTTGCAGCATATCAAAATGTCAGCTCAGCACCTTAAAGAGTCTAAAGGGATTATTCAGCCCAATTTTCTCTGTGCTTAATGCCATATCCTGGCTTAGAGTCAGGTTCCTTTGGAAGAATATTTAACTCTTTCTGCACATCATTATTCCATTTTAAGCAATAAAGTTGTGATTTCCTAAATGACATTCTAATAATCTGAAATATTTCCCCCAGCTTTGAAAGGATCCGTGCTTTGAGGATATAGCTGACATACTGCGATAACCTCAATCATTCTGTAGCAAGAATAGTATACCAAAATTACACTTACATGTCCATCAGTAAGTCCTAGCACAAATGATAATAAGAATATTCTTAGCATTATCCCAGGAAGAGACAGTGACTTGAGTCTTACGACAACTGTCTTTAAGCCTGTGGGCAGTGCTCAATGGCTTTAATGAAACAACATACATCTTTAACCATGGCATTCAACCTCTGAAGGAGCAGGTACGTTACATAACATTTGGAAGCAGTCTCAGAGGTGGTCCAGTCTACTTTCCGTATGATTAATGAATCCCCTATATTGTTCTCCTGATAGAGAGGCTCAAGGACTCTGGGACCTTTGCTATCAAAGAACTCCCCACCCCAAGAAGCAGCCCATGACCTTGCCTAATAGCTCTAATATGAAATTCTTCCTTGTAGCCTGCCCTAATTACCCTTCCAAAACTTTAGCTACCTGAGCAATTTCTATACTAACGGGTTGCATAGAGTAGATCCAATTATTTTCTCACAGGACAGCCCTACTACTATTATGATTAAATCATTCCTTTATTAATTCAGCCATCTATTGGGCATCCACTATGAGTTAGACACCCATCTAGTCACTGGGGATATAACAGCAAACAAAGTTATGTCCCTCCTAGAACTCACATTCTGGAGACAGTACAGAGGAAGAAAATAAGCCAGCAATTATAAGTAAACACGTAATATGTTGGTGGAGAAAACTCAGGAACGGGGGATTGCTACAGTATGTGGGATGAGGAGGGGAGCTGTGAGGTTATCTCGAGTGGTCGTGGAAGCGCTGCCTGCAATGGATAGGTATGCAGAGACCTCAAGAATTGAGATGAAGTGGGGAGACAGAAGTGTGAGTGCAAGGCTCCTGATTCCTCCCAGTCTGGAGTGGCAAGCAGATTTAGCCCCTTCCGTTGATTCTGTTTGGTTGGTAGTGCTGTCCAGATCTCCACATTGAAGGCTGAGATATCAGTCCTGCCCTGGCTGGTGTAAAAGAGTGTTTGATTTGATTAGAAATATCTGCTATGGATGCCCAACAGAGAGTGGCAGTTGCTATTCCGCATAAGCATATGGTAGGTCTGCACTGTATTTCATGCAACTCACACACAGTCTTCTCTTCTCCCACTAGCAGTAACTTCATTCTTTTAAGCAAATCTCTTATTTTAAGGTATTTTTTCCAGTCTTTACCGTATTTGCCTTTCTCAGGGGTAAAGTCTAGTTGGGTAATAATTTCACTTAAAGGGTGAAAGTCAAGACTGTGCATAATAATTTAGGTATCTTCTAAGCATAGAGAAAACCTAAAATCCCAGTAGCTTGTTCTGGAGTCCATAATGAGACCTTTTCAGACTAGGGCTATATTAATTTGGGTTGAGAAGGACTCCTCATTGCTTCCGTGTGTTTAGTGCTAAGTGGCTACTGATATGACAGGCTCATGACAGGTACTTTTCTCTCTCCTTCCCCTCCTTGGCTCAAAACTTAACATGAAATTTAAAGAAAGCTGTGTATGTGTGAGGAGTACCATTTGTCAAAGCAGACCCCAATCACTTCAGTCTGCAAGTTCTAGCACACAGCGTAAAACCGCAGCTCAACATTGCCCCATTCTTAACAAAAGGTTAATGCTTTAAGCTTTAAAAAAAATTTGGATCTGTTGTTCGGTAATTGGAATAAACATTCAAATTTGAGTATCAAATTTCTCATTAGTTTCACATCAATACCTGTGCTGCAACTATGGATCAGTGAACTGGGCTCCTCGCTGCCCAAGTGAATTCATTAATCATTCTCCCCTAAGATGGCTGTGTAAGTAGACAGCTGTTCTAAGCAGCTGTCTTCGGGCACAGCTCCTCTCATACAGACAGTGGGAAACTTTATGCACGAGTCTGCTGTCGTTTTAGATGGAAGTCCTACTTGTATTTACAGGTCCAGAAGCAACTGGATCTCAGGTCAGTAACGCATTTCAATTTGTAAATGGTCACTTTATGGTCACAGAGGGAAAGGTTTAAAACCATTCAGGCTAAGTTTCCATGTCTTATCTGACTTATCACCAGGAAAAAGAAATACGAAGCTATGTATTTCAAGCTCACACCGCATTTGGTGAAAAGCCACAAACCTAAACTGAACTCTTGTAACCCTTTTTTCCTGCCCCAAATGATATGCCCTGGCTTATTAGTGCTCCTGATCTTCCAACTATAGATATTTAACTTTATTTTTATATTTTTGGATACACTTGGCTGCTTAGAGAGATCAGAATCCACATGCAGCTCCGATTCTCCATTATATTGAAGCAAGTACTCCAGTAATTGGAGCTTATCCTGTTTTAATATATGCAATCAGGAAATTTGAAACGGCCTTGATGGCCCCTATAATATTTCCTTTAGATGCTCTCTGATATGTCAGTGTCTACAAGTTCATCCACACAGCAATGACCTCATGTGGCAACCTTTTTCCATCTACTAGAACACTTAGTAGTAACATGAGAACCTGATTATCTTCTCTTAGAAAAAAAAAAAGAGGAAAGACAAAGAAAAACAACACACATACACACAAACTTAAGAGGTATTTCTCTCTTGGAAGCAAAACCACCAAGACAAGTAGACACACATTGGAGAAAATAAAAATCACAGAATCCAAACAATTGTTTCCTGGGCAGAAGGTGGGTGGAGGGTTGTTGGGAATCAAAGGAGAGCCAGGCATATCTATTTCCTGGGGATGTATTTAGCCTTTCACATTAAGGAAAAGTGAACATGCCAAAAGTTCAACTCAAGAAGATTTTTATTTCTCTCATTAAATGCAATCGAAAGTAAACACTGGGAGCTGGTAGGGAAAAGAATGAATGTATTGCCTGGACATTTCTTAGATAAATCATTTAAAATTGGACTTTCCTAGTGTGTGCTATGAAAAGTTCTGAAGTAGGTAATGCCATCCCCAAGTGAGAGATGAGGCAACAAAAGGTGATTCATTCGCTCACTCATTTAGTATTCCTGTAACAAACAGGTACTGAGAGCCTACTGGGTACCAGGTAGTATTCTGGGCATTGGGACTTGAGGTACACAAGGCAGAAAAGGGTCTTGCTTTCATAATGTTTAGATTTCAGTGGGGAAAAGGCAAAAAATAAACAAATTAAAATAGTAGCTAGTGGCCAGGCTCAGTGGCTCACACCTGTAATCCCAGCACTTTGGGAGGCCAAGGCAGGCAGATCACCAAAGGTAAGGAGTTGGAGACCAGCCTGACCAACATGGCAAAACCCCATCCCTACTAAAAATACAAAAAGTATCTGGGCGTGGTGGCGTGTGCCTGTAATCCCAGCTACTCCGGAGACTGAGGCAAGAGAATTGCTTGAACCCGGAAGGCGGAGGTTGCAGTGAGCCGAGATGGTGCCACTGCCCTCCATCCTGAACAACAGAGTGAGCACCCTGGCACCAAAAAAAAAAAAAAAAAAAAAAAGCAGCTAGTAATAACTGTCAAAGATAAAAATAAAATAGAATGATATCATGAAGAGAGATTAGAAGTTTTTTAAGGTTGGGTGATATTGGAGGTTTCAAGGAGGTTGGAGAATTTAAATTGAGACCTGTAAAACAAGAAGAACCAGGGCTGGAGGAGTTGGCAGAAGTCACTCTCCTAACCCTATAGCTGCTACAAAATGGGATTACTTAAGCCCACATCTGTATGACTGCAAAGCCTCAGTCTTTCTCCCAATCTCCACTTTACTGGAGCATCATGAAATGTACAGCCAGTTTTGTCAACTATTAAATCGAGAGGATAACTGGCAATTATGTGTAAAATGGGAGTTGTGTAAATAGCATAATAGGATAAAGTATAAATTGTCTGCTTCTGCTTGGGCCTGTCCAAACTGGTTATCAACTCAGCCTCATTTCTGTAGATAGTTGTCCACATTAAACTTCTTTTGGACATAGCTTTATCTTGAGAGCATTATTTCTAGATGTGTCCTCATCCTTAAAATTAATGTATTTTGCCATTATAGAAGTGTTGTGTGTTTGTCTTCATTGATTTTGGATTCTTACTCTCTTCAGATCCGATTTACTCTAGTGTAGCTTAAAAGTGCATGGACTGTAGCATGGAGTATGCTGTGACTGGAGTTTGATTGCATTCCAGTCAATGTTGGGATGCAGTGAGAAATAGAATGTAAAAAGACTTATAAAACATTTAAAAATAGTACATGAAAAGACAGACCCAGAAAGCTTTGCAGAGTTGAGCCATCTATGCTCAGTGGAGAATATTAATGGAAATTGTTTAATGAGTGTCTTTCATAGTAATTATGTATTAAAACGCTAAACACTTGAATGGAAACTTTGGTCTCTGAGATTCTTGGAACGTTTTCTAGATTCCACTCCAGGGATGATTTCACCCCCTACTGCATCGCTCCCCTTCTGAGGCTGATTGTTTCATCTCCCTCAATGTACTCGGCAGTGGTTTGTTCTTTTATAAATCTGTTGACTAAAAAAGAACCCAAAAGTCAAACCAAAGTTGATAACCTTTAACTTTTGAGATTTTTCAAAGCCGGTTGAAGTAAAATCTGCTATTTATACTTTTCTTTTCTTTTACTTTTATGTCCTTATCAACTTGTTTATATAATTGGTACTTGGATCTCATCAGACAAAACTATCAGTGTTTTATGGTGTATATGGAGGAAATTACTAGGTAATAAATATTATATAAAGAGTATTGATAAAACTCAGATTTTGAAATATGTTTTATAATATTACATCCATAAATATGAGTTACATTATATCCCTGGAATGTTCCTCCTTATTCCTGTTTTTGCTGAAATTATAAATATGGATTCAATTTCTCCTTTAAATTTCAGTTATATTTCATTCCTTGGGCTTCTAACCTCAAGGGTCAAACTATAAAAAATTGTATATATTTTATTCTGTTGAAAGCTAACAACAATCCAGAATGATTTGTATAAATGAACCTGGTGAGAAAATAAGAACACATGCATAAATTATTTTGTATGCAATTTTTATAACTATAAATTTTGTAAAATATGTTATTTATAACATTGTCATTTCCGACAGTGGTATCATGGGTGTGAGAACATTCAACTACAAAAAATAGTCACAGAAGCATGAAAATTAGAGCTTAAAGAAATGTAAGAACACATCTGGTTTAATCCCCTCTCTTTAAAGATGGAGAAATGAAGATACAGAAAGGCAATGGGCCTTGTTTCTGGTGGCTCAGCCATTTAAGGGTAAAGCCCTGGCATACTGATGGTGTGTGGAAGCAACAGAAGAACTTTCTTCAGGCTACTGGTGTAAAGTTTCTATGGCCTAACTATGCAATCTTATGTGATACTCAGTGAAATGTCTTTGAAATTTTTATGTAAAGAATATTTTATGAGTACAAACTTCCACTAACTAGAAAACTCTATATTATGGATTGAATGTTTGTGTCCCCGCAAGACTTATATATTGAAACCCTAACCCCCAATGTATCAATATTTGGAGATTGGGCCTCTAAGGAAGTAAGGTTAAATGAGGTCATAAGAGTGGGGCCCTGATCCAATAGAATTAGTGCCCTTATTAGAAGACACACCGGAGAGTTCCAGAGAGCACACTCCCTTTCTCTCTTTCTCCCTCTCCCCCAATCCAGCATGCATAAAAACATCATCTTAGCATACAGAAAGATGGCGGCCACCTACAAGTCCAGAGAAGAGACATCAGAATGAAACCTACCTTGCCAGCTCAGATTTTGCAATATGTTTTGTAATATTACATCCATAAATATGAGTTACATTATATCCATGGAATGTTATGTCATGGGCTTTCCATCCTCCAGAACCATGAGAAATACATTTGTTATTAAACCACCCAATTTGTAGTATTTCGTTATGGCAGACTGAGCAGTCTAATGCACTATAATAATTCATGTGAGATTTACCTAAATTTCCCGCTTTTTAATTTTATACAAAGAACTGTTTTTTTGGGTTTTTTTTAGCAAACACATAGTATTAAGTAAAAGAAAAAGAAACTTTTTAGGACAATGATTTCCTAATATGGGTAGGGATACGACAATCAGTTTGGAAGTGCATATTCTCACATTATTACTATTGCAATGAATATTCCTGTAGGTGAAGTTCTGCATGTATCCTTGATTATTTTCTCAGAAAAATTATTGGAATGGTACTTGCTGGACCAAAGTATGCACTTTTTAAGGCTTTGAAGTAGTAAGCTTTCGCAGAAATATTGACTGCAGATTATACTACTCTCCGGAAATTAGCTTTGCAACATAGGTGGGTATGTCAATGGATAAGAGGCAGGAAAGAGGGCTGCTGTATGTACTCATAGGTAACTGCCTCTCACATTTGGAGAACTCAGCTTAGGTTGTGATTCTAAAAGTGCACTTGGGAATCTAAGAGAGAATGAGGTAAAGGGAAGAGAAAGAACCTGCTCTCACATTTGTTTACTGAAGACAAATTGCCAAAGTACTACAATTAGAAGATACCCTGCTCCCTAAAAATTATTACCCCCCAAAGTCTCTACAACCTAATTAAAATGTAAGGTTTGTTTTTTGTTTTTTTGAGATGGAGTCCCACTCTATTGCCCAGGCTGGAGTGCAATGGTGCAATCTCGGCTCACTGCAACCTCTGCTTCCTGGGTTCAAGTAATTCTCCTGCCTCAGCCTCCCAAGTAACTAGGATTATAGGCATGCACCACCGTGCCTGGCTAATTTTTGTATTTTTAGTAGAGAGAGGGTTTCACCATATTGGTCAGGCTCGTCTTGAACTCCTGACCTCAGGTGATCCACCTGCCTCAGCCTCCCAAAGTGCCAGGATTACAGGCTTAAGCCATTGCACCTGGCCTCAAATGAAAGTTATTATTGGTCAATTAAAAATAAAATTAACTTTAAAAAAAGATAAGCAGAATTCATGTGTGAATCTGACCTGAAATCAGGCTTCCTGAACTGGGGCATTGATTCAAACTACTTTCTCTTTCCTTTCTTTTTTTTTTTTTTTTTTCTTCTTTCTTTTTAAATTTAGGAACCTAAGACCAGTTTGCTACAAGAATACAATTGGTATTCCCCACAGTCACCCTCACAAGGGACACTTACAAAGCACACTCCAATCTCAGCCATTACTGACTGACAAGGTAAGAATTTTATATTTTACATCGCTTCATATCAAGAAATTCTTCAAAATGATAACTGATGCAGTTAAGCTTCCCAGAAAATGAACAGTTTGGAGGATTAGGCTAGAAAACCTGGTCACCTTTTGAAAATCTCCAGCTAGTAGCCACAAGGGGAATTTTTGAACTGCAAAGGTGAGCTTTGCAGGCCTGCACCTTGACCCCTGTCTCAGTCTGGGGCTCAGGAATTGAAGGCTGTATGATTTTATTTGAAATGTCTACCTGGCATGGAGCAAGGACAACAAAAAAAAAATTGAAAGTGTAAAAAAAGAAAAGCTATTATATCTTACAGCAGTACCTCCTGTAGTAATGAACTTTAAAACCAGTATGTTTAAACGCTTCCACACATAGGCACGCCCTCCCATCCACTTTGCACTACTCATACCTTCACATGCTAAGAAAAGTTACATTTTAAAAGGAGAGAAAGTATATCATAGAGATATACTAATCCTCTAATTCCTTAGAGGAGCGAATAACCTTTTCTCTTGATATAGGAACCAAGCATTGATCTGTCACACTGTTTGTTCTAGCAGAGCTCCCAGAGGCACATTCAGTTTGAAACGTTAAGGCTAGTTCATTAGGCGTCCCTGGCTCCTTTCTCTGAGAGAATCAAGATAACACCGTGGTTAGTTAATGGCTTTCTCTTGTTTCCCCCAGAGCCTGCCTGTCTGAAGCCTGCAGGCCCGAGAAGCTTCTTTCTCCCTTCTCTTGGCTATTAGTCACAGCTGGTAAGGCTCACAGGAACCGAGACTGTTTGAAAACAGTTGGATCACGAAAACGTTTGAGTCTTTCTGCTGCAAGCAACAAACTTGGCCCAGGCTGCCACAAGGAGATGGAGTGGGAGTGGGGGTGGCGATGGGATGCACCAGGAACGAAGGAAGAAAGGGAAATTGCTAACCACCTCACTTCAAAATCTTCTCTGAGGGAGCCCGTGGTAAGCACCCTTGCTGGGAAGGTGGACGGACTAACTTTTAAAATGAAGTGATGTTGCCTCTTGGGGCTAATGTCTTCTGCCCAGCACCCAATGTCCTCACCTGGAACCCCGTATTCTGGAAATGGGGCAGTGGGGGCAGAAGCTAATGGTGAGACCCTAGAATGCAGTGAGCTACCTTCGGCTGCTGCAATTCTCCAAGACCTGCCCACCCCTTTTTCTTCTATACTTACTTTGTACAGAACCAGTGGGGGAGGAAAGAAAAAAAAGAAGTTAGGTATTAGGTATTATAGATAAACTCAAAATCCAAAACCCAACCCATAGACCTCTCTCATGTCCAGGGGTAGAACTGCTGAATGAGAAACATGATGCCCTACAAGTATGACCTGACTTTTAATAGCCCTGTTATCTGGTTGTTCAAGGCACTACCTCACAAAAGCAGCTCCGGGAAAACCAAATCATTTTAGATTCTGCCTCTCATAGGACCTTGGCAAACTACTAACAGGGCCCATATGTCTACCTGTTCCCTGGAGTGGCTGGTGTGCTCCCCTGCAAAGGAGATGCTAAGACGGTCCATGATGCTGTCGGTGATGACAATGATGTCATCACCAGTAACAAATCACGCTTTGTCACTGCCCTGATCTTGAGTCATGAATACTATGGTGGCATTGGGTTTATGAGAACAGGAAACATATATGCTTTGGGGTCAAGTTTAAATACAAGCTGGAAGAGTTTCATTTCCCTTTCAGGGTGCCTACAGGATTCATATTATACTGAGAAATCACAGAGGAAAGTTTTATGAGGGATCAGGTCAAGCCCATGAAAGTAATGGGGCTCTTCACGTCACCTCTTTCGGGGCAGTCTGAAGCTGGTTCCATATCTGGCTTGGATTTTTCAGATAATAACCTTGCCTCTTCTTAAATGGTTTGAGAAAATGTAGGTTCTTCCTCTGAATTTGGAACATGCCAATGACTTACCAGACATGACAAATACAGGAGGGTATACAGATTTCTAGATTCTAACTTGTTGAAAGATAAAACAAAAAGCCACTCAAACACACTTTCATTCTTTTTCCAAAAATGGAAATATGTGTGTCACATTTCTAATTTACAAGGTCTATTGCAATTATGTTTTAGGCTATTATCCTGGTTCAAATGTCACAGATAGAAGATAATAAAAACAAGAAGAAATAAAATTCAAGATCCATTAGAACACTTCTGGATTGTCCATTACAGCATGTATTACCCAACAGAAAGATGATCACTAATAGATGACAAGCTATTTAATTTTATGTTTACTTTTGGAAGGATGCAGGTACTGTGCAGGGTTTCTACAACACATCAGCATTGCTTACACCAGTACTTCAAATATGAGTTATTTAATCACCCAAGTTAAATGAAAATAACCAAATGATTAAATAAAATCAAGTCATACTTCATGTGAAGACTTTACTTCGGCTTATAATTTGGGAGACTTTCCCTAACGTTGCCATGTTCCACATTAATGTATTGCATAATATTGGCCAGGCGTGGTGGCTCACGCCTGTAATCCCAGCACTTTGGGCAGCTGAGGCGGGCAGATCACAAGGTCAGGAGTTTGAGACCATCCTGCCTAACATGGTGAAACCCCGTCTCTACTAAAAATACAAAAAAAATTAGGCGTGGTGGCCAGCGCCTGTAGTCTCAGCTACTCAGGAGGCTGAGGCAGGAGAATGGCGTGAACCTGGGAGGCGGGGCTTGCAGTGAGCCAAGATCGCACCACTGCACTCCAGCCTGAGCGAGAGAGCGAGACTCCATCTAAATATATATATATACACACACATACATACACATATATACACATATATACATATATATACACATATATGTATATACACACACACATATATACACATACATATATATGTATCTATACACATACATATATATACATATACACATATATATACATATATATATTGCATAATGTTATCTGACAACCTATTCTGTGGGGGAATGTTTCTATGAGTATGCATGAAGTTACATTAGTGTTGTTCATTTATTCATCAGGCACCAATTACAACTGCATTATTTAATGCAACTCATTCTCAGCACTTTTGGTCCTGGTAACTTTATCCTTATTCTCTTCTTTCTGCATCACTCCTTCTTCAGTGTGTATTCTTCCTCACATTCTCTGCACAGTAATTGTCCATGGTCTCAGTCATTGGTTCTATTGATCTGTATTTTCCTCCCCAGAGACAAAAAGCACTATGTCCATTCACAAAGGCTACATCAGATTCCGTTCCACTTTGCCTTCATTGAACACTTACTATATTCATAGCATGTCTTTTTCTGGTCACTGCAGGAAATATAAAGATAAATAAGTCTCAATGCCTGCTGTCTTGGCAGATGAAATGATAATAATGATATAATAACTGAAAACACTTATTTAGCACTAATTACAGGCCATTCTAAGTGCTCCATACACATGAACTCATTTAATCTTTAAGGAATCCTTTGACAGAGTCACTATCATTATCCTCATTGTGCAGAGAAGGAAACAAAGACATAAGAGAGGTTGGGTTATTGCTCAGTGTCGTACAAGGATAAAATGACCATGGTGCAAAGGGAAATTGAAAAGTTGTATGCAGAAGACACAAACAAAAAGATCATGGAGAATCAACTGATGGGGCAGGGTAGGGGAGGAGACCATAGGCCATATTTCCTAAAAAGACAACCTATGAACAAAAATTTTACAGTAAAATTTAAAGACTTGTTATGTTCTTAGAACTTACAATGAATATTTTGTTTCACATAATTCCAACCAAATCCCCATTTCACCAGTGAGAAATTAGAAACTTAGAAAATGGGTTTGCTAGCCAGGCATGGTGGCTCATGCCTGTAATCCCAGCACTTCGGGACGCTGAGGCGGACAGATCACCTAAAGTCAGGAGTTTGAGACCAGCCTGGCCAACATGGCGAAACCCCATCTCTACTAAAAATACAAAAAAAATAGCTAGGCGTGGTGGTGGTCGCCTGTAATCCCAGCTACTCGGGAGGCTGAGGCAAGAGTATCGCTTGAACCTGGGAGTTGGAGGTTGCAGTGAGCCGAGATTGCAGCATTGCACTCCAGCCTGGGTGACAGAACAGGACACTGTCTCAAAAAAAAAAAGAAAAAAGAAAAAAGAAAATAGGTTTGCTAATGTTAAAATGCAATACCAGAGTTTAAACCTAGGGCAGTCTTAACCCAACATCCATGTTTTTAGCCACTCTACTAAACTGCTTGTATCTCCAAGGTAGATGGTAAAGGATGAGTTAAATTTTGAAAGCCAGAATTAGGAGGAGAGGATAATATAAGTGAAGAAGTATGAGTATAAAATCAATGAGGAGGTTTGCCAGAAATAGAGAAAGGGTGAGTTTACCTATTCATGCTGCAGCAAGAATGCATGACACATACATGACAGATAGGAGGCACACAGATGGACTTTTACAGTCTCTGGGGAGGTACGATAGTCCATGAGACACTGACACCTGGTGTAATGTGGCAAGAGTGAGCCTGAGATGCTTGTGTAGAGAAATAGGGAAACAGATAAGAAAAGAAAGATGGGCTGGGCGTGGTGGTTCACTCCTGTAATTCCAGAACTTTGGAAGGCCAAGGTGGGCAGATCACCTGAGGTCAGGAGGAGTTCGAGACCAGCCTGGACAACATGGTGAAACCCTGTCTCTAATAAAAATACAAAAATTAGTCAGGCATGGTAGCATGCCGCTATAATCCCAGTTACTCGAGAAGCTGAGGCACGAGAATCGCTTGAAACTGGGAGGCGGAGGTTGCAGTGAGCTGAGATCTCGCCATTGTACTCCAACCTGGGCAACAGAGCGAGACAAAGAAAAGAAAAGAAAAGGGAAGAAAAGGGAGGGGAAAAAGAAAAGAAAAGAGAGGAAGGAAGGAAGGAAGGGAAAAGAGAGAGAAAGAAGAAAGAAAAAGAGAGAAAGAAGAGAAAGAAAAAAAGAAAGAAAAAGAAAGAAAAAAGAAAGAAAAAGAAAGAGAAAGAAAGAAAGAAAAGAAAAAGAAAAAGAGAGAGAAGGATATATCATAATATCACAACGGGCCTTAAATGCCAAGCTAAGACATTTTAACTGACTATGTCATGCAGTGAGCAGCTACTTTCTATTATTTAGAAGAATGCATGATAGGAATTATGGTTTAGTAGCACTAATTAGACAATGAGATATATTGGGGGAAGTAACAGAAGGAGCATTTTTGAAGTCCTTAAAAATAACTTAAAAAAATCTATGGGTATTTGAATACCAATGGGGACTGTGATAATCAAAAAGAGGGGATAAATCCAAAAGTGACTATTGAAATAGAATACATATTTCTGATGTTGATGGGCTTAAAGGAAGGACTGAACAATGATTGCCAAGTTTCCACACTGATTGACTCGTAAAACAATGGTGTGGTGCCTACAGCAAAGGTCAAGAAAGCATGACGTCGCCAGGCGTGGTAGCTCACGCCTGTAATCCCAGCACTTTGGGAGGCTGAGGTGGGCAGATCACCTGAGGTCAGGAGTTTGAGACCATCCTAGCTAACAACCCCATCTCTACTAAAGTACAAAAAATTAGCTGGGCGTTGTGGCACGCCTGTAGTCCCAGCTACTCGGGAGGCTGAGGCAGGAGAATCGCTTGAACCCGGGAGGTGGAGGTTACAGTGAGCCGAGATCGCTCCACTGCACTCCAGCCTGGGTGACAGAGCGAGACTCCGTCAAAGAAAAAAAAAAAGAAAGAAGGCAGGGAGGGAGGGAGGGAGGAAGGGTGAGTGGGAGGGAGGGAGGGAGGAAGGAAGGAAGGAAGGAAGGAAAGAAGGAATCGTGATGCCTACTTAATGTTATGCTCAAAAAGATGAGTTTGAATTTTGAAGTACTTGATTTGAGACACCCACCCAGCATTCCACTGGAGCAGTCCAGCAGGCACTTAAAATGTGGGTCTGTGCTCATGGAAGAAGTTGGAATGGGAAACTTAAATTTTAAAATAAACTTTAAAAAATTGTTTTAGATTTGCAGAAAATTGTGAAGATACTATGAAAGGTTTCCATATACCCTGCACCCAGTTCTATTATTAACATCTTGCATAACTATGGTACATTTTTTTAAATTGATGAGCCAATAATTATATGTTCTTATTCACTAAAGTCCATAATTCATTCAGATTTCCTTAGTTCTTACTTAATGTCCTTTTTCTGTTCCAGGATCTCATGCAGGATACTGCATTACGATCAGTTGTCATGTCCCCTTAGGCTCATTTTGACTGTTAGAGATTCTTAGACTTTCACTGTTTTTTTATGACATTGACTAATTAAGGAGGACTGGTTAGGAATTTTGTAGAAAGTCAGTCTTTTGGGATTTGTCTGAAGTTTTTCTCATGGTTAGACTGGGATTATGTGTCTTTGGAAGGAAGACCACAAAGGTAAAATGTCATTCTCATCACATCAAGGGTATATATTATCAATATGACTGATCATATTGATGTTAACGTTCATCATTGTGTGTAGAGCTGGTTTGTTTCTTTAGTTGCTCAGTTTTGTTTCTTAGCACTTTCTTACCTTCTGCCACTGCAAGATGCTTCAGGATCATCTTGCATATTTCTTGCCCTGGGCTTAGAATCAGTCCTTTCTCTGAGGATCCCTGGTTCCTTTTTATCTGGGCACTAGATGTGGCCATTGCCACTGGAATGGCCTTGCTTCTAAGTCCTCCTAGATAACAGAGCAAGGAAATATGTGTGTGTATACTAACCCAAGTACACATACAGATCTATAAATATTTTATATGTAACCATCTGTGTCTATATTAAGTAAACATGACTTTATACTGATGTGTCCAATTCTAATTCATGATCACGTGGGTCATCCTAGCTTCCTCTCCTTGCTTATCTGTAAAGTCCCACTCTAACAGGAGAAATCTGGCTGTCACCATTGCTATTCATTTACTTAATTGCCCAACATCAGCAGACATTTTTCGTGGTATTAGAATTGTTAGTCGACACCTCAGTGAAACCGCCTTCTCACTGAAGCACAGGGCTTATGTACACTTTCTTTTCACTTTAGTTTCATGGACTCTGCTCATTTCCAAAGTACATAGGTCAGCCTCTCCTCCCCATCCCCAACCAGAATACATTTTGAGAAGCTTAATTTGCACAAAAATGATGGCAAATAACAAGAGTTTAGATGAATTTGATGAAGGAGTACAGGACCAAAGGCACATTTTGAGGAAATGCTGTAGTTTTTTGAAAGGGTAGGAGAAGATGGAACAAGTGACAAATGATAGTTAAAAAAATAAAGAAAGAAAGAAATAGGAGGAGAATGAAGAGGGGACAGTGGTACAGCAGAAACTGGTAGGAAGTTTTACAGAAGAAAGGCTGGTTAGTTGGATCATCAGGAGCATAAAGTTGGACACAGGTTCTCACATCTATGGCCAGACATGAGCTTCCTACGTGAGACCATTTCGTTTTTACAAATGTCCACCAAAGACACTCCCTATTTTGGGTTCCTGTTGTATATTCTCAAGTAATGTCTTCATTTCACCCCCAAATAAACTTCTCCCCCCATTCTCTTCCTCCTCCTCGTCCGTCTCCACTTATTTTCTTCCTCCTCTCCTCTTTCAGTCATCACGTTTTTCTAGCATCACCCAGTCTAGTTTACCTAGATTTTCAAGACTTGATCTTCCATTCATTATTCTTCAAATAAAATGATCAAATAGAATTTCCTTCCAAGAGCCTCTTGATCCTGTATTCTCCAGAAGTAGTGAGATGTTCCCTGTGGAAACTCCCATCATATTTTACTTCCCCTGCTACACCAGTGCTGTTTGTTAACTTCTCTATCTTTTGCGAGCCTGTCAACTGCATAAGAAGAAGACCATGTTTACTTCAGTCACCATTGAATATGCCAGTAGAGTATATGACATATGGTAAGCACTTGATAAATAGTTGGTACATAAACACACCCACAATAAGAACCCTTTGCCCTTGCCATGTCAGTCTGACCCACAAATGATATATCTGTGGTCATCTTTGAGACCTATTTATTTAATTATCCTTTTTTCTCATCATCATCAACCAGAACCTACCCATCCTTCAGCTTTTCAATGATCCCTTTCACTTCCCAATTTGTAAAATATTCATGGTTATTCAGTTGCTCATTTTGCTTTACCATGATTTAATTTTTTCATGAGTCCTTGTTTATGACATCAGCAAAGGATAAAATCTATATTTAACAGTAGAAAACATTTATTGAACACCAACACTATATATGTAGGAAGACTTGTTCTTTATCATTTAGAGACTTGTTATGTGGCTATGTTAACAGGGACATGGAATGATGAGGGAGTACTTGAAAAGTAACATAGGGGAAAGCATGTGGCAGAATACAGACTTGCTTAGTAATTGCAAATGGAAAATAAAGCCCAACTTTGGGTAAAAATTGTCAGGAAAGGTAAGAGAAAGTTACTGAGTCATGGGAACTTTTTGGTGGTGGAACAAATACAGCATCCCTTGGAGATGTTGCAGGTTTGGTTCTCTAATAAAGCTAATATCACAATAAAGCAAGTCACATGACTGTTGGTTTCCCAGTGCATATAAAAGTTATATTTAAACTTTTTTTAAACACTGTAGGTCTATTAAGTATGTGATAGCATTATGTCTATAAAAAAGTACATACCTTAATTAAAAATACTTTATTGCTAAAACATACTAATGATCATCTGAGCCTTTGGCAAATTATAATCTTTTTGCTAGAAGAGGGTTTCCTTTGATGTTGATGGCTATCGATTATCAGGGTAGTGGTTGCTGAAGGTAATATGGCTGTGGTAATTCCTTAAGACAACAATTAAAATTGCCCCACTGATTGACTCTTCTGTTCATGAGAGATTTCTCTGCAGTATGTGATACTGTTTAATAGCATTTTACCCACAGTAGAACTTCTTTCAAAACCAGAGCCAACCGCTCAAAGCCTGCCACTGCCATATCAACTAAATTTATATAATATTCTAAATCACTGGTTGTCGTTTCAACAATGTTCACAACGTCTTCACCAGGAGAACATTCCATCTCCAGAAACCACTTTCTTTGCTCACCCATAAGAAGCAACTCCTCATCCATTCAAGTTTTAGAATGAGAATGCAGCAAATCTGTCACATCTTCAGCCTTCACATCTTCACATCTAATTCCCACTCTCTTGCTATTTCCACCACATCTTCAGTTACTTCCTCCACTAAAGTCTTTAACCCTTCAAAGTCATCCATGAGTGTTGAAATCAACTTCTTCCAAACTCCTGTTAATGTTGACATTTTGACTTCCTCTCATGAATCACAAATGTTCTTATTGGCATCTACAATGATGAATCCTTTTCCAGAAGATTTTCCATTTACTTTGCCCAGATCCATCAAAGGAATCACTATCTGTGGCAGCTGTAGGCTTACAGAAGGTATTTTTTAAATAATATGAATTGAAAGTTGAAATTACTGCTCGATCCATGGGATGTAGAATGAATGTTAGACTAGCAGGCATGACAACAACATTAATCTCCAAGTATATCTTCATCAAAGCTCTAAGGTGACCAGGTACATTGTCAATGAGCAGGAAAATTTTGAAAGGAATTTTTTTTTTTTTCTGAAGACTAGGTCTTAACAGTGGACTTAAAATATTCAATAAACCATGCTATAAACAGATTTACTGTCACCCAGTCCTTGTTTTTTTCATTTAGAGGGCATAGGCAGAGTAGTCTTAGCATAATTATTCATGGCTCTAGCATTTTCTGCATGGTAAATGAGCATCGGTTTCAACTTAAAGTCACTAGCTGCATTCGCTCCTCACATGAGAGTCAGCCTGTCTTTTGAAGCTTTGAAGCCAGGAATTGACTTCTCTTCTGTAGCTAATGAAGTCCCAGATCAGTAGTCTTAGCTAGATCTTCTAGATAACTTACTTAAGTGTCTACATCAGCACTTGCTGCTTCGCCTTGCACTTTTATGTTATGGAGATGGCTTGTTTCCTTAAACCTCATGAACCAAGCTCTGCTATCTGCAAACTTTTCTTCTACAGCCTTCTTACCTCTCTCCAGCCTTCATAAAATTAAAGAGAGATAGAGTCTTTCTCTGAATTAGGCTTTGGCATAAGGGAATGTTCTGACTAGTTTAATCTTCTATCTATGCCACTGAAACTTTCTCCATATCAGCAATAAGTCTTTTTCACTTGTTTTCATTTTTGTGTTCACCAGAGTAGCACTTTTAATTTTCTTCGGGACCGTTTTCTTCACATTCACAATGTGGCTAACTGGCACAAAAGGCCTAGCTTTCAGCCTATTTTGGCTTTCAACATGACTTCTTCACTAATCTTATTCATTTCTAGTGTTTTATTTAAAAGGTCTGTGACTCTTCACTTGAACACTTAGAGCCATTGTAGGGTTATTAACTGTCCTCATTTCTATCTTGTTGTGTCTGAGAGAACAGAGAGACCCAAGAAGTGGGAGACAGACAGGAAAACAGTCTATTGCTGGAACACTCAGAACACACACATTTATTAAGTTTGCTGCCTTCTATGGGTGCAGTTGGTGGTGCTGCAAAACAGCTGCAACAGTAGCAGTAAAACTCACTAACTGCAGATCATCATAACATATATAATAATAAAGAAAAAATTTAAATATTATAATTACCAAAATCTGACACAGAGACATTAAGCGAGCACATGATATTGGAAAAATGGTGTCAATAGACTTGTTCCATGCACATTTGCCACAAACTTTCAATATGTAAAGCATGCAATATCTATGAAGTACAATAAAACAAAGTGCAATAAAACAAAATATGCCCATACAGGAAACTGACTGCTCTTTCTTATCTGTTTTGCTGGTCTCCTTCAGAGTCAGAGTGGTTAAAAAATAAAACAAAACAAAACAAACAAACAAAAAAAGGTTGTCAGAAGGTCTGACTCCAAGTGAGCCTTGGGTCATGGTTGACTAGTTGTATAACCCTGGGCAAGTCACATAACTCCACCAAGCATCAGTTACTCCTCACTCAGATGGTGTCTTAATGTTAGCCTACTTCTCAGGGACTGTATTAAAGTGCAGATGCCAGTGAACGGTTTTCAAGGGGAGTGGGTAATGGTGAAAGAAGAATCAACACAGATTCCTAGATTTCGAGGCCTCAACCTACATGCAAAGAGTACTGTCATTGACTGAGATGAGAAAACCAGAAGAGGAGGTGGTTTAGGTGTGGAGGGAGGAGAAAGTTGGGGAGCCAGTGAATCACAAGTGCCCTTCTCAACATGCTCCATTTGTGATACCCATTAGATAGCGGGCTTCCTCCTGCTTAATTCAGATCTCTGCTTCCTGACACATTAACCCAAATGCCATGCTCAGTCACTTTCTCTTTCTAGTTTCACTTCAATTTTTTCTTAGAATATATCCCTTTTTGAAATTACGTTAGATTTCTATTTGTTTGTTTGTTTTTTATGTCCCCCATTAGAATGTGCATACTACAAGGACAAGTATTTTGTGTTGTTCACTATAAAGCCTCTAATGCCCGGTACAGTGGATGGCAGATTGTGGATATTTAACAACGAATGAAAAAAATAAATGAAGGAATGAGTCTAAGGAGAGATGTGGATAGAACTTTTGGATATAGGAGTTTGGGGATCATGGGTCAGATCAAAACTTAAAAAAAAAAAAACTTACTGGTTTCCTGCAATCAAATATGATATAAAGTCATGAGAATATGGATGGATAAGAAAAAGAGGAGAAAATGCCAGTTAAGGAAGGTTGAGAGACTTGCCGACACCAAAGAACATACGTGGAGGAGACAGGTTTAAGTTTAGTTGCTTGTTGCCTTCTGAGCTGAGGCTTTGAAGTGCTGCTCTGTCCTGCCTCCTCCAATGGGGGAGTGATCCTTGCCCAGACCCCACCCCTCCACCCTCCAAGAAAATCACCCTCACCCATGCCCTCCACCAGACCTTCAACAAGATCTGAGGCAGCTTCATGTTGACACACTATGAGTGAGAGTAGCTTGTTGAATTTAAAAGATGTTTGTATTTGTGTAGGGAAAGAAATTTGTAATTCAAAAGAACCTATTTTTAACAGCAGAATTTAAGTTTCAGCCTCAGAGCACTCTCAGAGATTGTTAAAGCAGAAAGCCTTAGGTGTCTGTCTAGTCACTGCGGATAGTTGCTTGTCAACAGTTGAATATGAAAACTCTTATTCCCAGAAGATCGGTGACCAGGGAACTCTGTGATCTCATCCTAGTTTTTCTACTCAGGAATTCCCCAGGGTCTTTCTACAAGTAGAGTGATAGCCCAAAATAAAGCCAAAATAGTGTCTTTTGCTATTGGTTTTGCTACTCAACTAAGGAAACAGAAAGAGAGGGATAGGCTCCACGTTCCCTGCCAGGTACTTAAGTGGAAAACCATCTGCACTATTTCAATGTAAGTGTAATGTCCCTGGTTAAGATCTTGCAGCCCACTGCACTTGAAAGGCCCAGAAATTCATGAATACAGACTGATTTTTGTTAAGCTGGGTACACTGAGTTAGTTCTTGAGCTTGGAATGCTTGCAAAAAAGAATCAAACACACTGTCAGGAAATCAGGGCTCCTTTAAGGGCGCAAAAAAAAATAGAACATCTTTCTCATTTGCTTCAGGGGACAAGCAACCTAACATGCCATTTTCCCTACAGAGTCTGTGATCAAGAGTTTTAGGAGATCTGAATTCATGACAAAATTAAAAAAGCAAAAAGTTCAGAACATTCAATCTGCTCAGCAATTCACTTTGTGATGTTCTTCTGTGGTGTAATCAATGCTGAAACTTGACTCACAATACCAAGAAGGGCATGGGTTATGTCTTCATTACAGGAACGAGGCCTTTTTGTCGAATTCTCATTTATAACTTGTTCTCCTATTGTAATATTTTATTAAAGAAATTAGCATTCACAGAAAACATCACTTTCATAAGATCTTTACAGTAATAACAACAACAAAGTAACAGCTTTGCAAACCAGACAGAACGTATGAGTCTCCCTACCGTTTAGCAAGACAATTTTTTATTTTGCTCGTAAGGTGCAAATTCATGTCAGCATTAATTCATGTAAGCATTTGTATTTCAAAAGCTGTGGTTGGATCACATCATTGTGTCATAATTTGTAGAACAGGAAAAATGAATATTTTTTAAAGTAGTTTGATTAAATATAGTGAAACCAAGCTTGAGCCACAGGAGAGTAATTTCAACAGAGTAGTTCTACAACAGCGAACTGAAGAGGATTAAGCTTGACAAATCCTTTCATTTGAAGGCTTTATATGCATGTGTTCTTCTTAGACATTGGGCAAAGCAAGATGGCAACAGCCAATTTGAAACAACAATGAACAATTGTCACCTTAGACACCCATGAAGGCTTAATTTTGCTTCCTGAAGAATCTCCCACAAAGCATTGAAATCCATCTTTACTCCTTCCAGTTAATGCTGTAGTCTATTAAACACACAGTTTAGCACCAAGGTTACTCGAAGACACCATTAAAGTCAGTCTTGAATAATGTATTTATATTTGCTTTTGGGGATGAGGATGGTAGTGGGCTGTATGCAAACTTGTAAAATAAAACTTAGAGTGTCTGAAAGAACTTCATTTCACATATGACCTTTTACAGTAATTGGATCTGAATTATAATCAGTCACCTGAATCCTGAAATAGATAAAATAGTTTTTTAATGTTAAAAAGTTTTAGCCCTTCGTTGATTATCTATCAGTGCTTACAGTCCTGTGAAAATAAGATAAATGAGAAATTTGGTCTCTAATTAGACTTCACTAGATTTACAGCTTTTAATTTATACGCCAATGCAGCTCAGGCCGGCACTGACGCAGATAGAGATGGAGCCACAGTTTTCAATTGATTTAACAATTTAATTGCAGCATTAACATCCATTAACATTTAACTAACCTTTTAAACTAACCTCAGGCACAACCTTAAAGACTAAATGAAGTAAAATTGCATATAAAAAGGTACTAACATACAGCTGTAAGAAGCCAAAGTGAATCTTGAGGGAGATTTAGCACTGCTTCCTCACATCAGCAGGAGGGAGTCTGTTTTCCTTCTTGCAAAATTCAGTAGGAAAGCATGCTCTAATTTATAGGAAAAGGAAATAGGCACATTTGGCAATTATTAACTCTCATTTATATCTTATTGTCTATAGCGATATCTAAAAGATGTAATGTCTCTTCAACGGTGAAGCGCTGATGGTTGAACACTAAAGAATATAAAGGATGGGGTCTGGAAAAGGGGACCACAAAATGACTGAATGCAAATTGGATAGGAAGGTGAACTATATTTCAAGTTTGCTATTGCACTCATGAAACATGGAGAATACATACATTACACCCAGTTAGCAGAACCAGCCCTGTACTTTTGCTTGTTTCAACTTGAGGTAGGGTTACTTGGACCAGTACTTCCTTTACATTTTTCTTATCTTTTTTATGCCTTTTGTCAATTGAATGGAAAGATTATTAATTGAATAACTGATTACAGTTTACATTTGCAGGGAAACTCTGGTTGCAATTGTAAGATCAGTTTTAAGATAAGAGAAGTGAAGTAAACTTTTTTTTTTTTTTTTTTTTTTGAGACAGAGTCTAGCTCTGTCACCCAGGCTGGAGTGCAGTGGCGCAATCTCAGCTCACTGCAAGCTCTGCCTCCCGGGTTCACGCCATTCTCCTGCCTCAGCCTCCCGAGTAGGTGGGACCATAGGTGCCAAGTGAAGTAAACTTTAAGATATCCTCTGGCTTCAAAAACGCATATTAGGCCGGGCACGGTGGCTCACGCCTGTAATCCCAACACTTTGGGAGGCCGAGGCAGGTGGATCACCTGAGGTCGGGAGTTAAAGACCAGCCTGACCAACATGGAGAAACCCCATCTCTACTAAAAATACAGAATTAGCCAGGTGTGGTGGCGCATGCCTGTAATCCCAGCTACTCGGTCGGCTGACGCAGGAGAATCACTTGAACCCAGGAGGCGGAGGTTGCGGTTAGCTGAGATCATGCCATTGCACTCCAGCCTGGGCAACGAGAGTGAAACTCTGTCTCAAAAAATGTATATATTACCCATAATATATATAATATATAATATATAATGTTATATTATATATAATACAATTATTTAATATATAATATATACATACATATATGTATGTTATATACATATGTATATTATGTATATTATATAATTGTACTAGATATACATATATATGTGTATATGTTATATACATATATGTATGTTATATACATATATGTATATATAAAATACAATTGTATAATATACATATGTATATTATAAATACATATACATACATATATACATGCATATATATACATAATATGTATATCATAAATATATATACATACATATATACTTACATATATACATAATATGTATATATAAATATATATGTATGTTATAAAACTACACGTTTCATATACATATATATATATATAATTGGAAACATCTAGTTTTATAACATCTGGGCGCCTCTCTAAACAGAGTCACTCCAGATGGCTCTGTTTTTAAAGTAAATGTAGAAGTTCCTAAAAATTGGTTTTATAATGTTACTATAATGTAATACTTGGACTAACTCAACAGAGTGGCACAGAAGTCCTGCCTCATGATGATCAGCACTCTGTCCTGTAAGATCGGTGGGCTCCAATTGCTGTGGGCTGTCTCCCTGGGACTATTCCCGTCAACGTCATGGACTGAGGTATCTGCGGAAGCAGTAAGGCCCTCCAGCCCACAGAGCCACACCACTCGCAGGCTTGATACATCATCCATGTAGCAGTTCAATGATGCAGATATTAAAAGCCCATAACTGTAAGCACTGACGCAGTATATTGTCACTCTTTGCTATTTTTCATTCTTCCTGGCACTTCAGTTTCAAGTTATGTTGCAGAGCTCTGAGAATATATTATATTAACACTGTGTTCATGTAGGAAAGGTGGGAGTATTTTAGACATGCCTGCCTTAGAAATTTTCCTGTAGCACCCCCTCAATAAAGGGCTATAATTAACCTTAGTAAACAACAAGAAAAAGTTATCTGAAAAACCACTAGAGTGATAACATTATAATCTGCCTTTTCTGTTTACCTTTGGTTTTGTAATGTTTTGTTTACAAATATCACTGAACTGTATAATTTATCTTATTATAGATAGGTATAGTAATGCCTATCTATTATACAATTCAGTGATATTTGTAAATAAAACATTACAAATACCTATTATAATAGGTATTATAATAATACTTATCTATAATGTATATCATAATAATATACCTAATAATAAGGTATATTATAATATAGATAGGTGTTATTAATAGCTATTAATACATATTAATAAGTATTAATTATTAACAATGTTATTAGTAATACCCAATAATACCTATCTATAGTAAGGTATATTATAATAACATGATAATAAGGTTGATTATAATATAGATAGGTATTATTAACAATAGATATTAATATCTATAATAATAATAGGCATTATTATAATATATCTATCTATAATATACCTATAATATGTTATTATATATTCCAGTTCAGGACAGGAGAGGGGAGCTCTGAAATCAGGCTGAGTCTGTATCCTGCCTTCCTACTTGCTAGTTTTATGTTCAAAGCAAGTTCTTAAAACTCTGTCTCCATTTCTCTTCCTTAAAAAAATTGGAAGTAATTAAAATAGCTTATTTTCCACAGGCTGGTTGTGGATATTAAATGACAAGTACCTAGCACAGCATGCATTCACTACAGTGATTAGCAGAGGGTTTTTATTAAATAAGTGTTGGAAAAAGAGAGAGAGACAGAGTAAGAGACAGAGAGAGGGATAGAAATGAGATTCCAAGAAACCTGCAAATGTGGGAATTATATGTCAAACACTATTCATACAGCTACTGGTGTATGGTACTAAATGAAATCAAAAAGTTAAGAAAACTAATAAAGTTTTGAGTGAGTTACACTAAGAACAAATGATCTACCACTTTGAATTAAAAGATACTTTAATAAAATATAAAACCATAATGTTTTTAAGATAATACATAGGAGAAAAATAAATCTTCAGGTTAAGTTCTTATATTTGATGCTGAAACATGAACCATAACAGGAAAAATTGATAAAACGGACCTCATCACAATTTAAAACTTTAACTCCATGAAAGACTCTATGGTAAAAGGATAAAAAGACGAGCTAGAGACTGGGAGAAAATATTTATAAATCACATATTCAACAAAAGATTAGTAGTCAGAATACATAAAGGAATCTCAGAAGTGAGTAATCTGAAACTAAACAATCAAATTAGAAAATGGGCAAAAGACAAAGATATTTCACTGAAGAGGATACACAGATGGCAAATAAGCATAAAAAGGTATTTAATGTCATTACTCAGCAGGAAAATGCAAATTAAAATCACAATAAGATATCACTACACACCTTACAGAGTGGCTAAAATAAAAAGTAGTGAAAGACCAAATGCTGGTGAGGATGCAGACCAACTGGATTATTCAAACACTGCTGGTGGCAATGCAAAGTACTATAACCAAAGATTGTTAGTTTATTTTTCTTTTCTATTTTGTTTGTTTGTTTGTTTTTTGAGATGGAGTCTCACACTGTTGCCTGGGCTGGAGTGCAGTGACATGATCTCAACTCACTGCAACTTCTGCCTCCCAAGTTCAAGCGATTCTCCTCCCTCAGCCTCCTGAGTAGCTGGGATTACAGGCACCCACCATCATGGCTGGCTAATTTTTTGTACTTTTAGTAGAGGCGGGGTTTCATTATGTTGGCCAGGCTGGTCTCGAACTCCTGACCTCATGATCTGCCCTCCTTGGCCTCCCAAAGTGCTGGGATCACAGTCATGAGCCGCCGCACCCAGCTGGTAGTTTCTTTCAAAACTAAATATTTAATTAGCGTATGGCCCAGCAATTGCACTCTTGGGTATTTATCCTAGGTAATGAATACGTAGCTTCATATAAAAAATATGAGTGTTCACAACTGCTGTATAATAACCCCTAACTGAAAACATAGGTAAATGGTTAAAAACTATAGCTCATCCAGACTATGGAATACAACTTAGCAATAAAAAAGAACACATAACTGATGCATGAAGCAACTTGGATGAATCCCAAGACACTTACGGTAAGTGAAAAATGTCAATTCCAAAGGGTTGCATACTGTATAACTTACTTTACATAATATTCTCAAAATGATAAAAGTATACAAATGGAACACAGATTAGTTGTTCTCAGAGGTTAGGGACTGGGGTTGCAGTTACAAAACGGCAGCATGAAGGATCCGGGAAATGTTGGAACCTGTCCTAATCTTGACTGTAGTGGTGTTATACAGAAATACTCCCATGATAAAATCACACAGAACTGAATATAAAACACACACACAAACACACAGGCACCTACACAGGAGTACATGTAAAACTGGTGAAATCTAAATTAGATTAATGATTATACAAATGTCCAATTCTTCATTATTGTATTGTATGATGGCATAGTATTCTATTAGAACTGCAATGTGTTACCATCAGAGAAAACTGGGTGGAGAAGTGTACACGGGATCTCTCCATATTGTTTCTTGCCATTGTGTGTGAATCTACAAGTATTTCAAAATAAAATGTTTAATTTTTAAAAAGAGATCAGATTGTAAATATTTGATACCTAAAAAGAAGCTTGAACCTTGGGCATTTATGGGTCAGAAGTGGGCTAAGAAGGCTGCCCAGCCTCCAGGGAGAGCAAGAACCTCAACATCTATTTCAAACGTGGTCAACAAGAATAAAGAAAAGAAAAGGAATCCCAGAGGGGGAGGACAAGGTCCACAGAGCACCACAGAAAAGAGAAACAGCATCAACGAGTGATATTAGCACCCAACGAAGGCACTCAAGGATACCTTCCCAGAAGAATTTCAATCTTGGTTGTGTCACCATCCTTCCCCTTTTCTAACCTAGTGATTTATTGTGGTTGTACTGTACTTTCATGACATTGGATGTTGGTGCCAGGGAAAGATATGTCTTTTTAGTTCATGTCTGGGTGGAGAAAAAACACATTTCAGCTTACAAGACTACCACGGGTCCCTCTCCTCCCCCATGAAAAGGCTGTGACAAGCCAACAAGAGACCCTGGACCGGGGATAGGGTTTTGGATTGTCTTCCTTTAGAGTGGAAGGAATAGATTGCCTACCATGTAGCTAAATTTTGGTGACCAGAAAGACAGGCAGGGTAGTCCCTAGAGCCCCATCCTTTCTACGATAGGGTTGCATTTGTCTGTCTTTTTGAAATTGGTAACAACCATTTGCACTGTTTCATTTCCTGACATAAAATGGGAGGAAAAGTGACACTTCTGGAAGCCTTTAAAGGGCAGCATCCAACTCACCACACTTTCTTTTGTTTTGCTATTTCAACCTACACTGTTCCAAATGCTGCAGGCTACACCAAGCCTCCATTCAGGAGTGAGAATGATATGACATATGCACATGGCCAACCTTCAGTGGATTTGTATAATGAGTGATAAATAAACATTTCTTGTTTAAAATGCTAAGATTTGGGAGTGCTTGTTACTATGGCACTAACTAGCCCATTCTGACTGATGTCGTTTTCTTGAATTACACATAGTACCTCAGTTAAAAAAAATATTCTAATGGATAGCTATTGTGATGGTTCATATTGGGTGTCAACTTGATTGGACTGAAGAATGCAAAGTATTGTATCTGGGTGTGTCTGTAAGGATGTTGCCAAAGGACATTAACATTTGAGTCAGTGGACTGGGAGAGGCAGATCCACCCTCAATCTGGGTGGGCGCCATCTAATCAGCTGCCAGCACAGCTAGAATAAAGCAGGGAGAAGAAAGTGGAAGGACTCGACTTGCTGAGTCTTCTGGGCTTCATCTTTCTCCTGTGCTGGATGCTTCATGCCCTCAAATATCAGACTTAATTCTTCAGCTTTTTGACTCTTGGACTTACACCAGTGGTTTGCCAGGGGATCTTGGGCCTTTGGCCACAGACTGAAGGCTGCACTGTCAGCTTCCCTACTTTTGAGGTTTGGGGACTGGACTGATCTACCGCTGGCTTCCTTGCTCCTCAACTTGCAGACAGCCTATCATGGGGACTTTACCTTGTGATCATGTGAGTCAATCCTCCTTGATAAACTTCCTTTCATATATACATATATCCTATTAATTCTGTTCCTCTAGAGAATCTTGACTAATACAGCTATCTTTTTTTTTTCTGTCAAGAGTATTTCTATCATTTCTTTATTTAAGAAATCCCCATTGCAAGATCTGCATAAAAGAGAACATACCTCTCTCTAAAATAACCTGAAAAGGCTACATGCTTACTTTACCAACTTTTCTCTCAGAGCCTAGACTTGACAAATGAAATGGATCTGCCCAATACTCTGGATCCAGAGCTGGTAATCCAGGGACTGGGGAGAACCTACTCTGGTGGTAGTGATTATGGTGATGGCAAAATCCAGTTTCCTGGGTGGGACCAATATTTGTAATGAGGCTGGTAACTGACTGCAGTGCGGGGTTGCCATGTCCTCCTCCACTCAGCGGAGACAGCGTCAGCGTCCTTACCACCCTAATGTCAGGGCTTGACAGAAGCTGTGCTCCTCACTGTTGTCCAGCCTCTCTTTTTCTCAGTTTCCTAAGCTGGATTCTACAGCCTTCTCAGAAATTCTGTGAATTACTCAACATTCTGTCAAGGAATCCCTCCAATGTTTAAAACAGCCACTGATGGTATCTATTGCTGGCAATTAAGAGCTCTGACTGATACAGACTAATGCAGGCCTCATTTCCTGACATTAATAACACTGAGACAGTATGAATGATGCAAAACCCTCTTTAAATTCTGCATATTTCATTCCAAGCTGAACTACTCAAATGTAATTGTTTGACAAGAGAAAATTAAAAATCATCTCAAGAGAACACCGAATGGCCATATGTCACAAACGTTCAAAACTCTCTTTTTTTTAAACTGGAGAAATTGCTTAAGGATAACTTTTCATGTGGCTTTAGGTAGGCTTGCCCAGTCTTGTAAACATACCCTAAGGGCCAGCTGAAAGGTAGCGTTTATGTTTTCAAAGCCACTACTGTCTAACGCTTGCAGAAAACATTCTTCCTACCTTTTTTTTTTTTTTTTTTTGAGACCAGGAATACCTGAGAGGGAAGGGTTTGGACCACCCTAATCAATGTCTCTATGTTTTAGTATGAGGGGGCCAGCTTCAGTTGCTGATTCCAGTAGTATAAAAGCCAAGAATGTTTTTTCCATAAGCTCTTCTAGATGTAAATCACGATAATTACTGTGACACATACTATGTTCCCTAGATGGTCACAGCAATATCTTCTATCCCACAAGTACTTCTCGAAGTTTGTCACTCCCCAGTTGAGAAGTAGAATCTGTGGCCTCTTTTCTTGTTGTTTTCGTCGTTGTTTGTTTGAGACAGGGTTTTGCTCTGTCTCCCAGGCTGGAGTACAATGATGCTATCATAGCTCACTGTTGCCTTCACTTTCCAAGCTTAAGTGATCCTTCCATCTCAGTCTTTCAAGTAGCTGTGACCACAGGCTCACGCTACGTTTGGCCTCCCAAACTGCTGGGATTACAGGCCTGAGCCACCGTACTGGCTCATGTCCCCTTCTCTTAAACCTCTTACTGCATTTACTAGTTGAGTGACACTATGTGACTTCTGGGTTTGGGTCATAAAGGCCAAGCACTCTGACTTGCTTTTTTAGGGCTTGCTCTTTTAGGCCACAGCTGCCATGTTGTGAGGAATCCCAAGTCCCCCATGGAGAAGCCCACCTGGAAAAGAATCACAGCACTGAGTTGACAGGACACAATTCTGTGAGCTGAAAAGCATCTTGAGTGTGTGAGGACTGACCTGCCAGCCAGATGAGGGGCTGTGCTCAAGAGCCAAGCCATTGAAAGTGAAGCCCTGAGCAACTCTGAGATGCTCTCAAATTGTCTGCAAAGACCCAGCTCTTCTCAACTGTCAGCCTGACCATCTATTGTGTTCCTCAGGCATGAACCCTATTTTATCTGACCCTTTATTCACAAAGAAGCAAACTTACCTTAACATACCCAGCATGGCCATAGGGAGCATGTCGTGCTTACTGTCGCATGATCAGAACCTTGAGTTGCTGGGTCCCTCTCTCCTACTGTCCCCCAAGTTACATGGCTTTGAGTAAAAACACATAGGGTTGTCCTCTCAGACAACTCAAGAGGAAAAATGAAAGAATTCTATTTACTTAAAACCATAGATATATACACATATATATGTGTGTATACTATATATGTATAAAACTTTTGAAATTCAAAATATAACCTTTTATTTTCAATTTCAAAAGAAAATACATTTGTAAAGATAGCAAGAGGAAGAAAATAAAATTAAGTAGCACGCTTTCCTTTAGAAACTTTACATTTTCTCTGATCGGGGTTTTTCTGAGGGAGAGGGGTTGTATAGTATTGAAGTTTAACAGGAGAAGCCATAAAACCACTCACTAATGAAAAGATAAAGATGATGACCAAGAGAAGAACTTGGAATAATAGTAATACTGAATTGTACCATCTTTTCATCTCTTGCTGTCATTTATGTATTAATTCCACCAATATTAATAAGTATTTGCTATGTGCCAGGCACCTTACTGGGTAAAATTTCTGTTTTGGTGATAGGAGACCTTAGATATAATAGATATCTGTTAACTCTTACTGCTCTGTGTTGAATCTGCAGTGAATGTAGATATTAAACCTAGGTCTTTTGTCTCACAGCCTTAGAGTTTGTTTAGCCACAATGTCTTTACTTTAAAAGCCTACTGTTAAAATCAGTAGTTCCAATGCAACTTATCCATTGAGCAAATCATGTATAATCTTTCTTAAAACTTGGAAACAAAAATCTGGTGATCTATCCACCTAGTTACCTTCTCATGGAACATAAGACTATAAGACTCATGAAGAAGCCTCTTGCTAAGAAGAAAGTCAAAATTGAAGTAATATAAATTAATTTCTGCTCAGAATGTAGGTTATGCCCAAGCAGCAGAAGGGCAAAGTATTCCAGGCTGCATCTGGGAATGGGGCCAGTTGGCTGAGATTAGAGTTCCAGTGGGCTTGGGGTCCAAAATAAATCAGAGGTCTGGATCCAGGAGGCAAGCAAGATGAGAAGAGGTTCTGTGGCCTTATACCAGAGGGAGAGATCAGTGTTAAAGTCAAGGAGTTTGAGGCCAAGAAACGTCCACCTCTTCCCTAGAATATATATTCTCTCTGTTGGCTCTGGAAGACACTGAATCTTCAAAAGCATATAGAGTGTTTACAGCTAAGAGACAACCAGAAATCCACAAATGGCCCAGTCCTGCTTAAAGCTAAGGTCAACCACTACTTAATATACTTAAAATAATTACAGAAAATAAGCAAAGGATTGTTGAATCTGACATTTTCATTAAGTATTTTTAAAATAAAGTATTTATTAATCTTCAATGTAACCCTATGAAGTAGGCATTAATATTCCTGTTTTCCTTAGGAGAAATGAAGGTTTGGGGAGGCCAACCAGCTTACTGAATATCACAAAACAAGTTCCCAGTGAGTGCCACAATTCAAGCCAATCCCTGCTATGTTCTAAAATCCATTCTCTTAACCACTGAGCTGTATTAGTATTTAGGAATTAATAGATTTGTAATAAAACCAGCATTGTGCTAAACTAGGTATCCAAACAATCAATGCTCAAAGACTTTCTTCTTTTTCTCCCCTATGGCTAATCTGGAATTTCCTTTCCTTTATCAAACTCTCAACGAAGAGTTCAGTCTATTTATACTATTGTTACTTAATAGAAAATAAAGAAGGCCTGATGGAAATCTTATTGACAAAATAGTGCTGTCAGGAAGCACTCAGAAAGCCAGTGTCAATCAGGCTAGAAGTCCAGAACGTGTTGAATATGAATCTACAGTACCTGCTATCCAGTGTCCTATCTTTTCAGGCTAGGTCAGAACATTTTAGCCATCCATGCATACTTCAGCAGGTTAGACCTAGAGATACAGAGACCCAGGAAGTAGATGATCTACCAAGAAGGTGAGTGGCTTTGGTGGGCATTGGTCATGTTAATGAAAATTTGGTACATATTAAACATTTAAAGTACACATGCTGAAAATTCACTGTAATAGTCTGTTTTCACGCTACTGATAAAGACATATGCAACTGGGAAGAAAAAAAAGGTTTAATGGACTCACAGTTCCACGTGGCTGGGGAGTCCTCATAATCATGGTGGAAGGTGAAAGGCACTTCTTACATGGCAGCAGCAAGACAGAATGAGAGAGAAGCAAAAGCGGAAACCCCTTATAAACCCATCAGATCTCATGAGACTTACACACTACTATGAGAACAGTATGGGGGAAACCCCCTTCATGATTCAATTATCTCCTACCTGGTCCCTCCCACAACACATGGGAATTATGAGAGCTGCAATTCAAGATGAGATTTGGGTGGGGACACAGAGCCAAACCATATCATTCACTTTTATGAGATGCTCCCAAAGGGTTTTTGTGAACTTCAGATTATTTTTCTACTAAATAATTACATCTAATACAAAAAGAAGAATCTTCGGTGTTAAGAAGAGAGAACCTTCAAAAAAAGATTAGATTTTAAAACCACTTTGGGCCTGTCGTGGTGGCTCGCACCTGTAATCCCAGCACTTTGGGAGGCCGAGGCAGGCGGATCACGAGGTCAGGAGTTTCGAGACCAGCCTGACCAATACGGTGAAACCCCATCTCTACTAAAAATACAAAAATTAGCCAGGCATGGTGGTGTGCGTCTGTAGTCCCAGCTACTCAGGAGGCTGAGGCAGGAGAATCGCTTGAACCCAGGAGGTGGAGGTTGCAGTGAGCTGAGGTTGCACCACTGCACTCCAGCCTAGCCGACACAGCAAGACTCCGTCTCAAACAAACAAACAAACAAACAAAAAACCATTTTAATCATCCTATGACTGTTATGACTGCTAATGAACAAAGAAAAGTCAAGACCAAAGGTTTCTTTATCCTTATATCCTTAGAGCCAAGCACAGTGTATATGGTACATAGTAGGCATTTGACTGATGGCTATTAAATGAACCAGTAATTCTATGGGGCCCAAATGGTTCCAGTTCTTCCCTTTAATTCTGGAGACCTTTATGAAAGTACCTCATCTAAGCAACTTGGTTAGCTGTTTCGATTTTAACTATCTAAACTGGACATATGCTTTTACAGAAATGAATGGAAAAATAGTTAATTCTGACACAGCCCTGATGTTCTTGGGAGACTGTTCTTTTGAACACTAGTTATTGTTTCTGCTACCGTCGGGTTCCCAGACAGGGTAAATGTGCTGGAATGTGAATGACCACAGTGTGGAAAGGCATTCCCACTTAGCAAGGTTCACCATGTCCCTGCCTTTCCCTGCCAGCTGAGCTGGTGATGAGATGCCTCCTGACAAGCTCAGGTGAAGAGAAGAAACTCACTTTGGGAGGCAGCAAGGTAGTTCTTCCCCTCTGGAGAGTTTCCCTCGCTCCCTTTTCCCTCACTCTTAATCAGTGCCACATGGGCAAAATACAACTTTTATTTCCCTTCCCCACCAAGGACACCAAAGGTAAGTAGTACAATTACATGACAGCATAAAAATTTTAGCTTTATTTGCTCTTGACAGTTTGATAAACTCAAGACCTGCAATCCAAGGGCATACTGCAGGATCTGAAGCTTATAGTTTGGGTTTGAAAGTGCTGTTTTGCTGTGTTTTGCCTCTTTGTCTCAACAGAGAGGACACTTATTTGTCTGCCTCTACCATTTATTTGGCTATTGTTTAACTCTTTTTCTTCCTATTTGTTGAAGGCAAGGACTCTTAACACATTTTCAAAATATACTACTAAGACTTACCCTTCTGCTTGATCTTAATAAAGATGCAAATGAACAATGCCTTTGAAAAATAATAAAAACCTAAAGGCAAAAGGAATCTGGCAAATAAATATTTCAGTATACTGTGGCAGTACCTCTGATATATAAAATTTGTCAGAAAAAAGAAACACTAAGATTTCATTGAGACTTAGGAGGCAAACTATTTTATAAATAGCTAATAAAATGGGTTTGTTCAGCCTTACCAGTTAATTTTTTTTTTTTTTTTTTTTTTTTTTTTGAGATGGAGTCTCGCTCTGTCACCCAGGCTGGAGTGCAGTGGTGCAATCTCGGCTCACTGCAAGCTCCGCCTCCCAGGCTCACGCCATTCTCCTGCCTCAGCCTCCCAAGTAGCTGGGACTACAGGCACCCGCCACCACGCACAGCTAATTTGTTGTATTTTTTGTAGAGACAGGGTTTCACCCTGTTAGCCAGGATGGTCTCAATTTCCTGACCTTGTGATCCGCCTGCCTCTGCCTCCCAAAGTGCTGGGGTTACAGGCATGAGCCACCGCACCTGGCCGATACAAGATTTGTGAAAAGCCATTTGTCAATATCAATAATATTTCCTGAAAATGTTCATACCAACTTAGTTCACTTATTAGGATCTTGACTAAGGGAATAATACTAAATGCAGAAAAAAGGTGTTATGGGAAAAATGCTGATTTCTGTGCTATAAAAAATTGTGAACATTGAAAACATAGGCAACCTGAAATCAGAGGGCTAAGTACACGATGGCACAGGAACGACATGATTTATAATAACATGATAAAAGCTTTTGATGTGTTTTGAGTTAAATAAACTGTAACGGATTGTACAAACCACACACGAGACTGAGAGAATAAGAGACAGAGAGGGAGGGAGGCGCATCCTGTGATATGTTTGTGTTCATGGTGGTTTGTGTCTAGTTCCTTACTTTTACTTTTTTGCTTTCACCAAGAAACATTTTATATATATATACATCAGCACAGATAGGCAGAATTTCTCTAGAGCTATTAAAGCTATCAGGGTAGAAGGAGGAAAGTAATGGTCTTCAGAACATAATTCATCATCCAGAATATTGTCTTTCTATAGAACACAAAACATAGGACAAGATGTATATCACAGTTCTTTCTGTGAATATTTAAGTTGAAATAAGAAAACAAACAAACAACAGAAAACAAAACAAAAACAACAAAACCAAACCCACTTCCTACCTTCTCTTCTGCCCTAGCTTTGGATTTCATCAAGGGTCTACTTCATTTTTCAAGGAGAGCGCTCTAATCAGGGCCAAGGGGTGGAGTGTATGAAATCGTTGGTTATTTACCAGAAGTGAACACTGAAAACACATCTGTGCCCTGAGACATTATGGGGCCTTTCAGACAGCCTCTGAGGCAGCTATCTATAAATCTCTGCTTCTGTCACGTTTAACTAAAGCCCAATACCCACTCAACAAGAAATCCATCAATGTTATAAAGGAAACAATGACAAAGCACTCTCCTTTGTGTCAGGAAAAACCAATACTTCCACACATACACAAAATCATTCTCAAATTCTTTCTACTTCTCTCTTTCCTTTGTCTTCTTTCTTTGTTCTTCCTGTTCTTCTCTCCCTCTCTCTCTGGCAAGCTTCCAAGAGGGCACAAAGAAGCAGTAATAAAAATGTGAGAAAGCAAATTATCTTACCAACTTACAACTCCAGCCCATGATAATGCATGAGGCACCCCAAGACCCCAAGTTTGTATTCATTCTGACATTTTATGTGGAGAACGGAGTCCCATGGCTAAAGTCCTTTGCCTTCCAGCTGCACATTGCTATTATAGCTGGAGTGGCATTTCACTCAAAGTCATAACCATCTGTTACTCCTCTATGATCTTGCTCAGCCTTCCTTTTAATTCTCTTTCTTACATCTTTGGAAAAAAATATCTAGCAACTGGGGAGAGCCATGGTGATGATACAAGCCCGTGTTACTTTGTCCTCTTTGGTGTCTTACAATCGTTTCAGTGGATATGCATCAGAAAACGATGTAATATTTGGAAAATAATGTTACCCTGCTGATAACGTTGGAATTAAGCTTTTAACGTGCACCTTGGCACGTGGGTTGATCACATCTCAGACATTTTTGGAAGGAAATCTAGGATATGTAAGACATAGTGTTACAAAATACCTTATCTCAACTGACATCCCCAATCCATTGGCTCTGAAGTTGTTCTGTGCCCTGACAGGAGGAATCTCTATTGGACCCAGCCCTAAATCTCCCTTATCAATGGCCTCTTCTGCCCTAAGAAGATCCCATACAGAAGGGAGGTCCTGGACCAGCATAAGCCCTCATTGCATTCTACCACTGAGGCCATACATTAAGGGGGCAGCATACTCCACTCCTTATCAAATATGATGCTAGATTTCATCAATTTATAGCCTTATATTCATTCCTAAAAAGTGGACATTTAGACAAGTATTTTTTAATAGTTCTTGAATAATTTTTTTGCTTTTAAAATGACATAAATTCATGTTCTGATTCCATACTATTGATCATATCTTCAACATAGTATTAAAAACTAAATTACATGATATAAATAAGCCTAACTAATAGTGTATTCAAATTTTTTTGTTTGTTTTTGAGATGGGACCTCACTCTGTCACCCGGGCTGGAGTGCAGTGACACAATCTTAGCTTACTGCAGCCTCTGCCTCCTGGGCTAAAAGGACCCTCCCACCTCAGCTTCCCATGTAGCTGGGACTAACAGGCATGTGCTGCCGTGCCTGGATAATTTTTTTTTTTTTTTTTTTTTTATAACAGCGATGGAGTTTTACCAGGTTACCCATGCTGGTCTCAAACTCCTGGGGTCAAGTGATCCCACTCCGCTCAGCCTCCCTAAATGCTGGGATTACAGGCATGGACCACTGTCACACCTTAAAAGATTTTAATTGTAATTCCTCTCTTCATTATTATTAATGTTATTGTTATTTTTATTATTTTATAAATATTATACAGGGTTAAAACTTTAGAGATTATAAATTGTTTTCACAGATACATTCCCATTTTAGTGTTTCAAGAATTTTATTTAAAAATAAATATTACACCATTCCCATTATATTGATTAAAACATTTGGGAGGCTGAGACAGGAGGATCCCATGCACCCAGGAGTTCAAGGCTACAGTCATCTACGATCATGTCAGGTGCACTCCTTCCTGAGTGACAGAATAAGGCCTTATCTCTAAAAAGAAGTAAAAATTAAAAAAGAAAAAAATAACAAAAATTAAACCCCTAAATACGCATTTCAAAAGGCTTTACAACTAGTAACTGGCTATGTTAGAATTGCCATAAAATGCTTGTTGCTTGTTATATCTAGAAATCAAGTGAGCACGTAATCCTCAAAATGTCTAATTCTTACATTACTGTTACTTGGGTTCAGGAGCTGTATTATCTTTCTCATTACATTTACTAATTCATTGACAGATCATCTACTTGCTCTACTCTCCTTGGTCAGCAAGTAAGGTTCCAAACCAATCAATATAACAGTGAATTTATAAATTGTGGGAACCCACATATACATGGAAGTGTTAACTATTGATAAATATAATTCAAACTCATTTTAATGATAAGAGATACAATTAGAAATTTCCCTTGTTATAGAAGTGGTGTTTTGCACTGAACTCCTCTAATGAGTCAGTAATGATGCTAAGACAATGGCATTGTGGACTTGACTTCCAGTTGTACCCATCTTCATTAACAGTTTCCTCCATGTTCTCAGCTGTAACATCCATGCTGACCTGCATTGGGTTCACATACACACAGACCAGGCACATATTCTGCATATTTACTGTATAATAGTTTTCTGCCATTTCTTTAAACCATCAGCACTAATATGCATGAAACCCAACAGCTCTCGATTTTCATTATAATTTAAATTTACAGCATATTTTGGTTTACATCAAGTTTCCACTGCTGCCCAGGCTAACTGGGTATTGGGTTCTCTCAATAGAAAACAAACATTCTGCCAACTTCTTTTCATTTAGGCAAGAGGAAAGCCAGAGATGAGAAGAGAAGGCCTTACCCATTATGCCTAGCTGGCAAGGACAGGGAAACATGTGACCTTCCACCAGGGAGTAAATTACAGCTAAGCAAGTCCATTTGAGGAGGCAGTGTCTTTAGACAAATAGCCTGACACTCCACAGATGGAAACAAACCTGGGAACCTTGGCTGGGTTTTCTGATGGGCATCTGAAGCTTCATTGAAGGGCAGGATCTGAGAGCCGGAGGGGCAGGTATGTAATATATAATTTGTTTTTATGCTTCTGTAGTGTTTGCTTTGAGGTCATTAGCATGTGTCTTTTATTTAATCACCTAGCAAAAAGGCATTTTTGGATACACCTAGGCTACAATGTTGAGGCCTAGTTAAGTAATCTTAGGGAATGTTGAATCCCTCAGTAAGTCAGGGTAGGTATTTTTCATTGACATGTGTGCAGTATGTAAATCTCACAAAGCCCTTTCTATATAGTGACTGCCCAGAAAGGCAAAGATAAATTTCCCTCCCCATCTTAGCAACAACTGTCACAACAACAACAAAAATTATTTTGAACATAAAAGTAAAAATTAATCAATAATGGTTATTTCTTAGTTGAATGAATAAATCTCCCCTTAAATTCTGAGGAAATATGAAACTTTTAAATTATAATTATTTTAAGAAAAAACAAAAGAAAATATATCAAGATACATACCAAATTATTTAAGAAAGGAAACTAAAGGAAAAGGAAAGAATGAAGGGAGGGAGCAAAGATAGAAGCAGGAAGAAAAAAGTGGGAGAAAGTGAGAGAGGAATGAAGGGATGGAGGTAGTAAGAGGGAGGAAAAGAGAAAGCCCTCCAACTGTTCAAAGAGAATACTAATAAAAAGTAAGTATTCTGCCCCAAACAAGCTTTTATCTTCTGGAAAAAGTTTCATTATCTGACTATTAATATGGTGGTCAAAATTCTCGATATATGGTCAACATTCTTAAGCTACAAATATACCCTTTCAGGTTTAGTTATTTATTTTAATTGAGAAAATTTTGCTTAGCTGAGCAGTACTATGAAATTGATTAATAAATTACCATCAACTATCATTGTTCTAAAATTCCCTACTAGTAATATTTGACACAGAGTTGACGGTAATTAAATAACAATTTCACCACTAATAGCAATTGAATATATCCAACTGACTGGATCACTATGTGACACATTAAAAATCCTATTCTTATAGTATTACATTGATTGATGGGTAGATGAAAAAGACAATTTTCTTTTAAAGAATCTGTAGATTAAGAGGGTCTTTCCTATTGTAAAAAATATTAAAACATAACCTTTATTTTACGAATGGAAAACTGCTGTCAATTGACTCAAATTTGACTCATTTGAAACTAATAGTAACAATCACTCCCAACCCTAAATGGTATTCATTTGGAAAACTGGCAATATTTGGAAGAGATGCAGCAAAATAAATAGAAACTTCATCAAAAGGTAGACTTGCATTTTTTCACATTTGAATGCATCCTACAACTGAGGGCATGTCTTAACTTAATTGAGAGCATTGTTCTTTTTTAATTTGTATGGAAAGTAGCTATACGTCTTACAACTATAAATGTCTTCTTAGATTTCATAACATATGTTGGGTTTTATTTCATTTCTAATTTCAAAAAGTCACTTTAAATGTTTGCCCTGGATTGGCTATCATAATATTTGGATAAATTCTAATAACTTACAATTTTAATAATTTATGAGAATAAAAATAGTCTTTTAACACATTTTCTAACTTCAACATTGTAACATACTCAGAAGTGGAAAACTAATAAAGCAGAAGGGCAATTTCTCAACTAGATGAAGTAGCCATGTTACTTGGAAATATGTAGCTGATGATGTAATGAATGAACATAATTCTTAGAAAGTGGTTAAAGAAGCCATCCCATAGGTACCTAGATTTTTTCTACGTACGTATATCCATATTGGGATCTTCAGTGAGATATATACATTCTTTCCCTTAAATTATATATAATAGTTACATATGCAGTTTATTTCCTTTAAACTATAAATGATTTAAAATATATTATAAAAACATAATAAAATTATATATAATATAATGTAATATAATATAATATTTAGTTTAAAGGAAAGGTAATAGTGTCTCTGATTTGCATGGCTGTTAACAATTTAGAATCATTTACATAGAGATCCAAGACTTTTAGTTTTTATGACTTGACCCAGGAACTACCAAGAGTCTGAGAGACTGAAGTTTCTAAAAAAAAATCTAAGTTTTTTCAGAAATATGATAATACATTTTATTTTTTCATGTGATAAGATATTTTAAATTGTTATACAATTTATGTGCTATAAAGATCGTTGATTTTAAGTGTAAAATTCATTAAATTTTAGTACATTTACACCACTGGGTAACCACTATTACAAATGAGTTTTAGAACCTTCATATTACCCTGAAAAGTTCCTCGGGTCTTGTTTGCGGTCAAACCCTGCCTCACTTCCAGCCACAAATGACCACTGATTTTCCTTCTGTCTCCACACATTTTCCTTTTCTAGAAATTTCATGTAACTGGAATGATACAACTTGCCTTTCACATCTGGTTTCTTTTACCTAGCATCACGTATTTGAGGTTTGCTATTTTAGGGGGGCATATATCAGTATTCCATTCCATTTTATTACTGAACTCCATGTAGCATATTTTGTTTACTTATTATTCACAAGTTGATGGACATTTAGATTATTTTCTGGTTAGGGCTAGTATAAATAATCCTGCTATGAACATTCATATACTAATCTTTGGGTGGATACATGGTTTTATATTTTTCTTAAGAAGAAATCTGACTGGAATTGTTGGTTTGTTAAGTTTACATTTTTTATGGTTTTTTGTAATAAACCGTCAAGCTATTTTCAACATATTGGCACCATTTTACGTTCCCAGCAGTGATGTTTTAGAGTTCTAGTTTCTCCATATTCTCACCAACACCTAGTATTGTCAGTCTACTTAATTATAGCCATTCTAATAGAGGTATAGTAGTATGACATTGTAGTTTTAACTTTTATTTATCCAATGACATGACATTGCGTAGCTTTTCAGATAAAGGATTTGCAAATACTTTTTTTTTCTACTTTGTAGCTTGTTTTTGTCTATTTGTTTACTTTCATTTTCCTAATGGTGTTTTTGAAGACCAAAAGTTTTTTATTCCCTGATATTTATCATATTGTTCTTATACAGATTATGCTTTTGCTGTCATCTGCAGAAAATCTTTGCCTAATCTAAGGTCAAAATCCTTCATTCTAAAAGTAGTATGGCTTGCAACTTTATATTTGAATCTGTAATCTATTTTGAGTTAAGTTTTGCATGTTATATGAGGCATCAACCAAAGTTTAGTTTTTGTTTGGGATTTGGTCATTGTTGTTGTTTTGGTATATGTATAGTCAGCTATCCCAGAACCAATAGTTGAAAAGACTATCCTTTTTTCCCAAAGAATAGCCTTAGCAATGATGTCAAAAATCAGTTGAATATTCCAGAATTTATGTCTGTGATCTCATTTTGTTCCTTTGATCTGTATGTCTAACTCTTACCAGTATCATGTCATTTTGATTACCATGGCTTAAGTTTGAAATAGATTAGTGGAAACCTACAGTTTTATTCTTCTTTTGGAAAATGACTTTGCTTATTCTAGGTTCTTGGAGTTTCCATAAAGTTTTAGGTTCATTGTGTTGATTTCTCAAAAAAAAAAAAAAAAAAAAAGCCTGCTAGTTTTTGCTAGGATTGCGTTGAATCTGTAGAAAATTTGGGGGAAAATCACCATATTTAAAATATTTTTGAAGAAGATTTGAGATATCATTCACATACCAGATGACATGCCAATGTTAAGTGTACAATTAAATTATTTTTAATATGTCCCTTAAACTAGTCTTTAAGACTAGTGAATATGTCACCTCTTTCATTACAGATTTTTCTATTTTGAATCTTCTTTCCATTTTTTTATAAGTCTAGCTGAGGTTAATGTTGTTAATTTTTTTTTAAAAAGGATGTTTTGATTTTATTTATTTCCTTTTTAAATTAAGTTTTATTCTAATTCTTATTATTCCCTTCCTCTGACTGCTTTGGGCATATTTTTCTAGTCTTAAAATGTTAAGTTTACTGATTAGTGTTTTCATTTTCTATTGCTGTTGTAACAAATTAATACAAATTTATGAACTTAATACAAATTTTTTATCTTACAGTTCTGTTGTTTCAAGTCAAGCATATGTCTAAGCATATGTCAAGATGTCAGTGGGGCTGGGTTCTTTTCTGGAGACTCTGGAGGAGAATCTATTTCCTTGTCTTTTCCAGTTGCTAGAGGCTTCCCGCATTCCCTGGTGCATAAGCCCTTCCCTTGACCTTTAAAACCAAGAATGTAGCATCTTCAATTCTCACTCTGACTCTCCAGTTCTCTCTTCTGATTCTCTCTTCCACGTTTAGAGATTCGTGTGATTCCATTGGATCTATCTGAATAATCCACAATAATCCTCCTACTTTACGGTCAGCTCATTAGTAAATCTAATTCCATACGCACACTTAATTCCCTTTTGTCATGTAAGAGGTAATACACAGGTTCCAGAGATTAGAGATCTTTGGGGAGAAGCCATATTTGCCCACTATTCTTTGAAACATTTCTTCTTTTAAAATAAAGGTGTTTACAGCTATATATTTTTCTATAAGCACTGCTTCAGCTATATCCTGTAAGTTTTGGTATGCTGTGTTCTTCTTTTCCTTTATCTTCAAATAGTTTCTGCTTTCTCTTCTTTGAACCCACTGGTATTTTAAGGGCTTGAATTTCCACATATCTGTAAATTTCTCAAACTTCCTTTGTAATTGATTTCTAATATTATTCCATTGTGGTTAAAAACATGCTTAATATGAATTTAATCCTTTCATTTTTTTTAGGCTAATCTTATGACCCAGGTCCTGGTGATAGTGAACGTTTCACCTACACTAGCTATGTACTCTGCTATTGTGGAATGCAATGTCTTAGAGGTGTATGTTATTTCTATGCATTTCTAGTGTTGTTCAACTTCTTTATTGCCACGTTAGTCTCCTTTTTGGTTATTCCTTCCGTGGTTAATAGTGGAGTATTGAAGTCTATAACCATTATTTCTGAGTTCCCTATCTTCTCGTCAATTTTGAGAGTTTTACATTACATATTTGGGAATTCAGTTGTTAATTTATAATTTTTATATATTTCTGATACCTAAAACTTTTATTCTTTATCTCTAATGATATTTTCTGTCTTCTTCTTCATATCAAGTTCATTTTTGTCCAATATCAGCATAGCCATTCCAGCTTGTTTATAGTTACTGTTTTCATGATAATATATTTCTGCATTCTTTACATCCAACATATTTGTATCTTTCAATAGAATTTGGAACTCTTGAAGAAAGTACATACTTGGGTATTTTTATTTGTTTTAAATAAATTTTAGCAATTGCTACCTTTTGATTTATTTGTATAAATCATTCATTTTAATGCCATTCTTAATATGGTGTGATTTGTCTGTTATTTTGCTTTTCTAGGTCTATATGCCTCATTTTTTGTTCTTGCTCATTTATCTCTGCTTTTTGCCTGTTTTTTCTTAAATGAGTATTTTCTAATGTGTCATTTTAATTCATATAAAGCTTTTCTTTTCAAAATTTTTAAGATTTCCTTAGTGATTTCTCTAGAACTTACAATATACATACCAGAATCTATTCCAAATACTAATTTTCAGTGAGATACAGAAACTTTATTCCTACATATCTGTATTCTCACTTACCCTTTTGTCATTATTTTGTACATTTTGTTTCTATACGTATAATTAATCCAACAATTACATTGTTCTAGTTATTACTTTTGATAAGTTATATCTTTTAAAGATGTTGAGAGAAGAAAGGAGAATGTATATTTAGGTTTGTCTTAACTATGATCTCATTTTTTTCTTTCAGGTTCTTATCCTTTCTTCCTGTGAATTTGACTTATTATCTGATGTCCTTGTGTTTCTCCAATACAGGTTTATTCCCACTCAACTTCTTTGTGCCATTATTGTAAAATATATTTCTGTATGTTATAAGATCAAAAATACTATATATATATATAGTATATATATTGGTCAGAGTTCTCTAGAGAGACAGAACTAGTAGGATATATGTATATGTGAAGGGAGTTTATTAAGGAGAATTGACTCACACAATCACAAGGTAAAATCCTATGGTAGGTTGTCTGCAAGTTGAGGAGCAAAGAAGCCAGTGTTGGCTCAGTCTGAGTCCCAAAACCTCAAAAATGTGGAAGCTGATGGTGCAGTCTGTGGCCAGAGGCCTGAGAGCACATGGTAAACCACTGGTATAAGTCCAAGAGTTCAAAAGCTGAAGAACTTGGAGGCTGATGTTCGAGGGCAGGAAGCATCCAGCACAGGAGAAAGATAAAGGCCAGAAGACTCAGAAATCTGCTCTTTCCAAGTTTTCTGCTTGCTTTATTCCAGCCCCACTGGCAGCTGATTAGATGGTGCTCACCCAGATTGAGGGTGGGTCGGCTTCTCCCAGCCCACTGACTCAAATGTTAGTCTCCTTTGGCAACACCCTCACAGACACACCCAGGAACAATACTTGGCATTCTTCAATCCAATCAAGTTGGCACTCAATATTAACAATCACAGTGTACTCTCTCTCTCTCTCTCTCTCTCTCTCTCTGTATAGTTTGATGGCTTTTAAATCAGCTAATCAGTTATGAGGATAAAATAGAATAAATATGTAGTTAACATGTCTTTATAAAATACCCACATATCTTTGCTGGTTCTTTTTTGTCTAAAATATGTATTCAGATTGCTGTCTAGTGTCACTTGCTTTCAGTGTGACTGCCTTAGTATATCTTGTTAGTTGGGTCTGCTATCAATTCTCTCAGTTTTTGCTTATCTGTGGCTATTGTTTTTCAATAGCATTTTTTAAAGATGACTTGCTAGGTAGAAGATTTTTCTATTAAGTTTCGTTTTTCTTTCTGCTCTTTGAACATGTCATCCCACTACCTTCTAACCTTTGTTATTCTTGATCGGAAGTCATTCTTTAACCTTCTGGGACCTCTTTGTATGTGATGAGTCATGTCTCTTGCTGCTTTATACATTTCCTCTTGTCTTTTTCATTTTACTTCCTGACTACGATGTGTCTGGGATCTCTTACATTTATTCTACTTGGAGTTTGTGGAGCTTGGATATGTAGATTTATATTTTAGATACTTACTCAAGAAAAGAAAATGGTACCATGTATCCACAAAAAGATTTGTACAATAATATTGGTGGCAGCTTTATTTATAATAGCTCCAAAATAGAAACTGTTTAAATGTTTATCAGCAGAATTGATTAAATCATTATATTCTTATGATAAGATACTATTAAGCTATAAACTAAATAACTAATGAATGAATCTTGAAAGCATGATGCTGATCAAAAAATCCAGACAAAAAAGCATACAAACTGTATGGTTTTATTACATATAGGCATAGCTACTCATCTCTATGACACCAGTACTTATATGTGACAAATATAATAGCTTATATCCATATGATATATAGAACTTCTACAACTTGATCACTAAAACACCTAACCTGATTTTTACAAATAACGCTTTATACACTCCATAAAGGAAATGGTGTCATAGTGAAAGAAATAAGAGATAAATGACTGTGTTTTGAGGAAGGCATGAGGAAGCTATCTGGAGCGATGTAAGCGTGTGCTACAGGGCTGTGGGTTGTATGGGAGTGAACATTTGTCAAGAACGATCCTCTACACACTTCAGAACTCTTCATTCCACTCTATTTAACTGATACCTCAATTTAAAATTAAACACATCGGTACCATTATTATGCCCTGTTGCCAAAAAAAAAAAAAAAAAAAATCTAGCTACAGCCTAGACTTAGAAAAACCAAGATAGTAAAATATTATTATTTTATATGCCTATTCGATTCATGTAAAATCCATCATAATGATGGACTGATCCTGATGAACTATTGGAGCTTCCCACTTTCGCTTTATAAAGCCACAAGTACCTCTCGATGACAAAAAAAAACCTTATAATGTGTAACATCATCCTATAAATTCAAAATCTTTTTACTATTTTCCGTCTCCATTAATGTCAAATTGGACTGAAACTCTTCAGGAAATATATACTATGAGTGTAGGAACACTGAAGGAATTAATTATGATTGATTTCATTAATTATCTGTGTCTAATGCCTTTACAGTAATGGGATGCTTAAAACACTGAGTCAGGAGTAAATGGCACACCTAGTGATTACATGAATTCATTCCACAATGCATTGTTCCTCCTTCAAGTACAAAATGAGTTTTTAATGCCATTCATGTTTTAATTAAACATTTGTTTTGAGATTATGATAGGTTCACATATAGTTGTAAAAGATATTACAGAGACATCCTGTGTGCCCTTTAACCAGTTTCCCCCAGTGGTAACATCTTGCAAAACTATATGATATGGTTTGGTTGTGTCCCCACTGTAGTTCCCATAATCCCCAAATGTCATGGGAGGGACCTGGCGGGAGGTAATGGAATCCTGGGGGCAGTTGCCCCCATGTTGCTGTGCTTATGATAGTGAGTGAGTTCTCACAAGATCTGATGGTTTCATAAGGGGCTCTCCCCTCCGTTTGCTTTGCTCTTCTCCTTGCTGCCACCATGTGAAGAGGAACATGTTTGCTTCCCCTTCCATCATTAATTGTAAGTTTCCTGAGGCCTCCCAAGCCCTGCAGAACTGTGAGTCAATTAAACCTCTTTCCTTTATAAATTACCTAGTCTCAGATATGTCTTTATTAGCAGTGTGAGAATGGACTAATACACTATATTATAATATCACAACCAGACACTGATACAGTAAAGGTACAGAACATTTAATCACCACAAAGGTCCCTAAGGTTCCCCTTTTATAGCCATACCCCTTTTCGTCCTGCTCTCACCCTCTCCTTAACCTCAAATAAAAGCTACTCTGCTATATTTTTGTATAATTTTGTCATTTCAAGAATGTTATATAAATGGAATGATATAGTGTGTAATGTTTGGTACTGGCTTTTTTTCACTTAGCCTGAGGATTCAGATTATTATTATCCATACTTCATTTCTTTTTATTTCTGACTGATATTCCCTGGTATGAATGTACCACATTTTTTTATCATTCACCCTTTAAATACATCTGAACTATTTCCAGTTTGGGGCTATTATAAATAAAGCTGCACTATACATACAGGTACAGTTAGAGTAAACATGTTTCATTTCTCTGGTATAAATACCCAAAAGTGAAATTACTGTGGTTGTATGGCAGTTGCATCTTGATAAGCAACTGCCAAACAATTTTACAGAGTTGCTCTACCATTTTACTTTCCCACCAGCAATGTAGGAATGATCCAGTTTCAACACATCCTTGCTAACTTTTGATGCTGTCACTATTTTTTATTTTAGTCATTCTGATAAATTTGTAATGATATTTCACTGAGATTTTAATTTATATTTCCCTGATGGCAAGTGGTGTTAAACATCTTTTGTGCGCTTATCTGTACCTGAATTTACTCTTCAGTGAAATATCTCTTTGTTTCTATTGCCCATTTTCTAGTCAAATTGGGTAATTTTGTTTTGTTTTGCTTTGTTTTGTTTTCTACCGTAGAATTTAGACAGTTCTTTATATTTTCTAAACACTAGTTCTTTATCAGACATATGGTTTGCACACATTGTTTTCCAGTCTTTAAATTATCTTTTCATATTCACAACAGGGTTTTTCACAGAGCAAAATGTTTTTAATTTTGATGTTGTGCAATTTATTAATTTTTCCTGTTATGGATTGTACTTTTGGTATGATGTGTACAACCTCTTAGCCCTAGAATTCAAAAATTTCTCCTATTTTTTCCTAATACTTTTATAGTTTTTCATTTTACATTAAAATTTATGATTCATTTTGAGTTCAATTTTTGTATAAGATTTAAGTCTTTGGTTGAAGCTTACTTTTTGGCCTATGTATGTCCTATTCGTCTGGCACTATTTGTTGGAATGGCTGCCTTTTTTTCATTGAATTTCTTTTTTGTACATTTGTCAGAATCAATCAGGCTTATTTTTGTGGGTCTCTTTCTGGGTTGTCTATTGTGTTCTATTTATCCAGGTCCATCCTATCATCACAGTCTTGATTACCATAGCTGTATAATGTTTTGATATCATGTAAACTGATTTCTCCCAATTTTTCTCCTTTTTCAGAACAGTTTTAACTATTCTAGTTCTGTTGACTTACCTTAAAATTGCTTAATGGTCTTTATCTATAGCCATAAAAAATCTTTCTGAGATTTTGGTAGAAATTTCATAAAACTTGTATATCAATTTGTGAATAATTGACATCTATACTATGATGAGTTTTCAAAAGAGGGAACATAGTATGCCTCTCCATTCATTTTCATCTTTGATTTTTCTCATCGGTGTTGTGTTGTTTTCAGCAGTTAAGTTCTATACACAGAACATACAAAATAAATGTTGATCGACTGTTTATCAGTAAGGCCTCTGGTCAACAACAGTCTATCAGTAGTTAAGTTTTGGGGAGTCAAAAGTTATACATGCATTTTTGACCGTGTGGGGGGTCAGCACCTCTGACTCCTGCATTGTTTAAGGGCTAACTGTAAATACTATTTACAATTTTAAAACTCACAGTTGTAAACATATCAATTACTCTGGCATAAATATATTAAACTGTGTATAGAACTTAACTGCTGAAAACTACACAACAAAGTGAAATGTATATAGCTTGTTAATATGCTGTATTATTACAATAAAGTAAGCTAGAGAAAATTAAATGTTATTGAGAAATTATATTTAATATTCATTAAATGGAAGTGAATCATTCTAAAGGCCTTCATCCTTGTTACCATCATGTTGAGTAGGCTGAGGAGGAAGAGGAGGAAGGGGAAGAGTTGGTCTTGCTGTCTAAGGGGTAGCAGAGGTAGAAGAAAATCCATATATAAGTTGACACGTGTAGCTCAAACCAGTGTTGTTCAAGGGTCCGCTGTATTTTTTTCATTTTGATGTTCATGTATTCATTGCTAACATGTAGAAATAAAATTGCTTTTTATGTTTTTTTCTTTTATTTTTCAACTTTACTGAACTTAATTAGTTTTAGGACTTTATGTGGGAGATTACTTGAGATTTTCTATGTAGACAGTTGTGTGCAAGCTGTATACATTTCACTTTGTTTCCTTTCTTTATTGTACTACCAGAACTACCAGCAATGTATTGAATAAGAGTGGTAAGAGCAGACATTTTCCCTTTCTTTCTGATATTAGTGGGAAAGCATTCAGTTCTTTATCATTAAGTATTATGTAGCCTATAGATTTATTGTAGATCCTTTTTATTGAGTTGATGAAGGTCTTATGTCTTCCTATTTTTCTTTTTTTAACTTTTAAGTTTAGAGGTACATGTGCAGGTTTGTTACATAGGTAAATTTGTGTCCTGGGGATTTGTTGCAAAGGCTATTTCACCACCCAGGTATTAAGCCTAGTACCCATTAGTTATTTTTCCTGATCCTCTCCTTCCTCCTACCATCCACCCTCCAGAAGGCCCCAGTGTGTTGTTCCCATCTGTGTGTCCAAGTTCTTAACAGAACTAGAGAAAATTATTTTAAAACTCAAATGGAACAACAACGAAAAAAAAGCTGAAATAGCCAAGGCAGTCCTAAGCAAAAAGAACAAAGCTGGAGGCATCGCACTACCAGACTTCAAACTATACAACAGGGCTACTGTAACCAAAGCACCATGGTACTGGTCTTCCTATTTTTCTGAGTTTTATCATAAATGAGTATTGAATGTTGTCAAATACCTTTTCTGCATTAATTACTATGGTCATGTGATTTTTTTCTTTAGTGAGTTAACATGGTTAATTACATCTGTTGATTTTCAAATATTATACCGGCTTGCATCCCAAGAATAAACTCCACTTGGTCATGGTATACAATTCTTTTGATATATTGCTAAGTTCTATTTGCAATATTTTCTTAAGAATTTTTGTCTATATTTATGAAGTCTGTAGTTTTCTTCTTTTGTACTGTTTTGTCTGATTTTGGTATTAGTGTCATACAAACTTCATAAAATGAACTGGACAGTGTACCCACCTCTTTTATTTTTTGGAAGAGATTTTGCAGAATTCGTTTTAATTCATTTAAAGTTTGTTAGATTTCTCCAGCGAACACATGTGGACCTAAAAACATTCTTGGAAGGGAGATTTTAAATTATGAGTTTAATTTTCTTAATAGCTATATGACTATTCAAATAATCTGCATCATATTACATTCTGTGGTATTTTTTGCTTTTTGAATAATTGGTTCATTTCACCTAAATTGTCAAATTATGCATAGAATTGTTTGTGGTATTCCTGTATTGTCCTTTTGATGTCTGTGGGATCTGTATTGATAGCCCTTGCTTCATTCCTGATATTGATAACTTGTGTCTTTTTTCCTGTTTTTTTTCTGTCAGTCTTGCTAGAGTTTTGTCAATTTTATCCATGCTTTAGAGGAACATATTTTTGATTTATTGATATTTTCTATTGTTTTAAATTCTGTTTATTTCTGCTCTCATCTTTACTATTTTTTTCTGTTTGTTTTGGGTTTATTTTTTCTTCTTTTACTAAGTTCTTAAGATGGGAGGTCAGGTTAGTGATTAAGACTTTTTTCTTTCTTAACTTATAAATTTAGTGCTATAAATTTTCCTCTCAGCACTGCTTTACCTGTACCTGCCAAATTGTAATATGTTGTGTTTTTATTTTAATAAAACTTAATGCATTTTTCACTTCCCTTAAGAAATCTCCTTTGACTCATGGAATATTTAGAGGTATGTTTGTTTAGTCTCAATGTATTTGGAGAATTTCCTATTATTTTTCTATTATTAAATTATATTTCATCGTGTGTGGTTGAAGAACACAATCTGTGTAATGGCAATTCTTGAGATTTGTTTTTTGTCCAGGATATGATCTATCTTAGTATATGACTTTAAAGGATATTATCCTTGATAATGTGAGTGAGCCTGATCCATTCATTTAAAAGGATTTAAGAGCAGAACTGAGGTTTGCTTAAAAAGAATAAATTCCACCTGTAGACGGCAGCATCAGCCCTGATTTGGAAGTTTCCAGCCTGCTTTTCTTGATGGCTGGCCCTACAGACTTTGAATTTCAGCCTCTAAACCTGTCTATGGTTATTTCCCCAGTTCCAGGATGCATAACTGTAATAGGCATATTCCACTGACAGAATCGTTACATTCTCACATTGGTTCCCTGACCTGTGGAGTGAGAGCTATTATTCCAGGAATGACCAAGTGGAAGACACTAAAACTGCCTCCACCGAGAAAGATAGTAAACTAATATCAATACCTTATTCTGCAGGGATTGCAGAGATTAGTGTCACCTTTAAGGACTTAAAAATACAGGGAGGTAATTCTTACCACATTCTCATTCAACTCATCTATTTGGCTTGTGCAGGAAACAGACGGATTTTGGAGAATAACCGTGGATTATTGTAAACTTAAACAAGGTAGTGACTCCAATTATAGCTGCCATTTCAGATGTGGTTTTGTTGCTTGAGAAAATTGGTATGTCTCCTAGTATATAGCTATTAAGGTATTAAACCCGACATTCAGGTATTAATCTGGCAAATGCTTTTTTTTTTCTCAATATCTGTTACAAAACTCCAATAGGAGCAGTTTGCTTTCAGCTGGCAAGGCCAGCAATAGATCTTTCTGTCTTATTCCAGGATGTAGCCAGTCTTCAGGTTTATAATTTAGTCTGTAGGGGCCATGGTCACCTTTCCCTGCCACAAAATATCACACTAATCCATTATACTGATGACATTATGCAGATTGGCCAATGTCAGAAAGAAGTTGCAGCTACTCTAAAGATATTGGTAAGATAAGTATGTGTCAGAGGATAGGAAATAAACATAAAAAAATCAGGGGCCTTTTACCTCATTGGAATCTCTAGAGGTCCAGTTGCCTGGACTCTGTCAAAATATCCTTTCCAAGGTAAAAGATACATTGCTGCAAGTGGTCCTTCCTGCAACCAGAATAGAAGCACAATAGCTAATGGGCCTCTTGGGAGTTTGGAGACAACATTTTTCTCATTCAGGTGTGCTACTCCAGCCCATTTACCAAGTGATCCCCAAAGCTACTAATCTTGTGTGGGACCCAGAACAAGGGAAGGCTCTGCAACAGGTCCAGGCTGCTATGCGTGCTGCTCTGACACTTGGGCCATATGACCTAGCAGGTCCAAAGTGTCAGTGACAGATAGGGATGCTGTTTGGGACCTTTGATCAGCCCACATAGGTGAATCACAGTGCAGATCCTTAAATCTGGAGGAAAACCCTGCCATCCTCACAGATAATTATTCTGCCTTTGAGGAATAGCTTTTGTTTGTGGCTGGTCATTAGCAGTGATTTCACATTTAACCACAGGCCACAGAGTTATCATAAAATTTGAGCTGCTCATCATGAACAGGCTGTTGTCTGACCCTCCATGTCATAAAATTGGGCTTGCACAGCAGCACTCTATTATGAAATGAAAGTAGTATATACAAGATCAGATTCAAGCAGGCCCTAAAGGCAGAAGTAAGTTACACAGGAAAGTGGCCCAAATGCTTGTAGAACCTACTTCTACTATATTACTGAGAGGTGAAGCTAGCTGGACTTCTGGGTCAGGCGGTGACTTGGAGAACTTTTCTGTCTTACAAGAGGATTGTAAAATGTACCAATAAACACTCTGTAGCTAGGATTGTAAAATGTACCAATCAGTGCTGTGTGGCTAGCTGGAGGTTTGTAAAATGCACCAATCAGCCCTCTGTAAAAACGCACCAATCAGCTCAATGTGGCTAGCTAGAGGTTTGTAAAATGGATCAGTCAGTGCTCTGTAAAATGGACCAATCAGCACTCTGTAAAATGGACCAATCAGCAGGACATGGGCAGGGACGAATAAGAGAATAAAAGCTAGCCACCCCAGCCAGCAGCGGCAACCTGCTCGGGTCCCCTTCAGTGCTGTGGAAGCTTTGTTCTTTCACTCTTCACAATAAATCTTGCTGCTGCTCATGGGTTCATGCCACCTTTGAGAGCTGTAACACTCACCACAAAGGTCCACAGCTTCATTACTGAAGTCAGCAAGACCATGAACCCACCGGAAGGAACAAACTCTGGACACATTACCTTCTCTCTTCCAGACCACACTTGGCTTCATGTGAAAGCCTTTATGAGCAGTTGACTGAGGAAGAAAAATCTTGACCTGGTTTACAGATGGCTCCGCACAATATGGAGTCACCACCTCAAAGTGGACATCTGTACCACTAGAGCCCTTCCTGAGACATCTCTGACAGTAGGGAAGGTGAACTTCCTGGTAGGCAAAACTTTGGTAAGTGTGCCTGGTTATTCATTTTGCCTGGAAAAATAGTCAGAGGTATGATTCTATATTCATGGACTGTGGACAATTGTTTGGCTGGATGGTCAGAAACTTGAAAGGAACATGATAGAAAAATGTTGATGAGGTGCATGGATGTCTCTGAAGGGTCAAAGATCATTAAGATATTTGGATACCTTGCGAATGTTAGCCAAAAAGGTGACGTCAGCATCAATGTGAGCTGGAAATATCCATTGATTTTGACATCCCCTTACTGAAGAGGATATGTTCTTTGTATCTTACCCAATTCTGATTGTATATTCACATTTTTAAGCCTATCCCAGGAGGAAGATTTTAACTGTCAAATAAATAGAATGAACCACTTTGTGTATACCAGTAAGCCTCTTTTCATAGCCACACCTGTAATTGTGAACAAAATGGCTATGATGGCAAGAATGGGAATTACGCATGAGTCTAGCAAAATGGGCTCCATCGAGTTTCAATAACTCTACCAGGCAAAGAACTGGGGCTATAATTCCCATTTGTTCAACCTAGCTACAGTTAGTGCTGAGAGCCCAATCTGCTGGCAGCAGAGACCAATACTGCATTCCTGATATGGCTTCATTCCTTTAGTCATCCAACTACCTAGTGGCAGGTTGATTACATTGTAAACAGTAATACTTTGTTCCCCTCTGATAAACAGTTACTCTGGATATGAATTCGATTTCCCTACAAGCAATGCTCTTGCCATAACTACCATGTGCAGACCTATAAGATCCCTTATCCATTGTCATGGTATTCCACACAGCATCCTTGATTTAAATACTGTGCAGCAATAAGCCCAATGCCACTGAATTCACTGGCTTTGCCATATTCCCCCATCGGCCTGAAGCAGCTGGCTTGATAAAATTCTGGAATGTCGTTTTGACAATTACATTACCATCTGGGTAGCAATAATTTGCAGGTCTGGGGCAATGTCTTCCGGGAGACTATATACACTTTACATCATCATCCAATATATAGGATGCTGCTTCTCTCAGAGCCAGGGTTTATGGGTCCAGGAACTAAGAGGTAGAAATGGGAATGACATCACTCACTGTTACCCCAGCTGATCCACTAGCAGAATGTTTGTTTTCTGTTCATGCGGCCTTATATCCTGCTGGCCTAGAGGCCTTCGTTCCACAGGGAGAATTATTCTTATCAGGAGACACAACAGTGATTTCACTGAATTGGAATTTATGACTGTCACCTAGCCACTTTGGGCTCCTCATGCCTCTGAATCAACAGGCTTCAAGGGGAGTTACTGTACTGGCTAGAATGATTGATCCCAATTACCAAGAGAAATTGAGCTGCTACTGTGCAATGGAGGTAAAGAAGGGTCTGTATGGAATATAGGATATTCCTTAGGGTATCTCTTAGTATTACTATGTACTGTGACTAAAACTAATGAAAAGTTATATCACTTCAATTCAGGCAGAAATTCTAATTACCCAAACTCTTCAGGAATGAAGGTTACAATAAGTCCACTAGGAAAAGAACCATAGCCCAGAGGTGATTGCTGAGGGCAAAGGAAATCTAGAACGGGTAGCGGAAGAAGGTAGCTATAAATACCAACTACAATCATGTGACCAGTTGCAGAAATGAGGACTGTAATCATTGTGAGTGTTTTTTTGCTTATTTTGTTATGAATATATTTGTATATGTTTGGGTATACCAAATATTTTTTCTTTCCCCTTTTATCTCATTGCCATCTAACATACGATGTTTTAATAACAGTTAACCTTATATCTCAGTATTTAAGTTGTAGGATATCAAGGAGGAGAGTGCACATCACCCAAGGACTTTGCATCTTCTGCTGAGGAAGGGGTTAGTGCATTTCCAGCTGTACACAACATAGTTTTGTCATGTTAGATGGAAATATGACTTTGTTGTTGCCTTTATTTAAAGATTCAGTATAATTTTAAGAGATATGCATTGGTGTCAAGGTGACAAATTATGGTCTGTGGTGATCAATTTTATGTGTCACCTTGACTAAGCTATTGTCCCCGGTTATTCAAACACTACTCTAGGTGTTACTGCGAAGGTAAATTTGTAGATAGGATTAATACCTACAATCAGTTGATGAATAAAATATTGATAGACCTAAAACATGAGTGAATCTTGAAAACTTTATAGTACGTAAAAAGCCAGTCACAAAAGACCACATATTATATGAAATGGCCAGAATATGCAAATCCATTTAAAAAATAATAGATTAGTGGTTGCCAAGGGGAAGGGATATGCTGAAATAAGGAGTGACTACTCAAAAGCTCAGGACTTCTCTTTGTGGTGATTAAAAATGTTCTGAAATTAGGTAGTGGTATAATTGCACAAATCTGTGAATATTCCAAAAACCACTTTTAAAGGATGAATATTATGCTGTGTGAATTATATCTCAACAAAGCTATTAGGAAAAGAGAAGCTGAATGAATCCCTAACAAGATAAATTCAAATAAATCCATAAAAACCTCTATTAAAATTAAACTTCTGAAAACTAAAGACAAGGAAGAAAACTCAAATAAAAGAATAGGGAAACAAACCCTTATATATACTGGAAAAACAGTCCAGATACTACTAAATTTTTCATCAGAAGCCATAGACACCAGTAGAAAATGGCATAATATTTTTTAGGGGCTTCAAAAAAATAGCTGTCAACTCATAATCTTATTCCTAGAAAAGACACCTTCGGTAATGAAAGGGAACTGAAGACATTCTCAGATGTAAGAAAACAGAGATTTTGTTGCCAGCAGACCTACTCTAAAAGAATAGCTAAAGGGAGTTCTCTAATCAGAAAGGAGATAAAAAATAAAACAGGAATCTTGTAACATCAGTGTGTCATTCAGCATACCACCAGAGAAATAGATATTAATAGGACATATATTAAGAGATTTATTGAAACGAATTGGCTTACACTATTGTGAGGGTTGGCTATGGTAGTCCAAAATCCATAGGGCAGGCCTTTAGGAAAAGCAACCTGGAAACTCTCAGGCAGAAGTTGACGCTCTTGTCCACAGGCACAATCTTTCTTTTCTTTTTGTCAGCTTTTATTAAGATATAATTCACGTATCATGCAATTCTCTCATTTAAATTGTACAACCCAATGGTTTTCAGTATGTTCTCAGGGTTGTGCAACTATCACCACAATCAATTTTAGAGCATTTTTATCACCCAAGAAAGAAACATCATAACCATTAGCAATCATTCCCAACTTCTCCATCTCCCTCAATTTTTTTCTTCTTCAGAAATACTCAGTTCTACCTTAAGACCTTGTAACTAATTAAATAAGGCCCCTACAAAATATTAGGGGTAATCTCCTTTACTTTAAGTTAATTGATTATAGCTCTCTCCTTAATATGCTTGAATAATATTTCATGTATGAATATAGCACATATTGTTTATCCATTCATCCGCTTATGAAGATTTGAGTTGTTTCCACTTTTTGGCTGTTATGCATAATGCGACTATAAACATTCACTTAGAAGTTTTTGAACAACCATATGTTTCTAATTCTCTTTTATATACCCTAAGAGTAGATGGTTGGATCATATGGTAACTTAATGTTTAATACTTTGAAGAACTATCAAACTGTTTTCAAGAAGGGCTACAAAATTTTACAATCTTACCAGCAATGTATGAGAGTTCCAACTTCTCCATATCCATACCAACACTTGCTGTTTTCTCTCCTTTTATTATAGCCATCCTATTCGGTATGAAGTAGTATCTCATTGTAGTTTTGATTTATATTTCCCTAATAACTATTGACATTGAGCATCTTTACATGCACTCATGCACTTAACAATTTGTATAACTCCTTTGGAGAAATTCCTACTCAATCTTTTGCCCATCTTCAAATTTTCTTGTTTTTTTTTTAATTGTTGAATTGTAAAAGTGATTTATATTTTTTGTATTTTGATTAATATAGCTTTGTAGTAAACTTATGAATTGGGAAGTATGAGCGGCCCAATTTTGTCTTGCTCTTTTAAGATTGTTTTGGCAAAAATGGGTCTTTTCAGTTTTAATATCAATGTGTCAATTTCTGCAAAAAGTGCAGCTGGGATTATAAACGGGATTAATAGGGATTACAGTGAATTTGTAGATAAGTTTGTAGAGTATAGCTATTTTCACAAAATGAAATATTTTGATTCATAAATACTGAATTTTTTATTGATTTTGGTTTTTTCTTCTTTCAACAGTGTTTTGTAGTATTCAGTATATAAACGTTACTTTTTTATTAAATTGATTTCTAATTATTATTTTTGATGCTAATATAAATGGATTGTTTTCACAAATTCATGTTTGCATTGCTCATTGCTAAAGTATAGGTAAATAACTGATTTTTGTATACTGATCTGTACTATACAGATTTTCTGAATTCATATATTAGTTCCAATTGAATTTTTGTGGATGACTTAGAATTTTCTGTGTACCAGGCCACTTCATCTCTAAATAGAGATAGTTTCACTTCCTCCTTTGCAATCTGGATGTCATGTATTTTTTCCCTTGCCTTATTCCCCTGGCTAGAACCTCCAGGACGATCTTCAATAGAAGCAGTAACAACAGACATTCTTGACCTCTGCATGAACTTGGGTGAAAGTTTTCAGTCTTTCATCCTTTAGAATGTTAGCTAGATTGTACTTGAGTTCTTTGAACTTCTTGCATGTATGTGTAAATATTTTTTATTAGATTTTGAAAGTTGTTAGCCACAACTTCTTCAAATATTTTCTCTGATTATTTTTCACTCTCTTTCTTTCTGGGATTTCCATTATGCTTATGCTGGTATGATGAATGGTTTCTTACATTTCTCTGAGGCACTGTTCATTCTTTGTCCATTCTTTTGTTTCTCTGTCATTTGGATTGCTCAATCTCTGCTGAGCTACACTTAAGTTTGCCAATTTCTCCTTCTTCCTGTTCAGATGTACTCTTGAGTCCTTCTAGAATTTTTTATTTCAATTATTATTCTTTTCCATCACAGAATTTCTATTTGGTCATCTTTATAGCTTCTCTCTATAGATATGCTGTACTTGGTGAGACATCGTTCTCATGCTTTAATTATTTACATAAGGTTTCCTTTAGTTTTTAAAGTACATTTATAATTGTTGATTTAATTTCTACATCTAACGTAAGTCTAACATCTGGGCTTCCTCAGAGACAGTTTACATTGGCTGCTTATTTCCTGTTTATGGGTCATACTTTCTTGATATTTTTGTGTGGCTCTTCATCAGTTAAAAACCATATTTTTTTTTTGAGACAGAGTCTCTCTCTGTCGCCCAGGCTGGAGTGCAGTGGCACGATCTCAGCTCACTGCAACCCCCGCCTCCGGGGTTCAAGCAATTCTCCTGCCTCAGCCTCCTGAGTAGCTGGGATTACAGGCCTCTGCCACAATGCCCCGCTAATTTTTGTATTTTTTTAGTAGAGACCAACATGGGGTTTCACCATGTTGTCCAGGCTGGTCTCGAACTCCTGACCTCATGTGATCTTCCCACCTCGACCTCCCAAAGTGGTGGGATTACAGACGTGAGCCACTGTGCCCCGCCAAAAACCACACATTTTAAGTAATTTTGTATTGCATTCTGGAAATAAACCTCCCATTGCATGATTTGTTGTTGTTTTGGTTCCTTTGTTCCTGTTTAGTGACTTGTCTGAATCAGATTGCCTGCTTCTCTAGAACCCAGTATGACAAACATGAAGCAAAAAGAAAATCCAGGCAATTCACTACCATGCTGTTCTGTGTGTCCTAGGACTCCCAATTACTCTCTCTTTTCTCTCAGCTTTTTAGAGTTGTCTTATGTTTGTTTTATAAGTAATGTGTAGAGATTCTTTTGTTTTACTTAGGAGGAAAAATAGAAAAATGTTTATCTACTCCATGTTCCCTGAAGTGGAAATCATAATGTCATTCACTTTTAAAATCTATTTTAAATATGGAGAATTTACTGATAATTCAGTGACGGTTTTAAAGGGGAAGGCAAGGTTACAACAATCATCTGCTTGAACAGAAGAAAGGACTTCTCTTCTCTTCTCTTTAGAGATCTTTGAAATATCTATTCATAAATCCCTTTCCTGAGCAAACCTCACCTCTAATACACTGGTGATTCTAGCACTTTATCAATTCCTGAATAATCGAACTTTCTGCTGTATCTCAAAAGTTAGAAAATAGTAAAAGTATTTTTATTATATTTTAAGTAAATTCACCATTTTCTTTGTAGTACTTTGCCCAGGCTGCTGCAATAAAATACCAGAGAAATTTATTTTATCACAGTTCTGGAGTCTAGGAAGTCCAAGATCAAGGTGCTGGCTAGTTGAGTGTCAGGTAAAGGCTCTCTTCCTGGCTTGCAGACAGCACCTTCTCCCTAGGTCCTCACATGGCCTTCCCTCTGTGCATGTTCGGTGAAGGAGAGAGACAGGGAGAGATTTCTAGATTTCTCTTCCTATAAGACCACCATTCCTATGAGTTTAGGGCCTCACCCTTATGATCACATTTAACTTTAATCACCTCCTAAAGATCCTATATCAAAATACAGTCACTTTGAGGGTTAGGGCTTAACATGTGAATCTGGGCAGACAAAATTCAATTCCTAGCATTTCTTTTGTTTTATTTCTTCCCAGTACCAAACAGGTCCAGCACACAATATTCACAATAAAATGGGCTTGTTTGGTGAGTGTGTGAATATATGGACAAATGCACGAGAGAATAAATGGAGGCAATCATGAATGCATCAATGACTAAAAGTGCTATATCTAATCTTTTCCTAAGTACCTTCCCAGGGTCTCAAAATAATAATCCTTTGTGCTTGGAACTGTGGTAATTGGTTTTACACTGGGTCTTACTAATCCTCACAACACCTCCACCAGGAAGGCATGTGGGACTCTCATTTTACTGGTCAGAGAACTAAGGCTTAAAGAGCTTATGTGAGCTACTCAAGATCACACAGCTGTTAAGTGTAGAATTATTACCATGGATTAAATACAAATTTAACTGAGTCCAAGCCCACATAACGATTATACGTGTCGCTGTGCTATGTCAAATCCCATGAGCATTATAGTCGTGTACCTTGTAACACATAAACTAAATCATGCATATAGAGTACAGATAACTGTAATTCTAGCATTATTAAGTCAACTCGGAATTTGGTTCCTTTTACGTAAATCTGCAGAGCATTCAATAATTTCAAACTGACATCTGTTTAGTTTGATTGAGAAGCTAACATTAAATTCCAGCAAACCAGGATTTGAAGCTCTAGTGGATGATAATGCTTGCTTTCTGGAGAAGCCTCAGAGGAATCCTGGGAGCATGAAGGAAGGAAAGCAGAAAGTTAGGTCAAGAGTGAAGGCACTGGGAGAGATGCCTAAGGGAATAGGTAGGATATTGACTGCTTCTCCTCCGAATTTTTTAAAAGCACTCAGGGATAGAAACAGAAGCACTGACTTGGGCTTTATGCACAATTTCCCAGCCTCTAAAAGATAACATTTCTGGCCGATCAACTTTACTCAATCTACGAGTGTCAGAGACAAGACTCATGGTAAACAAGTGATAATCTGGGATTTAACCACATGCTAGTCCATTGGTAATGAGTTTTTTGTGGCTACTATATAATGTTTCAAATGCACGATGGCTACTTCTTGTCCTGCAGATTGAATTTTCTAACTAAGAATTTTATAAAGTAAATTCAGATCAGCATATGTTCCAATGAAGAGTAAGGTGAGATGACACTCGAGTGCTAGTGGAAGAAGTGATAAGAACTCAGGTGTTCTTTACACACAAGTGGAATAGTCCCACCTAGGTATGCATGCTGTCTGGTGGTAAAATAATTTCTAGGAGATACAGGTCTGAGGTGGAGTTCCCAACAGTACTTTAGAAGGAATGCATTTCCAGGCCTTACTGGAACTAGGGCTTTTCAACACCCATCCCACGGCAGGCACCCATTACCTATTACGTGATACCCATTACCTGACAGGTAAGATAACAGTCACTCATTATGTGAAGCACCTGGGGAGAGATGACACAGGCATCCAAAAGTGAAGAATGACTTTTCTGGTCCTGAGCAGACTGCAAACTTAGTCACCCTTGGCCATTTTTTGAAAACTGAGTGATCCTACTTCCACTTATCTCTCCCCCAGAAAGGGGCACAGAAGGCTACAAATTGTACAAGGCAGGTCAAATTATGCCAAATGAAAATAAAGTTTTCGATAACAGCAATGGTCTCTACATGTGGAGCAGCAGCACATCCTAGCAATGATGTGTTTGTGATTTCAACACCTCTTCTCTCTAGAATTCCACAAGAATGAACTTGCCTTTCTTTGGCAGAGCTACTAGCTTTATACCCAGGGATAATAAGTTTAGTTTTTAAAGTTCATGCAGCTTGTTGCATTTTCTCTAAGTCCCACTAAACCTATTACCCTATAAGAGATGAGGCTATGCCTTCTTCCTTCCATACTAAGGGGAAAGGTGAACGAACAGCATATATATGCAAGATTAGACCTCCCCTGTAAAGGAGGTAGCTGGGTGTACAGATTGTTCGATGTGAACCTGACCATAAGGAAAGGCAAGAGAGAAATAACAAAGTTCCTTGTTATTTTGTTGGCAATATTTTTTTCTGAAACCACCTTTTCTAAACCTTAGTCCCAACAGTTACTCTCAATCTTTGCCTTTGTCTTGTTTATCTAAAACCAATACTGAGCCCTGCTCACATCAATCAATGTTTCTCTCAGAAGGATGACAAAGGACTCCCAATTCTCTTGTTTAACAGCTTATTCAACACCTATTGCCTTCAGAGACCTTTTAAGAGCTACACTTCCTGACTTCGTGGCTACCAGTCTTCTAAAGTGAAAACAGAGACAGTTTAGATGAAAAATAGAGCTAGATTTGCCCACTTCTAGAATGGTAGGAGTAATGGGTATGAAAAAAAGGTCACATTCATCAAGGAGATTTGGGAGACATCGAAACAATTCAAGGTTTACAGTCTCCAACTATTGAACTAATGAGAGGAGTTTAACAAAGTCTAAGTAGTTTGTGCCTTACTAATTTAGAATTCATAATAAATAAAACTAAGGCTGGACTGAAACAAATCTATACATAAAATAATTTGCTAGACAAATTATCAATGCACACAAAATGGTGGTCAAGAATATTTACTTAAGGCAAAAAAAAGTTCAAACACTGAAGAGGCATGTATTTGCATATAATAATAGAATTATTTGTATATGCAAACTGAAAATCATAAAGGCTGTCCTTCTTTTCAGAATCTCTTTACTGTAAGTCACTATGTTTACCAGAAAATAGCAGACACTGCCTCGGATTTAAACAAAATATTGTAGTTATTAAAGCAGATAGGTGTTTTCCCTAATCTGAATTAATGTCATTTCATAGTATTTTACCTTAATTATTTTATTTTATAAAAGCTAACTAATAGCCTACATTCTCACATAAGAAAAAAGTCACACTACTTTTTTAGAACCAAGTGCTCCTACTGTAATTTTTTGTTAAAGTCATCAATAAAGTCATCATTTAAATACTGTGCCACATTGAAAAAAGAATCATGTGCCATCAAATAAGGGAAGATAATACCAACATAGGGTCAAATATTGATGTCCTTGAGACTTCCTAGTGGCCCAAAAACTTACTCAATCTCAACATATGTTTATGGATTTTTAAATAAATTACCTAATTACAGAAGCATACTTGTGTTGTGTATGCAGTATAAACAATAGAGGAATAGTAAGCAAAAAAGTATGAGACACAGGATATATTTTGTTATTAACAGTCTAAGCAACTTTTTGCATTCACTGAAATTATTATTAATAGAATTTCTTTCTAGAACAGAATTATTCTTCATTTCTCCAAGTCTATAGAAATTTAAAGGTCTGATTCTAAGTTCAGTTTGTTTCAATTACTCTGTTACTATGGTTGTCAACGTTGAAAAAGATTTCACAAAAATTTGGCATGTTCTGTAAATATCCTCCACCAATATAAACAGGTGTTACTGAAATTCAACACATTTTTATCCCATTTTTATTCAATTGGTTTATTGTACAAAATTATCAAAAGGTGTTGCATTTATATATGCTCAATAAACAGGTTCAAAATCTACTAAAATTGTAATTTGAATATTGTTTTAGAGGTTAGAAAATTTATGTTTTGAAGGTTTTGTGTCTGTGTGTGTAGATATGTGCATGTGTATGTTGTGTATGTGGGTGTCCATCCATGTGGATATGCCGGGATTTCTATGTACACATACATCATTTGATAATGACTCAGAATATACTAAAAAGCTACTGTAACCAAAACAGCATGGTACTGGCATAAAGACGGATACATAGACCAATGGAACAGAACAGAGGGCCCAGGAATAAATCTACAAAACTATAGCCAACTAATTTTTGACAAAGGTGGCAAGGACACACATTGGGGAAAAGATACTCTCTTTTACAAATGGTGCTGGAGAATCAGATACCACATGCAAAAGAATGAGACTAGACTCCTACTTCTTACCATATATAAAAACCAACTAGAAATGGATTAAACCTTAAATGTAAATTCAAAACCATGAAGGAACTAGAAGACATCATGGGAAAATGCTTTAGGACATTGGGCTGACAATGAACTTTTAAATAAAACCTTAAAAACACAGGCAACAAAAGCAAAAATAGACAAGTGGGATTATATCAAACTAAAAAGTTTTCTTTCAAAGCAAACAAAACAACAGTAAAGAGACAACCTACAGAAAAAGAAAAAATATTCACAAACTATACATCTCACAGGGGTTAATATCCAGAACATATAAGGAACTTGAGCAAGTCAATGGAAAAATAAAGCAAATAACCTGATTGAAAAATGGGCAAAATACTTTAACAGACATTTCTCTAAAGAAGACATACAAATGTCCAACAGGTACATGAAAAAATGCTCCACATCACAAATTATCAGGGAAGTGTAAATGCAAGCCACAATGAGATACCACTTCACTCCAGTTAAAATGGCTATTATCAAAAAGACAAAAGAAAAGTGTGGCGAGGATGTGCAGAAAATACTGCACATTCTGTGATACTGTAAATGAATGCAGCTATTATGGAAAACAGTTTGGAGTCTCCTCAAAAAATTAAAAATAGAACTACCATATGATCCAGCAATCCCAGTGCTGGGTACATATCCAGAGGACGTGAAATCAGAATGTCAAGGAGATATGTGCACTCCCATGTTTATTGCAGCACTATTCATAATAGCCAAGACATCAAATCAACCTAGGTGTCCAATGACAGATTAATGCCTAAATAGAATGTGGTGCAGATACACAATGGAATATTATTCAGCCATAAAAAGAGTAAAATATTGTCTTTTGTGCCAACATGGATGAACCTGGAGGACCTCAAATTAAGTGAAATAAACCAAACACAGAAAGATAAATAACACGTGATCTCATTCATATGCAGAATCTTAAAAACAAAAAAGTTGATATAATAGAAACAAGTAGAACCGTGGTTACCAGAAACTGTGGAAGGGAGTGGGGAAGAGAGAATGAGAAGAGGTTCATCAATGGATACCAAGTTAAAATTATGAATGCTGAGTCAGTTCTGGCATTCTATTGTTAAGTAGAATAATGATGGTTGACAGAGAGATATTATTGTATATTACAAAATTACTAGAAGAGAGGCTTTTTAATGTTCTCACCACAAAAATGATTAATATATGAGTAATGGATATGCCAAATATCCTGATTTGATTATTATACTATATATAGTATTGAAACATCAAATTGTATCTTATAAATGTGTACAATTATGTGCCAATTAAAATAAGTTTTAAAATAATTTTTAATGTGCAAAATATGTCATTTTCATTTTACCTCCAATGTATTGCTATTGAGTTCTATCTTTTTGTTCACATACACATTTTGAATCAATGTTAGATTTTTTCAGGGTTTTTTAATAGTCCATGTGCATTTTATTTAAGTTAATATTATATATATATTATCCGGGATATATATATATGTGTGCAGTGGCTCACATCTGTAATCCCAATACTTTAGAAGGCTGAAGCAGATGGGTTGCTTGAGCCCAAGAGTTCAAGACCAGCCTGGGCTACATGACGGGACTCCCTCTCTACAAAAAAATATAAAAATTAGCAGGGCATGGTGGCACACGCCTGTAGTACCACCTATTCAGGAGGCTGAGGTGAGAGGATCACGTGGACCTGGAAGGTAGAGGATGCAGTGAGCTGTGATTGCGCTACTGTACTCCAGGGCTTGGGTGACAGAGTGAGACCCTCTCTCAATAAAATAAAATGAGGCTTATGTATATTACACATGCACTTAACCAGGTAGGACCATGTAAATTGCAGTATCTCACACTATGCTTAAGTGAATGCTAAGTCAGAGTTCCTCCATGAGACTACCTCACCTGATGAGTGAGTATCAGACATATTGGTAAATGATGAGGCCCCCTAGGGCTAATCCACATATTATATATGAATAATGCTTCATTTTCTTATTTTATTGGATGGAAATATTCATACCTCTTAATGCATTTTTCCTACACTCCAAGAGATCTCCCTGGTGTTTCTAAGGTACTTGCTCTCCTCTTGGAAGAACACTGATTTAAATAATAAAACCTTATCATCTTGCATAGGAAAATCTGCTTTTCCTGTCCTAACTTCTTGTGGACAATACCTCAACATAGGTAAATACTTAGGTGCAGATTTTTTAAATGTAGAAATGTGAAGAATTAAAAGTGATTTATGGCAGCAGTTAGCCAAAATATGGTTTTCTTACATCTCAAATTTTATTTGTATGCTGGCATTTTTCTGGACTTTGACAAATATCAAACATAAAAACATTTGGGACATTTGAAACTGAAATAACTGATCACTATAATTTTTCTTTCAATGTTAATCTAGCATCATTTAGCATGGAGAAGCCATCTATCCTGTTTACTTTGACACTGGCCAAAGTTAGAGCCAGGACAAAAATAAGATAATTGTGTTTTTTTTCTCTTCAAAAAATATATATTCCTTCTGTTAGTCTCCAAAAATGAATAGAAAACTACTTCTTAGAGAACTAACAACTTGTTAATTCTAAACAATTAATTTTTCACCTTACTGGTAATATTTTCAAATGTTCATAAAATAAAAATGGAATCAAGAACTTGTACAATGTCTGTGCCCTTCCTTATCACAGATAAATTTTTAAATAATGAATCAAACCATGCAGATTCTCAAAATAGTTTTAGGTGGGTAATATACCATCCATTCTCTCAATCATTGACTGTCACTATCAGGGAAACTGTGTGGCAGTATGAATAGCCTAATCCTCTCACTTCCATTTCCGTATGATATTCTACCAACTATCAGAAATAAAAGGATGCAATTCTTCATCATAAATTTGTCAGTTGTATGATTATTATAATACTAGAAAAGATCAGAGCTTTGGTCAAATGCTAACCAAAACGTATTTGCAAGTGAAAGTATGGGGAGTGGGTAAATTCCTACTGTGACAGAATTTCGAAGCAGTGTAATTTCATCTCCACTGGAGTTCCCAGCATGTGTAACAAAAGTGAAACAGAAAAAATCTGTTCTCCATCAACATAAAGTTAATTTTTTTTCTAATTGGTAAGGAAAAACAAATCTCATTTGACTGCCCTGTATTTCTTTCCAAATTAAAGCATAGCAATCCAGCTCTAGCTCCGCCACTTTTGGCAAGCTATCTTTAATGAACATGAAATAAACGGTATCTCTCTTCGTAGTTATGCTTTCTTTACCTTCTCGAATCAACCATAAATACAATTATACAGTTGAAGAAATAATATTACAGGATTGGTTTCATTAATGAATGAACTGGATTTTAAAAGCTATTGTGTGATCCATTGTGTAACCTCACTTGTTGAACATGTGTACTGATGTAAGTCTCTAGGATAGCAGGGAAACATGTATTTAATATATAACATACTCAAAGTGTGAGTCATGTGAAATATACACCACGTGGGTCCATGTTTACATTTAGAGTGATTGGTGACCAAGTGCATATAAAGGAACATATGTGCAGGAGTCTGATATCATAGAAAGTGTGTGCTTATTTGGAATCAAATAGTATGTGCTTGATTTGTTGTACCTGTTTGTAAATACCTGAAAGAGCACAGTAATGATTACATTTCTTTCATTGGATTGTTGTATGGATTCTGCATGCAAAAGGCTACACTTCACCCATTCATTTAATGAACCTTTACGGAGCACCTCTGCTATAGTCTGAATGATTATATATCCCCAAATCCATATATTGAAACTAATCACAATGTGATGGTACTAGGAGTGGGGCCTTTGAGAGGTCATTAGGCCATGAGGATGCAGACCTCATGAATTAGATTAGTGCCTTACAGAACAGTCCACAGATAGCTGCTTTGGCCCTTTTCCATGCTAGGACACAGAGAGAGAGTATCATTTATGAATCAGAAAGCCCTTGCCAAACGCCAGATATGCTGGTGCCTTAATCTTGGATGTCTCAGCATCCAGAACTGTGAGCAATAAATTTGTGTTGTTCATAAGTCACTCACTTGTTTTGTATTTTGTTATAGCAGGCCAAACAGACAAGACAACCTCCTATGCCTAAATTTTCTGCTAGGTGCAAGGAAACATATAAATATGATATGATCCCCTCCATTAAGAGACTGGTCCTTTGTTTTTATCCCTGGAAGTTGCAAATGCAGTTGTAGTAGCAGTAGCTACAGTAAAACAAGTAACAGATGATACTGATTGACTTCAGCAAAGGCAGTATGAGAAGTATGTATTCATTCGTCAGCAAACACTGATGACCAAATGATAAATATGGTGTAATCGCTGACCTCAAAGAAGGGAAGACTATCAGATAAGATAGTTATAATATTCTTAAATAATGTCTGAAGAGGTAGCCGGAATGTTTTATGGAGCATCAAAGGACAACACACAAGTCTTGCCTGAGGACATGATACTAGAACAGTCCTCTTAGGCGATGCCTTGCAGGCAGCTTGAGAAGCCTGGGCATGCATGGTATGCTGCAGTTTCTTCAGGGAGCATGAAGTAAATACAGCACGAGCGGTGGATGGAGGTGCAGACAGAGGTGAGAATTCAAAGGCCAGGAGAGTCAAGATTGTGAAAGGCCCTCAGTACCAAATTTGGAGGTAACTGACACATATTAAATAAAGGATTTTAAAGAGAAACACCACATTTGCTTTCTGTACCGGATAATCAAGGAGATGGGAATTAACTCTGTCTCATGTGGGACATGGGTGATCATTCCTGGGGCCAGTCTCCAACAGCCTGGACATAAAGGAAAGAAAGAAATGAGACTGACAAGCACTAACAGTAGTAGCAAGGGCCTGTGGGGTCTGGGGTAGCAGCCTTGAGAACCTGACCTTTTGGGAAAGTGGGGGACTCAGAAGACCCTGGGGACACAGCTCTATTCTCTAAAAAGCTCTGTGTTTTCCATTTCTTTTTACTTTCCCATCATGTAAAATGGCCACAAAGACTCCATCTGAGTGCTCTAAAATGCAGAAAGGGGAAGCGGAAGGTTTTCACAGTGACTTTACAAGGGCAGGCTGTAGACCTCGGGTTCATGAGCATTTAAATTAAGTCATCCAATGAGCACTTACTGAACACTTCCCACAAGCCAGGATCTATATATAAAGCTAGAGCAGTGTTTCTCCAACTTCGGCATGCATGGGAATCTCCTGGGATCTTGTGAAAATAGAGACTCTAATTGAGTTGGTTTGAGGTAGGGAACCAAGATTCTGCATTTCTAACAAGGAGCGACACTGATGCTTCTGTTGCAGGGACTACACTTGGAAACACAAGGAGTTATAAAACAGAAAGGGTCCTGCTGCAGTAGAGATGATAATCTAAGTGGTGATACAATTTATAAATCTCTGCAATGTAGTGTGGTAGGCACTATCATGCAGAGGCATAGGCACTGTGCAAACAAATATCAGTAATTGTAAACATGCAGCTGTCATGAGACATTCCTGTTTACAGACCTTTTTTTAAACAACTAGTGAAGGGCATGTGTGTGCTGCAAGGATTGAAAGTAGAAAGGGTATGCTCCTTCAGTTGAATGCGTTTAAGAATCTAAAAACAATCTGCAACATCAAATTTGATTAGGAGAAACAAGTTATGATCTTAAAGACGGAACAAAGAGAAGTGACTGTGTCTACTCTGAGAGTCAGAGCTTGAAAATGACACTACATCGTTATTTCCTCCTGTGTGCATTTTTCCTCCTCACTATTCACATTGATTTCTTCTGTAGGCAGATTTGGCTAACAACCTTTGAACCAAGATCTATGGTCACTACTCATAAGTCTTATTAGCAAAAAGAAAACTTGAATGCTCCAGTCTCTTTCTCGCAGACTAACCTATTTGGGAAATTGGTAGGGTCCGTGATAAGAAAAACTCCCACAGCATTATGAAAGAGAGGATTTCTAATTGGTAGCTACATTTTCCATTTAGAGTATGTTTGAGGCAGCTGTTCTATATTCCATCAGGGTGGAATCACAAAGGTAACTTTCCCCTTTTCACATTTTACATGAACTGAGATGAGAAAGACCAGGCAATATTATGAAGTGAGTAAAGTATGAAATGAAGAGTTCTGTGTTCCATGGGAAGTGCTACAGCGTGCATGCTTATTTATATGTTAAAATCCTAACCCCCAAGGTGATGGGTATTGGGAGGCAGGGCCTTTGGGGAGGTGATTAGGTCATGAGTATAGAGCCCTACACTCTTGAATGGGATTAGGGCCCTTATAAAAAAGGCTCAAAAGAGCTAATTCCTCCATTCCACCATGAGGACACAATGGGAATAAAGCCATCTATGAACCAGGAAGTGAGCCCTCACCAGACAGTGAATCTGCCCGCACTTTTATCTTGGACTTCCCAGCCTCCAGAACTGTGAGAAATAAATTCTTATTGTTTACAAGCCACCCCCAGGTTATGGTATTTTGCTCTGGCAGCCCAGATGGACTGAGTGAGTTTGGAAAGAATAATTTGATAGAATGGTGAAGGAAGTGGAATTGAAATAGATGGAGGATAGAAAGCAACATGAGAATGATTCTTTAAGATCACATAAACAAGAAATGTGCCTTTGTCATAAAGCTAGTGTAGTGCATGCAGAACATGAATGTTAAGATATTTACAAATTTAGATAAATATGTATTCAGTTATACATCATATTTCTGTGAAACAAACACTAATGGTATTAACGCTATTATTTAGCAAGTATTTATTTAATTCCTACTATGATCGAACGGAGATATTTTGAGTTACAAGATTCATTCTCTATCTGTTCAAAGGCTGAGTTGGTGAACGTTTTCATAATGTACTTCCTTAGTCTTTGGTCTCTACTCCAGACTATGGTAAGTAACTAGGTAACTTTAGGCACCAATCAAAGGATTCTGATAGACAGTATGTTAGAATAAATAATTATGTATGAAGAACTTGGACAAAATCAAAGTGAATTTACACTCACTAATTCAACAAAAATTTAGTGAACACATTTCCCCATACAGGAAGCTTCAAGTGGCAAGGGTGGTACAAAGAACAATTTCTTGAGCACTCTGCAGTCTGAAAGCTTGTAGAAAACTTGCAGGTAGATAAGAGACAAACAACAACAACAGTGCAAGACAATATTTAATAAATGACATGGGGTGAGAACATGCAAAAATAAGAATTTAGGGGAAGAAAAAATTACGTCAAATGCTGATTAAATTTGGGATTAGCACAAACTGGGGACAAAGCTAATGGATTGATGACAATCAGTATTTTAAAAGATAGCAATGAGCTAAGGTTATGTGAATGTATCAAGATAAAACAATGTTTGGATAACAAAATGAAACAAAACTAAAAATATTATAACTTGAAGCAATATTAATAGCTAATATTTATTGAACAATTTCCATGTAACTTGCAGTATTCAAATGCTTATGCATATTAACTTATTTGACTCTAAAGCATCCTAATAAATGAATATCATAATTATTTTCATCTCAACCATCGAGGAAATCTCCATGTGTGACAATAAATGACAAAGCCAAGATTAGAACCCAGATATTCTGGCCTGAAAGTTTACATGTGTCAGATGCTACAGTGTACTACCATTATTTATATATTATTTATTTAAAAACTGGAGCATTCAAATAGTCCTACTGTAAGCAACCACTTCTAGAGAGTTGTGCTCAAATTAATTCAAGCATTAATTTAATATACCATGTCTCATCTCAAAAAAAGTTGAGAGGGGATCTTTTTTTTTAATATTTGAAATTCAAGATTTAAAAAAGGGATAGTTGAATTTAAACATCCTAGGTTCTATACAGAGAAATGAGACCCAGATAGCTTTGATTATAATACATCATTATGTACACTTGCAAGCAAAGATAATACTTGGCGTGGAGAGAAGACTTCAGTCATGCGGTACTGAATAACTTTAGAAAAATGAAGAGAGCAAGTACTATTTCAGTAAACTCCTGGACCCCAGATGAGAGAGTCTTGTTTGATTTAGTATTGAAGTGATCACTAGTGTTCTTAACTCTTAACAGAGTATAGAGAACTAATGATGGATTTTTTTTTTTTTCAGAGAGAGGGAATTGAGAAGTGAATGGAGGCTTGGATGCAGGCACTCACGGAGAACTCTCAGAGTGAAAAGAAAGCAACCAGGTAAAGGAATCATAGAAGGAGGAAGAATACTTCCTGGAAGTTTCATGAATATGCGCCTGATGCTTTCACTCCATAAACCTTCATGTCCGGCTCCCAATGAGCCATGCCTCATCTCACCAGCTGGACTCATTATGTGTGTTTTAAGTGGCTGAATCATCGCCTTTTCTCCCTCTCACATTACTTCACAAACACTAAAAGGCAGAATTGTCTTCTTTCCCATGATCTAGTCTCATGTCTCATAGCAAAGTAATACCCATTGAACTAAAATAGCTGTCAACTTGCTAATAAATAAGAAGTATTAAACTAAACTCACACTAATGGAGCTGTGTAGGGGTGACAAGGTATTCAGAGCCAGTCAAGCGTCCCAGCAGCTCACTCCTGAGGGCGCCACTTCATAAACAGAGGCATTGATGGGCATCCCTGAACGCCGGGGGCTTCCCAATTCCCACATGTCATGAACAAGTGAGGACAGATATTAATTGGAATGGTACTTGATATCACCATCAGAGTTAAACAAACTTGCCATTACATTACGGGAAAGCCTTCACAACATTTGGGTCTGAAAAACCTCTGTTTTCACTGTGTGTGTGTGTGTGTGTGTGTGTGTGTGTGTGTGTGTGTGTGTGTGTGTGTGTTGTGTAATGCTACATGGACTGTTTATTTTGCTTATTTTAAAAAACCAGCTAACATGCACAAGCAGAATGTTTCTGACAAAATAATGAGAAAAAGTGTTTGGAATACATAAAATTGTTCACTTACAGTCCTCCCACCCCCACCCAAACTCTACAAATATTTCCTTCTTATGTATCTGAAGTATGGAAACCCAGAATGTCCATAGCCCCTAGAGCTATTGATAAACAGCTGTTGATAAACAGAGCATAGTTCTGAACAACGTGACTCAAACCACTCCAGAAGACAGGTGGTGTGGCTGTGGACCATTGAACTTTCTACTGCTATTCCAGGAAGAGCAGGGAAATAGGAAGGCAGGAAGGACTTTATAATTTTCAGTACCCAGGGCTAAATAAAACGGTAGAGCTTCTTGTTCAACAAAGGGTTAAATATTTCCAGACTGCAAGTCAGAATATTAGAGCAACCTTGGTGCCATCCATGAGACTGCACAGACCCTGTGGAAAGGATTCAGGGACTGGCACGCCTCTAGAACAGCCACATACATTTTTTACTATTTGTTCAACTTACAACAGCTGCACTCATTATTTTGCATTTCCACAGTGCCCCAGTTTTTAAAAAATTATCCTTTCTTTTCAAAATCATGTCTTTGTTTAAATCATGGGTGGCTTAGAATTATTTCCCTTAAAGGCCGTATGAGTCAACTCCCCCACTGCCCACTCCTGTCCCTCTATTTCCTGTCCTTCTACAAGTCCCTTGTCATCTGAGAAGAGCATAATTCCAGAAACTTCCTCATGCTTCCATTCTTTACTAAATCGATGTATTCTCCTGTTTCGGTTGTCTTCCCAGTGAAAGAGGAAAAGTGAATCCTGGCCAGATGCAGTGGCTCACGTCTGTAATCCCAGCACTTTGGGAGGCCAAGGCAGGCAGATCACGAGGTCAGGAGTTTGAGACCAGCCTGGCCAACATGGTGAAACGCTGTCTGTACTAAAAATACAAAAATTAGCCGTGTGTGGTTGTGGGTGCCTTTAATCCCAGCTACTCGGGAGGCTGAGGCAGGAGAATCACTTGAACCTGGGAGGCAGAGGTTGCGGTGAGCCAAGACCTGCGCCATTGCACTCCAGCCTGGGTGACAGTGAGACTCCGTCTCAAAAAAAAGAGAGAGAGAGAAAAAAAATGAATCCTGTTTCTGCTCTTTTTACCACCCTCTGCCTTGGGGAATGATAAACGCTTAGAAAAATTCTCAATCCATGATTGAAACTACCTGGTTGCTCACTGTGACGTGGGGAAGTTTTGCTGCCCGGGTTTCCTAAGCTGACCCTCATTAATACCCAGGGGTCATCCCCTAGATTTCCAAAAAGTTCATTGTAGATGCTGCTGCTGTTGCTGTCATACCAAATCTTCTATACATACATTGGGAAAAATACCCGCCCCCGCAAAAATATGAGGAACTGCTCAAAGGTAGTTAGACAGAAAAAGAGGAGGAAAAATGTGTTTCTGACATTTCCATTTAAAGATGAAGTATAGTTCTTCTTTTCTTCTTCTTTTTTTTTCTTTTCCAACCTCCGCCTCCCAGGTTCAGCGATTCTCCTGCCTCAGCCTCGAAAGTAACTGGGACTACAGGCGCACACCACCATGCCTAGCTAATTTTTGTATTTTTAGTAGAGATGGGGTTTCACCAGGTTGGCCAGGATAGTCTCAATCTCTTGACCTCATGATTCGCCCGCCTTGGCCTCCCAAAGTGCTAGGATTACAGGCATGAGTCACCGTACCCGGCCAGTATGTCCCTTCTGAAGCAAGATCATAAGTGTTTCAAAGAAAACACAAGTTTTGTATTCACCTCTGTTAGACAAAAAGCAGAGATAACTAGAAACCCTGGTGATAAGACATGTAGACAAATGAGCCTATTTGGCTTTAAATGTTTGAGATGAACAGGGCTTCTCTACAGCCACCTCTCATGTCACAAACTGAGTTGAGCTACAAGTTGTAATTAAATCTTCATTTTCTCACTAACTTATTTTCCCCATTTACAGTAAGTAGAGACAAATGTGAAAGTATCTATAAGGAAAAAATATATATGTAATATATAATAGAAAAGCATGGGAGTTGTGGCTCGTGCCTGTAATCCCAGCACTTTGGGAGGCTGAGGTGGGCGGATCACGAGGTCAAGAGATTGAGACCATCCTGGCCAAAATGGTGAAACGCCATCTCTACTAAAAACACAAAAATTAGCTGGGCGTGGTAGCACACGCCTATAGGCCCAGCTACTCAGGAGGCTGAGACAGGAGAATCGCTTGAACCCAGGAGGCAGAGGTTGCAATGAGCCGAGATCGTGCCCCTGCACTCCAGCGTGGTGACAGAGCAAGACTCCATTAAAAAAAAAAAAAAAAAAGGAAAGAAAAAGGAAGGAAGAAAGGCGTATTTATAATTATGGCCTAGTTCACTTTTTCTCCTAACCCAAGTAGAAAGACCATCATCTACGTAGGGCTTTTTCTTGCTTTGATGGTACAGTTAGATGGTTTTTCAGTCATTTATTTTAAAAACTGATTATTGCCCAGCACAGAAATTTAGTTAGGTGGGCATGTCTGGCAAGAGCTGAATGATTAATCATATCATTCAGATATCTGTAATTAAAAAACAAACAAAAAAAAACCCATTACCTAAAACTGTCTATTTAAAAACAGACTTGGTTTCTGACCAAGAAACCAGGGGGAAAGTGTTTCTCTCTCCAAGCAGCAAGGAACACAGATGCATCTAGAGGGTTAAGGCAGTTAAATAGAAAGATATATGTTTTAACGGAGTTGTGCTTTAAAATTACTTCTAATTTATCCACTTACCAGACATGTATTGAGGTAAAATGATCAGCAGTAATATGCAGCAGAAAGATATATACTTTTTAAATTGTAGCCAAGAGGAAAAAAGCAGCATGGAATAACTTAATCGTTGCTAATTATAATATCACTGAGGTAATTACAATAGATTTTGATTGTCTCATTTTCACACCAGAGGAGGGCACAATGCTGGCGTTTCTCTTAATACATATTTGTTTTTAGAGAAGAGCTGACAATTATACTAATTGTAGTCACAGCATGAAACTTTGTTTTTAAAGAAAAATTCGTCTACATGTCACATGGAATAAATGCACCCTTTCTGTTTGGTTAGGTGCAAATTAAAGACACATTAATTGCTTTGTTTATTGTGGTAAGAGATCTCTGCATTGTTGCAAGCATTATCAATTTTCCAAGAGCCTAATCCACTGCAGAGTCCTCAACATCCAAGAAACTGTCCCACTGCTTAAACGGGTCACTTTTTGAAAGCTTTTGAAGGCTCTTCCTTCACATTGCCTGTAAACCACTTGTTCAGATTCGCAACTTCCATTCAGGAAGATGAGAAAAAATGCTGATACGAAAATGCCAATGAAAGCTGAGTTGTGAGATGCATCTTATGCTCCTGCTACAAGAACCCACTGGGGTCTCCAGTGTATCAATGTGTATAGAATGTACCTGTGAGGAACAAAGTCTCAGAGGCATGGGCTGTGGAAAGCTTGACCCAAGCAGAGTGGAGGAGAGAAAATTGCAGATTTCGGATTTGTAAGTGTAATCAGAATTGGTGTTGGGTCGATTGGTTCCTCTTCTTGCCCATAGGTGGCCTGCAGTCCAGCAGAAGTGGCAGCCTTTGTCCTTGGTAGTAAGAAAGCAGCCTCAGATCTGTGCATCTCCCTCTATTTTATAAGATGTCTAAGCCTGCTCTTCTGTTATGACCTCCCCAATGAGATATATTAGAAAGATAGCCATGTCTCCTCTCATTTACAATCATCATGCCAGAACTTATGCAGGAGAAAGGCCTCCTAGCCAGCTGGAATGCAAGTGGAGAAAAAGAATGGCCAGCCTTTAGGATTCCTAGAATTCAGTTGATATCATCGAGTTTGATGACATTTATTGTGTCAAAAGCTATTTATAGGAAACCACATCCAACTTCTTTTGAGTAACCTACACAGAGAGGCAAATCAACTACTCAAGATCACATCATCTTCTCCTGCACTGGAGCATACCAAGCAGTTCCCCTAGCACTGGTCACCTAAAGCACCACAGCAGCACAGACACTATGCAATTAGAGTAAAACCACCCATCACAGAAAGAAACAGTTACTAATTTATGGTACAGTGAATAAAGGAGGTAAAATGCTGTTTTAATGTTTGGGGTTTTAAATTTGTTTCACTTGCTAAAGAATCATTACACGTGAATGTTAGAGAAAACTGGACATTAAATACGTCTACTGAGCCAGGCAAGGTGGACATTTAGACCCTGGTAGACAGTCAACACAATAGAGCTCAGGCCAGGGACCTTTCTGCACACATGTCAATGTGGGTATTGGAATTTTCAAGAACCCTGAAGCATTTCCCCAGGCCACTAGGCTGCTTTTACTGCTTTATGACACCCCAGAGTGAGGCCTTCTACTTCCTTTACTGACCTCTTGTACCCAATTTTCCTCTCCCCATTCCTGTGATCATTATTGTGATCTCAAGCCTCTGGATCTCTCCATCAACTCTACAATGAACCCTAACTGGCCTCTTTGCTTTCCATTACACCAAAACCAATCCACTATAATATCATAGGCAGGTAATCTACATTCATGACAGTTCCCTGCTCAGGAACTTTTAATGCATGCCCATTGCCTACCAAATAAAACTTCCACTACTGAGCCTGGCTGACAAAGCCCTTTGTTACTCTGCCCCCAACACAGATTCTCAATGAGACCCTTTCCAGACATCCTGTGCTTGCTCCATCAGAGCCAGATTACTTCAGCAAGCATTATGTAGCACTCAAGAGCAAGAGACTTTGGCATTAGGAAGGTTTAGGTTTGTATCCCAGATTTCTTATTTATTGCAATGTTTGCTTTCTAATATTTGGCTTTGTCATAAATAAATAATAAATACATGATGGAAAAAAATACCTACCAAGAACACATGAGGCCACAATGAGAAACAGGTATCTACTTATCCCCATTTCCTAGGCACATGGCAGTGTGTTAGGTCAGTAAGAGCATCTTCCATCAGCACTGTCATTATTTTTAAACATTTTTCTTGTTTTTCCATCTCTAAGTGTTTGCACCCTCAACCTAAAATGTCATTTCCTTAGCTCAGTAAGATGCCTACCCAGTTAAAACACCACCACTTGCATGAAGTTGGTGCCCCTTCTCTGTGCTTCACCATTACCTGCGTTTTTCTGACATGGTCACCAAATGTTGCCTTTTATTGCATTGCTCAGAGCAGCAGGTCCTGAGTCCCACACTGGGGAACCCAAGACTAGTGAGCCCAAGCCCTTCATGCATGTGGAAAACCAGAGCTCTAGCTGAACTTAAGCCAGAAGCTTTCTCTCTCTTACATCCCAGATCCAGCTCTTACTGGGTCTTTCTCTTTATGCTCTTCACTCCACTCTCACTCCTCTTCTACCCTAAGGCCATCATCTCAGCTCAGGCCCTTCATCAATAGAACAAGAAGATGTGGCTGAAGTCAAAGAATAACAAGAAATCTTGAAAATGTAAAATATGTTCCCCTCAAAATTCACTGAACAGGTTGTATTAAAAAAACAGACTTCATTAAGATTACCTTGGGGATCTGGAAGATAATAATACATAAATAAATTTTCTATTACCAGGAGCAAAACGAAAGAGTGTGCCACACTCACAACAATGAATGCTGGTTGTAAATGTTTTTAAAATGAGTAGCCAATGAATCATAATTATTGAATTCATTCAATTCTCAAGGTCCGAAGCTAGGATGTAATGACTTTCCATAGGAAACAAATGAGATAATACCTACTCCTTGACCAATGATCTACTTGAGGATATGGGTAAAATACGTGGACAGTGTAGCAAACTAAGGAAGCTTTTCCTGAGTGCCAAAAGCAAACGAAAGAAACTAGCATTTGTGAAAATATGAAATAAAGGTTCTACCCATCTGCTCCCCTCACTGTGTTATAGGAGTTCCAGAACAAAAGATAGACAATGAAATAACGATAGAATAAAAATAGCTCAGAGCTATTTTATACCGGAAGACATATTCCAGTCTTTAGATTTGCAAGAGTCACCATTACCCCCACTCCAGGGAGAGCTAGCTGAAATAAAATAACAGAGACACACTTCTAGACACATTCTGATGAAATTTCTGATCTCCAGAAATTGAGAGATATAGAAGAACTGAGAGATGGTGAAAATACTCCAGCTCCCTAAGATTTCACAACAAACCAAAATGTACCAGTGGACCTGCATTATTTAAAATATAGAGATATTCACCAAATATATTGCAGAAACGGAACAGTGGCTATTTCTGGTGAGTGAATTGGAAAGAAAAGAGCTAGAAGAAAACTTTTATGTCACATGTGATTCTCTTCCATATGTTTGCAATTTTTTTTTGTTTTGTTTTTTACTATGGGAACATAGTACTTTTATGATGAAATAATTTTCTATTTGTTTTGTAGGGGCTTTTTTTGTTTTTGAGACAGAGTCTGCAGCCTTGACCTCCTGGGCTCAAGTGATCCTCCCTCCCCAGCCTCCTGAGTACCTGGGACTACAGGCATGCACCACCATGCTTGGCTAATTTAAAAAATATAATTTTTATAGAAATAGGATCTTGCTATGTTGCCTAGGCTGCTTTCAAACTCCTGAGCTCAAACAATCCTACTGCCTTGGCCTCCCAAAGTGTTGGGATCATAGGCATGAGCCACAACACCTGGCCTCTGCCTATTTTTAAAATTTTAACATGGCATCGTATTATAAGCATTTTCACATAATTAAATTTTCTTCAAACACATTAATTTAATTATTTTACAAAATTATAATTTATAAATCTGTCATATATTATACAATGACCTATATCCTCTGGGATATTTCTTGATTTTTGCTACTATAAATTCATGAGGAAAATCTTCATATATTCATTTTTCTGAGAATCTCTGATACCCTATAGAATTAATTTTGAGAAGTAAAATTATATCTTGAAGGTTTTGGTGTTTATTACCAGTTGTTCTACCAGGAGATTGTAAGAATTTAAAGCTCAACCAAAGAAAGATAAAATGCCCATATTGCCACACTCACAAAAATGAATGCTGGTTGTGAATATGTTTTTAAAATGAGTAGCCAATGAATCATAATTATTGAATCCATCCAATTCTCAAGGTCCGAAGCTAGGATGTAATGACCTTCCATAGGAAACAAATGAGATAATACCTACTCCTTGACCAATGATCTACTTGAGGATATGGGTAAAATACATGGACAGTGTAGCAAACTAAGGAAGCTTTTCATGAGTGCCAAAAGCAAACAATGCAAGTTTTTTAATGCAGATGACAAAGACCTTTCTAAGTATGTTATAAATATCAGAAAGCACAAAATAAAAGAGCTGACATATTTCAGCTACATCAATTTAAAATAAACAAAGCAAACTTCTCCATGGAGCTGCGGGGCAGGGGAGGACAATAAAACAAGCAACAGAATTTCAACTATATGTGTAATAAATAACAATAAAAGGCTTCAATGAAGAGGTTTATAAGGAAGGAGAAAAGAAAGAAGGTAGAAGAGATTCAAGAGGAAGATGGGTAAAGATCATGAACAGACAATTCATGAATGAAGAAATACAAATGGCAAGTATGTGTGCACTAGTGTTCAATTTCACAGATAATCAAATAGTGCAGTATTATTTAATAAGACAAAATTTAAAACTTTATTTAAAAACCCAGTGTTTAATGAGTGTGTGCAGAAATGTGTGCTTTCACTTGAGGTGTAAATCATATGAACAGGATGATCTTTCTAGAGGACAGTTTGATCACATGTATCAACTATTATGTGTATATATCCCTTGACCTCGCTAACCCACCTTGAAGATTTCAAACAAGAGATAATCAGACACACTGGAAAAGATTATGTACAAGTTATTCATTACAACATTATTCATAAAAGTAAAAAGATGCTCTTCCATAGAGTACTTAGTCAAAATGATGTGTGTACACTATGAAGTACCTACAGACAATGAAATTCAGCCATAGTTGTTTACCTGGAAAGTGGTCCATTAAATATTGTGAAAAAGATAAATTACATAAATTCAGAGAAGCATAGTGTAATCCCACTTATGTAATGCACATGTGTATATGGGCTAAGAGAAATGTTTGGAAGAATTTTCATCAAAGGCTAATGATGATTACTTTTGATTATTTAAATTTTATGAGTATCACTTTTGCCAAAAACGGTAGTCATTAAAAAAAAAACCCTCATATTCATTTTTTTATTTTTTATTTTTTTATTGAGATAGAGTCTCTCTGTCACCTAAGCTGGAGTGTAGTGGCGAGATCTTGGTTCACTGCAACCTTCACCTCCCAGGTTCAGGCGATTCTCCTGCCTCTGTGTCCCAAGTAGCTGGAATTACAGGGGTGCACCACCACACCAGGCTATTTTTTTTTCTTGTATTTTTAGTAGAGACAGGGTTTTACCAGTTGTCCAGTCTCGTCTTGAACTCCTGAGCTCAAGTGATCTGCCCACCTTGGCCTCCCAAAGCGCTGGGATTACAAGTGTGAGCCACTGCACCAAGCCAAAAACTCATATTCTTTTTTTTTTTTGAGACGGAGTCTCACTCTGTCACCCAGTCTGGAGTGCAGTGGCACCATCTTGGCTCACTGCAACCTCTGCCTCCCAGGTTCAAGCAATCCTCCTGCCTCAGCCTCCCGAGTAGCTGGGACTACAGGTGCGCACCACCATGCCTGGCTAATTTCTGTATTTTTGGTAGAGATGGAGATTCACCATGTTAGCCAGGCTGGTGTCAAACTCCTGACCTCGTGATACACCCACCTCGGCCTCCCAAAGTGCTGGAATTACAGGCGTGAGCCACCGCACCCAGCCTCATATTTCTGATATTGGTTCAGAGATGAGATAGATTTCTTGGAGGAACTGGGGCTTGTTGTTGGCCTTGAGAAACTGTAAGTTCCTGTCTCTTAAGTTTTATTGGCTGAAGCAAACACTGAAGAAGGTGTTGGTCATAAAATGATATAATCACCACCATCATCACCACTGTGTATTTAGTCCTCCTAATTGAATGTCAGTGTCAAAACAATTGGAAAACCAGGAGTGAAGAAATGGTCACTTACTAGAGAGAGATCAGAGGGAGACTGTGTGCACTGTGGAGGTCAAGCTGGAAGCAACTAGTGCAGAAGGAGTTTGACTTCTTCCTGACAAGAGTTCATGGTCTGACTGTGAAGGAGAGACAGGTCCTAGGAAGGAGAGTAATAGCCATATCCTCCCAGTTGAAGGAAAACAGGAGCAGAGAGGACAGCCTTAAATAAACAACCTTTGTCTCCCAGATTAGGTAGAAACTAATTTACCTGAGAAACAAATGGGACTGATTAACAAATAGAGGTTCTGGACCCCTCAGGGGTTTTAGAGTTAGCAGGAGGAGGTTAAGGACCTTCATGGGTTTAATATGGAACTTGCAGAATCCAGAAACACAGCCAAAGCCATACTCAACACTAAGAATCAGTTCTGATCCTTCACCTGCAAAACCTGATAATGTTAAGTTCTTTAGTATTCATAAATGAAAATCAGCGATGAGTTTAATTACCAATGTAGAGACACTATTATTTAGAGACACTGTGTTGAAAACAATTCCACAATTGCTTTGAATAATAATGCATGAAAAACTAAGCATTTTAAATTTGCAGTATGGTGTCTTAAAGAAAAATGTGTTTTAAATCCTTAAATATACCAATTCACCACATTAAATACATTTATTGTCCATTTGCTGTTCACCTCCTGTTGAGTGCCTTGAAGTGGAAGACCCCTGAGTCACACTGATGTTTTAGGATTCAAACATTTGAATACATTGAAGCTATTATATTGATTATGTTATTTCCCACGTCACTTCATTCGTTCCCTGAATGGGTGCTGGTTACAAAGGTATATTCAGGTCATAAAATTTTGGCCATTTGTATAATTAGAATATGAACATTTTTCATATTTATACTTTATTTCCATTTTAAACGGCAATCTGAGTTACTTGGGAACATAAAAAGAAATAATATATGATTTTCTGAAATCATAATCCTCAAATTTCACAAAATGTCAAGTCGGTATAAATATCCCGACATTTTCAAAACCAGAAAATGCTCAATACATGGATTATTCTAAACCTCTAAAAAAGGTTTACAAAAGCTCCTGTGCTTTCCAACAAGTCAATAGTCTTCTTTATACGCCTTGGAGATCCTAGATCACATCTTAGATAATGTAACAAAAAATTAACTACAAAAAATGTTGTCAAATTATTTTCATATTTCAGGGAAAAGTTGTTTGTTATTTTTTGCTATTTTTATCACAAGAAAAAAAGCTTCTTTTACTTATCCAGTGTGTTTATTTTCGTTCTTAAAATAATTGTGTTAGATCAAATGTATGAAAAAAATAAGGTTTTTCAATCTTGCATAATCCGTAAGTACCTTATCAATTATATTTCTACTTCTTAAAGTTATTAGTTCACAGATATGAGGACAGGGAAAAGCAAACATTTTTCAAACCATTAAGATATTTCCACTGAAAATCAGGTGTATATTTACTTTTGTCTGGTGATTATCCTCTGAGGTGGTTTAGCGTCTCACATTTGTTACTTTTTCATTTTTCAATCCATCATATTGATTTTTCTCTTCATCCAGGTCTGTGCAGTTTGGAAATTATACCTCTTTATGAAGATCTGTGAAATCTTTTATGAGAAAAAATAATCGAGTTCTGTCAACTGAATCACTCCCTGTCAGTTCCTGAAAGACACACAGAATAAATTATGGCTGGCCAAATGTGACCTTTTAAAAACCACAGTGGCTCTTTAAGGTATAAGCTTTATCCCACCTCCTGCCAAAAGGAATGATTATGAGAAAAGCTCAGACCCTATTGTCAGTGTTGTATGTAATATTTATGCAGGGTAATCCCCTTGGCATGTAAATAATTCAGGATTTAAAAGTACTAAGTGAACAAACAAATACTAAAAATTCAAAATATTGCCACACTCCCTAAGTGGTGAATTATCCAATCTTGGTTATATTCCATGACTGAGGGAAAGCAAATCAATAAGAAATGAAAAATAACCTGTGTGTAGTAATACACATCCTGGGGAGAACTGGCTGCGTGCAAACGAAGTATTACTTGACACAGTGCAATATGTTACTAAAAGTGGATCAGAAATACTATATTTGTTTAACTGGTGTAATACACAAACACACACACACACACACGGAACTTGAGTAGGGTCTGAAAGAGGTTTAAGAAGAGAAGGAAAGGGAAATTCATCTGGACTGGGGAGATTGGTAATGAAGGCAGAGACAGAAAAGGGAAGGTAAATGTGAAATTAGCTTGATTGGAGCAAATTCTTGGGAACGGAATGGGGTTGCAACTAGACTGAAAGAGGCTCTCAATGATATGTAAAGCAGAGGGATATTTTTATGTGTTCCAGAGGCAACAGAGATACATTAAAGGGGACAGAAAGAAAATTGGTAAAGGTTGTTTTATGAAAATATTGGGAAAGCATGAGCTTTTCTAAATCTTCATGAATTTCCGTGTTGTCTCTTAGTTTGGGAGCATATAATTGGTAAGAATCTCAGGAGGCCGCCTAGTCTCTCCTCCACTCCAAGCAAGACCGAGCAATTCCTGACGGACATTCATTGTATTTTTAAATGATTAGCGGAGGTGGCACCGTGACCTTGAAAGGTGATCAGTTGCATTTTATATAGCACCTGCACAGTTATGGAATTCAACCCGGGTTTAGCTCAAGTCCATTCTTCAATTGATGCCATATCTTTTCATTGAAATCGGGATAAGTGATGGGAAGAGTCTTTGCCATAACATTGGACTCCTACAATTCCAGTTCCCTAAAAATAGGTCGGTGTACATCAAGGTACTTCTTCATCTAACTGACTAACATAATGAAGAATACTTTAATTTTCTATGTGATTTTAGAGCACATGAGACCCTATAATATTTTTGCACATCCAGGCTTCCATTTGCTTTTTCATCTTTCTGGAAACACTTCCCTTCTTATTTTTCTAACAAAATCCAACTCAACTTTCAAGAGGCAATTCGGATGTTAACTATATATATATATATATACACACACACACACATATATATGTATATATATACATATATACACACACATATATATGTGTATATACACACACATATATATGTGTGTATATACACATATATTATACTTTAAGTTTTAGGGTACATGTGCACAATGTGCAGGTTTGTTACATATGTATACATGTGCCATGTTGGTGTGCTGCACCCATTAACTCGTCATTTAGCATTAGATATATTTCCTAATGCTTTCCCTCCCCCCTCCCCCCACCCCACAACAGTCCCTGGAGTGTGATGTCCCCCTTCCTGTGTCCATGTGTTCTCATTGTTCAATTCCCACCTATGAGTGAGAACATGCGGTGTTTGGGTTTTTGTCCTTGTGATAGTTTGCTGAGAATGATGGTTTCCAGTTTCATCCATGTCCCTACAAAGGACATGAACTCATTTTTTATGGCTGCATAGTATTCCATGGTGTATATGTGCCACATTTTCTTAATCAAAAGAAGACATTTATGCAGCCAAAAAACACATGAAAAAATGCTCATCATCACTGGCCATCAGAGAAATGCAAATCAAAACCACAATGAGATACCATCTCACACCAGTTAGAATGGCGATCATTAAAAAGTCAGGAAACAACAGGTGCTGAAGAGGATGTGGAGAAATAGGAACACTTTTACACTGTTGGTGGGACTGTAAACCAGTTCAACCATTGTGGAAGTCAGTGTGGCGATTCCTCAGGGATCTAGAACTAGAAATACCATTTGACCCAGCCATCCCATTACTGGGTATATACCCAAAGGATTATAAATCATGCTGCTATAAAGACACATGCACACGTATGTTTATTGCAGCACTATTCACAATAGCAAAGACTTGGAACCAACCCAAATGTCCAACAACGATAGACTGGATTAATTAACTATATTTTAATAAAGCCTTTTCTAAAGGCTTTATTATATATGTGTATATATGTATACACACACACCCATATATATATATACACACACATATATATACATATATATATACACACACATATATGTATATATGTGTGTATATATATACAGATATATATACATATATGTGTATATACATATATGTGTGTGTGTGTATATATATATATATATATATATATATATACCCACACACAATCACTATGTGGATGAGTGAGTTTAATTCTCATTTTACAAATGAGAAAACTGAGACTTTGTTAAAGATTACAAAAGTTTTTTGAGTTCTTGGTCCTTTCAGCTGGTTCACACCACCTCCCTAAATAGGGTTTGCCGAAACAAATAAACAAACAAAAACTTAAATATAACGAAAACAACTATAATCTGCAAATATAGTGGGTTTATGCATGAAACTTGTTAATTTGCATTAAGGTAGACAGTACAGAGTAGCACATCTATGTCTCATTGAATCAGAGTGCCTTAATTTGTCATGAAAGAAACTAGTGTAAGTGGGTTTGTTTGCTGTAGATTATTAGGGAGTCCACTTCATTCTTTTATGATACAGAATAGGGATGTATCCAATTGAATATAAGAACTATAATAAAAATTCTTTTCCAAAATCATAATATTCCAAAGTACAATTATGAAATTACAAAATTAAATTATCTATACCATTTTGGCTCTCAACATTTATTTGACTTAGTTTTGCCCTTGATTTTATAGAACAAAGGTCAATGATTTTCTGCTTGCTAACTTTGTTACTAATAAAGCTTTTGGTGGTGTATTTGTTGAGTATTTTGATTAGCATTTTTCAACTGATTAGAACAAAATGTAACCAAAGCTTCTCCAAAAATGTAACTATCTTTGTCAGTCACCTATGGTTATTTATAAATACATTTCTCTAAATTTCTAACATTTTAAAATTCAAGTGAGGGGGCAACAAAGAGAAATCACATACTGCTATCTCAAATTTTTAAAAATTATTCTTACTTCCACATCAGCTTTGTCACACACACAAAAATTGTTGTTATTTTGGGTATATATAAATTTCATCAATTCTAACAATAACTAATTCTATTTTTTCATACATTATAGTAGTGTGTAGGAATGACTTAGGAACTATGTATGCACCACAACCAATTTGATAAGAATATTTCTATGCCATTTATTTATTAAACTGATAAAACATTATTTTAGCACAATGTAGTATTGCCCAAAATTCATCTTGGATTAGCCCAAAAGCAAACAAATGAAGTTTATGTCCTATGTTGAAACTCTTGACTGAACTGACTATAGCAGGGGTCCCCAATCCCCAGTACTGGTCCCTGGTCTCTTAGGAACACCGGTGCATAGCAAAAAGTGAGCAAGTCAACTTTCATCTGTATTTATGGCCACTCCCCATCACTCGCATTACTGCCTGAGCTCCGCCTCTTGTCAGATCAGTGGCAGCATTAGATTCTCATAGGAGTGTGAACCCTATTGTGAACTGCACATGTGAGGGATCCAGGTTGCACACTTCTTCTGAGAATCTAATGCCTGATGATCTGTCACTGTCTCCCATCATCCCCAGATGGGACCGCCTAGCCCAGGACTCTCACTGATTCTACATTATGGTGAGTTGCACAATAGTTTAATTATACACTACAATGTAATAATAATATAAATAAAGTGCACAATAAATGTAATGAGCTTGAATGATTCCAAAACCATCACCCCCACCCCAGTCCATAGAAAAACTGTCTTCCATGAAACAGGTCCCTGGTGCCAAAAAGGTGGGGGACCACTAAACTATAGCATTTACAATAATATCAGATACAATAATGTCAGATGTTTCATCTTTGACAGAATATACATCAAAAGTTTTATTTTGACTCTATAAATTGGATGAAAAATTAAGCCACTATTGGTATTAACTGATTTTCTACCAATACATTTGATGACACTCACATAAAACTGGTGTCTTTTCACCATTTGCAAAATCCTTCTTTTGCTAATGAATCCAACATATTAGCAGCTGTCTCTTCAGTTTTTGTATGTGCATGAGAAATTTTGGTAACACTAATTGGAGCAAAAAATGAGCAAATTCAATTGAGAGCAGTTATTTGATTCAAATAAAAGTCATATGCCACAGAACTATCTATGATAAACCTATCTTTTGTAGCTACATGTATTAAATTGTTATCTTTAGGCACAGTCTTTTAACATAACTATGAACTGTTGAGGTTAGATGTTGATACTTCATTGGCAGATTTTTATCTTCTGGTTTACATGTCGTCAGTAATATCCTCATGGTCCCCCTGGTGAGTGATATATGTTGACATTTTGTCAAATTAATCATTTATCAATTTGTCATCAGGTTTCCAACAGAAATTCACAACTTGAACTTGATTTCTTTTACCCAAATGAACTTTCTGCTTTTTATGTCATTGGTGCTGAAAGGTATATTGCCCAAAATGGGGGTAATATCAATAATATATAATAAATGCATAGTTGTAAATCTACACAAGGTAATAAATAATGAAACTGCAGTTGCAAGAGTATTCAAACTACTCTCTGTATACTCTTTACCGCAGGATTGTTTAGCCTCTCCTTCTCACACATATTTCGTGTGTAATTGACCTGTAATTTCCCAAATTTCCCGTAGAGCCCATCAGCTAGCAGTCTTGAGGCTCTGTACATTGGCAAGGGCCAGCAGTGCCAGTGGTACCAGCGATGTCAGATGCTTCTCCTTCCATAGCTGCATATTGCAAGGCTTACTCAGCTGCTCGCATCCTGTGTACTTCCTTTTATTAGGGAGTTTCCTGCATGCTGTCCCTGAAACGGATGTCTTAGTTATGTTGTGTCAGGAGAGGGTTATCACTGGTTGCTAAAAGCCAGATTTGACCAAGCATTAGAGTAAGAACTTCCTTTACTGCACATCTATCTCACATAGCCCTGGATACAATAATAATAGAAATGGTGGGTCTTACCAATCCATCTCACCTTCTTTCACACACAACTAATGATAATACTAAGAAAATGAAACGTTTGGTAGGTGACTTCCAGTTTTTGGATCTGCATTTAGAGAGTTGAGAAGTTGCCACTTCATCCTAACAACAAGTAAAATGCTTAAAAGACTGAAAAATCAACAATCCAATCTTCTTGGATCTAGTAGAGAGGAAAAGACACAGGGTAAACTGCTGCCCTTAAGATGAGGGAGACAGGCAGGCAAATACAGAGTCACAGCTTTCCAGAGTAAAGAGTAGAGACCCAAGAGTAGAACCCACCAAGGGAATCAGTGCTGGGGTGGGAAAAAGTGGGTTCTAATTAATAAATTGCTAAAAGCTCAGTGTGGACAACTGTGAGAGTTAGAGACTTCCAGGAAAGTCAGTCACAGGGTACTCCACCCTGCTTTTGTGAGTTTTAGTTCAGGGAGCTTGATGATTTTTTTATAGTAAATATCTGAGAAAAATTCTCTTGTGCTTTCAGCAAGGGGAGGGAAAGAGGAACCATTTTGAAAAACACCAGAGCACCCTGTTCTTTTTGACAAGGCCTGCCCTCAGGGGAAACTAATGAAACAGCGCCTAACCTGCTGGGGTATTATCAAAAACTGACTTGGGGGAAGAAATATACCCAATTCCAGCCCAGTGTAATCATCTTATTACACCTAAAAGGGGAGGGAAAAAAAACTCAGAGAAACACTTATGAACCCACGGGTCAGAAGGACAGGCTTACTGAAAGACTGTGCCTTAATCATACAACCACGGAACACTTCCTCTCCCACCACACCGTAACAGATTATTAAATGCCTATTTACAGCAGTTCATTTTATCCAGCACATCATGTCCAGCTATCAAGAAAAAATTACAAGGCATACCAGGAGGCGCCCCCCGCCAAAAAAAGACCTACAATTTGAATAGATAGAGCAAGCATCAGAACCACATAGGGCAGGGATGTTGGGGTTATCAGACCAAGAATTCAGAACCACTATGATTAATATGCTAAGGATTTTTATGGATAAAGTGAATAACATGCAGGATTAGGAGGTCAATGAATGTAAGCAAAGAGATGGACATCCTGAGGAAGACCAAAAGAAAGTTAGAGATAAAAAACACTGTAATAAAAATGTAGAATGCCTTTGATGGGAGTATTACTTAACTGGACACAGATGAGGAAATAATCGCTGAACTTAAGGATGTATCAAAAGATCCTCTAAAACTGGAAATCAAAGAGAACAAAGCCCCCCCCAGCCCAAAAAAATAATTAAGAATATTCAAGGACTGTGGGACTACTGCAAAGGTGTAGCATGTGCATAATAAAATACCTGATGGAGGAGAGAGAAAGAAACAGAAGAAATAGTTGAAACAATAACAACTGAAGATTATCTGAAAAACAAAAAGTCAGACACCAAACCACAGATCCAGAAGTTCAGAGAACACCAAGCAGGATTAATGCAAAAACCCCCAATACCTAGGCATATTATTTCAAGATGCAAAAATAAAAAATAAAAATAAAAGAATAAACAATGAAAGAAACAAGAAGAAAAGAAAAAACACCTTTTATATAGAAGAGTAAAGGTAGGCCTTACATCCAACTTCTCATAAATCATGGAAGCAAGAAGAAAGTGAAGTGAAATATTTGAAGTATTGAGAGGAAAAACTGCCAACCTAGAATTCTGTATCCAGTGAAATTATCTTTAAAAGTAAAGCAGAAATATTTTCTCAAAAAAAGGCATTTTTTGTCAGTATATTGCCTTGCAATAGATATTACAAAGAAGTTCTTTAGAAAGAAGAAATATAATGTAGGTCAGAAACTCAGATCTACATAAAAAGAAAGAGCACTGAAAATAAGTATTGAAGTTAAACAGAAACATTTATTTTTCTCATTTAGGTAATAGTCTGTCCAATATAATAATAGCAAAAATCTATTTTATTATATATGTTTATGTGTGTGTGTGTGCGTGTGTGTGTGTATACTTAGGTATGCTTATATGTAATTGAAATGAATGACAACAATGATACAAGGGACAGGAGGGAGAAATTAGAATTATTTTATTATAAAGTACTCACTATGCAAGAGTGGTATAGTGTTATTTGAAAGGTGACTTGGATTCATTATAAATGCATATTGCAAACTCTAGGGCAACCAATAAAGAAAGTTATAAAAAAGTATAACTGATATGTTAACAATAGAATCATAGAAAATGTTCAATTTAAACCACAAAAGGAAGAAAAAGAAGACAAAAATAGAAAAAAAAGAATGAAGGTAAGAAATAGAAAACAGTAACAAATATGGTAGACATTGATCCAACTATATCAATAATCACTGTGAAAATAAATGGCCTGAATGCACCAATTAAAAGATAAAGGTTGTCAGAGTGGAAAAAAAAATAAGATTCAACTATATGTTGTTTTAAAAACCCACTTTACATGTAAAGACACCTATAGATTAAAAGTAAATAAAGAAAGAAAATATATCATGCTAATACTAACCAAAAGAAAACATGGTAGCTATATTAATTTCTGATGGAACAGACTTTAAAGCAAGAAAAGTTATTAGTGCTAAAGAAGGGCATTACATAATGATACAGGGGTCTATTCTCCAAGAAGACATAATAATCCTTAACATGTGTGCACCTAACAACAACAGAACACCAAACTACATGAGGCAGAAATTGATAGAACTGCAAAGAGAAATAGATGAATCTACTATTATCATGGCAGACTTAAACATCCCTCTATCAGAAATGGACAGATCCAGCAGGCAGAAAATCAGTAGGACATAGTTGAACTCAACAGCAACGTCAATCAACTGGATATAATTGACATGTATAGATTATTTCATCCAACCACAGCAGAATACACATTCTTCTCAAGCTCACATGGAACATTCACCGAGATGGGCCATAGTCTGAGACATTACAACAGCTTAACAACTTTTTAGAAAATATAGATCATTCAATGCCTATTCTCAAAACATATTGTAAATAAACTAGAAATCAATAACAGAAAGATTACCAGAAAATTCTAAAATACATGGAGGTTAAATGGCACTCTCTAAATAACACATAAGTCAAAGAAAAAATCTTAATAAACAATTAAAATGTTTTGAACTAAATGAACATGAAAATACAGCTTATCAAAATTTGTTGGATGCAGTGAAAACAGTGCTTAAAGGGAAATTTATAGCACTGAATGCATATATTAGAAAAAAGAAAGATCTAAAATCAGTAATTGAAGTTTCCACCTTGGGAAACTACAAAAAGATGAGATAAAAAGAATTAGAATAGAAATCATTGAAACTGAAAATAGGAAATCAATAATCAACAGAACTAAAAACAGGTTCTTTGACGATTAATAAAATTGATAAGCCTTTATCCAGGATATCTAAAACAATATAAAGGATGCACATTCTAATATCAGAAATGAAATACAGGATATCATTATTGATCCCACAGACATTAAAAGGATAATAAAGGAATACTATGAACAACTCTGTGTCCACAAATTTGATAACCTAGATACAATGGACCAATTATTTAAAACACAAAATCTTCCAAGACACATACAAGAAGAAACAGACAATCGGAATTGGTCTATATCTATTAAAGAAATTGAATCAAAAATTAGTTACCTTTCAGAACAGAGAGCACAAGGCCCAAATGAGTGTACTGGTGAATTCTAGCTACCATTTAAGAAAGAATTTTTATCAATAGTCCAATTATACGAAGAAATTGTACAATGTCTTTCAAAGATAGAAGCAGAGGGAATACTTCTTAACTTATTCTATGAGCCCACCATTACTCTAACACTCAAACTGAAGACATTATAATGAAAAAGAGTACAGTCCAGTATCTCTAGTGAACATAGATGCAGAAATTCTCAACAAATATTATCAAATTGAATTCAACAATGTATAAAATTAATTATATAACACGGCCAAGTGGGACTTTTCCCCAGTATGTGAGGCAGATTCAACATTCAAAAATTAATTAATGTAGATCACCTCTTCAAGAGGCTAAAAGAGAAAAATCACAAAATCATATAATTATATGCCAAAAAAAGCACTGGACAAAATCCAACACTTATTAATTACAAAAACACCCAGTAAACTAATAGAGAGAAACTTTCTCAACTTGGTAAAGAATATATACAAAAACCCCATAGCAAACATCATACTTAGTAATAAGAAACTTGAAGTTTTCCCGGTAATATCATGAACAAGGCAAAGATATTTCCTCTCATCACTGCTTTTCAACATCCTACTGGAGGTTATAGCTAATGCAATAAGACAAGAAAAGAAAATTAAATGCTATGAAGACTGGAAATAAATAAATAAAATTATCTTTATTCTCAGATGACATGATCTTCCATGTAGAAAATTTGAAAGAATTAAGTATAAAAACTCCCAGAATCTCTTATTAAAGCAATTATGGTGAGGTTGCAGGATACAAGTTTCATATTCAAAAGTCAGTCGCTTTCTATATACCAGCAATGTACAAGAATAATTTGAAATTAAAATCATAATACCATTTACATTAGCATTTCCCCTAAAACTCAAATACTTAGTTACAAACCTAACATAATATGTACAAGAGCTGTATGAGAAGAACTATGGAACTCTAATGGAAGAAATCAAACACTAAATGAATAATGACATATTCCAAGTTCATTGATAGGAAGACTCAAATTGAGAAGATGCCACTTCTCAACTTGATCTACTGATTCAGTGTAATACCACCCAAAATCCCAGCAAGTTTGTGGATATCAACAAACTGATTCAAGTGAGGTGCAGTAGCTTGGGCTTGAAATTCCAGATATTCAGGAGGCTGAGGAAAAAGGATGGCTTTTAGCCCAGGAATTCACGACCAGCCTGAGTAATACAGTGTGGTCTTGCCTCTACAAAAATTTTTTTAAAAATTAGCCCAGTATGGTGGTACACCCCTGTAGCCCCAGACACTCAAAAGGCTGAGGTGGCAAGATCACTTGAGCCCAGGGGTTTCAGGTTGCAGTGAGCTATGATTGTGCCATTGCACTGCAGCTGGACAACAGAGTGAGACCCCATCTCTTACAACAAACAAAAAAAAACAAAGCCTGAATTTAAAGTTTATAGAGAGAGACAAAAGTCTCAGAATAGCCAACACCTTATGGAAGGACAAGGATAAGAACAAAGTTGGATGACCAACACTGCTCAACTTCAAGACCTATTAGAACACTATAGTAATCAAAACAGTGTGGTATTGGTGAAAGAGTAGATCAATGCATCCATGAAACAGAACAGAGAGCTTAGAAACAGACCCACATAAATATAGTCAACTGATCTTTGGCAAAAGAGCAAAAGAAATACAATGGAGTAAAGACAGTCTTTTCAGAAAATGGCACTGAAACAACTGAACATCTACATGCAAAAAAAAAATCTAGACACAAAACTGACACTTTTCACAAAAACTAACTTAAAAGGAATCATAGACCAAAATGTGAGATGCAAAAGTATAAAACAAGAAGACAACATAGGAGGACACATAGGTGATATTGGATATGGCAATGACTTCTTAGATACAAGATAAAAGGCACAATTCACCAAAAATATTGACATGCTGGAATTTATCAAATGAAAAACTTCTGTTTTGTGAAAGAGAATGTAAAGAGAATGAGAAGACAAGCAGTAGCCTGGGAGAAAATATTTGCAAAGACACATCTGATAAAGGGTTATTACCCAAAATATACAAAGAACACTTAACACCCAACAATAAGAAAACAAACAACCCATTTAAAAAATGATCTAAAGACTTTAGCAGACACCTTATCAAATAAGATATGCAGATGGCATATAAACATATTAAAATATCCTCCACATCATATGTCATCAGGGAAATGCAAATTAAAACAATGAGGTACCACTTACACACCTATCAGAATGGTCCAGATCTAGAACACTGACAACAACCAATGCTGACAAGGATGTGGAGCAACAGGAACTCTCACTTATTGTTGGTGAAAATGCAAAATGGTAACCCCTTTGGAAGGCACTTTGGCAGTTTCTTAGAGAAGTAAACCTATTCTTCCCATATGATCTAGCAATTATGCTCTTTGGTATTTACCCAAAGGAGTTGAAAACTTATGTCCACAAAAAAACTTGCACAAGGATTTTTATAGCAGCTTTTTAAAGAATAAATTACTTGCATATATTTAAGGTAAACAATATGATGTTATGGGATACATATACATAGTAAAATTGTTACTATGGTAAGGCAAAATAATATATCTATCATCTTACATAGTTACCCTTTATTGTCTGTGGCCAGAGCAGGTAAAATCTGCTTCAAGACCTATTAGAAAACTACAGTTATCAAGAAAGTGACAGTAATCACTGTCCTGATTACTGTAGTGTTGTAATAGGTCTTGAAGTAACAAAGTCAAATATACAGTTAAAGAATAAAACACTGATTATCAGGAAGAAAGAGAAAAGAAATGGAGACGAAATAGTAGATATGGAGGATGAACAAGTCTAGAGATCTAATGTAGACCATGAGAATTATAGTTAATAATATTTATAACGGCTTTACCAATAATTAGCCAAAACATGGAATTAATATGTCCTTTAGTGGATGAATGGGTAAGCTAACTGAGGTACATTCAGACAATGGAATATTATTCAGTGCTAAAAAGAAATGAGCCATCAAGCCACCAAAAGACTTGGGGAAAACTTAAATGCGTATTAGTCAAAGAAGCCAGTCTGAAAAAACTACATGCTATATGATTCCAACTACATGACATTCTGAAAAAGGGAAAACTATGGAGACATTAAAAAGGTTAGAGGGGTTGGGCTCACACCTGTAATCCCAGCACTTCAGGAGGCCGAGGCAGGCGGATCACAAGGTCAAGAGATCGAGACCATCCTGGCCAACATGTTGAAACCCCGTCTCTTCTAAAAATACAATAATTAGCCAGTCGTGGTGGCACACAACTGTAGTCCCAGGTACTCAAGAAGCTGAGGCAGGAGAATCACTTGAATCCGAGAGGTGGAGGTTGCAGTGAGCCAAGCCAAGGTTGTGCCACTGCACTCCAGCCTGGTGACAAAGCAAGACTCTATCTCAAAAAAAATAAATAAATAAAAATTAGAGGGCTGAGTGTGGCGTCTCACACCTGTAATCCCTGTTATCCCGACAGTTTGGGAGGCTGAGGCAGGTGGATTGCTTGAGCCCAGGAGTTCAAGACCAGCCTGGGAAACACAGCAAAACCCCATCTCTACCAAAAAATAAAAAAATTAGCAGGGCATGGTGGTGCGTGCCTGTAGTCCCAGCTACTTGGGAAGCTGAGGTGGAAGAATTGCTTGAGCCTGGGAGGCAGAGGTTGCAGGGAGCCGAGATCGTTCCATTGCAATTGAGACCCTGGGCAACAAAGGGTGACTCTGTCTCAAAAAATAAGTATATCAATAAATAAGATTAGGGGTTGCCATGTTTGGGGTGGAAAGAATAGGGAAAACACTGCACAGGAAAAAAAATGTAGCTTTTTGCCAAAGTCCAAAATGACTAAAACATATTTTTTTCTGGAAGCTTTTTGAAATGTAATTGCTATCTTTGCAACTGCAGGCAATGAGTGTGAGTTTAACTCCTCTGCTTTTTTATGACCTTCCATAGCACATGAATTATCAGCTGCTGGGGCCCATCTATGGAAGGTGTTTCTGTTTCCCTGGCAGGATGAGTCCATCCACATCCTATCTGAGCTCAGCGAAGTGGACAGGGGAGATTAAGGACATATTAGGGTCATAAACGACCTGATTTTATTTTAAACTGTGTCTGGTCAAATGGGACACTGTACTCTTGAGAGAATAATTAACTCTATTTTTGTTTGTTTTTATTCAAGAGATGGGAAATGGGTAGAGAATGAAAGGAAGAAAGCATTCTGGGAAAATAGCTAACCTGCTTCTGGAGTCAGACAGCACTGAGCTTAAATCCCAGCTCTGCCTCTGAGTAAATTAAAGTCCTAGGAAAATTAAGTGAACGGCTTTATACCTCAATTTCTATGTTTACAACTGGTGAGAAAAACACCTTCTTTATAGAGCTGAAATGAGGAGTAAACAGCCATCTACTTTAAAGCTCTTACTGAGAAGTGACAGCGTGCTGGCAGTCCTCGCAGCCCTCGCTTGCTCTCGGCGCCTCCTCGGCCTTGGCGCCCACTCTGGTCGCGCTTGAAGAGCTCTTCAGCCCGCCGCTGCACTGTGGGAGCCCCTTTCTGGACTGGCCAAGGCCGGAGCCGGCTCCCTCAGCCTGCGGGGAGGTGTGGAGGGAGAGGCGCAGGCGGGAACGGCTCCCTCAGCCTGCGGGGAGGTGTGGAGGGAGAGGCGCAGGCGGGAACCGGGGCTGCGCGCGGTGCTTGCGGGCCAGCGCGAGTTCCGGGTGGGCGTCGGCTCGGCCGGCCCCGCCCGCCCGGCCCGTGGCAGTGAAGGGCTTAGCACCCGGGCCAGCAGCTGTGCTCGACTTCTCGCCGGGCCTTAGCTGCCTCCCGGCGGGGCAGGGCTCAGCACTTGCAGCCCGCCATGCCTGAGCCTCCCCGCGCCGCCGTGGGCTCCTGCGCGGCCCGAGCCTCCCTGACCAGCGCCGCCCCCTGCTCCACGGCGCCCGGTCGCATCCGAACACCCAAGGGCTGAGGAGTGCGGGCGCACGGCGCGGGACTGGCAGGCAGCTCCACCTGCGGCCCCTGTGCAGTATCCACTTGGTGAAGCCAGCTGGGCTCCTCAGGCTGGTGGGGAGTTGGAGAACTTTGGAGTTGCAGGTGCTAAGGCTTTCCAGGCCTGTGAGGATCTGGCTGCCTCCATGGTGGGCGAAGTAAGAGGCGGGGTATGCGACGGATCTGAACCAGTCACTGGGGGGCTCGGGTCTGTTTACCTCCAGAGCTTGCACTTTTTCTAACATACCACATGATTTTCTGGAATACAGACACAATGACTTCCCAGTGCAAATCTTTCTGTGGGATGGTTCGACTCTGTTGACCTCGAAAGAGGTCAGATGGCTGTAATATGTGATTTTGTTCTGATAGCTACTTCTTAAACTGCGTCTACCAGGTGGCACAATTGCAAATCGAGGGGGATTATGGTTTAATTATTTCCATATTGCATGCAAAGGAAACCTTGATGGTTCTCAATCTTGAATCCATATTAGAATCACCTGGAGAGTGATTCTAGAAACCCAGTTTCCATTTCTCAGAGATTCAGATGTATTTGATCTGAGATATATTCTGGTGGTGCAGATGTGCAAATTCCCCAGGTGATTCCAAGGTGAAGGTAGGTTTGAGAATCACTGATTCCGAAACCAGCAGCCAGAGGAGCCGTCCAGTCTTTGTCTCTGCAGATCACATCCGTATATGGTCCTGAAACTTGCCCAAGAGTCTCCTCAACGTTCACTTGATTTTGCTCATATGAGAACAGCTGTAAGTGATGCTGTCTTCCTCTCCCATCCTCCCTCCCACTGCATTCCCAGCTGAGGGAATTCCCTTATCCCAAATTCTCCCTGTTTCATTGGAGGCCAGAGGTTACAGGTTTGGTTATACATACCTATTATAAATAGAGAAGAGAGCCCCAAGGAGATGAGGCTGAAGATAAAGAAACATTTTATATAAATGAAAAATCAATAACAGAATATTGTATCATGTTAAGGTAATTTTTCCAGATATAAACTTTTCATGTTAGAATACTTCAAAAATACGAAGAAAACTATAGCTAGAGCTATAGAAAACTACACCTAGAGCTAATCACTGTTAAGATGATGTGTTTTTTTCAGTAGCCTTTATTTATGTGTATACATGTATTCATTGTAACTTCCTTGTTTAATGAAGTGTCTTTTCTTAACCAATCCTTCAATTATCAAATGAATGCTGTGACTCTTCAAAGCCTCTGATGGTAGATGACCACATCTGTCACTCCAGTTTGGAACTGAGGAAGGAGGGGCTGTGGCTCTCCTAGAAATCCCTTGCTGGGCAGAGTCATTTGCCATAAGGAACCTCTATTGTCCCTGCCTGGTTCTTCTCCTACAGCCAGAATCAATCCGCCAGAGGCAAGGTTAGGCAGGTGATGCTCTTGCCAGAAAAGTCTCGGGGTAGTCGGCTCTCTGAAGGCAGGGGCTGTGTGCTCTCTCCCGGCTCTCCTGCTGCACTTTGCCTGGCCTCAGACTCTGCACAAAGGGGATTGTCAGTAACTGGGAATTGACCGAGAACTATGTCATTAAAAATTCATAAATACCTCCCAGCATTTCAATGAATATCCAAAGAATATGGTGCCCTTAGCTACATTATTGTATAATCTAATCAATAAGAAGATGAAAACAAGGACCAGAGAAGCTCCTCAATGTCCTAATTGTTTATCAAGAAACAAGAGAAAAGAATAGAAAGTGTTTGGTCCTGAAGCAAAAGGAATAGGTCACCTTTACTCGTGTTCATTTCACTTCAGCTGCCTGATTCAGTCCCTTTTCTCTTTCTAATTGCCTGGGTGTTTTGTTTGTTTGGTTGGTTTTACTTGTTTTCAGTTTTTTAAAAATTGTTGTTTAATTTCCCAGGAATTCATCTATTTTTTTTTTCTCAAAAAGCTAGGTTTTGGACTGTTGCATTTTACTTCCTCATATTTTTAACTCATTGTTTTCTGTTTTAATATTTATTGTGTTCTATTTCTTATATTCTTAGGGTATAGTTTAATAATTATTTGAATTAAAGAATAGTTCAGTTTACATCCTTTTGACAACATGCATTGCAAGTTTACCATTTAACACTGATTTTGTTACATTTGACAAGACTATGCTTTGTTCTCATATTGTTGGCTTATGAAAAATCTGATGCTGAGATTTCATTCTTGTCCTCTTTAAGCAATTTTTCAAAGCAATTGTTTTTCAATTTTTAAGTGATTTCTTGTTAACATATTATTTTCCATTGTTAATTGATTTGTGATGACAGGATGTACCTTGGCTATTTTATGATTTGAACAAGGTTTGATAATTTTTCCAATGCTTGGCAGACTTTAATGTGCATATACATCCTCCTGAGATCTTGTAAAAATGCAGATTCTGATTCTGGAAATCTGGAGTCACTGAGGATGCTGCCTACCTGTCAAGACCCTGGAGGAGGTCCAGGCTGCTAGTCATAGAGCCTATATAGCTTGAGTAGTCAGAATGCAGAATATGAACATTTTAAAAATAGTTCAGAGATGTTTGTAAAGAAGATGTAATGTTTTAATTTTGTAATAAACAGAATTAAATATATACGTACTTACTGTAGATATATTGTAAATACAATCTTTGAGGGGCATTATATGCATTAAAAGCAAAGACTTTAGAGCCAAATGGCTTGCATTCAAAATCCACTGAAGTCACTTTCTCCACGTGACCACATGGAAAAGCAACTTATCTGCCTCACAGAGTGCAATCATTACAAAGAATTAATATCTGTAAAGATAAGTGTTTTTATTATTTATCATACTTTTTGTATTTTTCCAAGCATTATGAAAAGTATTCACTCTATATATTTAGATGTTCTGTAATTTGGTGCAGAAGAATTCACTATTGTTAGGTGTTTATTATGCATTTATATCTTTAATAGTAATAAATATCTACTATGTTACAAGTACTGTTATGATTTATGGTTCATTTCGTTTGAGTTTGCGTACTTTGAATATTTCCATGCCATTTTCTTTTTTATGTCTCTTATAAGCATCAGGCAGTAGGACTTTAATCCCAAAGGCTTTAATTCAAGAGTCATTGCTTTGATCAAGTTTATTTATTAAACTGCCCTAGTTAAAGTAGAACCAGATATAATCATGGCAAAAGCTTAATAATATTATCAATAATATAAGTGACTGACACATTCATTGCCTGTGTATATATTTCATTATTCTTACAAGCAGCCTTTTGGCTTATTCTGAGAAATAATTTAGAGGTAATTCAGTCTCACTTCCCACTGAATGTATAAGATTCCAAAAACGGTTGTCAATTAACTTTCATCACCAATAACTTGCATCTATATGCCCCTCCTCATCCCATCTCCATGCTTCTTCCCAGAAGTATTCATTATCCTGAAGTTTAGGTTTGTTTTTATGTTGCCTAGTTTAGAATAAATTTATATGTACTGTACTTGGAAAATATACTGATTAATTGTAATGGTTTTGAATATTAACAATAAAGATATTTATACGGCATCTAGTCTTTGTATTGCTATTTTGGTTCAATATTATTATTTCTGCCTTTATATTTCTAGACTTCATCCACTTTGTTGCTTATAGCAATAGTTTATTCATTATCACTGCTGAAGATATTTCACTGTGTTTATTACTACAATGTATTTATTCATTCTCCTGTTGATAGATATTTGAATTTTTTTCCCAGTCTTTTGCTATTATGAACAGTGGTGCTATGAAGATTCATGCTAAATCTCCTGGGGCACATGCACTTGGGATTGGTGAATGTTTAACTTGACAAGATGCTTCTACATTGTTTTCCAAGGTAGTTACACTAGTGAATATTAATATATAAGTGTTTTACCTCGACTCCTTGATTTTGCCAATGTAATGGTACAAAATGATATCTCTTTGTACTCAACAACATTTACATGATTACTACCAAAGCTAAAATGAATGTTTCACATATTAAATAGTAACAGATACTTCTTTTGCTCTAAAATTTCTGCTCATGTTTTTTCTATTTATTAATTAGGTATATTTACCTTTCGTTTTTATTTCCAATGGTTTTTACATATTTTTTCATTCCAGCTTTGGTCTGTTATATGGATTGCAAATATCTTCTTCTACTTTCTGGCTTATCTCTTTAATCTTTAAATAGTGCCTTAATGGAGAGGCATTCTTAATTTTTTAAGATTAAACCTCTGAGGACTCATCAGTTCCATCAAGGTGTCCCTTAAACTTGCACCTGGGGCAGGCAGTTCTTCCTTAGCACCTGTTCAAATGCTTGTAGAACGACCTTTGTCATAAAATAGTTTATTTTGATGTTTCCTCAGTTTGACTGTGAACTCCTTCAGAATGAAAATTTGTAATTTCCTAATTTATTATATTGGAATAAACATAATTCCTTTCTCACAAGTTTGCTTTGAGTATCAAATGAGAAATTGGCTGTAACATATTTTGTTGGTTTAGGTTATATTAAGATGTTACATCTTATTTATAATATACTGCTTTAATGACTCCAAATTGGTCTAGCCAGCGTTCAGGTACACAGACTGTGGAGTTTAAGCTTTTGCTATTACATCATGATTGAAACCACTTAAGTGCTTTCATTAAACTACCCTAAGCACAGTCTATGTTAAATTTCTGCCCAAGTAATCCAGGTCTTCCCCGCAACACCCCAAAACAGAACACTGCTATGGTATGCTTTTCTTCTTTAAAAGTGGAGAAGAGTAAGAAATTTGTTGGGAAAAGAAAGTCCCAGGGTGCTGGAGAAAGCTAGAGTGTTTGTCTGCATTGCACGAATTTCTGCATACATGCTCCCCCAACACTACTGACAGCTTCACCCTGAGAAAGTCACATGCATTCTCCTGTGATCTGCAGCCCATGCTTGAGTGTGGTTTCTCAGGTAGGAGCCTATTGGGTGGGAACACGGGCAGGTTTGTAAACTTAGAACAAAGCCACACTAACTGGACCTTGTGGTAATTGAAAGCACAACCTTGGCCTTTTTGTACCAGACTGTAATCAGCTGAGTTGGGGAAATTTTTTCCTCTGATACCGGGAACAGGGATAACAAGAAGGGGGTGGCCTGAGTACACCAAGCGAGCTCCCTGGGCAGAGCTGGCTTTTTCAGCACACCTTTGCATGAATGGGCACAGTGGCACGACACTCCCAACAGGACATGTATATTCAGAAACCCTTTTGAGATTTCTCCCTGTTCTCCTTCCCTTGTCATTCATTATTTTATTTCCTTTAGGTTTGATTAAATAGCCTGCTCTGTTACCAGAACAAAATTAATGATTCAAGTGTACAAGGAACCAAATTAATCTCTCTTGACCTCTCTAATATGAAGTGTAATCTTTTGTGGCTGTAAAAAAGAGAACTTTGTACAAACTGAGGTTAAGCATGATTAAAGAATGCCTGTGTAACATGAAAATATTCTGCACATTATTTTCCTGGTGAGAGGTTTTACAACGTCAGGAAAATACTGTTACAGATATATTTGTTTAAAAAGGATCATTATCTTAAAGGTAATGTTGGAATCCTTAAGGTTTGGGACAGGGAGAAGTTTAGAAAAAAATACAGTTCTATACATAAAATGGAAGTTGGTATTTTACTTTTAGTTCCTTGTCATGTCTAAATTTTCACTACAGGAGAAATACTATGAGTCGTAGCAGCTACAGTTTTTACATACTTGGTTAATTAGCAATTCTTACCAAACCGAGTGTATCATTTCTCTTTAGAATCCTACATGGCCTCGATTAGACATATTTACGGGAAAAGTCAATGGATAAGACATTAGAGGCCAACCTCAAAGTCAGAATAGAGCAACCGTAGACCTTAGAGAAGTGCTTTATTAGCCAAGAATTGGTTGGTTATTGATCCTGGTCTGTGTCTCTGGTCACAATAGCACTTACCCTAATTTTTCTAGTGTAAATATAAGTAAATTTGAATGGGTGTTGCTGAAAACAATCTGTAAATCTACATTTTGTGGTTTTGGTTGTAATTGTAGTTACTGGAAGGTTCAATATTTGGGGCATGTGGAGGAGACAAGGCTGTGGCCTGGTACTCTGCTCTCTGCAAATACCTCCTGAAGCACTTTCTCAAGGGCTATTAAAGTGACTCTGGCTCTCTTTGCTCAGAAGCACAGAAACCACATGGGTACTCAGCCGAAAGGAAACTGGGGGCTGGGATGAGTATTGTCAGAAGATAGGCTGTGCATTTAACTTAGATTCCTTTCCCCCCCACCACCGAGGTCAACCAAGCAATTAAGAAAGAAAGATATGAACAGTTTCCCTGCTTTCTTGAAGGTAAACAATAATAAATTCACATTGGTTGCAACACTGTCATTCCCCGGCCTTTGAATCTTCTTTTATTTTCTTTTGTTTGTCTCACCCCCATCTTGATATTTGATTTTAGAGAGTTTCTAACAAACACTGTATTCTCATCACAACCTAAGTTCTAGTTGTACTGGGAAACACCTCCCCTTAACAGAAGATGCTACAGGGTTAATGAGGGTTAATGGGTATTGTATTTCACCTGGATATTGCCAAGAAAATTTTAGCTGAGATGAAATGGTGGTGGGAAATGGCTTCAGTGATGATGAAACAAGCACAAATAAAGCGTTGAATAAATCGCACCATTGGAAGACCATGAAATAGGAATTTTGTGAGTCTGAATTACTAGTGCTGAAGTATTAACATTTTCATTCTTTCCAAAGAACTCTGTACCTTTAACTTCCATTGAAACATTACATAGAAATTGTTTCTGCAAAAGGAAAAAGTAATAATTAGACATGTGAAAAAATGATGTGAATTAAATTATCTGAACAATACCTGCACACACACCCCAAATCATAACAGAATCTTCAGAAGAGGCGATGAGTGGTGAAGATGGATCTTCTAGATCTTATACGATAGCCAGTTATCTGCTTTCTGATTGGAGAGTGGTTGTTCACTTGTGTTAAGTAAATAATTTGTGCTTACTGGGGGGTAATCTATTTAACTCCAAGCAATGCTTTCTTCTAGTGGGCACTTCTGTTTTACAGCTGACATCTCTGGCTTCAGGTCCTCACCATCTACTAGTCCCAGCCACAATGAATGAAAAACATTCTCCAAAACTTGTATTTTCAGTTCATATTTTAGTGGCTTGCCACATGCTGTTTCCTCTGCCTACTATACCATTCACACCTTTTTCTCAACCTGGCAATTAATTGTACTCTGGAGACTCTCACCAAATGTTGCCTTCTCTGGAAAGCAAGATACCTCCCAACCCATTCTATATTCATGTAGAAATATGTGCTGAATTCTAACAGCATAATAGCATCTCAATTATTCCTGCAAAACTGTGAGCTCTCTGGAAAAAGGAAGAGTGTGTTGGTTTGTCTGTCTATAGAAAGCAACTCTCATACTGTTTGTGATGTCATTGCTATACTCAGTAAGTGTTGACTGATGAGTGAATGCACGAGTGAATAAATAAATGAGTGAGTGTGCCAAAGTCTCTTGGTAAGCCTAAGCAAGCCCATCAAAGTAAGGCAGAATTTACAACGAAAATGCATGTTTAAGTGTTAGGTAAGTGACCTAAATTAAAGTGATGTGGAGTGGCATTTATGTTGCCTAAGCAAATTGGTATATATATCCAATGTTGCTAGGTCTACTTTTCAAGATAAACCAGAAATTTGGCTTTATATTTAGAACCAAACATCTTTTTAATTTTGGAAATTTACTGTATTTTTTGTGGTCCACACTGTCCCAGATAAAATTCTTCACCAGAAAATTCTGTAGTATGAGACATGCCTAGCTCTGTTTCTCCAACACATTAAGATTTCAGAGCCATCAAAAGACAATGAATGATATGGGCAAGACAGGGTGCCTTCGGGACGTGAGAACTAAATGCACTTACAGGGTTGACCAATTGCTTAGGTAATGGAGCCAGTTACTTGGCCTTGGAATTTATTTTGCCTAAGAGAACTTGTAGGGAATCGGGAAAGTATAATGTCCAATGTTCAAGACAGCCTCCATTGACAGCATCTGGGTATCCATTATCAGTGAGGTCATGATAAGGCAAAGAGAGCTAGAAAGACAGAGAACCCAAGACCACATGTCAGCCAAAGCCACAGGATACACTTATCAAGATGTGTCAAAGAGAGAGGTTTATTTGAAGAACAGATGATTGTCTATTTCTATGGAATCTACCAGAAAGCTACTAGAACTAATAAGTGAGTGTCTTATTCTGTTTTGTGCTGCAATAACAGAATATCTGAGACTGGGTAATTTATAAGGAACATAACTTTATTTCTCACCGTTCTGGAGGCCTGGAAGTCCAAGATTAAGTGCCAGCATCTGGTGAAGGCTGTTCTCTGCTTCCAAAAGGGAGCCTCTTTCAGAGTGGAGGAATGCTGGGTCCTCAAATGGCAGAAAGCTGAAAGCAAAAGTGATAAGCTACTTCTGGCAAGACCTTTATAATGACATTAGTCTACTCATGAGGGCAGAGCTTTCATGCCCCAAATACCTCCCTAAATGCCTCATCTCCCAATACTGTTGCATTGAGGATTAAGTTTCCAACACATGAATTTTAAGGAACACATTCAGACCATGGCGGTAAGTTTAGCAGTCACAAGATATAAAATCATTGCAAAAAATAAACTGTATTTATACATTCTAGTAACCCAGAACTGAAAATTAAAATTAAAATGTCAATTACAATATCATCAAAAATAGGAAACTAGGGATAAATAGGAAAAATAAAATTAAAAAATAGTAAATAGGGATAAATCTGGGGGAGAAAGAGATACGTGGCTGGGAATGGTGGCTCATGCCTGTAAACCCAGCACTTTGGGAGGTCATAGATATAAATGTAAGACATGAAAGTATACTACTTATAGAGGAAATAAAATTCTTTATAATTTTGGATTAGGTAAAAATATCTTAGATACAATGCAAAAAGTCCAGTCTATGACAGAAAAGAAATTGGTAAATTGAAATTCATCAAAAATAAAAACTTCTGCTCTCCAAAGACATTAAGAGAATAAAAATAAATGTCATATACTGAGAGATAATATTTGCAATTCATATATCTAATAAAAAACTTGTACCCACAGTGTATAAAGAACTCTCAAGATACTGTAATATGGAAACAAACAACCCAACATAAATGGGCAAGTGATTTGACAGACACTTCATCAAAGAAGACAAACAGATGACTCATAACCACATGAAAAAATGCTCAGCATCATTAGTCATTGGGGTATCCAAATTAAAACTACAGTGAGCTACCACTTCATGCCTATTAGAATGGGTACAATCAGTAAGTCCCACATACCAATGGTTGGCAAAGATTGGGAGAAACTGGAATTCTGCTACACTGCTGGTAACAAAATAAATTGATATAACCACAGTGGAAAACAACTGGGCAGTTTCATAAAAAGTTAGACATATACCTGTCATATGATCCAGCCATCCTATTTCTAGGTAGTTCTCCAAGAGAAACAAAAACATATGTTCATGCAAAGATTTATTCATGAATGTTCATAGAACCTTTTTTTGTAATAACTCAAAACTGGAAACATCCCAAATGTTCATCAACAGATGAGTACATCAACAAGTTGTGGTACACAATACAATGGAATGCCACTGAGCAATAAAACTTATGAATTATTGACACACAACTACAGGTTGAATCTCAACATAATTATGTCAAGAAAAAGAAGCTTAGCCAAAAAAATACATGTGGTATAATTTCATTTATATAAAATTCTACAAAAGGAAAATGGATGTATAGTGACAGAGGTTGTATATTCTGACTGACAGAACGTATAGTCAGAGGTTGTACGGAGGCAGAGGGAGGGATTACAGAGAGGTAAGAGGAAAGTTGCAGGTAATAGATCAGTTTATTATCCTGATTGCTATAATGGTTCCATAACTGTGTAAATAAGTCAAAACTTATTAAATTGCACATTCTACGTATATTCAGTTTATTGTGTGTTAACTATACCTCAACAAACCTATTAAGTGAAATATGGAGAAGACTCCGTCTGCTGGGTTGGCCTGCAGTGCTGAAAAATGAGCAGACCAAGGTCATTCCTGGTTGCAGAAAAGATGACTTTCCAAGCTGTTTCTCCATGCAAGGACTTAGGCCTGGGAAAAATGAGTGCATCTAAGTTATTGGGTCTGGGCACAAGGAGAAGGAAGGCAATCACCTCGTTACTAGAACCAAGACACAAGGTCAGAGTCCCAGTTGCTGAATTCTTGAACCAAAGCTTCTAGAGTTTCTCTTGAGAACAGGGTTGTTCTGATAGCTAAGGGTAGATTAAATCCTAACAAGAGATATCAAGGGTCCTTGTCACGTATGGGGTGAGGCTGAAGAGGCAGAGCGCCAATCTTCCAGCCCAGTTATCTGTCCCCTACACTGGAACACACTTGAGCTTCAAAATGCCTCATTGCAGTTCACCTGTCCTATAAAGTATCTCTGCAAGGCTGTAAGGGTTTCCTTCTCTTCTCCCTTTTTAAGGACTTCACCTAAACTATCCTAGACCCATTTCAGCAATTTCAGTTTTTAACATAACCTATAGTCCTCTCACCTATTTTACATGTTGAAGAAATGTTTCCATCATGCGAAGGTGCTATGCTAAGCTCTAGAGATACATGTAACCCTCTACTGGCAGAAATGCTCTGAAAGATATTATAGAGATATCTTCTTGCTTCAAAGGGGTGAGGGGGGCTTCTCAGATAAAGAAGACACAGGGGGATGACCAATGTATGTACCTAAGCCTCTCCACCCCCTCTCCTATAATTGCTCTCTCTCACTTCCACCCTTACACCTTTTTGCTGATCTACCTCGGTGTCTCAGGTCTTTCACCTCCTTTCCAATAAGTTCACACTTAACCCCATCCACTGGCCTTGCTACACTTACCGATGAGCTGGATCTTCTAATACACATACACGTACACACACATGCCTTTAGGCATTATATCCATGTGGTTAAAAATCAGTTTGTAAAATTGCTCACTTATTGCACCTGTATAGTTGAAAAATAAGATTCTTTACTGGCAGAGATCATATCTTCTATGCTTATTTGCCCCTGAAGAGTTCTGTTCCCATAAATGAGGTCATCTGGAGGGAGGCAGACTTAATGACACCATCTTGGTTTAGATAACCATCTGATTAAATAGAGCCCAAGCCTTCCAGAATTGACAATTCACCTCTTGTGTAGCACACCTATAGTTTAATTAGAAACCATTAAACTTTTGCAGCTCACTGTAAAAATAGAGATTCTAACAAAAAATAAGTAATTGGACAAACTTATAAATGTACGCACATAAAGTTGATTGCCATATGGTTCAAAGTGGCAAAAATTACTAAAGCAACTTAAAGGTCCTTCCACAGGAGAATTGTTAAATCACTCATGTCATACTCATCCCCTTGTGTATCATACAGATATTAAAGGGATGAGATCTAGATAATGATCCCTGCAGTACACAGCAAAATGAAAAAAAAAAAATTATACACATGGACTAATCTTACTTTTGAACACACATAGTATATATGTACATATATACCCATTTGATTTTGGTATCTCTGGGTGGTAGGATTATAGGTGGTTTTTATTTTGTTTTATATATGTATTTTTATTATTATTTCAGAATTCCTTGCAAAGAGCAGGCATTACTTTCATAATCGGAAATTATTTTTTTCCACTTGGGCAAATATCCACTATTCACATCTCACCACTGGCCTTGGCTGTAGGCCAGGAAGTCCATTCTCAGGATGTGGGGAGAGGGAATGGATCTTTCTTGTGTAGTTGATGGTTCTGACACCCTGACCTCCTCTTTGATTAACACTGAGACCAGCTGACTAATTTAACATGTGCCATTTCATACAGATGGTTAGAGCAGCCTTTTAAACAATGCTTAAAGATGGTCAAGTTTACCAAAAAAAAATTAATCTCCAAAATGTGCCTTTGCTCATACTTATTAAAAACTTCTTCCTCAGAGCATGCTCTGTCTAATGTAAATCCATATTTTTAAATTCCTAATGAAAGTTAATCATTGTATATAATGTACAATATATTATAATATCATACACAGTAACAACATAAACTGTGGCTATATTAGTTTCGTAGGGCTGTCATAACAAATTTCCACAAGCTAGATGATTTTTTAAAACCAGATTTTGGCCAGGCATGGGGCTGATTCTTGTAATCACAACAATTTGGGATGCCAAGGCAGGAGGATCACTTGAGTCCAGGAGTTTGAGACCATCCTGGGCAAAAAGCGAGACTTCATCTCTACCAAAAAAAAAAAAAAAAAAGTTTTTTAAAAAAAAAGTGAGATTGGACATGGTGGCTCAAGCCTATAATTTCAGCACTTTGGGACGCTAAGGAGGGCGGATCACCTGAGGTCAGGAGTTCGAGATCAGCTTGGCCAACACGGCGAAACCCCATCTCTACTAAAAATACAAAAATTAGCTGAGCGCGGTGGTGTGCACCTGTAGTCCTAGCTGCTAGGGAAGCTGAGACAGGAGAAATGCTTGAACCCGGGAGGCAGAGGTTGCAGTGAGCCGAGATCGTGCAACTGCACCTCCAGCCTGGGTGACAGAGCGAGACTCTGTCTCAAAAAAAAAAAAAAAGGTAGCCAGACATAGTGATGTTCGCCCGTAGTCCCAGCTTCTCAGGAGGCCAAAGCGGCAGGATCTCTTGAGCCCAGGATTTCGAGGCTGCTGTGAGCTATGATTGCGTCACTGCACTCTAGCCTGGACAACAGAACAAGACACTGTCTCTTAAAAAAGAAAATAACAAACACTTTGGGAGGCCGAGGCATGCAGATCACGAGGTCAGGATTTCGAGACCAGCCTGAAAAACATGGTGAAACCCCATCTCTACTAAAAGTACAAAAATTAGCTGGGTGTGGTGGCCGGCACCTGTAATCCCAGCTACTCAGGAGGCTGAGGCAGGAGAATCGCTTGAACCCAGGAGGCGGAGGTTGCAGTGAGCCAAGATCATGACACTGCACTCCAGCCTGGGCGACAGAGCGACACTCTGTCTCAAAAAAAAATAATGATGATGATAATAATAGTAATAGTAATAAAATAGAACGAAAACCAGACATTTAGAGTCTTAGGTGGGTTGGTTCCTCTTGAGAGTTCTGAGGGAGGAGAATCCGTTCCTTTCCTCTCTCCTATCAATTCTCGGTGTTCCTTGATTTGTAAATGCCTCAGTCGAGCCCCTGCCTCCATCTTTACATGGTATCCTCTGTGTGTGTCCTTACATGGTCCTCTGCTTATAAGGACACGTGTCATATTGGATTAGAGGCCCACACTATTCCAGTATGATGTCATCTTAACTAGTTACATCTAGCGTGACCATATTTCCAAATAATACCACATTTTGAGGACGACAACATAACTATTTTTAAGGGGGCTGGGTGGCACAATTCAATCCATAAAATTTGCCTAGAAGGATTTGTAGGATTAAATGCCCAACGAGGCCCTGCAAACACCTGGCAATGCCAATTCCAGCCCCTCTGTTCATATCCGCCCTGCTAGAATTGACGAAGCATGCCAACCATGCACAGTTGGAACTTCACAGGTTTTAACATATCCAAGTTCTGTTATCATCTTATCACTTTACCCCAGGAAGCAGCCACATCAAAACAATTTACTACCCTTCCTTTATCTCTTTTATGCTTGAGGGGCCAGGAAGGAGCTCCTGGCTGGTCTTATCTTCCCTGGGAAACAGTCACAGAGGCACTCAGATTCACACCGAGCAACCCCTGGCTCCCATCACTGCTCCCCAGAGTCCTCTGGCCTCCAGTCCCTCCTCCCTTGAATCTATGGTATTGACTTTGCGAGTCAAACCAAGTTACAGAGCTACCAACAACACCCTAAACCTCCTAACCTTCTGTGTGCTAAGAGTTAAGCCAGTGTGCTCAGAGGGGCCTTGGTGCTCTCCTCTTTGATCTCGTCCTCTGACCCACTACATAGATGCTGTCCAGCAGTCAACAAAGCCACTCACTGCTTTCCACACACACACACACACGCACCTGCATGCACACACACAGACATGCGCGCACACACACGCACGTGCAACACACACACGTGCACGCACACACACATGCCTGCTTGCACACACACACACGGTGTGTTTCCTGCTGCAGGGCCCTTGCTCTTCTCCCTGCCTGGGATGCTGCGCCAGCCCTCACAACAGGATTAATTCCTATCTATTCAAAATTCTGCTCACATACGCTCTCCTGCAAGGAGCCCTGTCTGCTGCCGCTAACTGAATGTCATTTCTCTTTTTCCTATTCTATCCACGCCTTTCCTACAGAAATTCCTACTTTGTTGATGTCTTTTTATATTCCTGCTCTTCTACCAGAGCATTTCTCCTCCAAGGCAAATCCATCCATGCTGGCCTAAGTGAGCAAAAGCTCTCAGTGGTTCCCTGAGCCTGCAGAGGCGGAAGAAGGTAATGGTAGGAGCATGGGATCTGGATGCAAACTGCCTCGATGTGAATCCTGGCTCAGGTGTGGTGTCATCAGAGGAGTGTGGCTCCTGGTTAAAATCCTATCTGTGATTTCTCAGGCCTGACCATAGACTATTATGAAAGCTTTGCCTAGCAGGCCTCTCAGGGGAAACTGCCATCCCTGCCCAGGCTTGGTGCACAGCCAGCACGTTGCAATCTCTGAAGGGAGTTGCAGTCAAGGCTTCAGAACCCCCTGTCCAGTCAGGCTCTTGTACAAGTTTGCATTCTTAGCTCCTGCTCCTGCATTCCTGGGTCCCTTTATCAGAGGTCTTGTCGGGGAGGTCTTCTTCAGGCATCTCTGCGGAGGCCTTTTTATGGTGGAGCGGAGGAAACCTTGAAGATACTTTTCCCCACTCTACTCCAGTACTTTTCCACTCCTAGTCTTTCCTTCTTGTCCTCTCCCTGCCACCACCTCAGGGTGCACAAAACTTCTAGAGCCTTTTGTTGGGGGCTCCCTCCACCCGTGAGATGACCCCACATCTGCATTGATCCACCTGACCTGTGTGCCATTCCACGGGGGAAAATGGAACAAGGGGAGTCGGTGCTTTCTCTGGCCTTACCCTCTAGCTTGCACTATCACCATAAGTGATTAAAGTCTTAACTCATTTATGGCTTGTTGCTTTAATTGGCTACTCCAATACCTGGCAAGTCAATGCACTCCTTTTCTCTCTCTCTCAGCTCAGCTAAGCTCCCGACAAAACCAGGGTATAATAGAACCTAACGACTAGGAAGATTGCAATAGCCAACTAAGACAAAGCATGTAGCATTTTATTTTTAATTGTGGTAAAAAAATGTAACCTGAGGTCTACACGCTTAATTTATTTATTTATATTTATTTATTTATTTATTTATGAGACGGAGTCTCACTCTGTCACAGGCTGGAGTGCAGTGGCTCAATCTCGGCTCACTGCAACCTCCACCTCCCGGGATCAAGCGATTCTCCTGCTGCGGCCTCCAGAGCAGCTGGGATTACAGTCACGTACCACCACACATGGCTAATTTTTAAAAAAATATTTTTGGTAGAGACAGGGTTTCATCATGTTGGCCAGGCTGGTCTCAAACTCCTGAACTCAAGTGATCCACCCACCTTGGCCTCCCAAAGTGCTGGGGTTACAGGCATGAGCCTCTGCAGCCAGCCTACATGCTTAAATTTTTAACGACACAGTGCAGTGTCGTTACCTATAAGCACAATGTCGTAGAGCAGGTCTGCAGAACTTTTTCATCTTGCACTACTGAAACTCTAGGGCTAGGGGGAGTGGCAGATGGAAAGTTGCTGTACGTATAGCACCTTTTAATAGAAACCTGGTACATGGTCTTTCTCAATAAATGCTTACATTTATTGTTATTATTGCTATTGCCTACGTTATTACCATGACCTTCTTCAAGCCCTGAAGCATAGCACATGAGGGCTTACATGAGTATGTCCCATTCCAAATAATGCCTCATTTTGCGCTCTGCTGAATGGGAGAACATTAAATGCTATAATTCCACTTCCTGCCTTATACATTGTCTTCAGCCACAGCAAACTATTTTCAATTCCTGCTAAATATATCATTCGTCTCCCTCTCTCCTTCTTCATTTAATTGATGCCTCTCCCATTTGCCTGACATTTTCTCACTTATCCCTCATGGCCCTGCTCAGAAGCCACCTTCTCAGTGAAGACTTGCTAATTCCTGCAGCTTCTTATCTCTCCTTTCTTTCTGATACTTCCTTTTGTTAAATATCTTCATTTATACACATATTTCATTCAATTGTATTTATTTAGTTCTATTTCCGTTTCACTTCCTAGAAGGAAGCACATCTTTTTAACATTTGCATTTCTAACTGATTACTAACCATTGGTTGAACAAACTGACATACAGCTGCTACTGGGATGGTAGGATTCGTGTCTGATTCCAGGTGTCCCTCCAGGTGCATAGTATAATGCCTGGAATATAACTGCCACTGGGAAAATGTCTAGAAACTACACAAACAAATGAAAGGCGGATTTCCCCAAATGCAAACATCGGCTTAAACAAGATCAGAGGTTCATAAAGATCCCATCAAATGCAAGAAAAAAAATTTAGTGGTAGAAGAAAATCACACCAAAATCTTTAAACAATATCTAATTTTCACCATATTTTTTAAGGATGTTTAAGTTGAAGGGAATATGTATTCTTGGCTTCTTGGCTTAGTCATTGTGAGCACATTTTATGTTGGTTTGGTCTTCTTTTAGAACAAGACAAACAACAAACAACAACAACTGAAATCCTTTCTAATAATCAGTTATCACCAAATACTTGGGAATACTATTCATGTGGAGTCTTGGTTTCAGCATGTGTGTGTATGCAAGCATGTGTGTGCAAGTGTGTATACTTTTGTACATTTGTGTTTTTTAAAAACTGTAACTTCAAAAGATGGGGGTTTAATATCCTTTGAGAGTTCTCTAATTAGGCTCTGCTCCTCTTCTTAGATGAGTTTAGTACCCAAGTAAATGAACTAATTAGTAGTCTGTTGTTGAATGGGGCCACAATGTTGCATAAAATCCCTGGTCATCATTGAGAGTTCCTGCGTAGAACAGCAATTAAATAGTTCAGAAAAAATAAGACCTGTTCTCTATTCCCTCACCTTATTCCACGACGACAAGAGGGTTTGCATGTGCTGTGCTTGGTTCCCAAATGGGCTTGGGCAGGAGGCGTAGGGTGATGGGCAGCAGGCAGTCCAAATCTGGACAATAAAACCAATGCAGTGATGGAAAGACAAAGGCAACCCCCAGTAGACCAGTGATCTCTTGAATGACCCAAGTAGTCTCTGCAAGCCTTTGAATTTTACCTTGATGTTTAAATGAAGGCAAGGAGAGAAAGGAGGGGCTAATTCTATTGATTGGTGTGACTCAGAAATCTAGCATAAAAGTAACACACTGATATGCAGAGCATGTGACATAAAAACAAACCTAGTCCCCCGTGACTAAATCATACTCTGACCTTCTATTGTCCCCACGGATTCTTGTAACACAACGAGCTAGAGTTTTGATAGGGATTCATATATTAATAAGCAAATATATCAAACCTTACATGAATTATATTTAGCCTTTTCTGAAATGAACACATTTAGAGAAGAGAAAATGAATAATAATTAGTGTTTGGTACTGGTTTTTAGATGAATCCTGAGAGTAATTTTTTTTTATTATTATACTTCAAGTTCTGGTATACACGTGCAGAACGAGTAGGTTTGTTACATAGGTATACACATGCCACGGTGATTTGCTGCACCCATCAACCCGTCGTCTACATTAGGTATTTCTCCTAATGCTATCCCTCCCCCTACCCCCAAAACCCCTGACAGACCCCGGTGTGTGATAATTTCTTAGACTGTAATTAGATTTCACTCCTTTTTTTTTTTTTTTTTTTTTTTTTTTTTGAAACGGAGTCTCACTCTGTCACCCAGGCCGGACTGCAGTGGCGCAATCTCGGCTCACTGCAAGCTCCACCTCCCGGGTTCATGCCATTCTCCTGCCTCAGCCTCCTGAGTAGCTGGGACTACAAGCGCCTGCCATCACGCCCAGGTAATTTTTTGTATTTTTAGTAGAGACGAGGTTTCACCGTGTTAGCCAGGATGGTCTCGATCTCTTGACCTCCTGATCCGCCCGCCTCAGCCTCCCGAAGTGCTGGGATTACAGGTGCAAGCCACCACGCCCAGCCTACATCTCACTCTTATCACAGTTCTTTGCTTCTCAACTCACCCCAACTCCCGCTCAACGGGCCCAAGTTGCTTTCTATGGGAGTACATTGCTTTAGAATTGGACACAGCCGCCACTAGGAGCTGTGTTTCTGGGGTCCCTCTGTGCCTCAAAGTGAGCATCCAATACCCAGGGCTGTGTAGAGAATAGAGACCATTAAATGCTATAATACATATAAGCATTGACTAAGAGCACATAGAGCATAAGGGAAATGCTCAATCTATTTCAGGTTCCTTCTTCTCAGTGTAACTTTTCCAAGTCACCTCCCCTGCTCAATATATTCCCAATCAACCTACAATCCCAGGCTCACCTACCTGTACTCAGAGCCCTGTTTCACTATAGCATCTTCTCGTCCCAGGCATTAATCTGTATAATTTTGCGGTGATGATTTCATCCCCAGTCTCCTGAGTCCTGGGAATCCACTCTTACCAAAGCCACTGACTACCAATGTTTTTTCCATAAATGCTAAGGAAGTGGGGGTCTAGGCCTCGGTGGCTACAGATCCCACAGGGAAGGAATAGGAGATGAGGGAGGTGCTGTCCTACTTGCACAGAAGAAGGAAGCACAGCTCAGGTCTTCATCAGGCCACCACTTCCTCTTCCTAACACATCTAGACGGAAACATACCTATTAATACACAGATTTACATCCCCATCTGTTCTGAGAAAGTCACTCCCATTCACAGAAGCCTAGTTCTGTTTTGGGAACTAACACCCTGAGTTACTTGACGAAGCATCTTAGAGTGATGGGACACCAGAGAAACCGGGCCAGCTCTCACCTCCTCCATCCCAGCTCCCACCGGCTCCTGAGAGCAGGAGGGAGATCCTTTCACCCCACAGTATTTAGATCAGTAGCAAGTTACTGGTTCAAATTTCAATTAAAATAGGAATATCTAGTAGAGGCTTCATGTGTCTTCAAAGATATTTCACTCAGATGCAATACTAAAAGGAAAAGTAATTTGTCTACAGAAAAGTGTCATAACTAGGCCAATGTACTAGAAACTGTTAACATGTCTCAAGTTGAGAGAGGCTGGTGGAGGGGCTGTGTATTCTCTGAAGCATTATTTCTGTCAGAAGAGCCCAACAAACCTTAAAACAAAGCCAGCAACCTTCCAAAAACATGGGTTAAGGGAGAAAATAAAAATGGTAACTTAAAAATATAGGATATTCCGCTGAAATCCGGATGTTCTCAATATGCTAAAATATTGCACGATGGATCTTAAAGATTTTGTTACTAAGAGTCAAGATGGTCAGCGCAGGTCTTGCAGGGCAGGAGGTCACCACCGGCCCACGAGGACTCTGTTGTCACTGCCCAGGACACTGCCAGGCAGGAGCGGGTCTCCATAATGGTTGTGGAACAAATGGATGAATGAAGTGCTGCTATTGCCTCTCGCCCCAAATGCCCCAGGGTAAAAGCTAGAATCTGTCATGTACTGATGAAGAGCTAGGTGTGATCCAAGTGCTGAATTTCTGTCAACTCTTTCAAGTCTTTTTTTATTTATTTTTGTATTTTTTTTTGAGATGGAGTCTCGCTCTTTCACCCAGGCTGGAGTGCAGTGGTGCGATCTCGGCTCACTGCAAGCTCCGCCCCCCGGGGTTCAAGCCATTCTCCTGCCTCAGCCTCCCGCGTAGCAACTCTTTCAATTCTTACATCAAGTTTATGAGATAGATTCCATATCATTTCTTTTTTACAGAGATTTTAGGGAATTTGAAGGTAGCCAAACAGGCCAAGAGAGGAAGGGCCAAGAGGTGGTACAGTCAGTTCAGCTGCACATTTCACAACCTCACTTTAAGGCCTTACAGAAATCAGGTTAAATTTTGAATGTGACTTAGAATCAAACACAAGTCTAAGAAAACAGCCAACCATAATGTAATGCTGTGGTCAGTCTGTTTAACAAAATGTGTATTGAATTCCACGTTCTGTTTTCCCTTTGAGGTCGTTATTAACCTATGGTACAGTCTACCATGAATAATGTCTTAGGTTCAAGGGAATAAAGTGAATAGGTCCTGTCAGCCAAAAATATTTTCTCATAGGAAATACCATGACAACAATTTAGGGACTCTCAATTGTCATTGTTTAAGAAAAAATACAATCTTTTTTGTTGCTGTTGTTGAGTTGGAGTCTCACTCTCTCTTCTAGGGTGGAATACAGTGATGCAAATAGGGATCACTGCAGTCTCAACTTCCTGGGCTCAAGTGGTCTTCTCGCCTCAGCCTCCTGAATAGCTGGGACCACAGGCATGCACCACCAGACCTGGCTAATTTTTTTTACTTTTCATAGAGGTGGTGTCTCACTATGTTGGCCAGGCTGGGGAAAAGACAATCTTTAATAGTTAGTTTCCTCTGGCCACAACGTCTTTCTGAGCCTCAATTTCCTCAATTATAAATGGGAATGAGAATGCCTAAACCTCGGAAGTTATCTGGAAGGACTGGCAATGGTATGTATAAAGCATCTGGAATTTTGCCTGGCATACAGGAGGGACCTCAAGTACCACTGAGGTTAGCAAGTACCACTGTTAACTGATATTCGTAGCGCAAACCTAGCAAAGATGCACTTCATCCTTCACCAGGCTCTCCAAGATGGTCCATATTACGAGTCTGTGGTCAAAGTAATGCATTTAGAGTTGGTTTTAATGAGCCACCGCCCATCTATTAACCCTTACAAATTCGTTTAATCATCCTGTTGGGTGAGGGTCTCTAGAGTACGGTCCCTACCCCTTTGGTCTGGCAGCCTGACAGAAAGCGGTCTCTGGCATAATACCTACAATTATACACAGCTTCCCATCAACACAGCCCTTTAATAGCTCTAGTGAACAAAGTACCTTGTAAATAAGGTGGTGTTGGCATTTTCATGTTGGTTTCCTTTAAATAAGAGTCTATGGTTTAGAAACGGTTTCAAGTTAAGCTCAGCATTCTGATATCCCACTTAAGGAGGATTGCTTTCTGCCTTTCCTCAACATTCACTCACCCTTTGGGGAAATCTTTACTCAGTCCCTGGGAAGTGTTTGGCATGGGGCTGCTATTGAGATACAGAGGCAGTGAAAAGGGAATTCCCAACCTCATCTAATCTGTAGCCCAGGGAGAACACAACCATTTGACAAGTAATGATGAGGAATTATCCTGGGCAACATGAAAGAAGTACAGAAAGGTGAAACCAAAGGGTATGAGACCTGGGCTAGTCTGGAGGAAAATGGAGGAGCTTCTGGGCTGCAGATTCCTTGACTACAAAGTGAAGAATGAGAAGGCCTCAGTTGGGTGAAGCGGCACAGCCTGGAGAGAGTTCAGGCCTGGTAAAACCCCTGAGTGAGCATCCAGAGAAAAGGGTGAGCAGGGCACTTTCTAGGAAATGTAAGCGGGGAGAAAAGCAGTCCACCTGGACCATGTGAAGCAGCAGGCAAGAAGCATGGGAAAGAGTGGTCAAGGTGGGCAGCACTCCATTTGGAGGACCTCTAATCCATGTGAAATCTATGAGGACAGCAGCAAACACGAAAGCCAACATGCATTTCCTTCCTTTGATTCACTTGGGCCCTAGCAAATATACCAAGGTTGCAGTTATAGTGAAATGACTTTACACAATTGTATTTGTGTGTAAAAGAGCTGAACGATGACTGTGCTCCTTTACTAATCCTACCCATCCTTCAGGCCCAGCTTTAAACCTACCTGCACTTATCAATCCACTCTTGATCAGTGTAAAGTGATTTCTCCATATTCAGATCTCCCAGTATTTATTGCTTTCATCACTTAGTTTTACTGGCTTGTTAAATTATCTTCTCATACACCAGTGGCTTAACCCTCTTATTAGACAGAAGCCTTCTAAAGAACTATGATGCTCTTTGAAACTTCTCTGATATCACCATACCTGATATTCACGTAATTATTCTCTTGGCCAAAAAATGTGGTTCTAAGCACAAATAATACATCAAGGAATAAGACAGAAATGGGCTTCTGGTCTTGGGGGTCTTAAGTTTTGTCAGCAATTCAGATCAGATAAAGAAATAATTTTATAATATTATACATAAGAACATATATGTATATATATGCATAAATATAATTTTAAATAATGCTAAGAACAATGATGAAATAAAGAGTAATGCATAAGGAAGTGCCTGGTTTGGGGGCAGCCTACTTAATATTTTATGGCAGAGAAAATTCAAATAGTTGATAAATTAAGATGAGACATGGATAGGCCGGGCATGGTGGTTCATGCCTGTAATCCCAGGATTTTGGGAGGCTGAGGTGGGTGGATCATGAGGTCAGGAATTCGAGACCAGCCTGGCCAACATGATGAAACCCTGTCTCTACTAAAAATACAAAAATTAGCCTGGTGTGGTGGTCCATGCCTGTAATCCCAGCTACTCGGGAGCCTGAGACAGGAGAATCTTTGAGCCTGGGAGGTGGAGGTTGCAGTGAGCCGAGATCGTGCCATTGCACTCCAGCCCAGATGACAAGAGTGACACTCCATCTCAAAAAAAAAAAAAAAAAAAGAAACAAAAGAAAAAGAAAAAAACAAGAAAAAAGATGAGACACATGGACGTTAAGAAGGAGCACACCATGCAAACAACTGATGTTAGGAGGTCTAGATAGATAAACACTAAATGCATATCTCTAGGATGGGAAATCATCTATGACAAAAGCGGGCCAAAAAGGCAGGGCAGCAAAAGCAAGAGGAAATGACAGCAGTGGGAAGTATGAGATCACATAGAGATTTGTAGAACATAGACAGACAGAGTTTGGGTTTTATTCCAGGTATAATTTGAAGTCTTTGAAAGGTTTTAGGTACCTAGGAGGTACTCGATTTTAAAATGTATTGATTGCTTGAATGGTTATGCACATAAGCCTCAGAAAAAAAGTTTAACAGAATAAAATTTACCAAAAGTTATATTTTAATTTTGAGTTAAACACTCATAACAAAGGCACTAACAATTGTGGCAAATGATAGCAAAATAATGGAATTGGCATAACAACACTTTTCAGAATCGTCCCTTACAGCAGATGTTGTCTGTCAATATTACCTTCTTTCTACAAATGTGTCTTTCATGTAAACAACATCTGCAAGTTTGCATGATGAAACTGAAACAAGAGCATGCTGGAAAACCATTGGCAATCCTTGTTTCTATCCTTGAGTGGATGTCACAAAAAATAAACTTCATGACTTCAAGTCTTTAAAAGAAAGTTGGTTAATCACAAGAACAGCAGCTAAGCTGGGAAGTACTTTTAAAAGGAAATCTTGTGTATGTAAGCACCTATTTTGTAAATGAAGCATGGGAAGCCATGTATATAGAAGGCAGATCTCTTAACTGGTGGTCTTTAAACATTTCATGGGCAAAAGCAGTAATTAATTACCTCCATCTTAGCTTCAACAATTGCTTTGATTTGCATTTTTAGCATGGAACAATGGAGTAAAAAGCCTAAAATATCAATAATGACACGACTCAACAGCAAAAATAATAATAATAACAGCTGACATTTATGGTACTCCTATTCTGTGCCAAGCACCATAGTGAATACTTGGGCAGGTATTTGTTCATTAAATCATCAAAAAATCCCTAGAGCTATTGCCAGCAATAAACCCATTTGAATGGATGAAGAAAATGAGGCTGAGAAAGATGAAGCAACTTACCCAGTGCCCCAAAGCTGACCAGCATGAGAGCCAGAGTTCCAGCCTCTCATTCTCAACCATTTCACTGTCGCCATCGGAGTGGCCTGGTTGAAGCATCTTGCTTGCAGCTAATAAAGACTCTTGGTCTATTGGTGTGTGTTAAATATGACACACTTCAGGTCGGTGCTTGAGTGCTGCCACCGCCTATTTAATCTTAGCAAAGCACCCCTTAATTCATTCAAAAAATACGTATTGAGTGTATGCTATGTTCTAAGCAATGGGACTACAAGCATGAACAAAACCGACCAAGTTCCTGACTTCTAGATTTGCCATTCCAGTTGATTTTAATTCAAGGGAAAGGGGGCACAAATGGGTTAATATATAGTGCAATGTCTTATGGTAGTAAGCATAAGAAAATAAAATGGAGTAAGGAAACAGAAAGTGATAAAATGGGACACGGAACTTCTCTTTTCAAATGGTGCGATCCTGGATCACCTCCTCTGACCATATTTCCTCAGAAGAGCATTCACAAATCAAAATGACACACCCACATAGGGAGGGAAGAGCGACATTTGTGCGGGGTAGGGCATTGTTGTGCACTGTCTTGGGAGAAATCCTTAGAGGCAGGCTCTGAGTTTTCAAGTCTGCTGATTGTAACACTGGAGATATTTAACATTACAAGCAATTGCTTCATGTTGCACGTAGATTCCTCATGGGATTTCTTTGTATAGTAAGTCAGCTTCCTTCTATATTTATGTGTTAAGTCATTTATAAAAATGCATTTCCCCATAAGTCTCTAGGGAATACATCACATAATACAGTAAACGTATTTATGGTATACATTTGTGACATAACACTGACATCGGCAAGAAGGAGGGGGTGATTATCCCAAATGGCTTCATATCTAATTCTCTCAAACTTACAAGCAAAAAACCCCCAAAACACAAATAACAAGAAAGTATGCCAATATCAAATCATAAAAGAAAAAAAAAATGTGTCTTACTTGAAAAACCACTAACTTTCTTTTAAGGTATCAAAGCCCAGTTTGCTATCATAATTCATTAAAGGTGCCTATTCTGGAATCAATAGTAAAAGACCATGGGCTAATTTTTGATTGATAAATTTCTCATTAAAATTAATGTCAATCTAAGCTTCCAAACTGTACCTATTAATAAAAATCTTAATTGATATCATCTGTAGCCAGTGCCTTTCTATGGGTATAATCAATTTGATAGAGATCCTGTACTTTATTGACTTTTGGCTACACACGGGAGTTTTTTCTCCTCCTTCAGGGAGGGTCCATCTCTGTGCAGAAACCCGAAAGCAGACCTAAGGCATGAGGGCACTTGCCATTTAATTTAGACTTCCTGTGACATTCCTAACATACAGCACCAATGTCAGACAATGCTGTTAGTGCACTGGTCCCAAGGGTCACCAGCTATGAAAAGCCAATTGCTGCACTTAAAAGCTAGGCTGTCAGAAAGCATGGTGTTCTAGACTCCCTGGCTCCAGCTCCAGCTACAAAACTTTAAGTGCCACTCACTAAAAGTAAGGAAAAGCCATATCCTGTCTTTATCCATACAGGGTACCATTATGTGTCTTACAATATTGCACAAGCTGAATAACTGGAATCAGGTAAAAAGCCAGTGTTCTACATTCAAATATTCCTGAGTCTTCAAAGAAAAGTGGTATGCTTGGATTCCTGAGGAAAATCAGCTCCCATGCAACAGGGAAATACGAGTATTGACTCATTCGAACCAAAAGGAAAACTGCACCTACTAAATGATTCTCTAAAAACAACCCTAAGGCTCATTGACATGCTGTTGCTTTACACTTAACATTTCTGAGTGTGTGTATTAACTTGGAGGATCTCACTGTACAGGAAAAAAAAAAAAAAAAAACAGAAAAGGTCTATTGGACAGCTAAAAGCCTAAAAGAAAGAAAAAAAATTCAATATCTGTGTTTTGCTATATTCAAACAAAATATGAAATGAAATTTACTCTAGCTGTAAAACTCCAAAATCATCAAAGAGCAGCCCAATAGCTAAAGAAAACTCAATGATGGCCCATGACCCCTCTGCAGGGATGGGTGATGGGAAAGGTTTAGATTAAAACTGGTGCAGATAAATATCTCGAAGATCAGATTTTTATCTGGGCGCCAAGCAGCCCTTGAGTCTTCAGAGGTACTCTGCAAATGTCAAGAGAAAAGAAGCTCCTTCAGTGCTACAGCACTTCTTTCCACGTTGCTATTAGGCTTGGAATGCCAGAGCTATATGTTCTCTATGAAATTTCCAGCTAAACTGTAAAACTCAAGCATGTGAAGAACACTTAAGGAGAATTGTTTTACCCTCAGTCTCTCTATCAAAGGTAACTTTGTGAATGGGCTTCAAGAGAATGACTTGAGGGTGGAAGGGACTGTGTCCTCCTTCACTTAATCTGAAAACGATGAAATTGTATTTTCTCTTTCTGTCTGTCTGTCTCTCTCCCTTCCTCTCTCTCTCAATGTCTCTCTAGCATTTCTAGAGAATCAGATAGCCTCAGAAGGCTAGCTGACTATTGCTCAATTCTCCATTACATTTTAAATGATTTTGTTGATCCCCTTTGTCAGGGCTTGGATAAAGACTAACGAGAAGTTTCCAGAGAAGATCAATGAATGTAGGGCCTACTTTCAGTTCTGAGTTTTTCCCAAGGCTATGTGGACTTCCTTACACCCATCTGGGGCAGAAGGACAGCCCTGTCCCATTAGGCTGACTCTGCTGTACAGTCCACCGCTGTTTGCTTGTCGATCCCCTAAAATCCAAGCTTGTGAAGCTTAAATTTCTCTGCTGAGGGAAACTTCACTTTGTAGAATGTATATACTTTTTTAAAAAAAGTGTATAATTCTTGTTTATTATGAAAGCATTAAAGAAAAATTTGGAAAATAAAGAGAAAGGAAAGATCCCTCCCAATTGCATAGTGCTTTATAATGAATAACAAGAAAACATGTTTTTCTCTAGGTTTGGCTATTTTTCTTCATTTTGGCACATCCATTTGCATTTTTCTGTAAGCACAATGATGGTTATTTTCTGAAATTTTGTATGATTATAAAAAATGATTTGGTGAAAGCTAAAAGAAATTTTACAGGTCTGTAAATTGTTCTTTCTAAAATTGTTCTGTCAGGTCTTCAGAGATTTTATTTACCTTTCTCCTCACAGGTCACTCTCTGGGGAGTTTCCCAACCAACAGCAGGAAGCCTCTGCAACCTACTCAACCCAATTCTACCCCCTATGTCCAACTTGCTTTATTATTTTTTTGGCACTGGCCAGCCTGTGATACATATAGGTTCAAGTTTTGGTTTGTTATCAAATAGAATCTAAGCACCATGAGCTTTCAGTTTTCTGGTTAAGATTCAGATTCAAATTCAACAGTGGTTTATAAATGCTGGAGATACACACTTATCTTGCCCAGTAGCTCCCTAAAGCCAAGACAGAGACACCAGAATCAGATCAGATATGCCCCCCAAGATCACCATGAATTGGCAGGTGTTGTTCATTCTGTCACTTGTTCACGCATTCCGTGGGTATTTTCTGCACACCCACTAGGTACCTGAAGATGTCCAAATGGAAACAATCTTCCTGTTCTTAAAGATGAGTGGCCAGCGCCTGTCCAGGGTGAAAGAAAGGCCAGACAGAAAGGTGTGGCATCAGAAGTCAGATTAGACAAAAGATGGTGAGGGGAATTGCAGCATTGGCTGTATTTAGCCATACCTGGGTCATTCTCTTCTTTCAAAGTATGCCAGGTCCATGGAGTTAAGAGAGAAGGAAGAAAGAGGTGAGTTCTGGTTACATTGGGGCCATCCTCTGAAGGATTAAGCAAACAAGACAAGAACGTTATCTCAGTCCCTTGCCAGGCCTCCCCTCTAGGAATCCTAGCCTAAGCCTCCTTCTGTCATAATCAGTCATTTGTCTCTTCTACACTAGCCCTGAGTGGTCCACAGTCCCTCGTTGCCCCTCTCCCTTGCCTGCTTATTATCATTGTCATCTTGCCTGCTACCCATCACCCCTCCACATAGCTCATAACTCACAACAGACTGTGAGCTTCTGACAGCCGAAATCAGGCACAGCAGCTCCAGTGCCCAACCTGGCACAAGGAGAGGGTTTATGCCATCGTTGGAGGAGGGAACAAGTGAACAAAGAATCAGCAAACAGACTCTGGACCTAGAGGTAGGCAATTCACGAGATGAGAATCTCATCGATGGCACATGGCTGTTATCACTGACACCAAACTGCCGTGAGTTTTTAAAAGTGGAATGCCAAATTAGGGCGCATTAAATGAAGCACAGCATCCAAAAATGAGGAGGTTATTATACATTCATCTCTGGTGAATGGTGGTCAGTTCCAAGCAGCTGTTTTAATAGGAATGTTTTAACAGGAATATTAAGTAAGTAGGATATAAACAAAGAAGACTGATGAAGAGGTCTGGCCTGGAAATGCTTGCCATACAAAGAGTCATTGGCCCCCCAAAAGAGGAATTGTTTCATTTAGGAGAACAGGAGCTGAAGGAAAATGTGATAGCAAAATTTGGATGTTTAAACACAGACATGTGAAAGATGTCCTACATGGCTCAAAAGGAGAGCCGTTAAACATTCAGAAGAGACAAATTTCATGCCAACAGAGGGACAGTTTTATGGTCATTAGAGCTACCCAGAATTACCTTGGATTATTTGGTGAATGAGTGAGGCTTTTTGCCACTGGAAACATTCAAATAGAGACAGCAATTTTAAAGTTTTGTTTTATTCTTTTAAGAAAGTATCAAAAGTGTTGGAATAGATGGGTCACTCTTTCAAGATAATGGTTCTATGACCTCTGACTTGCTGAAGTCAGCCCAGAATACTCAGAAAAAAAAGATCGTTATGGAAGCAGGGGATTTATCTCATTATCCCTGGGTGACTGGGTGACTTTAGTAGGAAGCGACTGCGCCCAATAAGTGCTGATGATACCGGTAAGAAATTGAGACTCACAGTAAATGAAGCTAGAAGGATGAGCAAGAAAAAGTAAAAACAGAAATATCATTGGGGATGGTGTGACTACCATCAACAAAACTGGGTGCCAAACACTGTATATAATCTTCACAATACCATGAAGTCCCTAGTATCATCTTTGTGTCACAGTTGAGGAAAAACAGGCTCAGAGATGTTAAGTAGCCAGCTTGAAGTCACACTGTCAGTGAATGTCAGTGTCAGCATTCAAACTGAGACTTATTTTATACCAAAGTATATGCTATTTTTATCTCATGATGGCCTGCAAAAGAATATTGCCCTACTTCTCTGGAATACTATTAGAGGATTGACCAAAACACCAAGTATGTAGAGCTGTTCTGAATGAAAGGAAAATGGTAGGAGTTTTCAGCAGATAATGAGGACCTCAGTATCAAGAGACACACTTTTTGCTACGATCTATTCACCATACCTCTAACTTCTCTGACCATCCAGACATGGGTAAAAGAACAGGGATCATTTGACAATGAACACAAAGAAACAACTTTCAAATTGGATGATGTATCAGTATAAGAGGGCAGGCATTTAGAAGCAGCTTTTTATTAAAACCAAACCAAAACGAAAAGCTAAATACTTTAGGAAACTTCTTTTTACTATAAATGGCATCCTAAATGTTCTTGGGTTTGTATTTGTTTTCATCTTGGCTGATTTTTCCCACTGGCTAAACTACTGCTTGGGCATAGCAAATAGATCAGGGAAAAAAGCCACCATGTGGTATTAACTTCTAGGAATCTTTTTTGACCGCAACTTATTCATCTTCCTCTGAGTGCCATATGCCAAATAACAAATTATAGATCTCCTTACATCTTGATTTATTCACATGGATATCTATGAAAAGCTCCAATTTTGGAGGAAGATACAGAAATTTACAAATAGAAAGTCACATACCAAAATAGTTAAATAACATGAAAAGATGTTTGACATCATTAGCCATTGGGGAGGTCAAATTAAAACCGCAATGAGATATAACTACACACTTATCAGAATGGCTAAAGTTAAAAATAGTGAAATACCAAATGCTGGGGAGGATGAAAAGAAATCAGATTACTCACACATTTCTGGTAGAAATGTAAAATGGTACAGCTACTCTGGAAAACAGATTGGCAGTTTCTTATAAAATTCAACATGAAGTTATCATATGATTCAGTGATTGTACTCCTGGGCATTTATCCCAGAGAAATAAAAACATATGTTCATATAAAAAACCTATACAGAAATGTTGATAGCAGCTTTCTTCATATTAGATAAAAACTGGAAACCCAAATGTCCTTCAGTGGATGAGTGGTTAAACAAACTGTAGTACACCCATGCCATGGAATACTACTCAGCAATGAAAAGGAAAAAACTATAGACATATGCAGCAACTGGATGACTCACAAGGGTATGTTGTTGACTTAACACAGCTGATCTCACAAGATTATGTACTGTATGACTCCATTTATATAGCATTCTTGAAATGGCAAAATTTTAGAGATGGAGAACAGATTAGTGGTTGCCATGAGCTAAGAAGGGAGAAGAAGCAGGGGAGAAATAGATATGGCTGTGAAGGGACAGTTAGGGGGACCCTCATTGAAATGTTCTGTATCTTGACTGTGGTACTGGATACATAAATGTGATTAAATTCCAAAGAACTAAATATGCACACACACACATAAAACACAGAAATGAGTACATGTAAGCCTAGAAAATCTGGATAAGATTGATGGATTGTATCAAAATTGATTCATTCGTTGTGATATTATACTCTAATTTTGCCAGATGTTGCCATTGGGAGAAACCAGGTAAAGGGTACATCGCCTCTAAGTTTTCTTTCTTACAACTACGTGTGAATCTATAATTATCTCAAAATTAAAAGTTAAATTTAAAAAATTAAAACAATTAAAGAACCTAGTTGAACTCCATTTGCCTGGTTCTTGTAATTTTCCACTCTATTTCACTCTGTTATTCTAACTCTGGATGGAGGATCATCATAGGTGATTGTGGTGATGAAATGAGATGCTGCTTATAATGTCCTTAGCTCAGTGACTTGCACATAGTGTATATTCAATAAGTGTGATCTACCATTAAGGGAAACAAAAGAATTCACACGCCTATGCTTGATCTCAAAAGTAGATGGGGTCTTTGTTGTTTAGCTCCTTTTCTAATGCAACCATGTAAGTAAGTAAATGAACACAGGGCCATAGTGTGTTGGTTGCAATTTGGAAATCATTCATTATTTTAAATCTCATTGTATTTTTGACATGGAAGGAGATAGAGGCACAAAAAGAGGGGGCTACCAGCTAACTCAAGACAGTGCTGAGAACCTTCGCTTTCAGCCTCCTTTCCTTCCGTACTCCCCTGAAGTGCTACTCGACTTTTTTTTTTTTTCTTGTAAGCAGGCAAGGTATGAGGGGTACACATAAGGAAGAGAAAAAAACCTTCTTCTCACCATCTCATGCTTTATTTACCATAAATTTCTATCTCCTGTTGTGCCAGTTTTTAAAGCGACATACCCTGCTGAGATGTTTACATGGCCAAAGAGAGCAGCAGAGACTCCTGGGCTTGAAGGGAGGAAGCAGTCTGCTCAGATACCATTCCCTTCAGCGTTTTTGGGTCAGCGCTGCTGACATGATAAGTCCATGCATCCATATGTATCCAAATTTCCTGTGTGTACTTTTTAAAAGCACAAAATTAGAGTCATCTCGCTCTTTTTGAAATGGCCCACTTCCCAAGAAGAATGGGAGAGGGAACAGAATAGAAAAATCTTAATGAAGCAGGAGAGGCGCCAGACCCAAGGTGCGAGCTTGCTATTGTGGTTGAGACTGTCCTGCACGTGCCCACGGAAAGGCCTCACCGCCTGCCAAGTCCGCTTTCTCTACAAGCAGATCCAATAGAGAACAATGCAGAAAACACTGGCACCAGGAGAGGTCTTGCCTTCGCCTCCTCCTGCTCCGGAGCCCAGTGTTTTCCCCAAGGTTTGGGAACCAGGGAAATATGCCATATTGAAATGAAAAGCACCAGGCAGAGCTGACATTTTTATCCACCCAGATTTCTAAATGAGTTTGTCAGGAAGATAGCCACCAAATAAAGCTGGCAGTCACCTCTGAAATTGCATTCTGCATTCTGCCGCTGTAGAACAGGTTATGGAAAGTGACAGTGAAGGGGTCCCGAATTTACTAAGAGTGGGAAGATTGCTTTTGCATCTGCCCAGGTCAAAAAAGAAAGGGGGGGAATATAACATAGGCAAAGCACACCCATAATTCAGTAGTCAGTCTTCAACCTTTATTCACTTATGGCACAGACTCTCCTGCGCAGGGCACTGTGCTAGGTGCTGAGGTCACAAGGGAAACAGATTTAGTCGCAGTCCTCAATGGAGCTAACAATCCTGGGGGCTTGGGGTGAAAGGTCATAAAGACCAATGCATGCTAGGTCTGGCAGAACAGGGAAGACACCTAAACCTTTCCAAATCAAGGAGGACCTCCCAGACGGGGCTGCCTACTCAACTAAGACTAGAAAGTTTAGAAGGAGGAAACCAGGAATGGCATTAGGAGAGAAGGATGGATGGAGATGAGAAAAAGAGATGGGGAAAATGTCAAGGAGTATAAAAATAAAGAAGTGTCCCAGAGCAGTGGTTCTCATTAGAGGGATATTTTTGTCCTCCCCCTACCCCATGGCTTCATTGCAAAATCTTGCAATTTGGAGGGATATTTTTGGTCATCTTAACAGGAGTGGGTAAAAGCCAGAGGTGCAGCTAAATATCCTAAGATGCCCAGGACAGCCCCACCACAAAGAATTGCCCAGAACAGAGGTCGATGGTGCCAAGGCCAAGAAACCCTGGCCTAGAAACAAGATTTGGGGCAGGATCTCTTCTCAGAACCCTAAATAAAATAAATGACTACCCATTCTTGGGTTCTGAAAGAAGTTAAAATGTGAGTTCCTTGTGACATTCCTGGGTATTGGCGTATCATTCTCACTCAATTTTCAGGAAATTTTTTTCAGTGGATGAGGAGGTAGAGCCAGAGGAAATTAGTAATGAGAGAAGGGATTAAAAAAACACATGCATGTACTGAGATTTGCAAAATTCTTTCAAACAGCAATGTCTCTACTCTTTGTTTTGTACTTTCTACTGTTGTTTCTCCCAGTACCTCCGGCATCTTAGGCCAAGGTATTTATTGTTTTTAATCTTTTTTTTTTTCAAAAAAAAAAAAAAAACACATAAGCAAGGAAGACTTCAGATACGATCAAAGTTAATCAATGACAACTTTACAGATTATTAAAATAGTTAAAAATAGGATTAGCCAAATAAGGCAAGTCGGGTAAAGATCCTAACATTTCGTTTGAATACTGAGATTATTTTGGTCATATTATCTGTGTTAAGACGCTCATAAATAGGCCCTGGCTTATACTTCAGCTCTCATCAGTATTAACATAAGAATAAAAGTGTGTCATAAGGATTCTGAGTCCACTAAGAACATTTCTTGGGAAACACCGACAGCGAAAAGCAGTGACATGTCTGGTTTGGACACTAAGATGTGATATACAATCCCCCTTTCTCATTTCCTATCTTGACAATCCATACAACCCTTAAACAAAGGGGGCAAAATCACTTTTGGAAAATCTTCTTACAAAGTGTGAATATCTAATATCCCAGGCACATGGTCAGTTAATGTATTTGAGCATACACGAAGGAATTTGCTGAATGCTGACAGCACCGGCTAACACTTCATTTTACTATTGCATATTTATGAAATTAATGATATAATGCTTACCATCCCTCGTAACTTTAACTCTGGATGATGGTATTTGATCCTGTGGGAATGCATTGTCATTAAGCCCAGAATTAAAAGCAAGAATAATCTCAAATTTTGAGGGGGTGACAAAGAAAGATGAATATGAGAGACTACATTGTATATTAAATGTAGGAGCTTAATGAGAACAAAGTAAAACAAATAAAAAAATAAGTCAGGTATTTTTCCCCAATATGCCAGCTAAGGTTTTATTTTTACAGAAGTGACCCATGCTCACTTATATGATTGAGGGATTACCAAATCCCAAATCCTGTCAGTCTAAGTATGTTTCATCTCCAGATGAATATATCTACCACAGACTCCGTGCCTCACTGTAAAAATCTGACATAGAAAATGTATGTATATTAGAAATAGAAAAGAAAGAAAAACTCCTTAATAGCCTGTCCATGTTCTGTTAGCTAAAAAGGATTTTTATATACTCATAAAAATATTTTAATTGATTATGGATCACAGATTTTCACTGTGGAGATATACAGGTATGATAGCATTATCAATTATCATCAGCTAATGAACATGGCAGCTATTTGTAAATATTATATGTTTTTTTCTCATTTTCAAAATCGAACTTCAGTTGATAGTATTCAATGAGTTATCCAAAAGGTCTCTATATTTCATGAATGAAGTCCAGGATATTCTCACAATGGAATATCAAAATAAGAGTCAAACATCTGTCCAAAATCACTCGGGTTGGAAAAAAAATGTAAAATGAACCTGTCATAGGGGACACTGAATAAAAATTTTACATTCTAAATATTCAAGAACTAGTCGTAAGAGGTGACTTTAGTAGTTCACAACCACAAAATATGCTTGCTACTCTTGATCAGGGATGGTCAATAGCATTTGTACGGTAGATTGGCGCTGGCCCTCTGGAGGGTGGGTGGGATGAACTGTTGAGGCTAAGTGTGACCTAGAGTAGGATTTTCCTTCAATGTCTGTTATGGGTATGGAAGTAGGAAACAGTGGAATGAACATATAATAGCCATGGCGACTCTGAATTACTTCTAATTATTGAAATGGTAAAGTTCTAGAAAAGGGCCTCAATAACTTTTCTTTAGCTAAATAGAGTACTTGTGAATTTACTTATGTACATAAACCATGTTATATTTTTGATATTGTGTAAGGCACACAATTTATGTATTTGCTACACTTAGATGGTCACATGAATTGTAAGGATTGAAGACAAAATCTTATTTTAAATTTTAATGCAGGACTCCCACATTCCTTCCCCAAACACATCACAGTGATTAGGAATTTATGTCTTATCATGAGGCAAGGTTTCAAGGGGACACTTCCTTTTTTATAGGCAAATTTTATGCTAGATGACTAATGCCAAAGAAACTTGCCCTGACCTTTCAGGCTGTAACTAACTAAGGCAAATTAATAAAAGTTATGCCTGTAAAAAGGTAAGGCAACATAACAGTAACGCTCTGGAAATGCAGCCAGAAGGTCTAAAGTAAAGCACAAGAGAAAAAGTAGAGAAGAGAATTCAGACTGTAGGAGCAGCAACAGCTACGGAAATATCTTTGATCAAAAATGACTTGGCAGAAGAGTTTTACTCCAATAAAATTTTCACTGAAGCCAGTGCCTCAGGCCTTAGTTGCAGCTTCGGTAGGAATTAAGAAAAGTAGATGAAGCAGGTGGAAACTCAGTGAGGAAGCAGGAAGAGGCAATCTTCTGATCTGTCCTACATAATTCTGCAAACAAAAGCAATCTTTACCTGGAAACGAGTTGAAATACGGAGCCTATCTCTGGGGCTGATTTTGGAGACTATGTTATACTGTATATACACACATAACCACGCAGGCATCCACCTCCATATACACTGCAGAAACCTTCCACTTAAAACGTACTTCCCTATGATGGTGAAGTTGTTGGAGTTTCAATTACGCGGTAAACTTAAAACAGTTATTCTCTAAAAGGCTTGTGCTCACATAAGCGTACAATATGTATTTAAAAAGTGCAGTTTGTAACCTCGTTGTTGAATTAGCAAGCGGGTTCCGTATTTAAATTGTTCATTTCATTCTAGAACAATAATAACGCTAAGTAATAAAGATTCTGTGAAACATTTTAATTCATCGGATGTGTTGCTTTATCTTAGGCTGCTACTGAGTTTCAATTAAGAGTGTATGGAAAAACAAATAAACTATCAGACTGTCTCTTTTTTTTTTTTTTTTTTTTTTGTATTTTTAAAAACTAAGATTTTTCGGCTAACTACTAAGCTAGTTATTAAAAAGCCACAGCCATCCTGGGCTCCTTGCAAGAACAATGCGGCAAATGATCGAGGTGGTGCCGGCCAGGCTGATGACTTTATATGCTGCGTCCCGGCTCGGTGACCCACAAATCTCCTTTGATATGCCAGGCAGGAGAAAGAGCTTGAAAGGATCAGGAGGAGAAGGGCCCGATGAAGCCATCATGTGACAAGAATCCTAAGACTGCCGCGGAAAGAAAAAAAAAAAAAAAAAGCGAGAGCCCGAGAGCCGGGCAGCAGCGCGGGGAGGCGGGCGGCGCGGGCGCGGCTGATAGAGACGTCGGAGCCGCCCGAGTGACCCGCTAGCGGCTCAGCCGGGGCGCCCAGACCACCGAGGACGCGGGCCGGCGCGGGCCAGGCGGAGCCCGGGAAGCAGTCTTCGCTAAATTAAAGAAATCTCCATGGAAATTAGCATGAAACATTTTCTAATCTCCCGCTTTTCACTGCCGACAAGGGTCACTGGTTTAGCTTCCCTCTTATTTTATTATTCCCCAGCCACTTCCCCGGCGTCTTTATACCCTTCCATCCTGCCACGAGTTTTCAGCCCATCTATGTTGTGTCTTGCTGGGATTCTTAACCCTTTTAGGCTATCTTTTCTGAAAAAAAAAAAAAAAAAAAAAAAAAAAAGATAGGACAGTATTATTATTGCTGTTGCTGCTGTTACTGTTATTATCACCACATCCAGCATGAACACGCTAGCTCTTCCAACACAATTACGCGCATGGGAAGCCTTGGAGAGCATCGCTCTTTCTAACCTCTGGGCAGTGCAGTCACTACCTTGCACCGAGTCACTCCCAAACCCAGCTGCGAGATGGGCAGGTGAAGCAGCTGTCCCCTTCCTTAACCGTGGCCTTACAGTTTTCGGGCTGCTCCTCTCTGTCGCCTTAATTGTCTGACAGAATGAAGTGCCACCAAATTCGGCTTCTCCTAAGGTGCGGTGCACCAGGCAGCTCCCACCTGGGCATGGAGGGGGCACAGCTCCAAGCAGAGTGTGTGTGTGGTGTGTGTATGTGTGTGCACACACTCATGCTTACCTGAACTTTGGCATGTCACCTAACCTCTTTGAGCCACTTTAAGTCATTAGGAAAATGGGAATATTATACCCTTATAAGGCGGTGGAAAGCATTATGCGATGTGGTGGAAGTGAAGCTTTCTACATATTAATAGATACCCAGAAAAAGATTATTAGTATTAAAAGTAAGAACTACACACGCTGCAACAATTTTAAAAATTGATGACAAATCTTAAGATGTGAAAATTACATATTTAGGTCTCTTATTCATTAAACATCTCCAGCTGGAGCCTTTGAGAGTCAGGACTCTAAGTCCATCAAACCAATCATAAAAGGAAAAAGTATTAATAACGTGTATTGAGTGCTCACATACGCTAGATAGCTTTAGGGACACTGTCTTATTTAATCCCTAGGGCATCTCAACTTTAGTGGGTTCTTTGAAGTCAGAGGCTGTGCTGGTTTTTATTCATCTAGGTATTGCCAGTCCGTGAAATAGTTCCTAACACAGAGTAGAAGCCTCTTGTTACTATCAAAGGCCTCTGTGTTCGATATTCTGCACTCAGAACCATACATATCCTATTTAATCATCTCAAGAATTCTGTGAGTTAAGAATTGCCGCATTTTGTAGCAGGGAAAACCATAGGGAAAGTAAAGGAGCTTGCTGCAAATCACACCTTCAGTAGTCAATGGCGATGAAACTTGAGGACCTGATTCAATTCGCCAAACGATCTCCATTCACTGAAAGAGAAAACGGAAGCAAAGAGAGGTGAAGTAACTTTCCCGGACTCACACAGTGAATACATTGGCAGATCCAAGCTCTAGATCAGGTTTACCCAGTCCTGGTGTCTATGTCGTCCTTCTCCACGGCAGCTCAGGAAGGCAACAGGTTCTCATTTTAAAAGTTGTCATCTAATTTCAGGCTTAAATTCCACACTTTGTATGAGCAGATCTAGCCTTAGTAATCTTTATTAGTTTGTGCAAAAGTGTATATAATATAGTCTTTGCCATTTTTATGTGTGTGGAAATTTAGAGATCTCTTTGAACCTTTGCAAGTGACTCAACATCACATTCCCAGACAGCACAGGCTGTGTTGGAAACAATAGTTCAAAAATAAAATCTGTTTTCTTCAACAATTTTCAGACAAGGCCAAATGAGAACCATTTCTAGAATAATTTGTTTATCTGCTTTTATCCTATTGTGAAAATGTTAATTTTTTTGGTATGGAACATTAATTCCATAAATACTGATTTTACATGTAAATAAAATTCTATTTTAGATTCATAGAGAAATTTATAATTTAAATAATGTTGCGAATTATTTTATAAAAATGGACATTTTGAGACAAAATACATCTGTTTTAAACCTTGGTTTAGTATCTCCAATTTCCTTTGTGTGTGTGTGTGCATTTATATGTGCATATGTATTAGTGTGTGTGTACATATGTCTTTGATTACTGAAAATTGACAGAATGATGACAACAGTCTGTAACAGGAGGAAAGTCAGTAAGTTCGGTTATTTCCTATCTATTGCAAATAAGAAATAAAATCAGTGTACTTTATACTGCTGCTGGTTGTGTAACAAGGTTTTTAACACATATCCATTTCTTTCAGCCAAACGCCCAAACGAGGTTTCCCAAACTGATAACATTAAAGAAACTGTGTCCTACTGATACTTGGTCTATAGTTAGGAAGCTTCCCCAAAGTCCTAAGGCACACTTTGGAATATTAACCCCTGTTGATGTAAAGTACCAGGATCTTGAGTTCACAAGGTAGGCTCAATCCACATCCTCTTTATCTGCTACTGTTGTCTCCGATTTCAAGGCACCTTTATCCCGAGTCTCTCCTCTGAGTGTTGCTCTCAACCCCACCAATGAAACGCATGGTTTACCCAGTCCTGGGTAAACCTGATCTAGAGGAGTGGACTTATGCTAAAGTACTCAATTTTGCAATGAAATGGCATTAAGAAACCAAAGGCCGGCAATAAACACACTATAAACATAATTGAAGCTGGCATACTAGAAAAAATGAGTGTGTTTCATGTGAAAATTTAAAATGACAATTCCAGTATACTTATGCAGGTATTAAAGCATATAAAAAGGAATTCTAGACAAATCTAAGTCAAAGATACTTAATTGCAGAGGATACTAAAGGCACAATTCCTAATAGATAAGAAATAAATAAAAATATCCTAGCAAAGAAGCCATAAATATGAGGAGGTTGTTAAGATTGCGATTGTTGAATGGATCTTGCATTCATATTTCTAGAGAGCACCAATGACTACCAAGGAGCACACTGTTCCTTACCCCATCCCACCACTTAACACGTCTTCATTTTGTTTTTAAATACCCAGCCGACCCTCGTACAGCCCCTTACTTTAGGAAGGCTGAGCCCTTCAGCTGTGGGCCTGTTTGCTCCAAGGACAGTTTAATTCCATTTCCAAATTAGCTAAAGATTGAACATTTGATTCAGTTCTGGATAATGAGTTGCTGGAAGCTGGAGAGAAGTTCTTCCTCACTCTTAGAGAAGTTAAGGGACACTAGTTCACCTCTCTCCATCACCAACATATACAAAAAATCATGTGCAAGGCTGATAACTATTATCACAAGCCATCACAGTATATAGGTTTAGGGAGAAATTAAACTCTTTGTAGAGCAAAGCAGTGAAAAGGGAAGATTCTGGGTCCAGACAACATTAAGTCTTCACACCTTGAACCTCCTCTTAGGTGAGCTTATAGTTTCCATGTTTTACTGTTTCAACCAGTGTGAGCTGTTTTTCTGTAGGCATAATTAAAAGCATCCTGAATGTTGCATGCTGAGCTATTCCAGAAAAATCACCTAATAGCTTTATTAATTAAGACTCTGTGGGATGCTGAGACAGGTGTATCACCTGAGCTCAGAAGTTCAAGACTAGCCTGGGAAACGTGGCAAAATCTCAGCTCTACAAATAAAATACAGAAATTAGCATGGCATGGTGGCACACAACTGTGGTCACAGCTACTAGGCAGGCTCAGGTGGCAGGATCACTTGAGCATAGCAGGCCTAGGCTCCAGTGAGCCATGGTCATACCACTGCACTCCAGCCTGGGTGACAGAGTGAGAACCTGTCTCAAAAAATAAACAAACAAACAAATAAAGTTTTTAAGTTTCTAAAAAAAGAATCTGACATGCTCCTCTAATGCTGTTTTCCTATATATTTGGTTGCTTATCATTGACCGGCTTTTCATGTGTCAAAACTTTTGTCATATAATTTTCCATGGAGCTAGTAGAGTCATTTTTCCTTTACCATGGTTGACTGAAGTTTTCTTTTTCTACTGATAGATGGGAAAAGTATCCTTCAGCTTCATAAATTGGTATACGTAAACTTTAAAATAAATATATTTATTAGGCCGGGTGTGGTGGCTCATGCCTGTAATCCCAGCACTTTGGGAGGCCAAGGAGGGCAGATCATGTGGTCAAGACATCAAGACCATCCTGGCCAACATGGTGAAACCCTGTCTCTACTAAAAACACAAAAATTAGCCAGGCGTGGTGGTGGGCACCTGTAATCCCAGCTACTCGGGAGGCTGAGGCAAGAGAATCGCTTGAACCCCGGAGGTGGAGGTTGCAGTGAGCTGAGACTGCTGTGCCACTGCACTCCAGCCTAGCCACATAGTGAGACTCTGTCTCAAAAAACTAATAATAGTAATAAAAATAAATATATTTATTGAAGTACAACCCACATATGGAAAATTGCAGAAAGCATAACAGTGCAGCTGGATGACTTTTCACAAGGGGAGTACCTCCAAGAAACAACCACCCAGATAAAAAATTGAAGTTTTATTAATACCCTGAGAGAGCTTCCTCATGTTCTTTCCTAGTCACTAACTCACTCTCCTAGCCAAAAGCACCAGTGTCTTAATGACTAACACCATAGATTCATGCTGCTGCTGCTGCTGTGTGTGTATGTGTGTGTGTGTGTGTGTGTGTGTGTTTGTGTGTGTTTAGAGATGGGGGATCTTGCTTGGTTGCCCAGTCTGGTCTCAAATTCTCGGACTTAAATGATTCTCCCACCCTGGCACCCCAAAGAACTGGGATTGCAGGCATGAGCCACTGCACCTGGCCTGCTTATTTTTAAATTTGACATAAATAGACTCATACTTGATGTATCCTTTTGAATAATACAAAGTATGTGTTCTAATTTTTCTGCCTGCCTTTAGTTAAATATCATGTTGGTGGCATTCTTCCATTGTAATTTATTTTAGTTGCCGTGTAGTATTTTGCTGCATGACCATAGCATTAATTGTTTTTCAGTTCTACTGTTTTTGTATCAGAGTTATTAGTTTTTTAAAACAAATTGTTTCCCTTTCATGATTTTATATTCTTTAAAGGAGTTTGCATAAGATATTATTTTTCCTTCAATGTTTGACAGAAATTAATGGTGAAGCTACCTTGTCCTAGAGTTTTAATTGATGGATAGCTTTCAATAACATATTTAATATATTTAATAAATATTTAAATATAAGTGCTTGTAATTCCTCTTTCAACAGATTTGCAAAGCTGTGTATGTTTTCCTAGGCATTTACTAAGAATTATAACTGATCAATATCGTTGGCATAAATATCTCAATATTTACTAACATTAATATCTTTCTCCCATTCCTGATTTTGGTAATTAGCTTTTTCTTACTTTTTATTCCAGCAATCTAAAAAATTGAGATGTTTAATATTTTTCTCTATTTTTTCCTATTTTGTTAATATAGTTATGTTCTTATATTGCTTTCTTTTTTTCACTTTTTTGGAAATTCAGTCTTCTGATTATAACTTCTTCAGAGGACACTTAGATGAACAATTTTCAGCCACTCTTTTTTTTCTAATATGTAATTTTAAGACTATCATTTACCTTTATCTACTGTTTAAGTTGAATCCCTCCTTTCTCTTTCTCTTTTTTTTTTTTTTTTTTTTTTTTTTCTGAGACGGAGTCTCGTTCTGTCGCCCAGGCTGGAGTGCGGTGGTGTGGTCTCAACTCACTGCAACCTCCACCTCCTGAGTTCAAGCAATTCTCCTGCCTCAGCCTCCTGAGTAGCTGGGATTACAGGTGTGTACCACCACGCCCGGCTAATTTTTGTATTTTTAGTAGAGACAGGGTTTCACCACATTTGCCAGGCGGGACTCAAACTCCTGACCTTAAATGATCCATCCGCTTCAGCCTCCCAAAGTGCTGGGATTACAGGCATGAGCCACCGCGCCTCGCCTGAATCCCTCCTTTTGAAAAGTTGCATTTTTATTGTCACTCAGCAGAAAATATTCACTCATATGCATCATAAATTTTTTGACCCACAGATTCTTTAGAAGTATACTGATGAATATGCAAATATTAGAGCTTTTCCTCTTTTCTTTCTCTATTGACTTTTAGCATAATTACACTATGAGTACAGAATATACTTTCTGAAATTTCAATACTTAGAAATTTGTTATTTTATGGCTTAGCATATGGTGATTTTGGTAAACGTCTTATGTGTATTTGAAAAGATTATATATGCATAAGGTATTGAATGCAGATTTCTATCTATATAAATAAAGTTGTCTGAAAATCATAATCCAAATAATGTATATTCTTATTAATTTTTTGTCTATTTCTAACAGTTGCTCAGTGAGATGTATAAAATCATACACTTTCTTTTTGTTTGCCTTTTGTTTGTTTATGCAATCAGTGTTGTCATCAGTTTAAAATAATGAGTTATAAAATAGTATTTGCAAGCTTCATGGTAACCTCAAATTAAAAAAGAAAAATCATGCAATGGATACACAAAAAATAAAAATCAAGAAAGTAAATCACACCACCAGAGAAAATCACCTTCGCTAAGAAGAAGACAGGAGGGAAGAAAACAAGGAAGTGAAGACCACAGAACAACCAGAAAAAAAATTAACAAAATGAAAGGAGTAAGTCCTTACTTATCAGTAATAACGTTGACTGTAAATGGACTAAATTCTCCAAATGAAAGTCATAGATTGCCTGAATGGATTTAAAAAAAAATCAGTGATCTATGGCCTACAAGAAACATGCTTCACCTATAAAGACACACGTAGACAAAATAAAGGGATAGAAAAAGATACTCCATGTCAGTGGAAACTAAGGAAGAGCAGGATTAGCTATACTTATACCAGACAAAATAGATTTCAAGATAAAAAACTGTAAGAAGAGACCAAGAAAGTCATTATATAATGATAAGGGGGTCAATTCAGCAAGAGGATATGACAATTGTAAATATTTTTGCACCCAACACTGGAACAACCAAATATATAAAGCAAATGTTATTAGAGCTAAAAAGAGAGAAAGACCTGAGTACAATAATAGCTGAAGACTTCAGCATTGGCTAGATCTTCCAGACAGAAAATTGGCAAAGAAACATTAAACTTAAGCTTCACTATAGAACAGATAGAGCTAATAGGTATTTACAGAACATTTCATCCAATTGCTGCAGAATATACATTCTTCCTCACAGCATATGGATCGTTCTCAAGGATAGACCATATGTTAGGTCACAAAACAAGTCTTAAAACATTTAGGAAAATGGAAATAATGTCCAGCATCTTCTCTGACCATAATGGAATAAAACTAGAAATCAATAAGAGAAATTCTGGAAACTATACACACGGAAATTAAACAATATGCTTCTGAATGACAAGTGAGTCAATGAGGAAATAAAGAAGGAAATTGAAAACTTTCTTGAAACAAATCGTGATGGAAACACACACAACATACCAAAACCTCTGGGATACAGCTAAAGCAGTACTAAGAGGAAAATTTATAGCTATTAGCACCTACATCAAAAAAGAAAACCTCAAATAAATAACCTAATGATGCATCTTAAAGAACTAAAAAAGCAAGAACAAACCAAACCCCGAATTAGTAGAAGAAAAGAAATAATAAAGACCAGAGCATAAATAAATGAAATTGAAAAGAAGAAAAAAACCCCAAAAGATCAATGAAGCAAAAAGTTGGTTTTTTGAAAAGATAAACAACATTGACAAACCTTTAGCCAGACTAATGAGGAAAAAGAGAAGACCCAAACAAATAAAATCAGAGATGAAAGGACAACATCACAACTGATACTGCAGAAATCCAAAGGATCATTTGTGGCTACTATGAGCTACTACATGCCATTAAATTGGAAAATCTAGAGGAAAAGGATACACTCCTAGACACATACAACCTATCAATATTGAGCCATAAAGAAATTCAAAACTTGAACAGACTAATATCAAATAACGAGATTGAAGCCATAATAAAAAGTCTCCCAGTAAAGAAAAGCCTGAGATTGGATAGCTTCACTGCTGAATTCTATAAAACATTTAAAGAAGAACTAATATCAATCCTACTCAAACAATTCTAAAGAATAGAGAAGAAGACTTCCAAAATCATTCCACAAGGCCGGTGTTACCCTGATACCAAAACCAGATGAAAATACACCAAAAAAGAAAACTATATTCCAATGTTCTTGATGAATGTTGATACAAAAATCCCCTCAAAATACTAGCAAATTTAATTCAACAATACATTAACAAGGTTATTCATTGTGACCAAGTGGAATTTATCTCAGGCATGCAAAAATAGTTCAATATATGCAAATCAATCAATGTGATACATCATATCAACAGAATGAAGAACAAAAACCATATGATCATTTCAATTGATGCTAAAAAAGTATTTGATAAAATTCAACATCCCTCCATAATATTATAAAAACACTCAAAATACTGGGTATACAAGGAATGTACCTCAACATAATAAAAGCCATGTATGACAGACCCACAGATAGTATCATAATGAATAGGGAAAAAGTGAAAATCTTTCCTCCAAGATCTGGAACAAGAAAAAGATGCTCACTTTCACCACTGTTATTCAATATAGTATTGGAAGTCCTAGCTAGAGCAATCAGACAAGAGAAAGACACAAAGACCATCCAAATTTTAAAAGAAAAATCCAAATTATCCTTGTTTGCAATTAATAATGATCTTATACTTGGAAAAACCTAAAAACTCCACCAAGAAACTATTAGAACTGATAAACAAATTTAGTAAAGTTGCAGGATACAAAATCAACATTCAAAAATCAGTAACATTTCTTTATGCCTACAGTGAACAATCTGAAAAAGAAATAAAAAGGTAATCTAATTTACAGTAGCCACAAATGAAATTAAATACCTATGATTTAACTTAACCAAAGAAGTGAAAGATTTCTACAAAGAAAACTATAAAACTAGAAACCACTGATGAAAGAAATTGAAAAATATACAAAAAAAATTGAAAGATATTCCATGTTTATGGATTTGTAGAATCAATATTGTTAAATATCCATACTACCCAAAGCTATCTACAGATTCAATACAATCCTTATCAAAATACCAATGGCATTCTTCAAAAAAAATTAAAAAGAATCCAAAAATTTATATGGAACCACAAAAGACCCAGAATAGCCAAAGGCCAAAGCCATCCTGAGCAAAAAGAACAAAACTCAAGGAATCCCATTTCCTGACTGCAAATTATACTACAGAGCCATAGCCATAGTAAACACAACAGTATGGTACTGAAATCAAAACAGACACACATACCAATGGAACAAAATAGAGAACCTAGAAACAAATTCATACATAGAAAGTGATCTCATTTTCAACAAAGGCTTCAAGAACATATGTTGGGGAATAAAAAAAAACAATCTGTTCAATAAATGGTACTGGGAAAATTGAATATCCATATGCAGAAGAATGAAACTAGACCCCTATTTATCTCCATATACAAAAAAACAAATAAAAATGGATTAAAGACTTGATTAAAGACTTAAATCTAAGACCTCAAACTATGAAACTGCTAAATGAAAACTTTGGGAAAACTCTCCAAGAAGTGGGCAAAGATATCTTGAGTGACACTCCACAAGAACAGTCAACCAGAGTAAAAATGGACTAATGGGATCACATTAAGTTAAAAAGCTTCTGCTCAGCAAAGGAATCAATTAGCAAAGTGGACAACCCATAGAATCGGAGAAAATATTTGCAAACTACTCACCTGACAAGGGATTGAGAATCAGAATATATAAGGAGCTCAACTATATAGCAAAAAAATCTAATAATCTGATTTTAAAAATGGGCAAAAGATCCAAATAGACATTTCTCAAAGGAAGACATACAAATGGCAAACAGGCATATGAAAAGTAACTGAACATCATCAATCATCAATGAAATGCAAATTGAAAGTACAATGAGATATCATTTCACCCCAGTTAAAATGGCTTTTATCCAAAAGACAGGCAATAACCAATGCTAGAGAGGGTATGGAGAAAAGAATATGGAGAAAAGACCCTCATAGACTATCGGTGGGAATATAAATTAATACAACCACTATGGAGAACAGTTTGGAGATTCCTCAAAGAACCAAAAATAAAGCTACCATGCAATCCAGCAGCCCAACTGCTAGGTACATACACAAAAGAAAGAAAATCAAGATATCTAAGTGGTATCTGGACTCCCATCTTTATTGCAACACTATTCACAATAGGCAAAGTTTAGAAGCAACCTAAGTGTCCATCAACAGATGAATTGATAAAGAAAATGTGATACGTATACACAATGGAGTATTATTCTGCCATAAAAAATAATGAGATTGAGTAATTTGCAACAACAGGGATGGAACTGGAGAATAATAAGCCAGTTACAGAAAGATAAACTTGGCGTGTTTTCACTTATTTGTGGGAGCTAAATAGTAAAATAATTGAACTCATGGAGATAGAGAGTAGAAAGATGGTTACCAGAGGCTGAGAAGGATAGTGGTGGTGGTGAAGGGGATGAGGGGATGGTTAATAGATACACAAAAATGGAAAGAATAAATAAGACCTAGTATTTGATAGCACAACAGGGTGACTCTAGCACAGCAGGGTGACAATTATACTACTTTGAAAATAACTAAAAGCATATATATAATTGGATTGTGTGTAACATGAAGGATAAATATTTGAGGGGATGGATACCCAATTTTCCTTGATGTGATTATTACATCATGATATTGCATGCCTGTATCAAAGCATCTCATGTACTCCAAAAACATATATACCTACTATGTACCCATAAAAATTTAAATTTAAATTTAAATAAACTTATACACTAATTGTAAATTATCTATTTCTCCTTTTAGTTTTATAAATTTCCATTTTTTTTCTTGAGGCTACCATTTTAAATGCATAAATATTTATAATTTTTGTATCATCCTGGTAGATTGAACCTTTTCTCTTATTATGAAATATTTTTGCCATAAAATCTACATTGTTTTCTATTATGATAGCTACATTGGCATTCTTTTGTTTAGTCTTTGTGTGGCTAAATTTTCTTTTTTAATTTTTTAAACTGTATTTGTGGGTGTGTGTGTTTATACACATATCTTCTAAATCCTACACATATATGATATAAAGTTCATATATACCATTTATGTTTTTCGTATGTAGATATATATGTATAATAGTTCATTTTGCCCAATTTGAGGATCATTGTCAGAAATGTATACAATGTTTTAATTAAGCCTCTATTTATATTTAATGTAATTTAATGTTACTATTGATATACTTGTAATTAAATTCTCCATCTTACTATTTTTCCTGTTTGTCAATGTATTTTTTTTCTTCTCTTTCTACCATGATTTGGGTGAAGCAAGAATTTTTTATCATTCTACTGTTCTCCTCTATTATAATTTTAGTTACATATTATTTTCCTTTCTTTCATTTTATTACCATAGAGATAACCAAATTCATCCCTGATTTAAAAGCTAATATAAATTAATGCGTACCACTTCTTGGAGAGTTTAAGTCCTTCATATGTTAATACTTCAAATAATGCAGTGTTACTTTACATATTCAAAATCTATTCGAATACATACACTTATTTTGTGCCATTGATATTTAATTTTTTGGCTCTTCAGTTCTTTCTTCGTTTCCTTATCTTAAAGTCACGGTTTTTTCTTCCCAAAAACCTCTCTTTAATAGTTCTTTTAATATATGTTCCTTGAAATAAATTACCTCCATCATGTATATGTGTCAAGATGTCTGTAACCTTCTTTTTTTAAAAAAACTGGTTTTGCATCTGAGCTTTGACAAATATGACAAAAACAAGCAATGGGGAAAGGATTCCCCTCTATTTAATAAATGGTGCTGGGAGAACTAGCTAGCCATATGGAGAAAGCTGAAACTGGATCCCTTCGTTATACCTTGTACAAAAATTAAGTCAAGATAGGTTAAAGACTTAAATGTTAGACCTAAAACCATAAAATCCCTAGAAGAAAACCCAGGCAATACCATTCAGGACATAGGCATGGGCAAGGACTTCATTTCTAGAACACCAAAAGCAATGGCAACAAAAGCCACAATTGACGAATGGGATTTAATTAAACTAAAGAGCTTCTGCACAGCAAAAGAAACTATCATCAGAGCAAACAGGCAACCTACAGAATGAGAGAAATTTTTTGCAATCTACTCATCTGACAAAGGGCTAATATCCAGAATCTACAAAGAACTTAAACAAATGTACAAGAAAAAAAACAAACAACCCCAGCAAAAAGTGGGTGAAGGATATGAACAGACATTTCTCAAAACAAGACATTTATGCAGCCAAAAGACACATGAAAAAATGCTCATCATCACTGGCCATCAGAGAAATGCAAATCAAAACCACCATGAGATACCATCTCACACCAGTTAGAATGGCAATCATTAAAAAGTCAGGAAACAACAGGTGCTGGAGAGGATGTGGAGAAATAGGAACACTTTTACACTGTTGGTGGGACTGTAAACTAGTTCAACCATTGTGGAAGGCAGTGTGGCGATTCCTCAGGGATCTAGAACTAGAAATCCTATTTGACCCAGCCATCCCATTACTGGGTATATACCCAAAGAATTAGAAATCATGCTGCTATAAAGACACATGCACACGTATGTTTATTGCGGCACTATTCACAATAGCAAAGACTTGGAACCAACCCAAATGTCCATCAATGACAGACTGGATTGAGAAAATGTGGCACATATACACCATGGAATACTATGCAGCCATAAAAAATGATGAGTTCACGTCCTTTGTAGGGACATGGATGAAGCTGGAAACCATCATTCTCAGCAAACTATCGCAAGGACAAAAAAACCAAACACCGCCTGTTCTCACTCATAGGTGGGAATTGAACAATGAGAACACTTGGACACAAGAAGGGGAACATCACACACCAGGGCCTGTCATGGGGTGGAGGGAGCGGGGAGGGATAGCATTAGGGGATATACCTAACATAAAAGACGAGTTAATGGGTGCAGCACACCAACATGGCACATGTATACATATGTAACAAACCTGCACGTTGTGCACATGTATCCTAGAACTTAAAGTATAATTAAAAAAAAAAGACTGGTTTAGGTAGATATAGAATTTAAGGTTAGTAGTTATTTTAAGCACTTTAAAAGTATCATTCAATTTTCTTCTCTTTCCCATCATTTGTAATGTAAAGTCAACTGTCAGCTTTACTGTTGAAATTTTATAGTAGTGTTTCATTATAGTTCTTCAGCTGCTTTTAAATTTTTTTCTGTATTTTTTATTTTTAGTCTTTTTACCTGTGATATGCTTTCATGTAGTTTTCTTTGTATTTATCTTGATCTATGTTTATAGCCTCTTGCAAACTACGGCTTGATGCTTTTCACCAGTTTTAGAAAATTCTTGACCAATATGATTTCAAAATGTAGCTTCTGTGCCATTCTTTCTCCGCTATCTTTAAGGCGTTTTCAAATTTCAAGCAATTTTTATTTTCATTGCTTTACAAATACGCTTGCACTCTTATATGTAATTTTTCACAGATTTTGGTGTCTGCTTAATATGGATCTCTTCTAGTGGAGTATCTTTCAGTTAACAGGTCTTATATTCTTCTGTTTAGTCTGCTGTGAAACCCATTTATTCAATAATTAATTTTAGTTATTTTATTTTTCAATGCTAGACTTTCCCTTTTATTTATTTTCATTCCAGTTTACATGGTAAAATCATCCATTTTGGCACTCAATTGCCTACAAAATATTTATCTGCTCACCAAACCATTTCTAAACTATTCCTATGATTCATTCCACTTTGATTTGTTCTGCTGAATTGGTGAACCTCATATGTAAGGTCACCTTCTGCTGAATTGGTGAACCTCATATGTAAGGTCACCTTGCACCAGAAGTGAAGGTCTTACAATGAAGCATTCACAGAGATAGATAGGCTATATTCAAAGAATGTTGACACATATTCAGGAAGAGAGAGAAAAGCAGGCTTGTCTAGGGAGACAAAAGCATGAATCCCTCCAACTTTGCCTGCCTGTTATGCCCCCAAAATGCAATGTCCATTGTCCATCAACAAACTACACAATACACATGTGTTTCATGACAACTCCCTGTCTTGTTATTCAGCCTCATCTCACACTTCTTTGTCCATTGCCCCAACACCGTTGAATTCCTTTCTGTTTCTCAAATATATTCAAGGTTTACTCTATTATGCAAACTTACCCATACTCTCCTCTTTTTTAAGCCGTGAATCTCCCACTTAAATGGATAAGTTGTACACATCCATAAAGCCCCAGCTTCAAGTCCATTTCCCTGGGGGTATAATCTCAGACACTCCGGATCACATTGAATGTCTTTGTTATCAGATTTGTAATTATTTGTTTAATGATTCTCTTCCATTGGTCAGTGAGGGCATGGATCACATCTGTGTTGTCCAGTGTTTTACGCCCAGTGCCTGCTGCAGGGTTTATGTCAAAGTCCATAACCTTTAACTTCATAGAAAGGAAAGGAAACCAATGCAAAAACCTTCCCAGGATTCAAGACATTTTGTAAATTACTTCTTACAAGAAACATGTTCTGATTTTAATATAAATAAAGCTAGACAGAAATTTCGAGCTGGAAGAAATTTTTAGAAACCAACCTATGTAATCACATCACCTCACTCATAAGAAAACTGAGGACCAGAGAGCACCAGTGATTACCAAAGAGTTGATGTTAATGATGATGATAATAATAATGGCCAAATGCAAGCCATCTCAGTCAATGACAGACTAGTCCACAACGCAGAATCCCTCCTATCTGCTCCAAATGTTCTCTATGATTCTCAGCAATAGTGCAAAAACTCAGTGGTGGCAACTGATCATGCCAATGATCAAGAACTCAAGTTTGTAGAGGATTTGCTTTCCTAGTAGAATCAAATCAACGCATCTTTAAAACAGTGTCATTCTAACATACACTTGAATAGCAATTTCAGGGTTTTTTTTGTAATGAAGACATTTGTTAAATCATTAGAGTGTTTTACCTGCAAGTACACAAAACCTAGCAAAAAGTGTTTTCCATAATAATGAGTTTCATATGTCACGCATAGCCCAGAGGTAAGTCAATTCCAAGGATAATCCACTGACTTAATGATGTCATCCATGAGCCAGGTTCTTTTGGTCTTCCTGCTTTGCAAATATTTGCACACTGGCCCTTGTCCTCACGACTTATTTTTCTTGGTTGTAATGTGACTGCAGTAGTCCCAAGCACCATATCCTAAAAGAGGAAAAAAAGTTTCCCATTTTAACAGCAAGAGAAACTTTCTCAAAATCTCTACCTAAGCCCCACTGGCCAGAACTGTGTCAGAAGCTCACTTCTGAACCAAATGCTATAAACAGGGTCATTAAATCACCATGGTTAACCTAGACAAATCAGCATTTTTTTTCTTGCTTTGGAGAAGGACAGTTTCTCGTGAAGTAGACAGCTCAAGAAGGGGGCAAATGTCGACCAGCTGATGCCAGTAGGTAATGAACAATGCTTGTCATATTTATTTTAGACTTTTTTTTTTTAAGATCAGATGATTGCCTAGCTGAGATTTGATAGGGGAAATGTTAAGTATTTTTGACTTCTGTCAAATTTTATAAAAAGCTTTAAAATATTTTAACTTCCCTGTGATGTCTTAATTGCTAGTACAATACATCCAATTGCTAAACATTTTCTAAGATTGAACATTAATTGTTCAGAACTTCAACTCTATCTGATAAATAACATGAAAATAAATGCACGGGGTTTTTTTTGTTGTTGTTTGTTTGTTTGGTTTGGTTGGTTTCTTTGTCATTATTAGCCCAACTGCTACTTCTGGGATTCTGTCTTAAAAGGAACAAAGACCAACTATTTATATGAAACTGATCAATATGAAGACACATCCGGAGGATCTGACTGTATTGTGTTAGATGAAATTAGTATGCCAGAAGCTCAAATGTCAAAAAGACAGAACACTCAACTTCATGAGGGATTTTTTAGCAGTCAGACATAGCGCATTGTCCTGTACAGACATATGCTGTCTATGCTAAGCATTCTTGATGCTATCTTAATGAATAGAGGAAGAACTCATTTTGAATCTGTAAAGTTTACCACCAAGTTGAATAATTACACTGACAATTGGAAAAAAAGAAGCTCTTAAATTTTCCATGTTCCTTTTTCATATAAAAACATTATTTTTCAACCAATCTTTCTCCTGACACCCAACCATTGTACTCCATATCAAATAAATAGATAAAAATATTAATTTCCCCCATGTCTGTCCTAGTCTATGAATGTTCATGTTTATTTATAATCATGGTTCTCTCTTAGGCTGCAAGCTGCCTTTGGGAGAAGGTCTCTGTGTCTGTTTATTCAGTCTCTACATCACACTTAACAGAGTGTCACATGAAAAGGTGCTTTGTGATTGTTATCAGGAATCTGATTGTAAGAGGAAAAATTAAAATGAATTTTATACCTGTTTAAGTTAACTAAGCAGTGGCTCCTCATTCAGATGAAGAACATTGTTACAGGAAAAATGTGATTTTACCATTACATCTCACGAATACTGACAATGAATGACAGGTTAGAGAATGAAAAGAAAATTTTAAAAATATATGATAACTTAGCAATAACTTGATATATTTATAATGGATGTATTTATAAAATCAAAATAGTTTTGAGAATATTTAAAATTAGAATATAGTGTTATATAACACTATACAAATGTTAACAAAACATATTGTATTAGCTAGAGTTGGAGGCCACAGATTCTCATTCTGTTTCACTTGACCACAGAGGATATCAAAGAGCTCAGAATCTTTAAAGGAAGGCACATGGACAGGCATAAGAAAACAGCAGGAGTCAGGGTGCAGTGGGGGGCTGCTGGTAAGAAACATAGACAGACAAGGACTCCAGACAGGAAGACTCTTGAAGGAAACTACTCCAGAGCCACTACCCTAACACACCTGCTGCTTAGTTTCTGAAACTGCAACACCTCCACCACTCATCATTAACACCTCTCAGACCAAATTAAATTGTTTCTAAAATGCTCCTGTGTCTTTGCATCTCTCCTTCAACATAAAGTCCCAGATAGTTGAGCCTTCTCCAACTGAGAAGAGAGAAGACACGGTCCTTTCCATTTCTGAAATGGAATCCTCCCAAAACTGACACAGTGGTGAACTTGCCCAAACCACAGAAAGCATACAGATGCTGAGTAGTCAAGAGAATAGGAAAAGGACCCTGTCTGTCATCTGAGTATCAGGCCTACCTTGTTTGTGCTTCGCATAGTTGCAAATTTTTTCATATTGAAGATTTCTGGCAATCCTGTGATTAGCAACATTCCCTTAAGCCAAAGCTTAATCCAGAGGAAGGTCCTAACCCTTCTCAAGTTCATGATGTCTGAGAGAGATGAGAAAACTGCAGAAGAAAAGTTTGAAACTATTGATTCATGAAGCTTAAGAAAAGAAGCCATCTTGATAACATAAAAGTGCAAGGTGAAGCAGCAAGAGCTGTTGTAGAAACTGCAGCAAGTTATCCAGGTCTAGTTAAGATCATTGATGAAGGTGGCTACATTAAACAATATATTTTCAAGGTAGATGAAACAGCCAGCCTTCTACTGGAAGATGATGCCATCTAGGACTTTCATAGCTAGAGAAGATAAGTCAAAGCCTGGCTTCAAAGCTTCAAAAGACAGGCTGACTCTCTTGTTAGGAACTAATGCAGCTGATGACTTTAAGTTGAAGTCAGTGCTCATTTACGATTCAGAAAATCTTAAGATTCTTAAGAATTATTCTGAGTCTGCTCAGCCTGTGCTCTGGAAATGAAAAACAAAGCCTGGATGACAGTATCTCTGTCACAAGATGGTTTACTGAATATTTTAAGTAAACCTACTGCTCAGGAGAAAAAGAAAGATTCCTTTCAAAATATTACTGCTCATTAACAAAGTACCTGGTCATCCAAGAGCTCTAATGAAGGTATACAAAGAGATTAATGTTGTTTTCATGCCTGCTAACACAACATCCACTCTGCAGTCCAGGGACCAAGGAGTATTTCAACTTTCAGTCTTAATAGTTAACAAACACATTTTGGAAGTCTATACCTGTCATAGATAGTGATTTCTGTGATGGATCTGGGTAAAAAAAATTGAAAATCATCTGGAAAAGATTCACCATTGTAGATGCCATTAAGAGCATTTGTGATTGACGGGAGAATGTCAAAACATCCACGTTCACAGGAGTTTGAAAGAAGTTGATTCCAATCCTTGTGGATGACTTTGAGGGGTTCAAGGCTTCAGTGGAAGAAGTAACTGTAGATGTGGTGGAAATAGCAAGGGAACTAGAATTAGAATTGGAGCCTGAAGATGGGGCTAACACTGCAATCTCATGATAAAACTAACAGATAAGGAGTTGCTTCTTATAGATAAGCAAAGAAACTGGTTTCTTGCGATGGAATCTGCTCCTGGGGAAGACGCTATGGACATTGCTGAAATGGCAACAAAGGACTTAGAATATTACACAAATTTAGTTAATAAAATAGCAGCAACTTGGGGAGGATTGACTCTAATTTTGAAAGATGTTCTACATGGGTAAAATGCTATAAAATTGCACTGCATGCTACAAAGAAATCTTTTATGAAAGGAATAGTCAATCATTGTGACAAACTTCATTGTTGTCTTAATAAAAAAAAAATTGCCACAGCCACAGCCACCCTAACCTTCAGCAGCCACCACCCTGATCAGTCAGCAGCCCTATGCATCAAGGTAAGACCCTCCTCCAGTAAAAAGACTACTGCTCACTAAAGGCTCAGGTGATTGTTAGTGTGTTTTAGCAATAAATTATTTTTGATTGAGGTGTGTACATTTTTAGACCTAGTGCTATTGCGCACTTAACAGACTACAGTATAGTGCAAACATAATTTTTATGTGCACTTGGAAAGCAAAAAATTCATGTGACTCATTTTATTGTGATAGTCACTTTATTGTAGTGGTCTAGAACTGAACCCACAATATCTTTGAGGTATGGTTATAAATGCCTCTTCCTAAATCTATCCTGCCAGAAAGGAAAAAAAGAAATGGATACTTGGGACATCATGCACCTATGCAACAATAAACATACTCACTCTTTCCCCCAAATGGAGACCCTTCAGCATCTTATCAGTGATTTCACACAACTCCAAGTCCAAACAGGAAGATGTTCATTCTTCCTATAAAATCACAATCCCATGTTTAAATTCTGCTTTCATGAACAAGTGTTTAGTAGCATACCCCAAATGCAGTACTAAAAGAAGAAGAAAATGAATTAGGAGCTAAGATATATAAATGTATTCATCACTCTGTAAAAATAGAAAGTCTAGAGGATAGTAATCAAATTTCTATAGCAGCGTGTGAAAGTGTAACTCATATTTATGACTTTTCTCCTTTCTTGTCCATTCTGCATGCTCTGCCTTCAACCAGCGCCCCAGCTGACCGGTTAGGTGTTGACATTTAACCTAATGAGTTACCCCAGCCTTTATTGTTGTTGATTCCAAGTCTCTGACAGCCTTTCCAGTTTGTGATTCTTTTCTACCATCTACTTTTACTACTATAAATAGTAGGATAAGAAGGTATCCCGAGAGACTACCTGGGTTCCACCCACAATTCTCCTGCTCCATTGTAAAGTAGTAATCCACTTTGTCCTTCATGGTTAGGATCAATTACACCAGCCAGCACTAAAATCCATATCATTTCCTCTTTTCCTGGAGTCATAAGAAGCTGAGTATGGCCAGATGGCAATATGAGCTTCCAATTCAATGGAAACATTGTTGTCTGTCTTACTGGAAACATTCTTCCTTGTGGATTAATACCTCCAACCAGCAGACCCCAACTTATTGGAACAAGATGCAAAAAACTTTTAAAGTCATACCAATACTGTAACTGAAACTTCAATAGGCCATTTCCAATATCCTATAATGATAGACGCTTCTGAGTTATGGCAAATATGCCAAGGATAATGAATCAAAACATGGCAGTCTTTCCCCTGTCCTTTTTTCACTTAACCATTTTCATTACAAACAATGTTATGTGAAAATCTGTACCAAGGGTAGAGCAATAAGGAAGTCCCTTAATAGTACTGCTTGCAGATGCTTGATGGCCAAGGACAACAAATCCAAATTCACGTTAAGTATCTATTCCAGTGTGGAAATATTTGCAACCTCTATCTCAGACGGATTTCAGAGTTATTATCCTGCTACCAGACACCTGACTGGTCATCTCAGGTGTAATATATATGTGGATTTTTGTATCACTCACTGGATGGCAAATTGGACACCCATTAGTAGAAGTGGCCTGAATAGTCTTGGTGAAGGGGAAGTCCATGTTTATAAGCCCATCTTGAACATCTCACCTTGTTTCATGACTCTTGAAGCATTTATGTAACTAACATAAGGGAGAGACACTTCCAGAAAACCACCACTGATTACTAAGAGCCTCCTCTGCTGTGGGTATGATCTTAGGTAAACATTCCAAAATAATCTCAAACTGCAATTTTTCTGAAAAGTATATACCTCATCCCTAAACCCTCTTGTTATAATTTTTCAAACTTGTACCTTCAACCCCCTGGTCACATGGACAAGCCATTGGCCATTCCTCATGGACTGCTATACATACAATACATCCTGATTTTAAGACATCCCTTCATCTAGACACACTTTGCCATGAAGTGGAGGAACAACATACAAGACTTAAAATTATTCTCTACCTTTTTTAGGGACCAACTCTCCTGGTGCCACATATCATGAAAAGTCATAGAAAACTTGCTCATAGCTAGTTAATACATACAGTTTTTAAGGAGTAAGAAAGTCAGATGCTACTTATTTGTCTTGTGTCCTTAGGACCTGCTTGATCCTAACCCTATTTGAACCACTTCTATTTTATGATGGAGGATAGTTTGTGTGTTCACTTTATAAATAGGTAGATCATATAAAACTCCATCATAATGGGAAATTTGACTCAAGTGTCATGATTATATGGCTCTTATGATCAGAAACTTAGTCATCACGAGAAATGAATAGCAAACCAAGAACTTGTTCTTAGAAGTGGCATGTTTATTTGTTTAAAGAAGGTGGTTTTGTCCCCAAAACTAGGACTTCATCCTCAATGACCACAAATATCCCCAGCATTATTGAACCTGGTGCTTTATAAAGACCAAGGACCATAGCTATTTGTCTTGAAACCTAGATCACTGGGGAAAAGTAATTTGTTCTGGGCTCCATTCATATTTGGAAGCTCACATAATTGGGAGGGAGTAGAACTCTCACTTGGGATACAATTTGCTCCTAAAAACAAAAAGCCCCACTAAGCATTTTTCTCCTTAGTGTTAGGTGACAAATGTTCATCAACCTTCACTTTGAGGTTCCAGATCAATGGATCACCAGAAAATTCACTGAGGTGGTATGCCTGTGCATTTTTGTGGAACTGATCTCCAAATCTATACCCTGCATGTGTCTTGCCAAGGCATTTATGATACCCATTCATTCTTTTTCTCTAGGTGCTATCAATATGATAATATTCATGTAGCAGACTGGCAAGATATCCTTTGGAATTAAGCGATAGTCAAGGGCCCTAGAAATGAATTAGGACACTGTTAAAACCATGAGGCAAGGCAGAAAAGGTATATTGCTGCCCCTCTTCATTCAGTCAAATTTCTGCTGATATTTTTATTTATTGAGAGAGAGAAGAAAAGCATTTTCAAATCCACAGATGCATTCCAGGTGCCAGTGAATGCACTGAGTTTCTCCAGCAGAGAAACCACATCTGGAACAGCAGTTACAGTGTAAGTCAAATCTATTTCTTTTGAAGATAACTCACTCTCATTCTACAAGGTCCTTCATTTTCTTCACTTCCGCAGCTACAGAGATAAGTAGAGTTATATTAGGAATCACCACGCCTGCTTTTCTCAAGTCTTTGATGGTAGCACTAATCTCTCTCTGGAGGAAGATTCCCCTAGGGATGGGATATTGCTTTTTATTTACTATTTCATTAAGGACAAGAAGTTCTAGGGGACATAATAGGACCATAATAACTTTTACTTTATGGGTCACAAAATCTAGTAGGGGTTTTTCTAGTACCTAAGTGTGTGAGTGTGTGTGTGTGTGTATGTGTATTTTAAATATAGAATCTTAAATTTCAAATATATACTATATAATTAGGAAAGGGAAACAGAATAACTTTGGGGTCTATTGAGCCAAAAATTTATTTGTTATTTGACACCCATGAACTACTAACCTATGGACTATAGTGGTATTCCAGGTTTTGGAGCAATAGTGTAGCATTGAGTTGTATACACTAATACACAAAAGATGTGAATATTTTCCTTTTCCTAGTGATAAGTTGTGCCATATATCTTTGAAATAGACTTGGAGAAAATATCATAATATACACCTTGATATTACTACAGCGTCCAATCACAATACTATCTCCCTTAATTTCATTCTAGGAGAACTAGGTCTAGGAACTGACTCAGGCATTGGGATAGCAATATAGGTTTAGGATAGCAAATATACATTATGATTTCTGAGGTCTGGTCTAAGTTTACCAAATATAAAGCTCCTTCCTACCCCAAAATACCCAACCAATTGTACATATCATTTAGGAAACTCGTATCAATTTTAAATCTGCTTTTTCCCAAGGAATCACATGATATTAACTAAGGTCAAATATTTCTGAAGTTCTGTTTGCCAGGTTGGCCTTTTGATTCTGGAGTTTAAATGGAACTACAGTCAACCCTCTGTATCTGTGGGTTCTGCATTCTCATTGTCAAACAACCACCAATGGAAAATATTGAGGGGAAATAACAATAAAATTAAAAATAATACAGATTTTTTAAAAAACAATACAGCATAACAACTATTTTCACAGTATTTACATTGTATTAGGTATTATAAGTAATCTAGAGATCCTTTCAAGTATATCGCAGGATGTGCATATGTTAGACACAAATACTATACTATTTTATGTCAGGAACTTCAGCAACCCCAGATTTTGAGATCTGCAGGGAGCCTTGGTCCCAGTCCTCTGTAGATACTGAGGGTCAACTGTTACTTTGCTTCTGCTCCTCTGCAATCCTCCTACTCACTGAAACCAGGAACCTACTTCAAGTGCAATCTCTCATAAGCATCTTGAACCCTAAGCAAATTATCACTAAGCATCTGCTCTCATTACACAATGTTTTTCTCAAAGTCTTGGTAAAGAGTGTCTTCTGGTGTTTCTCAGGGGATAAAGTTAGGAAATTATCTGAAGTAACACACGGTGAATGGACTCCCACCTTCTAACCTCTAAGTCTTTGCAGTGTTCTCTCTGTACTAGACCAAGAGTTTTCTGTCATTTCAACTTTTTCCTTTCTTTTAACTGTAGGCCACCCTTAGTTCCAGGTTGCAGATTTAGGCATCCATCCAAACAAACAATTAAACTCACTCCCAGGGAATCCAGCAAGCATACTGAAACCATATCAATTAAATTGGCCAAATCAAAAATGATGACTGTTCCTCATTTTACAAATAAGCTCAGATTCATTCCTATACACATTTCCCAGATTTTGATCAACATGAATTAGTAAAGCCATATAACTATTTTTTAGGTGAAAGCATTCTTCTTAAGGCTGGACTTTGTAATTTTCTCCAGGAGCATTCTGGATTATAATGCTAATTACATTTGGGGAGGCAAGAAGGGTCTAGGAAAGAGCAGAGAAGATGGCTAAGAAGAATGATCTGCTTTTAAGGTAAATAGCTTAGGTAAGAGATTTATTCAAAATTCTTTCATGCAAGTGTGAAAGAGTTTCATCAACAAGGAGAAAAGGACCATTCCGGCTGCCATGGGAGTTGCAAGGCTCTGATTCTCCCCCTGTACATCCTCATTTAACTGTATTCTTTTCCGTCATTATCCTATTGATCTAAGATCTGGTGAAGCTTTGAATTTATTTAATATTATCATTTAGTGTCCTGCAACTCAAATGCTAAGTTTAGGTTATAACTACCCCATCTTCCTGTAAGCATAAAACCAAACAAGAGACAAGAGGTTCTTCTGGCCTCCAGGAGAAGTTTAAGACCTTTGATTTCTCATGTAATCTCATTTTAATACGTGGGGTTCTAGTCTTTCCCAATCATTTTCGTAACTCAGACATAAAAGATGGGAAGAAGCTTTGAATTCAGTAGATATTATAATTTAGCTCAAACGTGAAGCATAGACTTTGGCTGTTTCCACTCTACGGAAGCATGAAATGAGATCAAGATAGTCTCTAGATTTCAACTGGTATCTTTAACAAGGTCTTCAGCATTTTAACCTGCCATGATCTTTCAGCAGCCATCTTGACTCCCTTCTGTCTTTGATTCATGGAAGTGGCAAAATGGCCACTCAAAAATTTTTCTTCAGAAAAGTATTTCATTCAAAGTAATCTTAGGCAATCAGAGTGATATTTCATTACACATCCTGAGCTACCAGGCTTCCAACCTAAAATACTATTTTAGCTCAAAATAGGTAAGATAGGTCTTTCCAAATACGTGTATTAATCATGGGTTCTATTGCTTATAAACCATTGTCTATATCTCCCCCACCTTGTCTCTGCACCTTTTTTCCACCTCAGCTCCATTGATTGATGGTTCTGCCTTCCTCTTCTGTTTTTAATGATTCCTTTGATTTCATTTAGCCCACCCAGATAACACAAGATGGTCTCCCTACTTTAAGGTTAGCTGATGAACAGTCTTAGTTCCATGTGCAAAGTTCCTTACACTAGTTCCTAGATTAATGTTTGATCGAATAACCGAAAGATGGAAATCTTGGAGTGCACCTTTAGAATTCTGCTTATCACACTTCCACATGATAAAAACCCTAATTAGAGCATACAACTGAGCAACACAAAACATCACATGCCATAACCTTCACTAGCTAATAGTGAGCAGATAGAGGATCTAGAAGTTTGGACCTCTATAGTCTGAAGCGAGGCTTTTTTTTTTTTTTTTTTTTTTGGTCGGAGTTTTGCTCTTGTTGCTACAGCTGGAGTGCAATGGTGCGATCTTGGCTCACCACAACCTCCACTTCCCAGGTTCAAGCAATTTTCCTGCCTCAGCCTCCCAAGTAGCTGGAATTACAAGCATGCACCACCATGCCCAGCTAATTTTTTGTATTTTTAGTAGAGACGGGGTTTCACCATGTTGGCCAGGCTGGTCTCAAACTCCTGACCTCAGGTGATCCACCCACTTCGGCCTCCCAAAGTTCTGGGATTACAGGCATGAGCCACCACACCTAGCCGAGGCTTTATCTTGTACCTATTCAAACACAATGGGTTTATCAATCAAAGAAACATGTAGGATAAGATACTGAGTGATCCTCCACAAATGAAACAATGTCCACTATTGGAAGCAAAATTTCTTTTGTTCTTTGACTTGGTACATTTATTATTTTTACCATCTTAGTAAAATTAAACCATTAAATTTACATCATTCAAACATACTTCTATTCATGCTAATCAACTAATTGAGGAACAATTTGTGAAGTCTCCTAATTAGCACTTACTTCCCCAAATAACCATTTTCAATGAATAATTTATCACTTAAATGTTTCTTAAAGAAAAATGAAAGCCTGAATCATAAAAATTTGGTGGGTTTTCCACACTTGCTATTGATTTAATGATACGTAAACACATGATACAATTGTAAGGCTCTCTAGGAAAATAATTATTAGAACATATTGCAATTTATTTGATAGAAAATTCTTATCAAGTGCACTCACTTAAACAGGTAAACTCAACCAAGTATGACAAATACACAATCACTTGTTGCTTTATTAGGATAGTTACATTAGATAGTTGGTTGCCAAATCAAAGTTATGTAATCGATTTTTATTTCTCAAGTTGAAGAGAGAGGCAGTATGAATTGAGTGCTTCTAAATAGGAACAAGTCCTATAAATGTCTTCTGTCTAGTGGTTGCTCTCAAACTATTTCAAAAAGAGGCAGAAGAGGAAAGAATACTTTATAACTCATTCTATGAGATATGTATTACTCTGAAAAAACGATAAAAGATATCACAAGAAAAGAAGCTACATGGCAATATCCCTTATGAATCAGCAAAATAAATCTAACAGCTCATTTAAAGGATTCTACCCCACAACCAAGTATGATTGATACCAGGAATGTAAAAGTGGTTTAATATACAAAAAAATCAATGTAATAAACTTTCTTAATAGAATGAAGAAAATAGATAATATGATCATTGCAATTCCTGTAGAAAAAGCATTTAAAACCCTTTTGCTTAAAAAAATTCAAAATTAGAAATAAGAAGGAACTTCATCAACTTGATACAAAAGGTATCTGTGAAAAACCGACAGCTAATATCATATTTAATGGTAAAACAATGAAACATTTCCACCTAAGATAAAGAACAGGACAAGAATGTCTGCTTTCACCATTTATTCAACATTTCACTGGAAGTTGTAACTTGAAAATTAAATTAGGTTAGATTACAGGCACGGTGGCTCACGCCTGTAATCCCAGCACTTTGGGAGGCCACTATTTGGGAGGTGGGTGGATCACTTGAGGTCAGGAGTTTGAGATCAACCTGACCAACATGGCAAAACACCGTCTCTACTAAAAATACAAAAGTGAGCTGGGCATGGTGGCAGATCTGTAATCCCAGCTACTTGGGAGGCTGAGGCAGGAAAATCGCTTGAATCCGGGGTGCAGAGGTTGCAGTGAGCCAAGATTGCATCACTGCACTCCAGCCTGGGTGACAGAGCGAGACTCTATCTCAAAAAAAATTTTTTTTAAATTAAATGAGGTGAGAAAAAAGAAATGAAAGGCATCTAAATTGGAAAGTAAGTAAAACTATCTCTATTTGCAGATGAAATGATCTTCCACATAGAAAATTCCAAAGAATACACAGAAAAGTTACGAGAGCTAACAAATGTATTAATCAAAGGTTCAGGATATTAGATCAACACATAAAAATCAGCCATGTTTCTATATGACAGCAATGAACACTCTAAAAACAAAATTAAGAAACCAATGCCATTTACAGAAGCATCTAAGAGAATAAAATAGCTAGGAACAAATTTAACCAAGGATGTGAAAGACTTATATACTGAAAACCCACAAAACATTTCTGAAAGAAATTAAAGAAGACAAAAGAAAAGCCATCCCATGTTTATGCATTGGAAGACATACTACTACTAAGATGGCAATATTTTCTAAAGTGATCTACAGATTTAATGCAATCTCTATCAAAATTTCAATCAACTGTGTTGTGGTAGAAATGAACAAGCTAATTCTAAATTTTATTTGGAATTTCAAAGAATATTAAAATGGCTAAAACAATCCGAAAAAGAGAACAAAATTGGAGGAGTCACACTTCTCAATTTCAGAAATTACTACGAGGCTACAGTAATCAAAACAGTGTGCTTCTAGCGTAAGAGTAGACATGTTGATTCACGGCATAGAATTGAGAGCTTAGGAATCAACATCTATGGTCAATTTATTTTTAACAAGGGTATCAAACCTATCTAATGGGCAAATAATAGAATTTTCAACAAATGGTGCTTAGAAAACTAGATATCCACATGCAAAATAATAAACTTTGCCTCTTACTTCCCACCATATGCAAAAATTAACTCAAAATGGCTCAAGGTCCCAAGTGTAGGAGCTAAAGCTATAAAACTCTTAGAAGAAAATTTAAATATATTCTTCAAAACCTTGAATTAGGCAATTTTTATTGCTGTTGTTGTTGTTATGACTTCTAAAACACAGGAAATTAAAGGATAAAGATAAATTGGACTTCAACAAAATTAATTTTTTTTTTTTCATTTCAAAAGACACTATCAAAAAGGTGAAAACACAACCCCTACAATGAGAGAAAATATTTGAAAATCTTGTATCTGATAATAGTTTATTACACTGAATACATGAAGGACACTTACAACTTAAAAAAAGACAATCATTACAATCAAAAAATGAACAGAGGACTTGAAAAGATGTTGCTCCAAAGAAGATATGGACATGGCCAATAAATACATGAAAAGATGCCCAACAACATTAGACATTAGGAAAATGGAAATCAAAACTGCAAAAGTTAACTTCATCCACAAGGATGAGTATACTTTTTTTCTATGAAAAAAAAAGGAAAATAACAAGTGACAATGAGAATATGGAGAAATTGGAACTTTTGTGCATTGTTAACAGGAATATATTTTAAAATGATGCAGTTACTGTGGAAAATAGTTGAACATTTTCTCACAAAATTAAACACATAATTCCTATATGATCCTGAAATTCCACTCCAAGGTATACACTTAAAATAATTAAAAATAGATGTTTATTCAACAACTTGTACATTGAAGAATTATTCACAGTAGCCAAAAAGTGGGGAAAACCTGAAAGTCCATCACTGAGTTGGACATGGATAAATGGATAAACCATGGACAAACAGTTAAACGAAAGTGGTATATCCATGCAGTGGAACATTATGCAGCTATAAAAAGAAATTAAGTAATGATACATGGTTCAACATAAATGAATCTTGAAAACATTATGTTAAGTGAAAGAAACGAGACAAAAGGCTACATTTAATGTGATTCTATTTGTATGAGTTTCTATGAATTGTCCAGGATCTACAAAGTCATACAAATAGAAAGTAGATTAGTGATTGCCAAGAAATCGGGAAGGGGAAAATGGGAAATGAAAAGGATATAATAGCTAATGAGTACAAGGCTTTGTCTTTGGGGTGAATCCAAGGTTCTGGAATTAGATGGTGATGATGGTAACATAAAATTCATGAATGTACTAAAAGTCATTGAATTTACACCTTAAAATAGTGAATTTTATGTTATGTGAATTATACCTTAATTTAAAAGTGTTTGTTGAAGTGGCTTAACTAATACTATGGGGCAAACAAAATATTTAGTTGATAGTGGTTTATTTAAGCAAAAAAACATAAAATATATGAATAACCTAAGATTGACTCTAGTGTTCATCTCCAACTCCTCATAGGCAGAGCAGTGGTGAAGTTTTTATGCTAGTAAGAATACTATAGTAAATTCCAATTGTCAGGGGCCTAGTTTGTGCCAGACACCCTACTTGCCACTTCATATAGGTGAGTTATTTTAAGGTTATGACCAAAACATTACTATCTCCATTATACTGATAAAGACTTTGCATTTTAAAGAGGCTAAATGATTTGACCAGATACATGCAACTATTCAGGAGTGCATCATTCATGTTCAAGTGTGCGTGATACAGAACCCATTCTTGCCCTTTCTACCATGCTTCTCTCATTCTCTAAACTGGATATGACTTCTGCCAGCTCTATCTTTACTTTAATTTCCGAAAGTAAACATTTTCTCTTATCAATCTGCATTATATCCTGCTCTGAGTTTCTATACAAACTTCAGGGAATCTTCTCTTTTGAGAACAACCACTGAAATTTCAAATTTTCCAGATGACTTGAGTAATTGCATTTTATTGTGCCATTTAATTCTCATAATTTTAGAAGCTGACGAAACGAGTTCTCCTCTTGATCTAAACTCTTTAAAAACTTTTCTGCCTGGAAAAAAAAAAACAGCAAAAAAAAAAAAAAAAAAAAAAGAAAAGAAAAGAAATAAAAAAGAAAAAGAATCTAGGTTTGGTATTATCCACATTACATTTGGGGAGAAAAGTCAGGCTTCCATTTTCAGAATGGAGTGGACTCAGAAGAGATACTGATAGCAACACATTTACACTTTAAAAAATCCACTAAATGTTCAACAAAATATTTTAAACAGTTTTTAAAGAGTTGGATGTACCTGAAAGAAAGATGGAAGATATGAAGTCATGAGTAAGAAAGGAACACAGGCTGGTAAGAGAAGCTAGCAATTAGGCAATTTGTTATACTAGGGACACACAAAGATGCTAGAGAATCAGTGGCAATGGGTGACTAAAGATGATACACTAGGCCAGGTGTGGCAGCTCACACCTGTAATCCCAGCACTTTGGGAGGCTGAGGTGGGCAGATCATGAGGTCAGGATTTCGAGACCAGTCTGGCCAACATGGTGAAACTCTGTCTCAACTAAAAATACAAAAATTAGCCAGGTGCAGTAGAGTGCGCCTGTAGTCCCAGCTACTAGGGAGGCTGAGGCAGGAGAATTGCTTGAACCCGGGAGTCGGAGGTTGCAGTGAGCCCAGATTGCGCCATTGCACTCCAGCCTGGGTGATAGGGAGAGATACACCTCAAAAAAACAAAACAAAACAAAACGCAACACAACAACAACAAAAAAACAGATGATACACTGAAATTATTGACTGAGAGATCCTGCATAAAGGTGGACCCTCAGATAGGTCTCAACTTCAGAGAAAGGTTAAACTTAGGGAAAAACAACCATGTAAGACAGTCAACAAGACAATGATTTTTTGCTTCCAGTTAGAAGGTAAAAGAAAACATAAACACAATGACCAATGGCCTGCCTTCATATAAGATTGAAGACTGAATTTACAATATTTTATGGCCTTAAAAACTGCCAACAAAACAACATTATTTAAAATGGACAAGATCTCTAGTGCCCTTGTATGCCTGTCAGAAACAAATATAAATCTTCCCCACAGGAGGAAGACATCCTCAAAACAGGTGTCAAAAACCTCATATAGTGAGTTCAACGAAACCTGGACTCATGATTAAATCCCAATACACAATAGAAAATAAGCCACCATAAGTAAGAGCCAGTGGAAACAACAATAAACAAAATTAGACCTGTAACAACTTCATTATTGAAATTACTGGATATATAATTTGAAACAAGAACGTTTAATACATTTTTAAAATGCAAAAAGAAATCATGAATTTGGAGCAAATGACTATCAAAGAATAACCAATGAAATAAAAAGGAAGGAAACACAATTTCCAGAAATGACAAATATAATAATTAAAATGAGAAAATCAATGACCGATTTACATATTAGTTAAGACACAGTAAAAGAGAGAATTACTGACCTGGAAGATTGATCTGAAGAAATTACCAGTAATTCTGCTCAAAGAGACAGAAAATACAAAATGATATTAAAGACATATGGAGGATAGAGTCTAATCATATATATGTCTAATCAAAAATATATGTGTGATCATAGTTCTAGAAAGAAAATACAGAGAATGGGCAAAACGAAATATTTAAAGAGATCATGTCTGAATAAATATATTTCCTTAAATATATGAATCCTCAGTCTAGAAGCCCAGTGAGTCCCAAGCAAGATAAATAGAAACCGACATGGAGAAACATTGCAATAAACTACAAACCCCACATGGAAGGGGCGAACTTAATGTCATTCTGGAAGAACAACATTTAAATATATTGCTGTCAAAGGAATGCCATTTGTGCTGACGATTTCTCAATGGCAAAAGTGAAAGACTGAAGAGTGCAGAATAACATTTTTAGAGAGCTGGAGGTAAATATTGACATCTATAATCATTAAAGCTAATGAAATAATAGTTTAAGAAGTAAAATTCAAGAAATAGTAATAATAATATAATAATATATTCACCAAGAGAATTTGACATATGTGCCAGACACTATCACTTAAAGATATGAAGAAAAAATGAGAGACTCATAATGACAATTTAGCAATTTTACCATAGTAATTATTACTTGTAATATAACACCCTCAATAACTGATAGTTCAAGTAGATGAAAAATTCAGCAAGGAGATAAAAGATTTTTAAAAGCAATAGTCTAATAAACGTATCAATTATCCTCCAAAATGTTGGAAATACACAATACTTTTTATCATACACAAAACTTAGAAATTACTACCAAGTCATAAGGCATTAAAATTACTCACAAATATCAAAGGAAAAGTGTCATATACAGTACAGTTTATTTTATATATATATATATATATATATATATATATCTCAAGAGACAAAGGGCAAAGGATATGAATAGTTATTTCATACTCAATCTCATTAACAATCAGAGAAATGCAAATTAAAACCATAATTAAATATCACTTTACTCACTTTATTGGCATATGTTTAAAAATCTGAAAGTGCCAAATGTTGTCAAGGATACCAAGAAATGGTAACTTTTATACTTTGCTTGTGGGATCATAAAAAGGTACCATCATTTTGACAGTCTGCACTAATCTCTTAAAACTTGGATATTTGCATGGCTTATAGCGCAGATTCTGTGCCTAGGTATATACACACAGAGGCACTTTAGCACCTCTGAATTCATTTTCTCACCGTCTCAATTTCCTTTATCCAACTAAATGTCCACCTTTTAAAGAGAAAGAAAAATAAACCTTCTTGATAATATTAATCAGGTATCCCCAAACAAAAGGAGAAGGCTGGCCTAATTATGAATACATTGTTTCTTGGGGAGGGGAATGACAAACAGCATCTTCCTCTGCCAATCATAAGTGAATCTCCAACAAATTGATGGAAACCCTCACAGAGAGGACTTAGTTTTCTAAACTCAACTGCTTACTCTTTAAGGGACTGAAGTGGGATCACTGGTTTCTCCTGGTGATGAGGAGGTTGTGACACTGTGAAAAGGTCATATGTAACCCTTAGTGGTAATGCTGGGATTCGATTTTATGAAAGTTAGACTATGAGTGTTAGTTTTTTTGAAGAAAACCAAAGGATAACTAGCTAGCCCCTAGTTTCTTAAAAATTGAAGGACATTTTTACTTTGTCATACCTGTTGGTCTGTAGACCACAGTTAAACTCTGTATTTATTTTATGATTATTTTATTAATTTATTTTAAATTAAATAGAGACAGGGTCTCGCTTTGTTGCCCAGGCTGGTGTCAAACTCCTGGCCTCAAGCCATCCTCCCGCTTTAGTCTCTGAAAGTGCTGGGATTACAACTGTGAGCCACCGCACCCAGCCATTCAACTATATATTTAATACACTTATTCAACACTCATTTCCTTCTATTAAACCCATCTCTGCGCTCCAGCCACTGAATGTCACCCTAGTTTTGGTAGGGCCCTATGACGTCAACATAGCTTTACTGATAACTGAATAGTTCAATATTAAGAATTATTTAACATGAAGGAAGAATGAACATGAACATGAAAATAGAAAATATCAGTTTTCAGAATGATGTTAACTCCAATAGAACTGAAGAGCTCTGAGTAAGGGCTCTCATTTCTGAATCATGCAACAGACAAGCATTGGGGACCTAGTCTCTGAATGCCACTGTTCCAGGTATTGGGAGAACACAAAGCTGAATATGATACTAATTTTTCTCAGATCATTTAATTTGCAATGAAGAAACCACAAATCAGTACTACAGCAGAAGGTAAAACAAAATCTGTATCAAAAGAGGTCAAACATCTTACGGTTGAAGCAGAATAAGGAGGAACTGGTTCTGACCACAGCATCCAAAAGTCTCCATAAATCAGTGGCGTTTGCACATGGGAATTTTAGAACCATCATGGGGAAAGGCACAGAAGTATGAATGTGCGTGCTCCTCAGTGAGGAGAGAGAATGCTAGTGGTGAAATTAATAAAATGGGGCGGGAAGTGAGGCCAGAACGGTTTGGGACTAGATCACAGAGGTCTTAAGTGTCATTTTAATTCATTGTAACTTTATGCGGCAGGCTGTCAGCCCCTGAAGACTGTAATAGAGGGAAGAAATGTCAATTGACCTAGGTTTTAGGAAGGTAACTGGGGCAGCCATGTGAATGACAGATTTGAAGATCTGGTTAACGAGGAATAGCTGGTAAGATACTTAAGGAATCCAGGTTTACTCATGTGATCTAGTGGATAAGGAGTTCCTCATAAGAAGCTTTTAAATGTTTTTTTTTTCTCATTTTATTTCCCCAAGTTTTACTTTTGCTCAGGCTCTTATTCAAATTCAAGCAACTATAGAGTTTTCTTAAAAACTATGATGACGTTTTCAGATACATAAATACAACATTTCAACAGGAATTCTGAGAAAGATATTAAACAACTGATATAATCTGGCTCCTTAAAATTGGATTCTGATGGATGTAAAAGTCTGCTTTGCTGTAATAAAAATTCCCATTGCTAAACTATTTGATTTTTGAATCAGGGAAAGCTGGTTAGAAATAGCATGAACTACAAGTAAGTGGAGAAAAATATCAAAAAAAATGGCAAAGGGACAGTTAAGGGGCTAAAGTAATATGCATATTTTAGATAGTAGGCCTTGTCATTTTTACAATATATTTAATAGATTGGAAAGAGCTGGAAAAAATACCTGCTTTGAGTATAAGAAGTCCTAACAAAGCCTTTTTATATACAGAGCCAGTGTTAATTAGATGTGACTTTGAGAAGTCTTTTAAAGTGCAGGTGAGATCAAGAGCACTGCTGGTGCAGAAACCAGCCAGTCAAGAACAACCTATTGGGTACATCAGGAGGAAAAGTCTTTTCCCCAGAGACTCGTTATTTGATGATTGAAAAAGAATGTCTGGACATCAAATGGGTTTTAGAATGTTTAAGATACTAAAGTATATTTCTGGGGAAAAAATGATATTACAGACAGATCATAGAGCTATATAATGGTGGAATAGATTGAAAGATGAGTAATCCTCAGTTTCTAAGATATTAAATGTCCCTGTAGCAACGTATATGTGCATTTTCTCCAATAATCTCATGAAAAAACCTCATGAATTGTGGTATGTTTATTGAAGATGTTTCCTGGGTAGCGAAATTACACTACTGAATTATCCTATTAGTTCATGCAAGGTAAGATTCTCTGCAATCATATCTCAACAAAAAATTAAGGAAAATTAGCATGTGATTCTTTCCTGCCACACTTTTCTCTACTGCTCTTCTCAGCCTCTAAAGGAAGGTGCCATTTTAGTTTCTGCAGGCTGTGAATGCAGGAATGAGATGCCCGTAGAGGTTCTGGCGGCTATTGCTTGGGCAACTAAAGAGAAAATTGGTTGATGGGTTGACCCTAATCAAGGGTCTGTGCGATGTGATGTGATATGACAACCATGTGGTCCTCTCTGTTGACAATGCACCCTCCTTTGAGGATCATTGTACTTTCTCTTGTTTTCTCCCACATTTGCTGTGGTTTTGGTATATATAATTTCTGCCTCATTGATGAGACTGCAGTGCCAAGGAAATTGGGACCTAGGGCATAAGTCAGGAAATCCTACCATTAATCTGGCTTTACCAGTAACAGTCTCACTTTGGGAATAGTAAATACTATAGGTGTATCAGGGCACCTGATTTGGCTAAAACTATAGCTTGACTACTTTAGTAAAATATAACCTCCTCCTCCAAGAGTCTAAGGGGCCTTCTGTTATTTATTGAAAGGAAAATTACACTTTGTGGCATATATATGTTTGCAGGTCAAGGCAGATGAGTGAAGAAAAACATGACTATGGAGTTATGGCATGTTGTTTTCCACTCTGCACTCTAGACTGACAGACTGCTTCTTTGCCCGTATGAGGGGATAGCTTGGAATAGAAGCGAGAATTTGAGAAGTTATTTACATTGGGTGGGTTTTGAATACAAAAAGTCCTTCTTCCAAGTTTCAGTGATGTTGTGTGACAAACTACTTTCCAAGAAGCACAGTGAATGTTGATAACTGAAGCCATCAGCTGGCCATATCTGCTGAGTAAAGCCTTAAGGAGGAACACTGAGACCAGAGCCTATGCAAGTAATCAGTAAGCTAGCCCTCCATCTCTAGGATCTGTTGGTTGGGGAAGATCTAAAAGTGGTTTTTAGATACTCTACTTGCAATAGTTAAAAGTTATGTAAATATTTTAAAATTTTGAGATCATTAACCCAAGCCCACTCAGCAGAAAAATGTTATGGCTTTCATGTATGTTTTGCTCTGTTTTCTGTTGCTTATAACAGAATACCTGAAACTGGATGCTTTATAAGGTAACAAAATTTATTTTTTATAGTTCTGGAGGCTGGCAAGTCCAAGGTAGACGATGAAGACCTTCTTGCTGCTGGGGATCCTCTGCAGAGTCCCAAGGTGGCACAGTGTACAGTCACATGGTGAGGGGGCAGAGTGTGCTTGCCCAGGTCTCTCTTTCTCTTCTTTTTTTTTTTTTTTTTTTTTTTGAGATGGAGTGTCGCTCTGTTGCCCAGGCTGAAGTGCAGTGGTGCAATCTCGGCTCACTGCAAGCTCTGCCTCCCAGGTTCATGCCATTCTCCTGCCTCAGCTTCCCAAGTAGCTGGGACTACAGGCGCCCGCCACCACGCCCGGCTAATTTTTGTATTTTTAGTAGAGATGGGGTTTCACCTTGTTAGCCAGGATGGTCTCAATCTCCTGAACTTCTGATCTGCCCACCTCAGCCTCCCAAAATGCTGGGATTACAGGCATGAGCCACCGTGCCCAGCTCTCTTTCTCTTCTTATAAAGTCACCAGTCCCACTCCTGTGATAACCCATTAGTCCATTAACCCATTAAGCCATTAATCCATGCATAGATTAATCCATTAATGGGTTTACTTCTTAAAAGCTCTCTATGCGGCCAAATTGGGATTAAATTTCAACATTAATTTTGGAAAGGACAAATATTCAAATCATCGCAATATATATTAGGAAGTCTGGTGAAACTTTCATTTTCCCAAATAATTTTCATAAATTTACACTGGTTCCTCCACATATTCTCTTCTAAGACCATTTTGTTTTATGTCAGCTTTTATTCTAACTCCTTGAAATAGAGATGTGCAAGTCCTACTTGCCTTCAATCTTGGTCATTCTCTAGTCCATAAAAGTGGTTAAAGGCCCTGAGGGAGGTAAGAAATTCAAGGTCAATTTAATACTATGGGTTGGCCCTTGACAGGGTTGCCACATAAAATACAAGGTGCCCAGCCTAGTCCGAATTGTCAACCATAACAAATAATTTTTAGTGTAAATAGGTCCCAAATATTCCATGGGACATACTTATATTTTGAAAAATTAATTGAATATCTGAAATTCAAATTTAGCTAATAATACTGTACTTTGATTTGTTATATTTCCATGTGTGTATATTTAAAAAGCTGAAAATAAATATATCATCAATAGATTGAGAACCACGTTTTACAAAATAGTATTCATCATGCTTGTATAATTACCACCAAGTTAAGATGGTCAACCAACAAGGGATTCAGCAAACATTTATGGAGTTGGTTTTGTGCTGTAAGCCTGATTCTACCACATTCTAACTCATGGATGGATATTTTGGATACTGAAGTAAATAAGAAGAAGTCTTAACATGAATATTTGAGCAAAATGACAAACACCCAATCAAGAAAAAAGTTATGAAATCAACAACAGGGTGAAACAGTTAGTATCCAAAAAGAATGTCAGATTAAAAAATATAGACATATGGCATAGCTTTTGGGAGAAATTATATGTGCACTGTTTCAAAGAAATGTGAATGCTACTTTTTAAATTTGATTTTGTTAATATTATTTTTCCTTTTTCCAGAAATAAACTGTTTATATTTAATTTAAAATTAGATGAAAATGTGGAGGTGTTGGGGTGGAAACAAATGCATATTTTAACAAATATATGAAGAAAAGCTTTATATATTTTATTACAAAATACTTTATACAGAATGTTATAAAGACTAATATAATGAAAGTCTGTGTATCTACCTCATAGCTTTTTAATTTATAAAGTATTAACATTTCACTACATTTGCTTCTGATGTTGTTATAAAACATTGCCAATAAAGTTGGAACTTCCTATGTTTTCCTTCTAATCACATCCTCCCATTTTCCCTTACTTGGGATGCTAACTGCTCTCCTGAATTCTGTGCTTGTAATTCTCAGGCAAGTCCTTATGCCACATATATACACATATTTATAAAATGTAAATACTATTTTATTGTATGTTTATTAACATTTTTATCAAAGGTACAACAATATTGACATTATTGTGTAATTTGCTTTTTTGGCTTAATATTATAGTTTATTTTTCCGAAGTACACGTTTATAAATTTAGTTCTAAATCATTAATTATAACTGCTGTGTAGCATTCCTAGTTAGAAATTTGTTTACCCAATCACTTTTGATGGACATTTAGGTACTTTCCAAAATTTATTTGTAACGTTCTTATACCCATCTCCTTTCACATAAATGCAACAGTTTCTAGTAGAATTGGAAATATTGAACCAAAGTGTATAGACATCTTCAATTTCAATAGATATTGTCCTATTACTTTGAAAGTAGTAGGACCAATTTACACATTCACTGAAAATTTGAGTTTATTTTCCCACAACTCTTGTTATTTTTATTATCAGACTTTAAGATTTTCCCAATCACTGGAATATCATCTCATAATTTTATTTTGCATTTTCTATTTGTTAGTAAGCTTAAATATTTATTCTGATAGCTATTGGGCATGTATGTGTTATTTTATGTGAATTATATGTTCATGTCTTTTGCTCAATTGTTTATTTGGCTGCTTGTTTTTTCTTATTGAACTGTAGGTGTTCTTTATAAATTACTGGCACTAATGATTATATGTGCTTTCCTGAACTGTGGACTGTGTTACTTAACTTTGTATAAAGCATTTTCATTGAAGATAAGTAGGGTTTTTTTATATTTTATTATACTCCAACGTACCCATTTTAATCTTTATATTTGTATCTTTTTTTCCAAACTCATTTTATTTTTTTTATTTTTTATTTTTTTATTATAATACTTTAAGTTCTAGGGTACATGTGCACAACGTGCAGGTTTGTTACATATGTATAAATGTGCCATGTTGGTGTGCTGCACCCATAACTCGTCATTTACATTAGGTATATCTCCTAATGCTATCCCTCCCCCCTCCCCCCACCCCACGACAATATCTTTTTATCTTATAAAACTATTTTTGGACTACATTATTATAAAGTCAGACCCCTAAAATTAGACAGAAAAAAAGTTAGAAGATAGATAGATAGATGATAGATAGATAGATAACAGATAAATATGTCTGCGTTAAATACATACACAGTTGGATTCCAGTCTTGCTAGTCTGTTCTTAGGATTTTTACTTTTATATTCAGTATATGAGATCGGCTTTTAATTTTTTCTTATCCTCTGCTTAAGATATTTATTTTGTACTAGCTTCATAAAAATAATTATTGTAGCTTTTCCTTTTTATTGTCTGAAGAAGATTGTGTAGGCTAGAAATTATCTATAGCCTGATTTTATAAAAGTTACCTATAAAATAATCTGAATCTAAAGGTTTTGGTTACTAACTTAGTTTCTTTAATGGTTAATGACTTATTCAGGTGGTTTTTAAAAAATCATTTTAATGACTTATTCAAGCGGTTTTAAAAAAATCATTTTAATATAATTGAAAAAGTGATAAATCATATCAAGAAACCAAAACAGAGTAATGGGGTGCTCATTTTCATAGGATATTCCAGAAACAAGTCTCTGGGGATGTGATATTTAGAGAGATGACAATGAGCAAGTCTTCTCCAGACAAAGAGTTACAAGACAAAGTTCTGAAGCCAAACAGAGCTTGGCATGTGAGTGAAATCAAAGAGTTCAATATGGCCAGAGAAAAGGCTCAGCGGAGAGGAACTGGAGATAAAGATGAGTAAAAAGAAAGATAATGCAAAGCTCTCTAGACACAGTAAGAGGTTTAGACCTCACGAAAAGCAACAAGAATTCATGCAAAGTCTTTATATCTGGAAGTCACAAAATCTAATCCCCATTTTAGACAATCACGCTCTTCTGCTTTGGGGAGAGTAAGGCTGCAGAGAGGCATGAGTGAAAATGCAAAACCCAGGCGAAAGGCAATTCTGCCAATCCAGAGGGACACTGCCTATGATGCTGAGGAAAAGTGGGTAGATTCGGAACATATTTTGAAGGAAGTCTTGACAGGAATTGATATGGACAGGAGGCAGGGAAATACTGGGTAGAAGAGGGCGGTTCACGACAAAGGCCCCACCCTCAAGCCTGGAATCCGCGTCCCTAAAGGAGAAGACTTATCCCTGTTTTCCTGCTCAAATGTTACTTTTCTGGCCTTCCCCCCCTCCCCCCGCCCATCCTGTGCCCATATAAACCCCAGACATCAGTTGGCAAAGAGGCAAGCGGCTGACATGGAGAGAAGAAGCAACTGAGCATTGGAAACTACAGACAGTCTCAACTTAACTTCAGATGGCACAACTTCAGAATGGAGCCTGGCCCGAGAAGGTCGGGCTTCAGGGAAAGATCACCTTCTTCCCACACCATAGCCTTTTCAGCTCCCCTTCCACTGAGAGCCATTTCCACCGCTTAAAAAAATCCTCCGCATTCATCATCTTTCAAACCAATCATTCGACCTAATTCTTCTTGGACGCCGGACAAGAACCCGGGTGCCAAGAGGGCACAGTGTAAAACCAAGAGGGCAAGTTGTAAAAGACTGTCGCCTCGTCTCCCCGCCGAGCTGGTTAACACTTAGCCGTCAGTGGATGGCAACTGCTAAAAGAGCATTAATTGTTAACTCACCCTTAGATGCTGCTGTGGGGCCGGAACCCAAAAGCGCTGGGCCCAGCCCCACACCTGCTCACCTGTGTCCTCCCCCTCCCACCAGGGGTTCGAGGGCATGGTGGCCAGGTAAACAAGCCACACCCCTTTTGCAATCCCATGAGTGGGTGAAGGGAATTCTTTCGCCTCAGAACGACTTGCTAACAGACCAGATGTGGGAATGCCAAGTAAAAGTACATGTTCACAGTATTCTAAAAATTCAGGCTACCTGAAGGTACAAGAATGTACCACATTAAGAAACAACTTAAAGAGGAGAAAACTCGATCCACATAGACAAGGTAACATGTTGATAGATTGCTTATTAAATTTTCTTGATGTGTAACTGAGGACTCTAGCTTAGGAGTTATACCGTGGAACTTTCTCATTTTACAAATTAGTAATGCCTAAAGTCTCAGTAAGCTACAGAATGCCACGAGCTCTCAGCTGTTAGGTGAGCCCACAGAGGGCACTGCCTCTTTGCTTTTCAAATGATGCCTTGCACAGAACCTAGGAATCATCAAAACAGATATGAGACAAGAACTTGTACCTCATGCAGGTGTTCTAGGTTATTCTCCACTTCCTTCTACTGGAGAGAAAAAAAAATCCTAAAATAGTTGACTAAAGGAAAAAAGTGATTCCAAACATGTAAACCTTAGGTAAATTAGAAACATGGGCTACATCCAGGAAGCCATCACAAGAGAAATAGTATGGGGAACACACAATATGGTAACCGTGGCTGAGAACTGGACATATATTTTTCTCGAAGTCTTTAAATCCCCATGCCAGCTTCATGAAGCTGGTATAATTATTCTGGCTTTCAGATAAAGAAGTGAAACCAAAAAACAAAGAAAAAAGAAATCAAGTAACATGCCTAAGTTCACACAACTGTGAGAGGCAAAAATGAATCTGGACCCAAGTCATGTGAGGTCAATGCCATTGAAGGCTGTGTCCACAGCATCACAGAGTCCAAGGATTTGCACTGGGCTGAATATCATGCCTTTGGACTGACAAGAGTTGACTCCCAGCTCATCTTATGGGAAAAGATGAGACAGGAAGAAATCGAGGTGTCTACAGCAAATTTTAAGGAAAATTGTTAAGAGAAGACAATTCCTACAGGTGTATGTGGGGGTTGAACTACATTCCAACTTGCTAGGACTAGGTTCTAATTTTTACTTTTGTTTTCTTGATTTAAAAAGATCTTTACCTTGGAGTGAAGGTGGATGGAGTTATAACAGGTTCATCAAGCAAACACAGCTCCACACAACACAGGTCAGGATTTCTCGTTTGAAATTGTCTATATCTTCTTGACTCCAATCCTCTGCCCCACAAACGATCAGAGATGATTTTCTGCCACGACAAACAGTTGCTAAATCTTTCCTTCTGCTTCAGCTCAGAAGAAATCCCAAACTATAGCCAGGCAGCTGCCCTCTATGCTAACTCCATTCACCAATTTTCCCTTGCAGTCTAAAACTGGTGGCCCCAGAGCTAGCCCACGTGCTATATTTCTGTGATTCAATATTTTGATTATGTGTCTCTCTCTGACATGTTTTTTCCTGCCCACACAAAACCTGAGTAAATTACAACTAGCTTTGAATAGAACAATCAAAGAATAGTCTACCAATTTCTACCTCCTGCAGTAATATCAGGCAGCCAGGGCTAGAAGACAGCCTGCCACCCTCATTCTACTACTTGCTATTATTAATCATCCAGTCTCCAAAAGACACAGTCATGATGAGTAACTCCAGAAATCCTCATTAACTCGAGAGTTTTCCCCAAATAGAGGTAGCATTTAACTCTAACAAGCTTCTGATCACCAGCCCTATTAAAGTTCAAACTGTTAACCCTCCTCTCAAAATCTCAGAATACAAGCTGCCTTTCTCCGGTTTGGTTCTCTCTGCTATGAGATTTTGATATCATTCTCATTTCATTTTTTAGAGTTGAGGTCTCACTCTGTCACCTAGCCTGGAGTGCAGCAGTGCAATCATAGCTCACTGCAGCCTTGAACTCATGGGCTCAAGCAATCCTCTCATCTCAACCTCCCTAGTAGCTACACGCACGTGCCACCACACCCAGCTAATTTTTTTGTTTGTTTGTTTTAGTTTTTAGAGAGATAGGCTGGTCTCAAACTCCTGGCCCAGGCTGGTCTACTTGCTGTTGCCCACACCAGGGTTGGTCTCAACCAACACGGTCTTCAAGCAATCCTTCCATCTCGTCCTCTCAAAGTTCTGAGATTACAGGTGTGAGCCACTGCACTTGGTCTTCATTCTCATTTTTATGATGCCTTTTTTTAAAAAAAATTGAATCACTTTGATCCATCTACATTCTAGAGAAATGAAGATGCTAGGCCAGGTGTGGTGGCTCATGTCTGTAATTCCAACACTTTGAGAGGCCAAGGCGGGCGGATCACGAGGTCAGGAGTTTGAAACCAGCCTGGCCAACATGGTGAAACCTCATCTCTACTAAAAATACAAAAATTAGCCAGGCATGTGGTGGCACATGCCTGTAATCTGAGCTACTCAGGAGGCTGAGGCAGAAGAATCACTTGAACCCATGAGGCAGAGGTTGCCGTGAGCCAAGATCGCGCCACTGTACACCAGCCTGGGTGACAGAGTGAGACTCTATCTCAGAGCAAAACAAAACAAAACAAAAAAGAAATGAAGAAGAAGCATGGAGTCCTGAATAAAACCCTCAGCAATAAACATTCCTAAGTGTACACAGATCCTTCAAACATAAACTCTTCTCAACATCACATCTTGGGGAAATGTTTTCTATTTTTTCTGTTGAGTCTTATTTTTTGCCCCTGTTAAAAGGAAATCCATAATAGGAACTGTCAGGAAACAGTTCCTAGGCCCGGTTTTGTGTAATACTTGCTGTTTCACACTGGCTATGCTGCTTAATCTCTCTGACCCTCCGTTTCCAAAGAAAAATTCAGAGGTTATACAAGATCAGTCATTTTCAAACTGTTATTCACAGGATCATATAGTTCCATTCCTGTGCCTTCAGGGTTGGCAGAGAGAAGGGCATCCCCTTCTCAAGATGGAGGCTGAGTAGGCATGAGTTGAAAAATCTCTCATAGACCTTTTTTTTAACTAGAATTTATATTGTGGTTGGTATTAGATTCCATCTGAGAATTGGATTCTAGCCCTAGCATTTTTTTTTTTTTTTTTTAGCCTGAATTAGATGATGTCTGAGGACTAAAATGCTATGGTCCTGGTACCTTCAGGTTATAGGCATAGTAGTGGGTACATATCAGTAGACATGTGGTTAAAAGAGATGAGACTGTCCTGCTTTTCAAGAACAACGCCATTTAATTGGAAAGGTCTGTGAAAACCAGGACCATGTAAGTGGACACAAGGAGTCAGAAGTATCTTTAAATGTTGACAGATTCCAATCTGAATTAGAAAAGACTAAGGAAGAAATGATGTAGGGTAGGGAAGTTTCTTGGATACCAAGCTGTGAACTAAGTATTAAATACACTCAGCAGATCTTTTATTTTATTTATCTGAAAGGCAATCATTGCAGCATTCCAAATTTTCTTTAAGTTTCGATTGTTCTAGGACTTTCGCCGTAGGGTCCTTGTCACATGACCAAGAAAGATTAGGCTCCCAGACACTTTGAAGGGTGAGAAAAAATGGAATTTATTGGGTGGGAAGGAAAAAAAGGGAAACATGGACTCAGCAGAGTGAGAGTCCCGCTAATCGGTTTCCCACCTCACAGACTGAATCCCAGGTTATCACCCCAAACAGGAGAGGCCAGGCTCCTCCCCACTGCAAAGGGTGTGAACTTCCCACGGCTCCACCCCATTCTCCCAGTGCCAGGGTGGTCGGAGGTTCTCCAGGGACCACTTTATACTTGGCTGTCTCACTATGAGGCTGTATCCTTCATCCCAACATTACGATTCCTTGCAAATCAAATATGGACTTTCCACACACTTCTGATTATAAACAATGCTCTCAAAAAAATGCCATAACATCTACTCTGAGCTTCTTAGACTATTGTTGGCTGTACCTGACAGATGTACACAGTCTGCGGTAATAGCTATGTTACAGAAATATTGTGCACCGATCATCTTGTTTTAGTTTAATCATATTACTCAATTGTTCTCAGTGAAATTTCAGTTATGTATGTGCTTACTTCAATTCTGATTCATCTTCACCAGCTGGTATTGAAAAAACTCTTTCAACCTATCTTCCCAACATACACACCTTCTAATGAAGTATGATCAAAGGTGAGGAGAGTGAAGAACAAGAATTTAATCCAGAGAGGAGTGGCACTGGAGATCTGAACGGGCAGAGACTGTTGGAGAACTCAATGGAAATAGGAAGAAATTTTATAGGAATACAAGGAGGAGCAGTAGAAGGAGATTGGTCCTAAAGGAAACTGACAGTAAAGTGAATAGAAGTCCTCCTGCCCCAGGAATGTTAAAATGGGCCCCTGAGATGCTTTTATCCCTTGGGTGGGAGGAGAGCCTGGGCAGGTGACCATTACTATGCAGATGGCCGTTCTCTGAAGACGGAGAAGTGAGGACATTGGAAAGTGAGCCTTTAGAACTAGCATCCGGGGTGAAGGGGAGAGGTAGCGTTAGGCTGCGAATCACCTAACCAGTTTCTCCTCCTCTCTGATATTTCATTTTTTTCTGGAGTCCTGTGAAAGCCGAAGAAAAGCACAGCTCTTGTCTTAGGTGCCCCATGGCCAAAAGGGTGATAGTAGTTTCAGGAAAGGAGGAGGAATGTTGTAGACTGCGCTTGAAATTAGAGTTTTCTTATAAGAATGCAGATTCCATATTCAAGATATTCTCGGCCGGGCGCAGTGGCTCATGCCTCCCAGCACTTTGGGATGCCGAGACAGGTGGATCACAGGTGAGGAGATCGAGACCATCCTGGCCAACATGGTAAAACCCTGTCTCTACTAAAATATATTTTAAAAAAAATTAGCCAGGCATGGTGGCATGTTTAGTCTCAACTACTCAGGAGGCTGAGGCAGGGGAATTGCTTGAACCCAGGAGGTGGAAATTGCAGTGAGCCGAGATCGTGCCACTACACTCCAGGCCTGGCAACAGAGCAAGACTCCGTCTCAAAAAAAATTATATATATATATATATATATATGCTCTCTCTCTCTCTCTCTCTCTCTCTCTCTCTCTCTCTCTCTCTATATATATATATATATATGCTCTCTCTCTATATATATATATTCTCAGGTCTGCTGGGAAAGAAAAATAATCTCTTCAATAATAGTCTATAAATTTAATTACATAGGGGAATTTATGCAAGATTATGTGGATTATGGTGCTACCTATAAATAGACATTTCAATAGCTGATGTGAACTCTTACTTATGGGAGGCCAGTAGTAAGTTGAATCCCTGTGTGAGTTGTTTTAAACAACTGGGAGAAGAAATAGTGATGTGGAGAATACTCAAAATTGAGATGCGGGAAAAAACAGGTTATAAGATGGTATCATTGTATAATCCCAAATTGGCCAGAATATAGGTTGCATACACACACACACAAAGACACACACACGCGCACACACACAGACACATATTATATATAGTTATAGCTATTAATTAGTTATAGATTCATAGCTATTAATTAGCTATAGATTCATAAAAAGATTTATATGTTGGTGGTCATTCTCTTTGTGTGGTGAGATTTGCTACTTTGGATATTTGTTATTCTTATGATTAGAAAACATAATGTGATATTTATATTTTATAGATTAACAAGCTAGCTATCCTCAGAATTAGTAGTGTAAAAATACAGCCACTTTTACAATTCATTTCTTGGATAATTTTTATGTATATTTGAGATTCATTTATTTAAATATTTCTTCAACCCTATGACTTCCTTAGAAAAAGAATTCGCATAAGCATTAAAATCTCCCCCCGCAAAAAACATCATAATTTCCCAAGAGCTGTATGAGGAAAAAAATAAAACAAATGGACGCAAAACCTACTTCTGAGTTTTCTAGCGGTGACAACAAACAGAGAAATGTGATGTGCTATACAACTCTCATCATATCGAGAAACATGAACTGTTTTCTGCCCTGACTTTATTAGGGACCAAATGGCGGGATAGGGGGCAGACTGTATGAAAATGTGAGCAAACGCTATTGATGGGTGTGTGATACAGGCAAGAAAGAGGTGTCAGATGAACACTTCTCAGAATATTATATATTTGAATTGAGGTTACGCCAATTAAAAAAAGGGGTTTTCCTGGCAATTTACTAAATACATAGTTCTCATTGCTAATCATCAAAGACAAAAATATATCTCCATTCCTCTGGCAAGAGAGTACTATGTAGTGATTAAGCGTTTGTCTCCGGACCAGCCTCCCTGGGTTTAAATCTCACTGCCATCATCTACTTATTCGGTGCCTTTGGACAGTGTATCCAATGCCTCCAGTTTCTATGTCCTCATTTATGAAATAGCCACAGTAATAGAACATAGCAAGCACTGCATAAACACTATGGTCTTCCTCATCACCATCCTCATCTTCATCCTCACCATCACCGTCGCCAATCAGAGCAATGGAAAAGCACATTAAATAAAATTAGTGAATAACTTTCGCTGCAGTATGATGACATTTTAGTGAAATTCATTTGTTTCTTGAATCAAGGGACCATCCTAGTCCTGCCAAAGCAGCTGAAACATACACAGAAGTTTCTGTCTTCCAGTTGCCTTGGGACCACATATGACCTAAAATTAATCTTGATTTCCCAGGATTTTGACTATGATCCCTATCGAAGACCAACCTGCGGTCAATTTACAAAGTATTTTCAAAAGTTGTGTAAAACTAATCTACATCTCCTCTCATTGTGTTTCTTCCTGCTGGCTCCTCCTCTCTCACATGCCCAGTGGCAATCCCAACCACAATTCTCCCCTAACACATGGACACACACACACAAATACATATACACACGCACACACATCCACAAATACATTTACACATGCACACATATTCACACATCCACATATTACACATGTACACACATACATGTACACACGTCCACACACATATATACATATAGCACACATGTGTGCATACACATGCATGCACATCTGTGTACACATATATACACATACACACATGTACACACGCAGCATGTATCCACATACACATGCATAGACATGCACACATGCAAACATCCACAAACACAACACACATATACACATACATATGCACTCACATACACATCAACACATCAACACAAATGCGCAAATACACACACATATACACAGATCCACATCCACACATAAATACATTATACATGTATACACATACACACACAGACACAAATATACACATATACACACATATGCACATCCATGTAAAAGCACATATATACACACATACACATGCATATACATAAACACATGTACACACTTACACACACACAAATATACACATACACATACACATACTGCTTAACTCTCTAAGCAGATCCTAACATCCTGAGAATACACCAAGGATGGTTTTTGACTTTACTGTTCTTATCAGAGGAGACTGGCTTTTACTCCCCAAACTCCAGTCTTGTTTAATGAAATTCAAAATAATTATATGTCAGAAGCATATCTATGCAAAATAATCTGCATGTTTATGTGTGTGTGTGTGTGCTCATAAGTGAGCTGATAGGCCTTCATGACCCCGTAACTCTGCAGTGGTATGTTCTGGGATAGTCATTGCCATGGCCGCCAGCCTGCGTTCCCCGACACATACGCTTACACACATGCACACATATACATATGCATACACAAATATACATTCACACAAACACCTGCGTTGTGTTTCCATTGTATTCTCTATTGATGGTGAAAGAATCTACATTGATAATAAATAACGCCATATCTATTCTTCTCTTGGTTTTTTCTCTTCAATTCCGCTTTCAGTTAAAATTCTAAAAGATTGTTTTCAATGCTTAGAAATAGAAGACAGTGCCATAATCTCTCTCTTTTTTTCTTTTTTTTTTTTTTTTTTTATGGAGTCTTGCTCTGTCGCCCAGGCTGGAGTGCAGTGGCGCGATCTCTGCTCACTGCAAGCTCCGCTTCCCGGGTTCATACCATTCTCCTGCCTCAGCCTCCCGAGTAGCTGGGATTACAGGCGCCCGCCACCACGCCTGGCTAATTTTTTTGTATTATTATTATTATTATTTTAGTAGAGACGCGGTTTCACTGTGTTAGCCAGGATGGTCTCCATCTCCTGACCTCGTGATCCGCCCGCCTTGGCATCCCAAAGTGCTGGGATTACAGGCGTGAGCCACCGCGCCCGGCCCATCTCCATTTTTAGGATGTAAAAACTGAGGCTCAGTGGCAAGCTGACTTTCTTTGCTCTCTGTAGCTACTATCATTGTCCCGCCACAGGAACTGTCTGCAGAGTGCTGATCTAGGAAACAAGCTGGTAGGAGTATCCACAGAACGGGATCCTGGCCACTGCTTTGGTATGAACTATCCATGGGGATGCAGAACCTTATTTCAGCTTTCTAGGTCTTAGCTTCCTTCTTTTCAAAGGAGGAGAAGGTGGAACTGGAAAGGCTGGAATACAAGATCACACAGGTTGAGAACTTTAGAAATTATACAGTTTTCTCCTCCAGAATATTCTTTATAACTTCTTTTATAATCTGTTCTCTGATTTAGCGTTTTGACTTCAATCCCAGTTTTTCTTTTTTTTTTTCCATCTTTTTTTTTTAATTATACTTTAAGTTTTAGGGTACACGTGCACATTGTGCAGGTTAGTTACATATGTATACATGTGCCATGCTGGTGCACTGCACCCACTAACTCGTCATCTAGCATTAGGTATATCTCCCAATGCTATCCCTCCCCCCTCCCCCACCCCACAACAGTCCCCAGAGTGTGATATTCCCCTTCCTGTGTCCATGTGATCTCATTGTTCAATTCCCACCTATGAGTGAGAATATGCGGTGTTTGGTTTTAAAGGATTCCCTATTTAATAAATGGTGCTGGGAAAACTGGCTAGCCATATGTAGAAAGCTGAAACTGGATCCCTTCCTTACACCTTATACAAAAATCAATTCAAGATGGATTAAAGACTTAAACGTTAGACCTAAAACCATAAAAACCCTAGAAGAAAACCTAGGCATTACCATTCAGGACATAGGCATGGGCAAGGACTTCATGTCTAAAACACCAAAAGCAATGGCAACAAAAGACAAAATTGACAAATGGGATCTCATTAAACTAAAGAGCTTCTGCACAGCAAAAGAAACTACCATCAGAGTGAACAGGCAACCTACAAAATGGGAGAAAATTTTTGCAACCTACTCATCTGACAAAGGGCTAATATCCAGAATCTACAATGAACTCAAACAAATTTACAAGAAAAAAACAAACAACCCCATCAAAAAGTGGGCGAAGGACATGAACAGACACTTCTCAAAAGAAGACATTTATGCAGCTAAAAAACACATGAAAAAATGCTCACCATCACTGGCTATCAGAGAAATGCAAATCAAAACCACAATGAGATACCATCTCACACCAGTTAGAATGGCCATCATTAAAAAGTCAGGAAACAACAGGTGCTGGAGAGGATGTGGAGAAATAGGAACACTTTTACACTGTTGGGACTGTAAACTAGTTCAACCATTGTGGAAGTCAGTGTGGCGATTCCTCAGGGATCTAGAACTGGAAATACCATTTGACCCAGCCATCCCATTACTGGGTATATACCCAAAGGACTATAAATCATGCTGCTATAAAGACACATGCACACATATGTTTATTGCGGCATTATTCACAATAGCAAAGACTTGGAACCAACCCAAATGTCCAACAATGATAGACTGGATTAAGAAATTGTGGCACATATACACCATGGAATACTATGCAGCCATAAAAAAATGATGAGTTCATGTCCTTTGTAGGGACATGGATGAAATTGGAAAACATCATTCTCAGTAAACTATCGCAATCCCAGTTTTTCATAAATGCTCATTTATGTTAATATATTAACATTCTACTCTTTTAATTAACTTAATTCAATTGTTCAAATAACGTGCCTAAGATAAACTTTTATTTAGGCTAAAAATATCATGTGAATAAGCAGTTAACACAGTCTGATACACCACTGTCCAAGAATGTCCACACAATTACTTGAATGTATTTTTAAAGAAAGTACATTGTTAAGGGAAAATTTGAGTTACAAATGACTGGGTATTCAGCCAAGTTTAAAAGATAAACCCTGGTGGGGTGGGGGGTGTTGGTTTGGTTTTTTGTTTTTGTTTTTTTACTGCGTGATCCTACACAGGAGGCCTGCAGATGCTGTATCTCAAATCAGAGGAAATTACAACTTAGCAAGTGCTCTCTCCCTGTGGGCTCAAATAAAATTTCCTAAAGGAAATCTAGCTCAACCACAGGCGGGGAAGGCACTGTAAGTGCTCTGAAAAGGAAATCCCTCTGTGACACTAGAATGGCATCCATGATCCTTCTCTCCTGCCCAAATGTCCCTGCAATGTTTTAGACTTGAGACTATGACCATTAAAACTGTAGGGTCTGTCCAGGAGCCCTCAGTCCTAGTCGGCTTCAGAACTAAGCAGGGTGCCTCCCTCAAAGTGCCCAAACCGCATCCTCTTGAGACTTTATCAGTCCGTTTTAGACTTCCCCTTTTTTAAGTGGTAGAAATAAGCCACATTTTTTCTAAATAATATTAGTTTGAAACATTTTATCACTTACTTAAATTATGCCCCTGTAACTCCAATAGTTTTACAACTGGAATTTAGAGATAGGAGACTAATATTAGACTGAATTTTGAACACATTTTTCTTCTATTAGACTCCCTATATAAATGTGATATAAAAGCATACATTTCTCAAAACTGGCTATCAATTATTTTTCTATTTTGCATAAGTTTTTGTCACTAAGCTCTTAAATAGACGATATATTATGCAAAGCTTAAAGTCGAACTGCACTTAATATTTTTCAACTATCTTGTTCGCTTATTTTTCAGGACTAAAAAGCTATTCAGTATTTTTCCTAACTTATTTTTAAAAAATTTATACCTATTCAGAAATTGCCTTTTAAATATGATACACATACACACACACACGCACAATCTCCCTTTTCAAACTCAAGGACCATGATAATATTTTATATTTCACATAAAATAAAGCCAGTTTCATTTCTGTCAAATATAATTTAGACTTGATCAGCACTCAGCATCTATGTTGCCAATTAAGCTACAGTACACTTTACAATGTGAAAAAAATTTCACGAGGAAGGATAGATACAACATGGAAAGAATCTTTGAGATAAAAGAAATATAATTGATGCACCCTTCACTCTCCAGCATTGATTTCTATTTATTATTACAAACTCTTCAAAACACAAAGATTGGATGTCAACATGTTATCCTGGAAGCATACAATTGAAGAACGCATTACCTGCACGACTTACTTCATAAAATTTGTTTACCAGAATTGGAGTTGCATGTTCATTTAAAAGGACTTTGAAGTAAGAGGAAAAAAGATGATTTAAGCTTTTTTTCCTCCCTAATACTTTACTTTTGAGATTTACCAGACTTCAGTTAAATAGATGCCTCCTTGACAACCAAGAATCCTAGTAATAGGAGTGAAGTGGTAAAGTGTAGTTTGCCTAAACTTCCCTGCAGGCAGAGTGGAGCTCTATGCAGGACCACTTTCATCAAGCACAGCTAGCTGACTTTGAAAATTCCTCCTGAGGAACAGTGATCAGCGGACCCTTCTTACATTCATCCGATTTCCAAGCCTTGATGTGACATATGAAATAAGAAGAAAGTGACAACAAAAATCAATGTGTCTAAATAGTCTTGCTTCGAAATATACCTGTCACTGGCTTAACTCAGAAATTGGGTGGGATATTAGATCTGATATCTTTGTTGTTGTTGTTGTTGTTATCTTGGCTTCAGAATTTATTTTAGTACCTGAGGAGAAAAAAAGACAAAGCCTCTTCTTAATTGTGCACGGGAGAGAAGTCCACTTACTAAAAATAATTCACAATTTTAAACAAATAAAATTATCAATGACTGCCCATTCTTGCATTGGGCCTTTATTCTCTTCCATGTCAACATGCTTCTGATGAAAACGAGTTCTGCTACATCTTAGTGGAGTCATGAGGTTTGAGAATTATTCACTAAAAACAAATCTCTAGGAAGTTAACATATTTTAAGTTAAAAAGTATAATATATTAGAAATTATGCCTCTATGAATCTAACAGTTTTACAATTGGAATTTAGAGACAGGAGATAAGTATTAAACTAAATTTTGAGCATATTTTTCTTCTATTACATTCCCTATATAAATATGTATAAAAGCATACATTTCTATAAGCTGTCTTATCAATTATTTTCCTATTTTGCATAACACTTGTTGTCACTGAGACTTTAAATAGAAAATATATAATGCAAAGTTTAAGTAGTCCTCAGAAAGAAAATGCCTTGCTTCACAGTCTGAGGAAAGAATTTAGGTTTTCAATCTGTAGATTGTGAAATTTAAAAACTACTTAAACACTTTACTGAAGAAAAGACTCCCTTTTAATAAAAAAGTCACCACATCAAGAAAAATTAGCAATCTTAAACATGCGATCTTTTATGAGTCTCTTTTGAAAAATATACAACTTGCCAAAAAAAATTACAAAGATGATTGTCTATGTTTAAACAAAGCAGTAAAGGCCATTCAACCTCCCATTCACACATAAATGCATTTTCTTTTCAAAGGATATTTACCCTTTAAGGGGACATTTTTAACCTTGTGACACCATAAAATTCCATGCATGCAAAGTTATTTGTTTTTATTTTTCTGACATTCATTCTTGACCAGATATTTTCCATGGGCTTTCTCATGTTACTCAACTAGAGGCATAATTTTAATAGTTTATTTTAATACCTTGATTAATAGGAGCAATCTGTTTAAAAATAGTATTAGTGTTGGCATTTCGTAATGAATTGCAGAAGCTGAGCAGACATGCTCTTTTGTGCCTTTTTCAATTTCCTTTGAAAATGTGTTGAACTCCTCAGTATTTGTTCAAACCTACCAAGTTTTAACATGAACTAAGCATTAAATGGATTTGGAATCTGAGAAGGGTGTTCGCCTACAATGTAGCGATATGGGGAGAAAAGGTTTGGGTTGAGACCGGCGACTTTCAGAATTATAAGTGCTGGCAAGTAAGAACCACAGCCCGGCAATTTTGGAGGCCCCCAGCATAGCCACTGCTGCTAACCAACCAATTTTAAAAGACCAAAGACTAGGTTTTCTCCCAAAGTGACAGTAGTTGCAAATTTGCCATCTAACTCACAGTGGCACTAGCCCAATCGAGGCAATTTCCTGAGAACTTATGATAATATGTCCCTGTTACACAAGACCTAAAAGATTTTTAATGGCCTGTTCCTACAAAACTAAAATAAAAATGGCTGGCCTGTACAATAAAATATTTCACTGGAAATGAAACATAAACAAATGCACTAGTACTCCATTTTGAAAAGAACTTTGTAAACTTATTGTTTAAAATTATGAAATATGTTCAAATTTACAACAATAAAACTCTAGGAAAAACAGTGATGCAAATGTTTAACATGAGATTCATACAATTTGCTTTACCCTATCTTGTAAATAGCTAGACCGATAGCATCTAAATACCAAGGATGAAAAAGAAAAGGTATATGTGTGTTTTTTGTGGGGGTGGTGGGGGGCGATGTACATCCTAGAACAAGGACATCTCAGAGGCTTTGGAAATCTGAAAGAATGCATTCACTCTTCAACAATCCAATGACAATTAATATTTGTGAAATATAGTCTTGAAAGCAATTTTGTTCATTGTTTTTGTGAAACTGACAGAATAACTTATTCTAAGTCATGTTCTAAGTGGCACTTATAAAAAACACTGAGACGTGGCACTGTTTGTGACATATTGAGGGTCAATTGTGTGAAGAACCAAGGCAACAAACCCATCAAAAAGCAGTAAATGGAGGTCTTTGTCTTTAAGTTATGAAGAATGTGTATGTATTTGATCCTGCCAGCCAGCAGTCCTGCAGCTTTCTGGGCATAAGACAGATGGCAGTGCAACCAAGCTAGAATTCAGACCTTCCTTCTTTCCCTCTGGGTCTAACTCCTATTATCCACTTGTAAATTAACCTGTCAATTTATCAATCAACACCATCTTGATTCTCCCGTTCCACAGCCCAGCCTTGCAGTGAATTTGCCTCGTAAATAACTGGGAGCCCCGTGTTTGTTAGTATTGTGAATGAGTTTATTATCACTTTGATGGCTGCTATGAATCACAAATGCTGCTGAGAGGCTGATAAGAAAAAAGTACATGCACACATTAACAGGGTTGAAACTATTTTAGAGATAAAAGATGGAGTAACTGTGATAGCAAATCATTTAAATTGAAAAAAATGACTAAAAATTGTGTGTGTGTGTGTGTGTGTGTGTGTGTGTGTGTGTGTGTGTGTTGGACAACCCCCTACTTATAGTCAAAGAGAGAGAGAAATGAATCAACTTTCTTGTGTACTGTTCAAAAAAAGTATCTGCAAGACGACATTAGTAGGCAGTAATAGCTCTTGGGTCTTGCAGGATAACTGTTTTATTTAATAGTTTAGGTTCAAACTTCAGGAAACACCCCGCTCTGTTCTAACAGACCAGTTGGCCAGGTTTACGTGTAGGTGTTGCATGGGAACTTGAAAAAGAAGGGAAAAAAATCCAAATTGTATACTTTATTAGAATAATATACGAAAGTATAGCAATATCTATTAAGTTAAATGAGGCAGTTTGATAAGCTTAACACATTAATAAACAATTAACATTAAAGTGCTAATTAAATTCTTTCCCCTGTGTCAGTGAAATAGTTATGTATTTGACATGTAAAATTAAATTTAAGTGATTTTTAAGTTAGAAATTCTTCAACAAATGCTGCACATATGAAAAATTTACCTTTAATTACAAAATTATATGTTGTCTTCAGTTTCCAATGTCAGATTTTTCTCAGCATGATTATTCTTTTACATTTTAAAATATCATATGAATACAAATCAGCGTTTTTAAAGAATACATAGCATTACATTCTGAGGATTAGGACCCATGCTATTAACTCAGAATTACTTTGAAGGATTACTTTAAATATACTATATTTAGGACTACTTTAAAACTATATGTTTAATCAGGTACGTATTTTTCATTTAAAGCAACGTTCACAGTTTGTAGTGAGTAAATATAAAAATAAGACTTAACTTTTCAGGTTCTGGCACATATGTTTTTCTTTAAAAATTGCATTCTATATTCCATTAACTGGGTATTTCATTTTTAATCACAATTGAGATATTTCTTTCAATATTTTCAACTTAATGTACGTAAGTCTTTTGTTGGAAAAGTGTCTGTAAATGAATCCTAAATACAAGCAATCACATTATTTATTAAAGAAAATAGAAAGTTACATGTAATATACTTATGATGTCTTTTCAATATGCAAAATATATATCATTTGTAGGTGATTTTAAAACAAAAAAAAATTCCTGATAGTGTTATTTAAGCAGATCATCATGAAAAATATTGCAAGGCATGACATACGGTTAAAGTTCTCAAACTTGTAAGTCAGAAATAAACTATTAGTTGTCACATGGGAAATACTTTGGCACAATTAAGACACTGCATTAAAAGGGAATATTCCCTGAACATTATTATACCCAATATGTCAACAGTAGAAATGTGATAAAAAATGAAACTATTTGTTAGAATGCAATTTAGAAAACCTGATAGGTTGTCCATTTTATTCAGTTTATAATTAAGATAGTGTTTAAATCTGAAATGAATTCTATATATGCATGTTCAATAGACTATAGCACAACAATAAGAATGGAATCACATCTCATTTTATCGTAAATTGTGTAATAAGCGATAAGGTAAAAACTAGGGCTAAAATCCTTCCAGCAAAAATGAAACAGAGCGACCTCAATTGCCCTAATTCATTCTGCTTTTTTCCTTTTTTTTTTTTTTTTTAAGTCTCTTCATTTTCCCTCTGTTCACGTTATTAGCTTACACATGAGTGCGTTATTAGAAAATAACAAAGCCAAACAGGGGGACTTCGAAGGAGCGGGAGATAGGTTCCTTCTACAGCTGAAAGGTATTCTCATTTCATTTGTTAGGAGTTGCAAAAATAGTTTTATAGCCAGGGAGGGACAATGACCTTTCTCTTTCAACAAGCTTGGTGGTTGGTCTTTTGATGGAAAAACTAGGGGATACAACATCTGGTAATTTGTGTTACTGAGCTTAGCTGAGGTCTTAACGATGTAAGCAGATTATTCTTGAAGAAGAACAAAAAAAATTCCGGAAGACTCAATGGACTATTTAAAGTTATTAAGCAGTGCATTCTAGCACTTCAGATCTCTTTTCTGATTCATTTTCCCTTTAATGCTATGCCTTCGAAGCAATTTTTTTTTTTAGGTCTCCCTCCTTCCAATTCCAGTTGACTTTTTTGGTGGTCCACAGCTGTTTTGTCATTCATACCGGCCTCCTTTTTTCCATCACAGCAGAAATGATTACTTTGCTGATTAAATTTTCTCCTTCAGAACTTTAGGAAGCTCTCCTTCACCCCCGGGAGTCATTGCGAGACCAGAAGGGTCAAGCAACACCAAATAGCAACAGCCAAGCCTCCGCAATTTTAAAGAAAGAAAAAAAAATGTGAACAGGAGCAATGCGTGAAGAAAATGACCCACCCTGTCCAGGATTCTAGGCAAAAAAATAAATGAAAGATGGTACTAAGCAGTTGCTGTGGAATCCTTTCCCCACATGCATCATATTAAAATCACATCTAAAGTTTGTGTTTCTTACTCTGATATAAATGGTGTGGGGTTCATTTTGTATATTTACTTTGCCCCAGTAAGAAAAAAGAGACCCAAATGAGATGCATCCTGCAAAGCTCGGAAATATTCTTAGCACTCTTTTTAAAGAAAAAAAGAAATATTCTATATTGAAGTAAGTCAGTAAATAAACATTAACTTGAATATTCAAGTTTATCTGACTTAACTCTGGCAAAAAAAAAAAAAAAGATATTGCTGTAACTTTAAGTTTTATCTGAAAGTCTAAGCAAGTCAAAATACAGAACACAGAAGGAGCCTCATAGACTGTAGCCCACCTGGAAAGCAGGGGTTCTGGTCTGCATCAGGTCTGCCTCCCAGACAGAGAGCTCGCATGTGCACACAGACTGGCTCTTTGATTAGCACATTGCTTTACAGTTATGAAATGAAGGAAGCAATAACATTACACACCAATTTCAATCTCTCCCGTGCCTACAATTCTTCTGGATGGCAGGACATTATCTTAGATCACTATTTCTTCAAGTCAAAGGGCTTCACAGAGAGCAAAGTATATTACCTTAAAAGAGAAAGAGAAAGTGAAAGAGAATGAGAGAGAAGAAAAAAAAAATAAAGCCCACAAACATTCTGACGAAGGATTCCTTTTGGAAACGAACACCAAACAATTTTCCATCTTAGGGTAGCTACATAATAAAAAATATGGTTCACATGATTTCTGTCAACATTTAGACAAACCATTGTATGTTGATTCATTGCATATTTAATATTAAGTATAATTTCCCATGTTACAATATTTTCCCACGTGACTTCTGAACTTTCTGGAATTGCCGGGAACAGGAGAGGTCTGTGCCACATAAAAAGTAATTCCAGCCCAGATTATTTTTGAAGAATGCAATATACTAGATATATTTGAATTTTATATAATATTTATATTATATTACCTTCAGTATTGCTTTGCTACATTTTAATTTTTTTATGTATGAGTCATTTATAATTAAGATCCCTTTAGGTAAGAGAGCAGTCAACTTATTTCCAATATACTTTAAAAGGTTTCTTCTTTTAATAAGATTGGCAGTTAAATAAATATTTTTCAAATTGAACTAAAATCTACACTGATCATTTCAGTTTTTTCAACATTTGCCCGACATAGTGTTTGAATTGACACTATTTAAAGTCAACAGAAACAGTTGGCTACTTTATACTCTCAATTTACCTCTATATTCTATAGACTTTTTGTAATTAAATATAATTTACTCAAGTTTACAATTTTTTCTTTCATTACTAAGATACAAAATGCTTCAAATGCATCATGTCAGATATACTTGAGCATTTGGTACTTGTCTTTCCATCAGTTCTGCCAGTTTCAGATTCAAAGCAGCATTTGTTGAAGTTCTACCGCAGGAAGAAAAAAAAGTATCCATTTTTGGTTATAAAGGGCAACTGCATAATCAGGGTACTGGCAGATAAACAATGGCAAAAAAGAAACCATTAAAACAGAAAAACTGATGAAATCCACACACACACACACACACACACACACACACAGTTTATCCTTCCACCTAACCTAGCTAAGTCCTTCACATAAAGTTATGCTCACTTATCAAACCAAAATTTTCACCACAATTGGGTTGGTTAATTTTCTTGGTAAAAACTTAGAACCCTACCCCATCTTAATGGCAGATATGTTTCTGAATCAGCAGTGGGACTCTACTTTAGTTATGGAGACAAGCAAAGGAAAGCCCCAAAGGCAGTTCGTGTTCTGGTAAATTGTGCTCATAAACAAAGGATTTCATCAGAGGATTTTAATGTTTTTCCTTGAATCACTCACATGGTTTCAACTACTCTCTGTACATGTCAGTTTCTTCACATAAAACAGGGAGGGTGGCCTAAGAAAGAGCTAACTAGGCCTGGAACTTCTCATTTGATTAATTCCCCTCCTTGGTTTTATCAATATCCAGTCATGTCCTTTTTCACATTTCATCTTTTTTCGTTGTCATTCTGAATCTACTCTGCCACTTCTATCCTTAGAATCCCATTCTTAAATTTACCCTTTTAACCATATTCTTTCATCTTTGTATTAACTACCCCATGGAACCACTTTGATTCTAGCAAAATCCTACTCAAAGCCTGTGGTTGGTCACTGAATACAATCCAAATCTCGGGCTGATTTTCAAGGCTGTTCACGATCTGAGCCTACCTATCTCCCCAGATTTCTCTTCCAGTTTTTCTAATAAGAAGATCATATAGTGGAAGAGGCACCAGACATGGATTCAGGAAACTTAAATTTCAACATAATTTATTATACGAACACTCTGTACCATTTAAGTCATCTAGTCTCTCTGAACTTTAGTTTCCACATACCAAACATTGACAACTGGTGGTCTATGGGCCAGATGTGGACCCAGGTGTGTTGTTTGCTCGAGAGAATTTATTTCGCCCTTTGGGATTATCTGTGAGGTTCGGTGGTCAGTGGCATGTAGATCCCTGCCTCATCTCCAAAAAAGGGGTATTGATGCCTATCACACCATATTGGTGGTGGATTAAGTTAGGTAATATAAGGAGAAGTCCCAGGCTAGTGCTTGTTACAGGAGAGATTTTCAATAAAATTTAGTTCAATTTAAAACAGTTTCACTTGACTACATCCATCTTCTGATGTGAGTTGTATGGATAACTACAAATACATTCTGTCGTTTTCTATTTCTGAGCTTTTGCTCTGATATCCTCTAAAACCACTCTCCCTTCTCTGCCTAGAGAAATCTCAAGAACAGGCCTGAATGTACTTCCTCTCCATAAATCATTTCTTGAGTCCCTGATGACTCAGTCTGAATAGCAGTCTGACTGAATGGCATCAGTCTGAATGGCAGTAATAATGCTACTGGACTTAGAATCTTCAGGCCCAGTAGAAAACTTGAGATCTTGGAAACCAATGTTCACTTTCCAGATGAGGAAACCAAAGGTTAGAAAGTATATAAGACCAATCCAAGGCCACAGAACCAACAAGAGCCCAGGGCTTACATCCAGCTCTCTGATCTCCCACACCAGTTCCTTCTTTCTATTTCGCAGTTTACTATATGATTTTTTAAAAATTTCATTGTTTTATATACAAATTTTCTCTTCCTTCACTCAATTACAAGACTCCAAAACACATGGATGTTGTCTTAAAGACATACTTGTATATCGCACACAAACTTGTCCAATGCCTTGCAATATTCAATAAATGTTTTGAACAAAAAGAGAAAGAAAAGCAGGCAACTTTTTTTTTTTTTTTTTTTGGCGGAGTCTCGCTGTTTCGCCCAGACCTGACTGCGGTGGCGCGATCTCGGCTCACTGCAAGCTCCGCCTCCCGGGTTCACGCCATTCTCCTGCCTCAGCCTCCCGAGTAGCTGGGACTACAGGCGCCCGCCACGTCGCCCAGCTAATTTTTTGTATTTTTAGTAGAGACGGGGTTTCACTGTGTTAGCCAAGATGGTCTTGATCTCCTGACCTCGTGATCCGCCCGCCTCTGCCTCCCAAAGTGCTGGGATTACAGGCGTCAGCCACCACGCCCGCCCAAAAGCAGGCAACTTTTTATGGTTGCGGTTTCCCACGCAAGCACCCAACGGCTCAAGGTATAACTACTTCATTCCTGTTCTTACAGAGTTTTCTATGTTTCAGGTGCACAAAAATTAATCATTTTTTAATGTGTAAGTCTCTACTACGACCAGGTATTGGTACTAAATGCTTTAAACTTCTTGTTTTGCTTAAAGTCCACAACACTCTGCAGTAGTTACCAATATTGTCAACCAAATTTTAAAATAAGAAAAATAAGACTGAAGAGGTTTAAGTATCTTGTCCTAAGCCACACAGCTACAGTGGATCAGGACTCAAACAAGATCTGTCTCATTTCACAGCCCTACTGCTTTTTGTAATGCCAAACAATTTCCAAAGCCACCTCTGTTGCCCTGGTTGAATTCATGTTGCTCCATGTCACACTTGCACCTGTTGTCATCACCTAGGATAAGAACATACATTAAATAGTATAAATCATCTTGTCCTACCAACTTTCTCCTTTCAAAATTTCCAGGTGCCTACAGAAGCCACCTTGGTATTGACTTGGCCATCTTAGCCATTTTTATCTGCCTACCACCACAAGCCCTCAATCAAGCTGCCGTGAGGTCACACAATATACAGCTTGTTCTATAGCATCTTCCGAACTTGCCTTTGGGGCTCTGTTTTCGCTTTTACAGCTTCTTCAGCAAGCCCAGCATATATATTTCTTCTTCGCTGTGCATCTTATGCCAAAGTCCTCTTGTTTTCTTCCTTCATTTAACCATTGAACCTTGTTGAGCATCGTCATGTGACACAATCTTGTTCTAGAGGGTGAGTTAGAGAAAGGGAAGTAGGCGCAGAAACCAAGCGGTGCAGTGAATCATTAAATGAGGTATGAGCGAACTTTCTGTGGGACATAAAGCTGTGAATACAAATGGGGAGTGGTCACTTCAATGTCTTATTGGAGAGAGGGTTAAGTGACCATTGGAGAAAGGGTCACTTGATGTGGGTGAGGAAGCATTGGTAGGTTTTTCCCATCTTGACATAGAAACAATTATATAGACTATCTCCCTCTGAAACATTTTAGGCAAGTTGATCCCCACTGCCATAGTGCTACAATATCCCTCTAATCACATATTATTCGGATCCTATCAAATTTTAGGCCCTTAGGTAATAATCTGTGCACAATGAGTACAGAAATTAGGGCACTCACTGGAATAGAACAAAAACACCTAGAATTTAAGTTATATGTTCAGTCTCTTTGTTTACTTTCTATGCATCTAATTATTATGCTTTTAGTATAAGAAATCTTTAATAACATTTAAATATATAATCCAATGTAAAATTCATGATCTTTCATTTATACAAATCAAGAAACCATGTCTTTACGTTAGAAACCTAGAGATAAGGAGGTCAAACACAGGTGAGAAAAATGAGTCCTAATGCGGCATGAGTGTCAGGGGAGCTGCTGACTCAGAAACTCAGACCCCACAGTGTTACTAATCAGAAAATCAGGTAGCAAAGTGAGATTTAATAAGAATTATACTTCGGATTTCTGTAGTACAGGATGTTTATAAAGTACACACTTTCTCATACATATTTTCACCCTTGATTGTTATAACTTGTTAAGATCAATATCTTCTACTACTCCCATTGTACAAGTGCAAACGGTGAAACTTAGATGGCTTCAGTGATTTGTTGAAGATCACATCCCTAATAAGCAGCAAAGACAGAGCTACAGAAATGATTGGCAGACTCTCATTTCTACTTTTTTTCCATGATTGCAAACAGTTACCCATGTTTATGCATCAGACTCAAGGACATATATATAGGATTCAGTTCAACAAACTCTCATGGAATCGTATGGAAAATACTGGCTAGACCTCAGAGGATGAAGCAAAGCTAGGAAACAGACTTGTTTCCTGTCTTCGTGAAGCTTACTAACTTTTGGGAAGCTCTGCAAAGCAAAGAGTTTGGTTTCCATGAAAGAGGCTGCAATGCTACAACGATCCTTCGGTGGTCAGAACAATGGTTTCCACATAAAATAAAAGAATATTACAAATCTAATCCAATTATTCTAAACATGTAAAGTTGCAAGGCTACAATAGCCCTACAGTGCTAAGACCAATCATTTCTACACCAAACAAAGAAGCTGTTACAAATTTAAATCAATTAGTCCAAAAATTCCAGACCATTAGCTGCAAAACCTGAAACAATGGTACTCTCAAGAGAACAATGTGTTAGTGAGATACCACCCACCATGAACCAAGATAATTATCCAAGTCCCTGGACTGGGAAAAAGGTGCTAGTGGGTGCCAAACTTATGAAACAGCTCTCATCAATGGTATCCCAGCTTTTGCATGCCTATATTCTACCCCAGGGATAGCAAGGCGTGGAAGAAATTCTCACTCACCATGCCAACTAGCGAAACGAGGAATTGAAGTCATAACTGCACAGGGCTACAGTCTTTCTTCCTTCTTCCTTTTGTCCTGTCAATTCCATCTCAGTGCAACAGGACGACGTTGAGGCCAAAGATTATTATAGAACTGAACTTCAAAGGATTTGTCTCTGCAATTATTTTGGACTCCAACTCACTAGCAAATAGAAATCTTACATTTCTAAAATTCAACAGAAACCAGGACTTTGTAAATAGTAAATGATTAAAAAATGGTTATGAAAATTTGTATTTTTATACATCTCGTATATGTAGATAATCGAGATTGAGTTAGAAAATTCAACTTTCCCATTCAGTGTGATATTGGCTGTGGGTTTGTCACAGATAGCTCTTATTATTTTGAGATACGTCCCATCAATACCTAATTTATTGAGAGTTTTTAGCATGAAGGGTTGTTGAATTTTGTCAAAGGCCTTTTCTGCATCTATTGAGATAATCATGTGGTTTTGGTTCTGTTTATATGCTGGATTACATTTATTGATTTGTGTATGTTGAACCAGCCTTGCATCCCAGGGATGATGTCCACTTGATCATAGTGGATAAGCTTTTTGATGTGCTGCTGGATTCGGTTTGCCAGTAGTTTATTGAGGATTTTTGCATCGATGTTCATCAGGGATATTGGTCTAAAATTCTCTTTTTTTGTTGTGTCTCTGCCAGGCTTTGGTATCAGCATGATGCTGGCCTCATAAAATGAGTTAGCAAGGATTCCCTCTTTTTCTATTGATTGGAATAGTTTCAGAAGGAATGATCATAGAATACTATGCAGCCATAAAAGATGATGAGATCATGTCTTTTGTAGGAACATGGATGAAGCTGGAAACCATCATTCTCAGCAAACTATTGCAAGGACAAAAAACCAAACACCGCATGTTCTCACTCATAGGTGGGAAGGGGAACATCACACACTGGGGCCTGTTGTGGGTCGGGGGGAGAGGGAAGGGATAGCATTAGGAGATATACTTAATGTTAAATGACTAGTTAATGGGTGCAGCCCACCAACATGGTACATGTATACATATGTAACAAACCTGCTCGTTGTGCACATGTACCCTAAAACATAAGTATAATAAAAAATAAATAAATAAAAAGAAAATTCAGCTTTCATGGTGTTTATTAGGTGCAGTACAATATCTGTACAGGATAACTTAGATACTATCTCACTATCCCTGACTTTGAAGGCAGGGAGAGCGGGCAAGTTGTCAGACTGAAAACTTATTGATTGGTTTTCATTTATTTCTAATCAAATTTGCTTCATTTTTTTTCCCTTTAAAGGGCAACTGCCTATTTAGGAGAGGAACTAGATCATCTTCTCAGGGTATGGCAAGCATCTCTTAAATAATTCATGGCAACAATGGAAAATTTACCCTACTTTTGTGATATGAAAATGCCTCATTGCTTTTCTGGGCTTGTAAGTAGATTCATCCAGTTGACTGTTTTGGTTTCTTGGAATTCAGAAGTAGGAAAGCCTTCTGAAATTTCAATCATACTGCAGATCCCTCCTGAGTAGTTAAGTGCACAGCCACACACACAACTTTTCCCATAAACACCACATGCCTAAGCACACAGTCAAATTAGATTTCTTCCCTACCAAGGGAGCGGGGGTGTAGAATATGATCACCAGAGTGAAGCGCTCCTTTTTGCAAGATGTAGTAAGAACATGAGGCTTCTTCAATAGGTGTACATAGCGTGGGCCACCTTAACTGCATAATTCATCTTTCTTCATTAATAGTTTTTCAGTCTTAATTTCTTGTGAAACCTAAATTCTCCATCTTAGAAATTGTGGATTCTAAATTTTAATCTGATATTCAAATAATCTATCTCCCTATCTATATTTGTCTGTATTTCTTTCTTTCTTTCTGGCATTGGATGGGTTTATTTTGGTAACTTTATTGATCTTTAATGTCAATAGGTGTGGTCTTCTGTTAGACTGGTTATATGGCTGGAAGAATATGGGAACTGAGTTTGACTCATTCAAACATCTCTCTTCTATATGAATCAAAAAATTCAAAATTATCAAACATGCTACATCTATATTTATTCAAATAAACCTTGGCATGTGTTTCTGTAGTCTTACAATGAGTATAGATCCTTTTTTATGGCATTTTCTATATTTGCTTCTAAAGTGACTCAGCTTTTCAGGTCATAGGGCAATGACAGCGTGGGGGTTAAATGAATGGTCTTCAATAGCTTTTCTGTTCTTTCCAACAAGACAGTGTATTTGCTTCTGCCAAGGAGAGAAGGTATGTAAAAAGCTGATGATGAAACTGGGAGGGAGGATTTCAAGGGTTTTCCCCCAGATAAAGATTAGTAGAGAAAATTCATATAAGGTCGCAGCGTGGAAAGTGTAACTTTCTGTGGAATCTTCACTATACCCTAAGGCAGATGTTTTTCATCAGCAAATCCTTTTCCTACTAGATTTGTGGGGCCAGTTAAGAACAGCTTTGGGAGTTTTTCTATAGGGGTGGGAGCTGCCAGTGCTCAAGTTTAAGTCAGTTAAACTGAGTTAGCCAAAGCCATTTTCTCCCCTCACTGCCAAATCTTGCCTCTGAATAAACAACCTTAACTTTGTTTGTGCAAAGCAGGGATAATGTGTAACTCTTTCGGCAAACAACAACAACAAACAAAAACAAACAAAAAACCCATTGGCTTTTATTTAGATAATAAAAAAGATATAATTTATTCACTTCAGTATCAGCCATGTGCCTTGAAATTAACTTTCCCTTAGTGTTTGAGAAGAGCTCAGTGGAGTATGAGCAATGATATGAATATTTGTATTAGTAGCTTAATTGCTAACTTGCAAACAATTTTGGAAAATAATAGGCTCTGAAAATATTCCATTTGGATTCTAACACCAAAATTAGCTCAAAGTTTATTTTGCATTATAAACCTTAAATATGAAGTTGTAATCAATTTTGATAGAATCTTTTGACTAAGAACATACTTATGTATTCAGCAACTATTTATTGGGCATCATCTAGGTGTCAGGCACCAGTCCAGGTGCTGAGAATGCCTGGCTACAGCATTTGCTGTCTTGCTGTCTAGCACAGGAGACAGACAAGAAAACAACTAGCCCAGGGAAGTGGATCCAGATTGTAAAGGACCTTGTGTGTTGGGTTAAGAAGACCTTGGTCAATGGGAGCCATCAAATAACTTTCAACAGGATAGAATATAATCAGAATATCTTTAGACACATCATTCCTATTCCAGTGCAGGCAATGAATTTCCAGATGCCCAGGCTGGAGCAAGGAGGCCCATAGAAGGTGATGGCAGTCAGTGATCCAGGGATGAGGTTGATGAGATTCAATTTAAGGTATGGACAATGAGATGGAGTAGGAGAGAGAGATGTGAGATGAAGGCTTAACCATGTGGTCAAAGATCTCTCTGAATGTCAACAAAAGTGGGAAGGATGGTCCTGAAATCATTCCTAGGCTTCACACTCTGGTTTGCTCATTTGGTGATATGTAGGCTTACATGGTGATATGTAAGTCTGGGCTTACATGGTGATATGTAAGTCTACATATCACCAAATGAGCAAACCAGAGAATTTTGCTGTACACTTGCACCCAGGTTGCTAACACTTGCAATTTCTTTGGGAGAGAGTATCTCATCTAAAATGTTGCTTATGTGGAGATAGAAGCTTGTTGGAGTTGCACACTTGCACCCAGTTTACTCCCACTCGCAATTTCTTGGGGATCCTAATGAGGAGAGTCAGCCTCCTTCTACCTCTATAAACATGATTGGCCTCTGTATGCCTCAGTTTCCTCATCTGTAAACTCCCTATAGGGTGGTTTCCTACCAGGGCAATCATGAGCAGTAAATAAATAACACATATGGATGAGTATTAAATAAGATGACACATATGGAGAGTGGGCTCAAAATGAACACTCAAAAATATTAGGACCACTTCTTTCCATTAACTAAAATTCCATGTATCCATCAAACCCTATATTGTGTGAAAGCATGTGTAATCTAGACATGTTTAAGTAAATGTTCTTGGACTGCAGACATAGGTTCAAAGAATTTTGGCCGATTTAAGCTTCCTTGGTTTAAAATTTCCCAGAGGTGTGGATGCCATTCAGCAAGTGGGAGTTCACTCAGCCATCTTCTTTCTGCCAATGGAGAGTTGTTTTTTCAGAAAGAAAGAAAACTCCTTTATTCTCTCCCTTTGGAAACAGCTGGAGTAGCCCCCCCAAATAATGCATGATTACAAATCTGGCACCAGGCAAGTATTGGCAAGACTTTGGTTAAATCTGCCACTATTTGTGTCAACAAATGTTGCCAGGTAAGTGGCAAAGAAGGTTGGCACGCCTGTGCCAGGGGATAGCAGGGAAAGCAGCTGCTATATTGAATATGTTGACTAAGAGGAAGCAGAGCTTTATCATGGGAAATGGATTGTTTCTAAAATAATGAAAGGTGCTTTGGTTGCTAAAGCAATTATACAAAAACTATTCCTTAAGAAAAATTGTTAACTTCTTTTTAAAAATGCCAGAAAGTTGGAGTTAGTAAAATAAAGAGAAGACAAAAAGATGCAACAAACACATTGAAAAGCAGGCAGTTGTTCACTAAGAAATCAAAATCCCTGTTCAGTGTCCAGAAGTGGAGGGATTTAATGGGTCCACATTGAAAATACTACCAAGTACATATCACACTGCTTCGTGATCTCCATTTCCAATGAGCTGGACCTAAAGAATTGGAGGTTTATTAAATGATTTTCTTCACAGAGAACACTCATTCAAAGGATGTCTATTTGACAAATACATGAGTGGCAAGTGTTTGACAGACGTGATCACAGTCAGGTTACAGATAGTATGGTGTCCTTGTGTTTCAGGATCACAATTTACCAAGAAATATGGATCATGCAAATGGTCCTTAAATAAAATTAAACATACATACATACACTTGTATGGTTTATCTTGGTGTTTTACTCCACGCACGTAAAGACCAGACTCCCAACAAGAGTATATCTAATTTAGTCGTTTCCAAATATTTCATTTACTCCAGTGCAAAAAAAAAGTATTGTAGGAGGCTTCGATCGTTCTTTTTCTACATTCTAAGGGTTGGCAAAAATTTTCTGTTAAAAAGCCAGGTAGTGCATATTTTAGAAGTTTCAGGCCATGTGGTCTCTGTTGCAACTACTCAGTTTTCGGTGAATGCAGTCATAGACAATGCATAAACTTATAGGTCTGGCTGCATTCCTACAGCATTTTATTTACAAAAACAGGTAGAAGGCAGGAAAATTTAATCTGCTAGGCATAGTTTGCTGACCTTTGCTGTATAGGTAGGGACCTCCTGAAATGTTCTCTGCTAAGATGGAACTTTCGACAAAACTGCATCTACTAGCTTTCTATTCCAGTATTCATTATCCACACTCTCCTATTTCATGGGCTTTTGGTGAGGAGGGAAAATGAGCAGTATGTTTCTTTCCTCTCATTCACTACTTCAATGAACAAAAAAATTCATATTGGCATTTAAATTTTCACAAGGTCTAATGAAAAATGCATCATACATCCTACAACATACGTTGACCTGCTGAATGGCTAACAGAATACTCCATTTGAGACTTTACTGCAGAGCAGCACGATCAATGAGAGAAAGAAAAAAGAAGGGACCCAAGCAAGCAAACATGAAGAAGCCAAGGGGAAGAGAGAAAGAGAAGCAAAGAAACAGCTTAGGTGAAAAATCATTCTGACCTCTCATAGGTCAAATGCTTACTGGAGAATAGATCTCATATTGACCCTCGGTAAAATATAATAGTGGAGGGACCTTTCTTGGAATATGAGGTAGAGAAGCTCTGAGATGGCCTCACTGTTTAAAGATTTCTGGAGACGGACAAGCTTACAAGAATGCATCCCCCATCTCACAATGCATCTTTCACTGCTCTAGGTTCTGAATCACTGCAAGCCTGAAGCTTGCTTGTTGCATACGGTGGAAATAAAGAGATGATGAAAACTTCATGAATCGTGCAGCTTATTGCCAAACAAAGGGATTTTTCTTCTAGGTTCACAGTGCTTAATGAGAAGGAGAATAACACGAAGAAATCCTACAAGGAATACACTCAGTAAATGAGGAACACCAACGACATAGTGAGGGAGTTCCAAAATTATTAAGGTCTAGTTGCTCAATTAGGAAGGCCACAGGCCTCTGTGGAAAGTGAATTCTAATTAAAGATTGAGGTGTACCTTTACAGCAGTGGTTCTCAGGAGAAGCTGGCTTGACCACCACAGCTAGGACCCCTAAAGTCTTCATGCCAGAGATCAGTGCCGGTGGTGGTAGGCGAGGCTTCAGGGCCCCTAGGTCTGCCACAGCCTGAGTTCTGGTGTTCTGAGAAGTGACTGGCCCACAGAGTGTAGTAGCCCTGCCATGAACTGATCTCTCAAAGGGCCTGTCAAACTCTTAAATATGTATGTATTTTGAAATCCACTAGTTGAGGTCAGTAGCTCACACACATGGGAGTGTCTGATAAGGTGACATTCCCAAGGGGAAGGGGAATTCATTCCAAGTGCTCACTTATGGTGGTGTGATAAGACAATCACTCTCAAAGGAAGTGGGGAGTACACTTTAAAACATCAAACAGCATTTTGTAAACAAATCAAAGCTACATAACAATGCCACAGTTACTATACACTGCAGGGCAGGACTGGCATAATTAAAGGCTTATCATGACAGGCAGGATAGAAAGCCTGGTGACGTAGCCCCAGAAGTCCACGAAGGCAAAGTTTGTCCCAAATAGTCTGACAAAACAGCAGCCGGTGGGTATCGCAGGGTGATCCCCACAAAGAGGTAGGGACCAATAAAGAAAAATCATCATGATGTCCAGGGCTGGTTCACTCAGTAGCACAGGACGTTTACACAGATGAGGAAGGCAATCCTCACGTGGCCACAGTTGAGTGTTTTGGCTAAAAGTAAAAGCCAGCTTTTACCCATTTCATTAGAATAAAGATACATTTCCTCTTCCTCCTCTCTTACGCCAATGTGCTATTTACAGGAAGGAAAACACTGAATTCTACAAGTGGCCTCAGTTCAAAAGTACCAGAGAAAATGGCAATACTTTCAAAGCAGAGAAACACAGGTGAACCTGAAAACTGGAAGCTATGGATATCAGGCCTCTGAGCCCAAGCCAAGCCATCGCATCCCCTGTGACCTGCACGTATGCGCCCAGATGGCCTGAAGTAACTAAAGAATCACAAAAGAAGTGAATATGCCCTGCCCCACCTTAACTGATGACATTCCACGCCAAAAGAACTGTAAATGGCCGGTCCTTGCCTTAACTGATGACATTACCTTGTGAAAGTCCTTTTCCTGGCTCATCCTGGCTCAAAAAGCTCCCCCACTGAGCACCTTGCGACCCCCACTCCTACCTGCCAGAGAACAAACCCCCTTTGACTGTAATTTTCCTTTACCTACCCAAATCCTATAAAACGGCCCCACCCTTATCTCCCTTCGCTGACTCTCTTTTCGGACTCAGCCCGCCTGCACCCAGGTGAAATAAACAGCCATGTTGCTCACACAAAGCCTGTTTGGTGGTCTCTTCACATGGACGCACATGAAATTTGGTGCCGTGACTCGGATCGGGGGACCTCCCTTGGGAGATCAAGCCCCTGTACTCCTGTTCTTTGCTCCGTGAGAAAGATCCACCTATGACCTCAGGTCCTCAGACCGACCAGCCCAAGGAACATCTCACCAATTTTAAATCAGGTAAGCGGCCTCTTCTTACTCTCTTCTCCAACCTCTCTCACTGTCCCTCAACCACTTTCTCCTTTCCACTCTTCAATCTCTCCCTTCTCTTAATTTCAATTCCTTTCATTTTCTGGTAGAGACAAAAGAGACATGTTTTATCCGTGAACCCAAAACTCCGGCGCCGGTCACGGACTGGGAAGGCAGCCTTCCCTTGGTGTTTAATCATTGCAGGGACGCCTCTCTGATGATACACTCACGTTTCAAGGGTGTCAGACCATGCAGGAACGCCTGCCTTGGTCTTTCACCCTTAGCGGCAAGTCCCGCTTTCCTGGGGCAGGGGCAAGTACCCCTCAACCCCTTCTCCTTCACCCTTAGCGGCAAGTCCCGCTTTCCTGGGGCAGGGGCAAGTACCCCTCAACCCCTTCTCCTTCACCCTTAGCGGCAAGTCCCGCTTTCCTAGGGGGCAAGAACCCCCAATCGCTTATTTCCGCACCCCAACCTCTTATCTCTGTGCCCCAATTGCTTATTTCCGCACCCCAACCTCTTATCTCTGCACCCCAATCACTTATTTCTGCACCCCAACCTCTTATCTCTGCGCCCCAATCACTTATTTCCGCACCCCAACCTCTTATCTCTGCACCCCAATCCCTTATTTCCACACCCTGACCTCTTATCTCTGTGCCCCAATCCCTTATTTCCGTGTCCCAACCCTTTCTCTGCTTTTCTGGAGGGGAAGAAACCCCCACCCCTTCTCCGTGTCTCTACTCTTTTCTCTGGGCTTGCCTCCTTCACTATGGGCAAGCTTCCACCTTCCATTCCTCTTTCTTCTCCCTTAGCCTGTATTCTTAAGAACTTAAAACCTCTTCAATTCTCACCTGACCTAAAATCTAAGCGTCTTATTTCTTCTGCAATGCCGCTTGACCCCAATACAAACTCAACAGTGGTTCCAAATAGCCAGAAAACGGCACTTTCAATTTTTCCATCCTACAAGATCTAAATAATTCTTGTAAAATGGGCAAATGGTCTGAGGTGCCTGACGTCCAGGCATTCTTTTACACATCAGTCCCTTCCTAGTCTCTGTGCCCAGTGCAACTCGTCCCAAATCTTCCTTCTTTCCCTCCCGCCTGTCCCCTCAGTACCAACCTCAAGCGTCACTGAGTCTTTCTAATCTTCCTTTTCTACAGACCCATCTGACCTCTCCCCTCCTCGACAGGCCTAGCTAGGTCCCAATTCTTCCACAGCCTCCGCTCCTCCACCCTATAATCTTTTTATCGCCTCCCCTCCTCACACCGGGTCTGGCTTACAGTTTCATTCCGTGACTAGCCCTCCCCCACCTGCCAGCAATTTATTCTTAAAAAGGTGGCTGGAGCTAAAGGCAGAGTCAAGGTTAATGCTCCTTTTTCTTTATCCCAAATCAGATAGCGTTTAGGCTCTTTTTCATCAAATATAAAAATCCAGCCCAGTTCATGGCTCGTTCGGCAGCAACCCTGAGACACTTTACAGCCCTAGACCCTAAAAGGTCAAAAGGCCGTCTTATTCTCAATACACATTTTATTACCCAATCTGCTCCCGACATTAAATAAAACTCCAAAAACTGGAATCTGGCCCTCAAACCCCACAACAGGACTTAATTAACCTCACCTTCAAGGTGTGCAATAACAGAAAAAAGTTGCAATTCCTTGCCTCCACTGTGAGACAAACCCCAGCCACATCTCCAGCACACAAGAACTTCCAAACGCCTGAACTGTAGCAGCCAGGCGTTCCTCCAGCAGCCAGCAAGTTCCTCCCCAAGGAGCTTGCTACACATGCCGGAAATCTGGCCACTGGGCCAAGGAATGCCCGCAGCCTGGGATTCCTCCTAAGCCACGTCCCATCTGTGTGGGACCCCACTGAAAATCGGACTGTTCAACTCACCTGGCAGCCACTCCCAGAGCCCCTGGAACTCTGGCCCAAGGCTCTCTGACTGACTCCTTCCCAGATCTTCTCGGCTTAGCTGCTGAAGACTGACGCTGCCCGATCGCCTCGGAAGCCCCCTAGACCATCACGGACGCCGAGCTTCGGGTAACTCTCACAGTGGAAGGTAAACCCGTCCCCTTCTTAATCAATACGGAGGCTCCCCACTCCACATTACCTTCTTTTCAAGGGCCTGTTTCCCTTGCCTCCATAACTGTTGTGGGTATTGACGGCCAGGCTTCTAAACCTCTTAAAACTCCCCAACTCTGGTGCCAACTTAGACAATACTCTTTTAAGCACTCCTTTTTAGTTATCCCCACCTGCCCAGCTCCCTTATTAGGCTGAGACACTTTAACTAAATTATCTGCTTCCCTGACTATTCCTGGACTACGGCTATATCTCATTGCCACCCTTCTTCCCAATCCAAAGCCTCCTTTGCGTCCTCCTCTTGTATCCCCCGACCTTAACCCACAAGTATAAGATACCTCTACTCCCTCCTTGGTGACCGATCATGCACCCCTTACCATCTCATTAAAACCTAAGCACCCTTACCCCACTCAATGCCAATATACCATCCCGCAGCACACTTTAAAAAGATTAAAGCCTGTTATAACTCGCCTGCTACAGCATGGCCTTTTAAAGCCTATAAATTCTCCTTACAATTCCCCCATTTTACCTGTCCTAAAACCAGACAAGCCTTACAAGTTAGTTCAGGATCTGCGCCTTATCAACCAAATTGTTTTGCCTATCCACCCAGTGGTGTCAAACCCATAAACTCTCCTATCCTCAGTACCTCCCTCTACTACCCATTATTCTGTTCTGGATCTCAAATATGCTTTCTTTACTATTCCTTTGCACCCTTAATCCCAGCCTCTCTTTGCTTTCACTTGGACTGACCCTGACACCCATCAAGTTCAGCAAATTACCTAGGCTGTACTGCCGCAAAGCTTCACAGACAGCCCCCATTACATCAGTCAAGCCCAAATTTCTTCCTCAACTGTTACCTATCTCGGCATAATTCTCATAAAAACACATGTGCTCTCCCTGCCAATCGTGTCCGACTGATCTCTCAAACCCAAGCATTTTCTACAAAACAACAACTCCTTTCCTTCCTAGGCATGGTTAGCGTGTTCAGAATTCTTACACAAGAGCCAGGACCACACCCTGTAGCCTTTCTGTCCAAACAACTTGACCTTACTGTTTTAGCCTAGCCCTCACGTCTGCATGCAGCAGCTGCCGCTGATTTAATACTTTTAGAGGCCCTCAAAATCACAAACTATGCTCAACTCACTCTCTACAGTTCTCATAACTTCCAAAATCTATTTTCTTCCTCATACCTAACGCATATACTTTCTGCTCC